>NC_000005.10:135558785-136207764 GCF_000001405.40 Homo sapiens | reverse complement strand
GAGAAGTCTTTCTGCTCTGCCCAGCCACCAGCTTTGGGAAGACCTTGAATTGGCACGTTGGGCATTTCTGTAGGGACAGCGATCCCAGTGAGACATCTCTCAACATCTATGGAGGCAGCAGGAAGCAGAAAGGTGAAGGGGGAGCAAAGCAGAGAGGGCGACAAGGCAGCCAGCATGGTGACCACCATTACCAACCTTGTTTGTGGGGTCACCCCTCGGAGACTCCAGAAATAACCAGTAGACACTGTGGGCAGGTCCAGCTTCTGGCTGGTGAGGATGCTGCTATACATAGGAAATATAGAGCCTTATTCTGTAGGTAGAGTATGGTGAAGTGGACTATTCAAGTTATGTAAATAGGACTTGATATTGGTCTTGGGGACTTCCACTGCTTCCCATGAGCATAGATCATTGAGAGCAGCATGAGCCCCAGTGGCCGTACAACTGACTCAGGATTTCTGGACCACTGATGCCGGCAGGGAGCAGCGACTGCCCCAGACCTGAGCAGGGTCAGTCACTGAGAGAGAGGAAGTGACTTTGGATCATCTCAGTGATAGAACGGAACACAGCCCCAGAGTATCACGCTCAACTCCAATCAATCGCAGAATGGGCACTCCAGCAAAATAGAGCCATTGGTGCCTTCCTAACCTGCAGAAATCTATTAGCTGCCCCCAGAGCCAGTTAAGCCCTGGTGAAGGTGAAGATTCGATCTGAGAGCCGAGGCTGCCTTGTAGACTCATCATTACATAAAGATGCTTGCAGCATGATCACTGTCTGTCACCACCAGCGTGAACAGAATGTGTATTCTGTGCTTCAGCAAAAGCCATTAGGGTGTCTTCTCATGATATTTTTCCTTCAAAGAACACAGATGTTTTTGCTGTGTCCTGGGACTTCTGAGCCTAATGTCCCCAAGCCCCAGCTCAGAGGTGAGCTGTTTTCATTGTGCTGAGGCTGCAGGAAGAGGATGGTATGGATCAGTATTCTAGTCACTCTGGACAGATTTTCAATCTTTCTCCCAAAGGGTAAAAACAGCATTTTCCTGATTCTTGAAGACCTTCCAGTCTGTACTCCCCCTGCATACATATGACATGAAAGACTCAACCCAAGGTGAAACATAAGGGATACTTTCTGAAACAGGGATCTAAGGGTGTGAGACAAGAACACAGATATATGAGGAAATCAAGGGAACTGTCACTTCCCACACAGCCCGTGTGCACCCACCCACGAGGTCACGGCTCAGACACCCGGGTAACTCTAAAGAGACTAAAAATGTGCCCTAAGACCACCCACGGGGTGTTTCTGGTCATCCTTTGTGCTCCACCACATAGGCAAAGACAAGGAGGGGGATTTGGAGGTGAGAATGGAACCTGGGCAGAAGTGCCTAGGCACACAGACACAAGGAAAGAAGAGGAGTGAGGTAGAGGGCCCCATACTTGCTCCCACATGGGTCCACTTTGTGGCAAAGACTTAGAGGCAACCCAAAGAGATGTGAAGGAGATGTCGGTGTCTTCATCATCAGGGATGTGCAGGGCCTCCCACAGGCCTCACAGAGGCCACCATCAGAAACCCATATGCAAGAGGCAGCATCTGCAGGAAGCTACTCTACTCCCAAGGGAAAATCAGAGAAACTGCCCTCCTGCCAGGCCTCGGGGTCTCCTCTTCCCGAGCTGAGGTCACCCAGGGACATAGACCACCACTGACACAGAGCAGAGGAGTCTGGGTCTGTGTGACCTCCCCCAAGTCACAGCACAGGCCGCCAAACACAGGAAATGGCAGGGCCAGTAGCACTGGTTCCCAGTGGAGATACATAGTACTGGGTAGATGTTCCATTTCCCAAATAGACACAAATGCCTGGTAAGGCTGCTGTTCTGTCCTGTAAATTGTTTGGGTGACTTCCCAAGAAAGAAAGGAAAATATGGTTGTGGTGAACTATACCCCATGGCCCCAGTGAAACATGCTTCCCAGTACTCAGGCCCTTGTGTGTTCCCCTCCCCCATTGATGCTAGGCTTGGTCATGGGACTTGTTTTAGCCAATGGAGCATTAGCAAGTATAGCACAAGCAGTGGTTTGATAAGCCCATGCCCAGGGTGGCTTGTCTTACAACAAGCCAGCCCTTGTAAAGAATCTCAGCTAGGATGCTGAATGTTGAGAGGCTGTGTAGAGAGAAACCCTGGAGGTTGAGAGGCCTCTTGTATTTCCAGCCTAGACAAGCTCCCAGCTAAGTGCAGCTGCATAAGTGATTCAGCTATGTGGAGCAGAAGAACCTCCCAGCTGAGCTTTGTTAGCCACAAAATCACGAGAAATAATAAAGTGTTGTTGCTTTAGGCCACGAAGTTTCGAGGTGGTATGTTACCCAGTAATAACTAAAATAAAGGGGCTGAGGAAGGATCCAGGAACTTTTCACACCATTTTTAGCTTATCTGCAGGAGAGTAATCAATCCCACCCATTCATCCCAAAAGAATGATTTACTTCTGAATCATAAGGCCTGGTGCCTCAAACAACAGAAGCCTATGAATGCAAATCAGCAGTTGTTTAAGAAGCCACAGTCAGGGTTTCCAACCTCCCCAGGTTGGCTTTGCTCCACTTAAAAAGAAACCCAGTGTCTGGACACCGATGGAACCGCCCCCACCCCCCAAAAGTAGTTCTGGCCATCCTACAGAAGGACGCACGTTTTGTTGTACAAGCTAAATACAGCCAGTCGACTCAGTCATCACCTCAGCTCATGTATCGTAATGTGCGATGAGCTGGAAGGATCCAGTGGACTCCAACTCAGGAGTTTGCAGTTTCACTGAAGAGAAAAGGGACAAGCCTGGGAACAGGTAAGCAGATTTGTGAGATTTTAACAAGAGTGGTGGGCAATACAGAGGCGATGTCACAAGGCAGTTGGTGAATCGTTGCCTGATGGACAATAACATCCCTTTCGATTTCTAATCTTACAGCTATATGATGAGCACTTCCACATCCCTTATTTCACTTATTTAAAACATCAGCCCAGTGATGTGGGTAGGCCAGGATTCAAGATCCCCTTTTCCTAGAAAGAGCTTAAGTAGAGCATGAACTGGAAGTTCAATTCCTGGGGTCCTGGGCCCATAAACTGGACTGAGCATAGAATGAGTGGCAATGAACAGAACTGAGTGGGAGGAATGCACTTAGGCTAGGCAGCAAGTGTAGAGGCACTGTCCACAGCAGGCAGCCTGGGTAGGAGGGACGTTCCCTGTGGGGTATTTCTCAACACAGTCCTGGGACCTCCTCCCTCAGAATCCCTTGACACAGATTGATAATGTAGATTCAACGGTTGAGGGTTGGGCCTAGGAGTCTCTATTTTAAGAGGCCCCCAGGCAACTCTGATGACCAACTATATTTGAACACTTGCCACAGAGTTCCCCTTTCCAGGTGGCATGGTTATCAGATCACCTGACTGGTGGGCACTAGAGATGGGACTGGCCCCCAGGCCTGGGCCAGTGCTCTAGCTAGTTTTCTGATCTTCCCTAAGGTGGGACTGATCCAGTTTTAGAAGGATATGTAAGATTTGGGGCCAGGTACGGTGGCTCATGCCTGTAGTCCTGGTACTTTGGAAGGCTGAGGCGGGAGGATCATTTGAGTCCAGGAGGATCACTTGAGTTCGAGGCTGCAGTAAGCTATGATCTCGCCTCTGTCCTCCAGCTTGGGTGACAGGGCGAGATCACATCTCTAAAAATAAATGAATACGATTTGGGCATGCAGAAAGATAAAGGATAAAGCATTGAAGGCACCAAGGAAAAAACAGGGGTGAATAGCTCAATTCCACCCTTTCCCGTGCTGCATCTCCGTGACTCAACAGCATTGTTATTACGTTAAAAACTAATAGTAAAGGGACAGCCAATGCTAACAAGGGTTTGGGGTAATAACCCCAACTCCAGGGATTGCCCAGTCTTGATTTTGTCTCCTGTTTCTTGGAGGTAAGGAAATGTCATTCTTGAACTGGGACATGGGCAAGGTCCGCTCCCACTCTGTCCCCAGAACTGAGAACTCACCTGATGTCAGACAGCAGAGCGCTGAGGGGGAAAACCTGCCTAGGACAGCAGGCTTCCAGGGTGCGCTGCCATTAGAGCCCCAGAGTGGGGCGGACAGGGCCTCATCCCACTTCATGCCAGCAGGTTCTGTGGACAAAGGTGGCAGGAAGAAAAGCCCCAGCCAGGCTGAGCAAGTAGGGAGTGTGTGTGTGTGTGTGTGTGTGTGTGTGTAAAGAGAGAGAAAGACCGTTTATTAATTTATTAATACAGATAATATTAATAGTATTAATATTAATATAGATATTATATATTAATATTTATTAATGTAGATAATAAACAGAGCCAGAGAGAATGAAAGAGGAGGTGGGGGTGGGGGGTCCACTCCTCTCCCCAACCAAACCAACCTGCGGTAAGGGCAGAGGGAGGAAAAGACACAGGGCACTGTCTGTGTGTGTGTTGAGTGGGGGGTCCCTCACATTTGAGATTTATCTTTTATTTCTCTGTGACTGAAGCTGAGCCACTTCCGATTTGTATCAGGAGGAAATGTGCTGCTTATGCATTCGTAATTAGACCCAGGTAATTCACTCTTTAATAATCAGCAGGCTTCTCCCACCAGCCCACTAAACCTCCCCCTCCTGCCTGCTCGTTTCTATTTTCATCCCTGTCCCCTCCCAGGTGGGGATCCCTTAAAGAGGCCCGGCTGGTTTGTTATCCTTTTCCTTTCTTTCCAAATGGTCCTACTGGGGCCCTCGCGGGCCGGCCTTTCCCTTCATTGTGATTCAGAGTGAGGTTCTGAACCAGGGCTCTAAGGAACCAGAGAAGCCGATTATGGGAAAGGGCATTGTTTGAGGAGCTCCGATGGCGAGCAAGCCCAGCCCACTCTCCCTCTGGCTCAGCAGAGCCCAGCCGGACCCTCCCACCGCGGGGAGGAGACCATCACCAGGAAGCCAAAAATGATGAGAGGGTTCTCTTCCTCCTGTCTCTCAAGTGGGCACAGGGAGGATAGAAAATTGTCCTTTGAGATGTTATTGCCGCTGTCATTGTGAATAAAGGCCTAGGGCTCCAGGACTCCCAACTGAGTACACTGCCTCGGTCCCCTCCAGCCCCCAGCCCACCTCTCATCCAGTGCCCAGGCCTCTGCAGAGGGGACTGAAGGGAGCAAGATGGATGAGGCACTTAAGGAATGAGGGCCCAGGAGACAGGGGAGAAAAATTAAAATGTAAATTACTTTTGCTGTTTTGTTTTATACTGTTTCTTTAAAAATATTATTCTCATTACAAAAGTAAACCATGGTCACTGGAGAAATTTCCAAAAACCTCAGCATTCAGAAAAGAAGAAAATGAAAATCACTCTTAATCCAGCCACCTAGAGATAATTACTAGGAGGTATTTGCTTGTGGTTCTCTTTACATATTTATATAAATCTTAATCCACAAACTCAAGTGGGTAAGAAATGAAAGATTACTAGTCAGTCTCTGTTAGGAGCCCCCTGTCCCTCATTCCTCAGAGGTGGTAGAAATCTCAGCTCAGTTCTGAGTCCCACAGTTCTGAGTCCCACACCCACTTTACTGACCCTGTGATAAATTCTGCAGGCTTAAAGCAGGCAATCATCCCACCCACAGCCCTCTCTGCCTTCACTGACGTCCACCAAACCTCTGTTGTCTATCTGCTTCCTAAACGTCAGTCCTGTGGGTCGCTGCTGCATGGAACCTCATTCCCATCAAAAAGACAGCCTCAGAACGCCTGCTTGCCTCTTTCATGCCCTTCTCAGAGCACTGACTCAGAAGCCCTTCTGTCTCCAAATCATTTTGGAGCTGGAGGCAGCTTGCTGTGGCCCCTCATCACTTCATGTACACTGAGGTGAACTTGCAGGCATGTATGAGGTGAGCTTGCAGGAATGATCTTAGGGCTTCTGCCTCCTTAGGGCTCCTTAAGAAAGGTATTTACCATCTCCCTCTGCACCCCAATCCCCCGAACTATCTGGTCTTCTGTCATCTCTCTCAAGGCAGAACACTCCTCTACCCCCTCTCAGAGACCTACTCACATCTAAGGTCTCCTTGTGTCCCCATGAACTCTCTTCTCCTCACCTCCTGCTCTACCCTGCCCCAAGATCAGGGATATTCTTTTCTAACTTCAGAGATGGGAAAATGTGCTCTTATGCAGGATTGCCATATAAAGTTGAGCAGTGTGTGCACTGCACAACAGGGAAGTTTAACATGCCCAGGGAAATGGCACCTTTTTATAATTTGCCCAAAGGTACCATGTGTGTGAGCCACAATGCTGCCCTTACTCATCATGTCTTGTTCCAAACCTATACCTGGGCCAAGATTTTGAAACTCAAAAGCCAATAATTTGACTCTTTTGTTAGCCGAGTTCTGCAATGTCCTCCCTTCCCTGAAGCAATTAATATTGAGCAGTCTGGCTGCTGTCTGGCTGCAAGGAAGGACCACAGGAGTCAGGAAATGCAGGGGGATGCCTTGGTTAATACTTGACAATAGCATGCCCAAATGTATATGCCCATTTGCAGCTCCAAATGCTAGGTTCAAATCTTTGGGGTTGGGGGGCAAAACTTGAATTTTTAAAAGCATGCCAAGTAATTCTGAAGGGGTTGGGAGAGAATTCCCATGAAAAGAAATCAAGACCAGTCCCTGGAGGACTGCTGTCCCCAGCCCTTCAGCTCCCATTGGGGAGCTGTGGGTGAGGCTGCTTTTCTCGCCTGGATGGGTGAATTCAAGGGTGGGAGGGCCAAGGCTGGATGGCGGCTTTTCATATCTTAAAATGCCCTGAGCAACCTCGAGTATCTTCTTGTTTTCCCTGTTTGGTTCCAGCTAAGATGTTGAGACCATCCACTTACTAGTGAAGCCCAGCACCACTTCTGGGAGGAGTGTCATCTTAAAGGCTTTCTCCAAGAAGGGGCCAGATGACTCCAAGCCATCCAGTCTACTTCTCCCATCCACAGGCAGCTCAAAAGCAGCCTCCTAGTGGGAGGGGGTGGGAGAAGCCCCTTCCCCAGCAGAACTGGGGTACAGAGTACCCCATATGCCTCCCCAAAGGAAGGCTTCAGGATGGAGACAACCTCATGTCTGACCTGGGAGCCTGAGAGGAGCATGTTGAATTTCTATTGCCTCAGCATAAAATGGCAATGCTAATGTAGTTTCCAATTTAGGTTTTAAAATGCCACTTTAAAGGACAGCTTCAGTTCTCTCACTTAAAACTTTTTAAAAATAATCACATTTCCTCATGAATCAGGACATGTGCATATTTGTCCCTTCTTCCCCATCAAGGACTCACAGAGCATAAGGCATCCTCTTCCACAGACTTTAGATGACCACTGTGCACCTCTTCTTTGGACAGGGGGCTTTCTCTGCCCCAACCCCACATCCATAGCCCCTTCTGCCTGGGTCCACTGAGCAACCAGTGACACTTCTGCCACACTGCGTGAGAGACTTGCTGCCCAGTGACAGAGGGGGAGGGAGGACTGGGAAAGAAATAAGAGCTGCCCAGGCAGCAGCCAAGGGCAACGTTTGAAGCAGGGGGTGCTTGGTTGTAGCGAGGGACTTATCCAGACAAGAGAATGGAGATCCCTCGTAGTTTTATCAAAAAGAAACCAGGTAGTTGGGTTTTCTTTTAGAACTTTGGGAGGAAAAGAAAACATAATTTCACACCCTGAAGAAATATGTGCCTGAATTTTGTAAACTTGGATTTTCTTCCTCTTCCTAATTAAGGGTAGAAGTCCTCCCTACCCTTTCAGTGCATGTGGGGGGCAGGGATGGGCATAAAGAGTGAACGTTGTCCAAAGGATGTCTCTCCTATCCCAGGCTCCCATTAATCTGGGAAGCAACCTCAGGATTTGTGCCCAGGAAGACAGAGCCCCTCATAGGAAAGAGCTTTCTCTAGAGAACTGGATTTGTAGGGTTGACCTGGTGTTTGGGGAGGGATGGGGTGAGTAGGAGGGGGTGCCTGTCTTTGCAGGGCCAGGAGTAATCCCCTGAGAGGGAAGTCAGGCTTCTAGCTGCCCACCTAGGTCCCCAGCTCAGGAGCAGAATCTACAGGCAAAGAGCTCAAGCCTGCATGACCTGTTGCCGGCTCTCCTAGCCCCAGTCCTTCATGGGCTGGCCCAAACTGCTGACTCCTAAGAATGCAGAGAGCTAAAGCCTACACCTCCTGCTGCCCGCTCTCCCAGCTTCAGCCCGCCGCAGGCTGGCCCAGACCGCTGACTCCTGAGGATGCAGAGAGAAGGCAGGTTCCCAGTCCTAGAGCTTATTGCTGACTCAGACCAAGTCTTTCTAGCTGGTCCTGCCCTCAGCCATGGGTAGGGGTTACAAGTCAACGGGGCCATTCCCTGACCTCCCAACCGGCCTGCTCCTGAACCCTAGGAAGGTAGATCCCAATGGCCCTTCCCTGTCCTTCCTTTGTGGCCAAAAGCCAATCTGGATAGTTTTGTTTTGTTTTGTTTCATATTTTGAATCTTTGTCAGATTTTTAAACTTTTCAATTCATTTTGATTCCATTTTTCATTCTAAATAAATATTCACTTTAAAACCTAATTATTTGCTCTTTCTCAGAGAGATCCCCCAAGATGTAAAAGTTCCAGATTCCAAAAAACCTAGAACCACCCTTAAGGATGGACCACGAGGTGAGTGAAAGGCAAGAGGCTGCTATAGTCTCAGTGTCCAGCAATGGGGCTCTGAGCCTGGGCAGTAGCCAGCCCTGTGGAAATATTGATGGCAAGGAGAGGGAGAAGGCCCAGCAGAGACGACAGCCCAGGACACACGTGGGCCTGACATTGCTGACCACAGACATGAAGCTCTAGCCACAAGGGGGGGGTCTGCTTGACACCCTGGGCTCCCACTTCAGCCCAGACTCAGAGGCCTAACCCCAAGAATGAGGTTCACTCATTCACTCTTACCCTGGGAAGACTGAATATGAAGCACACAGTTAAGACCAACAGTAATCAGGTGAGGACTGCCTGGGTCTCTTCCACTAAAGAGAGGGCAAAAAGGCAGGGTTAGTTGGGACCAAAGGCTGGGAGAGGGGGCTTCCTCGGAGGGCTGAGTCTTGCTGGGACTTCAACCCTGGCACCCGCCCCTTCCTCTAGGATCTGACAGCCTTTTGCAAAGGCTCACCAGCCCCAACCTCAGCAGAGGAAAGACGACTCCATGCTTGGCTAGCAAGGGCAACAGTGCCACCAGCTTCATATGTCCCACCTGGCAGGGGGCTCCTAACAGGTGAGGTTTGCTTAGGAATTCCTTACGGCCTGACTGAGACACTTTCAGCTTGAGGCTCTTCTTACCGAATCCTTTCTTCCCTCTCTCCTCTCAGGGGTCAGAGCAGTACTGTGACCTGAAGCTCTCCCTGCTGCCTCTTCTTCGTGCCCCTTTTTTACCCATCACAGCTATTTCCCCTAATACATCTTCTGCATGTGCTTCTTGGAGGACCTGAGATGACACTGAGCCAGACTGAATTTTTCTTCTTGCCATAATCAGAATAATTAAATAAGATTAAAAGACAGAAACTTTGTCGTTGTGTGATTCATGATGTTTAATGCTGTGCCCATGCACTACTTAAAGTAATATGGCATCCCACTTGAAGTATTCTTGCCAAATTTTAGAAAATGCAATCCTAGACAAAATCAAACTTTTTCTGATGGAGTTCTTTTGCCCTGGCCTCACTACCAAGTCCCAGACCTTTTCATGAAGCAGTCCTGCATCAGTGCCACAGATGAGTCGGGGCCTCTGAAGTGACTAAACACACCTGCTCCCTGCCTTGCTACCTGTCTCCATTTCTGGGACTAAGGCACTCTTTCTGGCTCCCAGTCTCTCCATAAGTATAACCACAAAGGCCAGGCACCCTATCCTGGAAGCCTAGGGACAGGGACGTGAGGATGTTAGCCAGACCACCAGGGGCCCCTGAGCCTGGCAACTGATCCCAAACAACAGTCCTGTTCCCAGTCTTTGGCCATATACTGGCTCTATCCCAGCTTTAGCCTCCTTGCCAGTACTTGGCCAGAGTGATGGCTCATCCCTTAGCATGCAGTGACCCCACCGTGACCCCATCCAACACACCTAGTTGAGCCCAGGCAGCAGGAGGAATGTGGTTTCACCACCATGCAAACCTCTGCCTTTCCCAGAGAAAGCAAGATGATTGGGTCCAGGGGGTGACTATCAGTCTATCAATCCCAGGATCCTGCAAGCCTTGGGTCGCCATAACCTGCTTGGCTTGAGGTTATACCACTAAAGGGACCTGGAGAGGCAGATGAGGTCACATGTCATTGGGACCATAGAAAAAAATGTTGAGGTGCTAACCAATGAGTGGTGAGACCTGATTCAAAAATAAATGGCACAACATTCACCAGCCTGGTGAATCTTGAAACTGACTCCATCCCATCATCTGATCTGACCAGAGACCAGCAAGCTGACAGGACCACGGGACAGAACTGGAGACACCCTTTCTGGGATAGGAGACAAAGCCCTTTCAGAGCTCTCTCCTTGCAGAATCATTTCTCCCTCACACCCCATCGTCTCTCCAGTTACCCCACTCCACTAACCAAACTGCAGCCATTTTGAAAGCCCTGGCAAGACCATTCTCCAAGCCTCCTACAGGTTATTCTCATTAGGAAAGCTGCTTCATTCCAGAGTCTGGGCTTGGGCTACTTGCTATTTACTTCTTAAAATGGTTATTGTAGGCTGGGCATGGTGGCTCACACCTGTAATCCTAGCACTTATAGAGGCGGAGGCAGGCGAATCACCTGAGGTCAGGAGTTCAAGACCAGCCTGACAAATATGGTGAAACCCCATCTCTACTAAAAATACAAAAAAATTAGCTGGGTATGGTGGCTGGTGCCTGTAATCCCGGCTACTTGGGAGGCTGAGGCAGGAGAATTGCTTTGAACCCGGGAGGCGAAGGTTGCAGTGAGCCGAGATCGTGCCACTGCACTCTAGCCTGGGCGACAGAGCGGGACTCCATCTCCAAAAAACAAAAAATGGTCATTCTAAAATGTAACCTTAAAGTCACCAACCACTATGGTTGCCAAAGTCATCTAAAACGAGCAAACAGAAAGCCACTAACAGGGGCAATGATTTAAAAAACAAACAAAACAGTTTTGCAAGCAAGGGCATCATCAGCATTCACAGAGGAAGTGGCCATCCCATTCTCCAGCAGACTAACACCCACACAGGGAAAACCCACACCAGCCAATCTTCAATTGTCTGAACTCCAATCTTCAGACAGCAATTTTTCACCTTTGATCTTCACCCCCAGCTTCTGCGTGACGCTGAGTAGTTTAATAATAATTCCCTTGGCGTGTGGAAGAAACAGAAATAGCTCCACCAGGCACCACAGGCCTGCGCAGCACAGTTTATGAAATCCTGGGGCTCTAATGCTCCCAGTCTCCTAAGTTTCCATTAAACAGCTGCCAAATGGCTCTCGCTGGCAGGAAAGGCACCCTTGCCTCGCCTCCCTTGGTTTCTCCGCAGACAGGTCAGGAGGGAAGAAACATGTGTCACTCAACAACTACGTAATGGGAAAGAGGTTGCCCTGAGGTCCCCCCCTGTGACCTCTGCCTGTCAAAGCCAACCTCTAAGCCCCTTTTTATAATCTTTTCCAAAGACTTAAATGTATGGGTACACAAAGCTCCCTTAATGGAAGGTCGCTCTGGCTTGTATAAAGAGCTGTGTAAACTTCATCTCTGCATTTACTCAGTACCAGCCTTGTTTAATTTCCTGCCCGGGGATGTGCAGGGAACGTGACTGCCCTCTCAGGGCCCTGAACATCTTTCAGAAAAGAAACAGTACCCTCCCTACTTCAGGGCCCCCCAAAAAGCAAGACACCTCCTCCAACTGTACTAAAAGGGAAGGCAGTTTGACCACATGCTCTCTGTTGAGTTTCTCTTTAGAAAAGGCAGCTTCAGACTGAGTGGACAAGCACAGACCACAGCTGGAGGGTCCCCTACACCATAACCAGCTATGTGATCTTGGCAAGTGACACCACTTCCTGGGGTTCTGGCTTTCTCCTTTAGAAAATGAGGGGATAGATGTGCCTATCACAGGTTGCTGTGCGGAGAAAGATGAATGCTAAGCCCCCGCCTAGTGCTCAGCTTGTGGTAAGAGGGCCAGGAATGGTAGCTACTAGAATCATTCTGCCATGGCAGAAGGTTCATTATAGTGGCTAAGTGCATGGACTCTGGAGCCCCACTTCCCACATCCGAGCTCCAGCTTCTTCATTCACAGGTGGGAGACCTTGCATGTGTCATTTCTATAAAATGCCGCATGGGAACAGCAGCAGCTGTGGGGAAGGAATGAGCAGTGTTGGGGACATCAGGTTCAAAGATTTCCCTGCCCACCACCACTACCATCCCTGTTTCACCACCATCCCCGTCCTGCCACTATGACCAGCGAAGCTGCAGAGACCTTCCATCCACACCAAACCCTTTGCAGACACCCTGCTCCACACCATTTCCTGGATAATCACAGCCTGTTTCCAGAGGAGGACCAGAAAACACTTATTTACCATTGCCCCTCATTTTATAGCCCAAAAGGCTGAGGCCTGCCCCAGATTCCACTTACAGCCTCCCAAATGAGCTGCCTTGTGTCAGTAAGCCCCCCTCCTGGGTTCATACCTGGGGTTATGGTGGACCTGAGAGAAAGTGGGGGAGGTAGGCCATGCCACTTCCCATATAGATCCCAGGAGGAAATTCCAGGCCAAATCCCAAACTGAGCTACCCAAGTCCCGCATTCATGCCTTCCCAGGACCCAGGAAGTTACTGACAGCAGGAGCGTCACCTCCATCCCAACCCCCTCCATCCAACTCATGAGCTGAGTCTCCCCCTGGCTGAAAGTCCTGGTGAGGAGGCCTGTTCTGGCTTCACATAATGTTCTCTAGCGTGCTGCTGGCCGAGAAAAATGCTGTCTGAAACAGGTCAGGTCTTCAGAGAAAGGGACTCCCCCCATCTCCTGAGTGGCCCACTGCCACTGCTGCTGCTATATCACTGATACATGGTGGCTGTCCTGTGCTAACACGGATAAGCCCTGGCCCCTCTCAGAGCCAACTCTGCCATCTGGAAAATGAGGCATTGATGGCAGCCATGTGGAGGGGCTCAGCATCCTGCACCCTGGAAGCAGACCAGGCAGCCCTCTAGGACCAAGGGGGGCTCTGTCTGGGATGGTGATTGGTAGATGGGGCAGTGCTGAATACTGTCAAGCCCTGCTAAAACCCCCACAGGTCCATCTATGGGACTAAGTGAAAAACACCCAAGAGGGCATTTTTGTACCTCATTTGGCAAACACTGTAGAGTCAGGACTTGGAACCACAGTTTCAACTTCGACAAAGAGCTCACGGAGGTGATTCTGCCGGGCTGAGCAGGGATTTGTGGGTATGAGCTCTGGCCAAGGTCTGCCTTGCACACCCTGATTGTTCTTGTTATGCTGGTGGCCAGGCATGAGGTGCAGTGGGAAGAGAGAATAACTAACTCATCTTTCTACTGGCTCTCTCAGCCAATGTCACCAAGCTCTCCCCATGTATTGCACCCCTGAATGGGAGATGAGGAAAAGAGGAGAAAGACATGGATGTGAACTTGGTTGACCCTTTGAGGGTCTCTGACAAATGAGCAGACAACAGGGCTGGGACTAGGGTGAGGGGTGAGGCATCTAGGGGCAAAACTGAAGGAGACACCTACTCCCAACCCTGCACTTGCAGACTCTGAGAGCGAGTGTCTCATTCAGTATTGTGCTCTAGACTTCTCACCCACCTCCCCCTAATTCTGGCCCTGAAAGAAAATGACAGGCCAGAGGTGAGGGGTGGGTGCTTGTTGAGAAGTGCAGGGGCTGTGGTGGTCCAGGGTGGTTGTTCCCACTCTAGTCTGGGGGTCCTGGAAGACTTTGCAGAGGAAGTGAGCAGTTCAGACTCCTGGGAAAGGAGACACCTCCCCACTCAATCCAACTGATTGCACACCTCTGTCCTGGCCACCTCGCCTTTCCAGACCTGCCAAGGGCAGGGGGGCAACTGCCAGCGCCATGTCCTCCTTTTGCCCCTCTGTGCCCAGGCAGAATAGGCAAAAGGGAGCTGAACATTCTTGCACACGGTGCGGGATGCACACAGACCGGCAGGACGCAGCCGGAGAGGACACGGGGCCCACAGAATCAGTCCTGGCTTGAACATGCTTGTCTGGGAGCGCGTCTGCACACCCTTGGAGGTGGTGTGCCCGGCCTGCGCTACCCAGCAGCCAGTGGGCACTCGGAACAAACCAGGCCATGCCTGGAGGGAGCCTGTCAAGGAGGATAATGAACGCAGGTGTGCACGCTCAGCTGAGCTTTGTCTCTGAGTTGGTTTGCTTACCTCAACGGTTTGTCCCTGTTTGGCGTGTGGCTCTGTTCATAGGTCTGTAACTGTGTCTTTGCCCGTCAGTCTTCCTGTGACCCTGTGCTTTTCTCTCTTTCTCTCTCTCTCTCTGTCCCTGTCTCTGTCCCTCTGTCCCTGAGTGATGTGAGGCCGGGCTGGGGGCAGTCGCAGCCGCGTCCTCTCTTGCCCTCATTGGTTCGCAGCCGCTCCCCCGGGCAGCCGCCGCCAGTCCCGCCCCTCCCCCGAACCCCCGCCCGGGACACGAGCGCGCTCAGAGCCGCCAGAAAGCTCAGTCTCCTGCTCAAAACAGGAGCGCAGCAGCCGGAGGGAGTGGGGACAAGCTCGCTGAACACTGGGCGTCTCGACAGGGACCAGAGCCTGCAGGACTGTTCCGAGACGCTGCGGTGGCGGCGGCGCCGGAGGACGCGGAGGACTCCCTGGCCACCCGCCCTCCGTGCGCTCTGCCACCGGGCGCTCAGCAGAGACCCCGGGCTGCGGCTGCACTTGCTGAGTGCCTCTCCCCGCCGCCGCAGCCCAGAGGCGCCCAGCACCTGGAGCTCACTGGAGCTGAGGGTCCGAGCTGAGCGGGCTGTTGTAAAGCCGAAAGGCGAGTCAGTGACTGGGACCTCTGTCCTGGTGGCGACGGAGAGAAACAGTGAGCCCGAGGGGCGCGGGCACAGAACTGTCCAGCTCCGAGAACTGGGGTCCGCCAGCCGGCGGGGAAAGCAGCTGAGCGCGGAGGCGAGTGAGCGGACGCGTCCCGGGGTCTTTGCAGTCCCCGCCGGCCCCAAGGCACCGACTCTCGGTCAGTTGGGCGCGGCAGGGCGGGAGGGGCGCGCCATGGAGGCGCCGGGTCGCGCCAGTATGCTCCAGGCCAAGTGAAGCGGTCCGGCTGGGGTCGGCGGGACCCGCGGGCCATGTACGGCGACATATTCAACGCCACGGGCGGCCCCGAGGCGGCGGTAGGCAGCGCGCTGGCCCCAGGAGCCACGGTCAAGGCAGAAGGCGCTTTGCCGCTGGAGCTGGCCACTGCGCGCGGTATGAGGGACGGCGCGGCCACAAAGCCCGACCTGCCCACCTACCTGCTGCTCTTCTTCCTGCTGCTGCTCTCGGTGGCGCTCGTCGTCCTCTTCATCGGTTGCCAGCTGCGCCATTCGGCCTTCGCCGCGCTGCCCCACGACCGCTCGCTGCGCGACGCCCGCGCGCCCTGGAAGACGCGGCCGGTGTAGCTTGGGACTGAGCCACGGCCGCCGGGCGCCCCGTCCCGACCTAGCCAAGAGCAGCCAGCTTGAGCCTGGTAGGGAGGGCACGACACCGGGGATCGCTGGCCCCTGGGAACACGGTGCCCTGACCCAAAGACCCTTCCTGAACTAGAGTGGCAACCCGAGAGGAAAGGGAGACCGAGGCGTCGGGAGCCTGTGTAGGGTCTCGATCCCAGTACCTGTAGGTACCGTGATTCTGATCCCCTGGCCAAATCTTTCTTCCTCTGGACAGAGGGTCCAGTCGGGAAACCTTCCCGAAAGACGGCGGTCGGGTCGGGAAACCTTCCTGAAAGACGGCGCGCCAGCCCGTCTTGCTTGCTCGCCGCCTGCTGACTTCCTTACTTTGCACACGGAAGGGGCAGGAACCGCAAGCGTGCAACTAGCCTGGAGCTACCCGTCTGGACTCGCAGGCCCTGTGGCTGTTTCCCACAGCTGCTACGGCCTCTCTTGCTCCTTGACACCGAGGAGGACCCCACTAGGATCCGAGCGTCGTGAACTCACCTGAACTTTGGAAGGTTGGCACTGGGGGGCCGCATCCCCCTGGGAAATGACTGAACGCGGGGTTTCAGTGGGTCCCGCCTGGGTCTAAGGACCCAGTTTCTTCTGTGAGCACGGGCAGTGGGAGGCCGGTGGAAAGGCGCAGGGGCCCACCTACGCGTCTCACATCTTCAGGGGCGCATTTCTACAATAAAAACTCACCCAATTAGACCTAGCGCTGAGAACGTGCTGGTAATTGTTTGCGCCGCTTTGGAAAAGGGGATAAGGGTAGATCGATCCCGAGCAGGAGACCCAAGCGAGAGACACCTCCCCGCCCAGGACATTTTGATGATACTACCTCCTCTTCGGCTTTTTCCCAGGGTCGGTCAATTACTTCCTTGGGGAAGTTTTTTTTTCAGGATGGTCTCCAGGGAAAATTGCTGCCTGACCTGCTGAATAAATTCCCATTAACAGGGCTCCTGGGGACCCTTTCTGCAGGGCAGTTCCTTCCACCTGGCATCTTCCCTTTTGCTCTGAGCTTTCCTGGGCCTGAAGCCCCTGAAGAGCCCTATCTGGACCAGAACCGTCTGGTGAAGGAAGAGCCTGAAGATCAGGTGGTGGGGCAGCTGCCCAGCACTTCCTCCCAAAGGAGATGGGGGCCTGCCCTGGAGAACCTGGCAGGAGGGAAATGGATGCATAAACCCAGTTAAGGGGAAATCAACTTCAAAGAACTTGAGAGGGACTAGGAAGGCTTGTAATAACCTTAACCAAAGTTAACCCAATTCTAGGGAGTCTTTTTACGGGGCTTTAAAATAGTTTCAGGAGTCACCTGGCTCAATGGAGCACTAGAGCTTAGAGAAGGTTTGACTGAAAAAGAATTTGACAGACTGTCTAATCCAGTCATTCTAACACATGCTAGGGTCACTTGGGCTTTTGGCAATCTTTAGAAAACTAAGGACTCTTGGCCCTGGCCAAATGCATACAGGCACAAAATTCTGCAACAATTCTATGAGTTCTGACACTGAAACTGGTTCCTGAGACCAGACTGAGGTTGAGGAAGAGAGACTGGCCAGGGCTCCTGAGGCCCAGCCCAGCCCAGCCCAGCCCACCACTTCTCCTCAGTCAGTATCCAAGATTCCCTCCTGGCTTCTATCCCAGGAAGCACTGGAGACGAAGCATAGAAACCAGAAAAGCCTCCCTGGGCTTGATTCTTCACGCCTTCCAGAACTAATACCCACCAGGTCCTAACGATGCCAATTCTATGATCACCTCACACAGCATTTCAGTTTAGTCTTCAGAAAGGTAGCCAAACCTCTGCAGCCTATAATAAAGGTAACCCAAGCTAATCTGCATGAACCTTGGACTAGACGGAAATAAATGTGAGAAATATGAGGGCCCCTGGCTAGCATACAAAATCACATGCTGCTGAAATGGGGGACCCTTCAGCCTTGGTCTGAGGGCTTCTGAGGGGGTAGGGGGACCCTTCAGCCTTGGTCTGAGGGCTTGTGACAGGTAGGAGACTAATGTAGAGGCAGAGTATCTCTCCACCACATGTCCTGATGGCCAGATCTGAAGGTAGTATGCAGAGTGGTCAAACGTACAAGCTCTGGAGTTCAAATGCCTGGCTTTAAATCCCAGCTCCACCTCTCACTAGCTGTATGGCCTTGTGCAAATAACCTATCTGAGCCTATTTCCTCATCTGCAAAATGGGCATTATATCAACTAGCTCTACAAGTTTGAATAATAGAGTATAACCAAAGTTATTATAACCAATAACAACATGCTAGCAATAATGCTTGCAGAAAATGAGCGTCCAAACTATAGCTATTTGTAAAACTGAGCTATAGGCGTGAAGCAGCACTGCTGCTGCGAGGAGACCCCACCAACAGGATGTGCTCTCACTACGGCCCACTGTCTCCTGTGACCACAAACAAATGCAAGGACTGGTTCCTTCATGGGAGAACATGAGTAGATGACTGGCTTAGGATTCACCTGTAGTTCCTGGGCCAGAATCAGCTCAAGCCAGAGTAATCCAGGAGGCTTTTGGGCTCTCTCTGATGTCTCTACAGGGTTGCAGTGGCCTCAGCCACTTAAGCCAAAGGCTTGGCCACTTCAAATGAATAGACACTTTGGGAATAAGTTTCTGGGTAATTGAGCCTGCATAGACCTGGAATCTAGAAAGCACACAGGGTCAGTAAAGGTATTATCTGCCAGCACTGTGAACCCGAGTAACTTGGTTCTCTTTTCTAGGATAGTATTAGACTGAGGGGTAATGGGTTCTTCCTCATGTTGAACCCAGCCCCAGACTCTCTTCTGGGAAGCAGGGATGTGGCTGAATTCAGATCTGTCCTCTACAATATTTAGAATAAGTGGACTACAACATGGTGATTGGATATTTAGGTGGTGTTAAAATTGAATGCATATGTCTTCCCAAAATTCATATGTTGAAGCCCTAACCCCCAGAGTGGCTGTATTTAGAGTAAGAAAGTAAAGTTATATGAAATCATAAGGGTGGAGCCCTGTTCTGATAGGATTAGTGTCCTTGTGGGACCACAGATTGCTCTCAACTCTGGCCAGGCGCAGGCACGGAGAAAAGGCCATGTGAGGACACGGTGAGAAGATGGTTATCTGCAAACTAGGAAGAGGGCCCTCACTAGAAACCGACTCAGCCGGAACTCGAATCTTGGAGGACTTCTAGCTTACGGAACTGTGAGAAAATAAATTTCTGTTTAAGCCACCCAGTCTATGGAAGCAGCCCAAACTAAGAGAGATGACTGTCTGGGTGTAGACCTGTGCATACACATCCTCCTGCCCTTTGCCCTCCCACCAGTTCCAAGATGTCTTGAAACCACCTTTGGAGAGCAGGGCATGGCAGGCTAAAAACAGGAATAGGGCCCATGTCACAGGTGTTTGGGTTCCTCTGCTATAACCAGCCACAGTGAGCAGCCAGAAGGGTTGAGGTTAACGCATTTTTGTTGGTGGGGGTTGGGGGAGAGGCTGGAGATCACGGTGGGGAGGTAGCTGCAGATGCTAGGAGTCAAGGAGAGGTAGCATAGTGGTGACCAAGAGTCTGAGTTCTGGAGCCAATGACCTGAGCTTGATCATCCACTCCATGCCTTCATCGTTATTTCTGTATTTCTGATAGCCCGTTTCATCATCTGTAGAATAGAGATGACAATACCTTCTTCAAAGGATTTTCAATATGGAGTGAAACATTATCAGTAAAGTGTTCAGCTCATGTTTGCTATGTAGTAAATGCCCTGAATGTGAGCTATCATTATTAACCAGGATGGCCATTTCAGAAGTGCATGCAGTGGTACAAACTACTTTTTGTCAGTGACCTGTCCTTTTTCAGCCATGTGCTATCAGGAAACAGTAAAGAGGTCTGTACTTCCCAACAGGTATGCCCAGAGTTGGAGGACAGCTATTCTGGGTCTTTTCTCACTTTGCACCTTCCCCCTAAACTATCTCATTCGCTCTCATGGCTTCAGTTGCTTTTCAGATGACTCTCTCCACACTATCCCTGAGCCCACTCAACACCTCCATTTGGGTATCTCATGGGAAACTTCGAACTCAACAAGCCTAAAACTCATCTGTCTAAATTAGATCCTCCTTCAGTCTTCATCTGAATAGACTGCACCAGCGTATGGCTGCCCAAAGTAAAAAATGCATGGTGGTCATTCTTGACCCTAAACTCTTCCTCATCCTTCAATATGTAACTCATCACCCCCTAGGCACCACTCTACTCCATCTACTCCTGTCTATGTCCACCATCACAACCCTAACTCAAAGCCCTACTTCCATTTTTGTCTCTCCTCACTCAATAAACACATCTGCCGCCAGCCCCAGCATATACACCAATGGCTTCTCTTTGCTCTCAGGATTAAACACAAAAGCCTAATAAGGACCAGAATCAACTGGTCCCACCAGCCTCATCTTCTCTCACTCCTCTTACACTCCAGTGGCCTTTCAATCCCTACCTCTGCCTAAGCTGTTTGTTTCTCCTCCTTCCTCTGGCTGATGCCTTCTCATCCTTCAGGTCTCCAGTTAAATGTTTCTTCCTCAAAAAGGACTTGCCTAAATCCTCAGGTAAGATTAATCCTCTCATGACCCCATATTGCCTCCCCAATCACAGCTACTAAATAACTGCATAATTAGTAGCCCAATGCTTCTTCCCACTAGTAACATGTAAGTTGTATGAACAGAGAACAGGGACAACATGTGTCCTGTTCACTGCTGTTTCCCAATGCCTAGCATAGTTTTAAACAGAAAATAGGCAATAAATATTTATTGAATGAAATACAGAGGGAAAACAGAGCTAAAGTAAATTTAAAAGGTGTATTTACATCGGAGCACATATCCTTTGATTTTCCACCTTAAACTAACCTTGTATCAGGTGAAATATTGAGTTGAACACTCCTTTATTGATTGGTCTTCCAAGTGGCTGGTTTCCTAGCGGTGGTAATCCAAAGTTCTTAGCAACTAACGTTTCCCGTCTCCACCTGTGTAACACTTCAGTTATTACTATATCTCCTGCAGAGACTAAAGAACAAGCAATTTAATAGAAGTTTGTACCTTTAGCTATTTCTGCTTGAATTATTCATTTTCTGCAGAAAAGCACAGATCATTGCAGTAACATTCACATGCCTTCTGAATTGCCTTGAATAAGAACTGGTTAAATCACTGCTTCACGTAACAACTTCCTCATCTTCCTGGACTTCGATCAAAGATTATTTACTCAGTGAAACCTTCCCTGGCTACTATATCTAAAATTATAATTCCACCTTGTTCCCCAACCCTGGTATATTCCTTTCCTGCTTTATTTTTTTCTCTTTGGAACTTACTAGTAAACACACCATATATTTTATTTACCTTGTTTGCTGTCTTCATTAACCAGAATGAAGATCCTTAAGGGAAAGAATTTTTGTTTTAACCACTCTTATTCCTCAGCCTGACATCTAACAAGCCCTCAAATATTAGTCAAATGAATGAACAAGCTCATACGGCTCAGGGCCAGAAAAAATAAAAATATTCAGAAACACAGAAGTAGAGTCTATAGTTTAAAATAACCCTCATTTGTGGGTCCTGCTTCTCCACCCTCCAAAACTGATTAACCTAATGAACTCGGAACTACTCTGTTACAGCTTCACTTTCCATGAGGACAAGAACAATGATTCCAGCCCTACTGCCCTGCCTACCATAAAGTTGGACCTGTGTTAATCACTCAATTGGCAAGTAAGTATTAATTAGGTTACAGTCCAAACTGCTATAACAAAGCCATCCGCCACGCAAGTTTCTTTCTCACAGTACTCTTTCAGGTGTAGCACAGTACTCTTTCAGGGGTAGCACAACTGTCATCCTCATCCCTCGGCTTCCATGTCCACTTCAAGGTATCTATGCTAGATCCTGCCTTCATATCTGCATTCCAGCCACTGAGAAGGGGAAAAGAGCAAGGGGTGCATTCCTCTTCCAGATATAATGCAGAAGTGGTGCCTATCACTTCTGCTAATATCCTACTGGCCAAGCTTAGTCACATGACCATACCTAGCTGAAAAAAAGCTAGGAAACGTGGTATCCAGCTGGACACAGGTGTTCTGCAATGAAAGGGCAAATGGGCATTGGTAAGCTTACAGCAGGTTATTAAACAGACAATAAAAGGAAAGGACCTTCTTTTCATATGAACATCATCTCTCCAGCCTTACTAGTTACACATTACTAGTTTGTGCCTGCATTCTTCACCTTCACTGAATTCACTAACTTGGTCTAAACAATTCTAAGTTAATGAAAACCACATTTCACAAAATTTTATGTAAACAAAAGGCAATTAGGGAAAGTTTACTGTTAATTACACTTCTGAACTAATGTTGGCAAAACTATAAAGTGGACAAAATCTAAAAAACCCTCTAGACCCTGTTGTTTCTTCTTCCTGAACTTCTCCCCCTACATCACCCACACACACTCTTCAGCAAAATTAATCTTTTATTCTGAAGCACAAATATGGTTCATGTATTTGTTTTATCATACGTTCTCTCTCTCAAAGGTATTCCTTGCTCCCACTCCCACCTGAGTGCAATGAAAGGCTTGCCCCTTATGTACAACAGTTAGGGAAGGATATTATGGGGTCTAAACCAGGGCACTAAAATCACACTACAAAATTTGTAACACCCCAGCTTCTGTAAGCTGTGTAATTAAAAGTACACTTTTTGGGGTTATTTTCTCTTGTCAAGCGTATCAAGGAAACTATGCCCTTCCTACTTTCTTTGGGAAAATATTAAATGTTAACAGGTTAAAGCTCTAACTTGACTATTAATTTTGCAGGTTCTACAAGCAACAATTCCAAGAATTTGATAACTTTGGAGCAAAAGTCCAAAAGTTCAAAGAGAAAGGATATGAGTGCTTTCTTAGCTGAATTTCCCCTTCTTCTCAATTATACTTTAGCCAGCTCCCACAATACCCCACCCCACATCAAACCACTTCTCAGGCATAAAGAGAGCTAATAAAACATTGAGCTAGAAGCAATTCAACTAAGAAGTAAATATTACATTATTTAAAAGGTAAATTCTAATACTTAAAAAATTCACTTCTTGCTTCAGTACTCTCATTCATTCAACAAATATTGGTATGCTTACTTATAACATATCAAGAACTGTTCTAGCAGTGGCAACACAGGTCTGTCCTCACAGATCTTACATTCCCATGAGGTAAGACAGTCAATAAACAGGGTAAAGAAATATATATGTTGGATGGTGATAAACGCTATGCAGAATGAAAGGCTTTCTTAGGTACAAAGAACTCAAGAAACACTTTAGAACCAAACCAATTTCTCTGAGAACCCTTTCAAAAAGAGCTAGAGCTCCATCTATAATCAGCAAAGTATCTGTCAAAGAAAGCCAAGGATCAATGTACAGTGACTACCAGAACAGGTTAGAAGGGCACACTCATAAACCTTTGCTACTGGTTTGGGGGTTTCAGTTTTAACTTTTCTGTTAAAATTCTCAGCATTTATCTCAAATGAAAGTATTATTTAAAATGAAATAATGAAGGAGGTTTATTAGATGGGAAGGGGTAACTGATTAAGACAAAGTATAAGGATCTTTTCAAAATCCATCTCTAAACATCAATAAACTGCCTCAGAAAATCTCTCACTAGGAATTATACACACACCCATTTGATATAATATGGATAAGTCTTCACCACCAGTCTAAATCCCTCTTCCCACCTCCCATCCAACATACGTTAACATGGAGATGGTTAAGCAAGCTGCCCATAGCTCTTCTTTGAATTTTCCCTATAGCCCCATTACCCTTTTTTTAAACAGAAAAACTGATTTAGATAGAAAGAACAAGTTTTGTTTTTGCAAAGCTTATGATAGACTTACAAACTCAATGACAAAAATCAGTAATATTTAAAATGTTAAATGGGAAGGGTGTTTTAAAAATGCTTCCTTCTTTCAATCATAAATACTACAGAGCTCTAAATAAATCTTCCTTATAAGCATTGCTGCAGTCTACTGACAATCTTAAAAATGTTTATAAAACGATAGCTGCATCAAAACTGCTGTAATACAAAATAGTATTAGCCACTGTCCCAACCCCTCATCACCTGAACTGTTTTGGCTACAGCAACCTGAAAACTAATTATCTTAAACCCAAGAGAAGCCAACATCCTCTTAGTGCTCACTGAACCTTCTTCCGCTAGGACAAGTGTGCTTTTTTAAAAAATACACTTCTAAAACAACCAGTGATGTTGCTACAAAATACCTTACAAAATGCCTTTTAAGTAAAAAGACATAGGAAGGAACTGATTCTCAGAAATTGGTAGGAATGTCCAATCTTTTGGCTTCCCTAGGCCACAGTGAAGTATAATTATCTTGGGCCACACATAAAACACACTAACACTAACGATAGCTGATGAGCTAAAAAAAAGAAAAAAAACTCGCAAAACAATCTCATAATGCTTTAAGAAAATTTACCAATTTGTGTTGGGCCGTATTCAAAGCTGTCCTGGACCACATGCAGCCCATGTGTGCAGGCTGGACAAGCTTGAATAGAGTCTTTTTTATCTATTAAAAAAAAAAAAAAAAAAAAAAAGAACAAGTGCTTTTATCTTTATCCTTTAGGGTTAATATGTAGTTTGGGTTTTTCTACATTTCTGGCAAGGGCACATGATTTTTCACCATTCCTTTTTTTTTTTTTTTTTTTTTTTTGAGACGCAGTATCGCTTGTTGCCCAGGCTGCAGTACAATGGCATGATCTTGGCTCAGTGCAACCTCCACCTCCTGGGTTCGAGCGATTCTCCTGTCTTCAGCCTCCCAAGTAGCTGGGATTACAGGCACGCGCCACCACACCCGGCTAATTTTTGGATTTTTAGTAGAGACGGGGTTTCACCATGTTGGCCAGGCTTCTCTTGAATTCCTGACCTTAGGTGATCCACCTGCCTCAGCCTCCCAAAAAGCTGGGATTACAGGCCTGAGCCACTGTGCCTCGCTCACCATTCCTTTCTAATTAGAATGAGTTTGCATGTCTTGTATATGTAATTCAGAGGTTGGTAAAAGTGTGCAACACAGTGACAATGATGCAAAGTCAGTCTGTGATTTAAAATTTTTTCAAAAAAGAAGACAAAAGGAAATAAAAAATTGTAAATTCACAAAGTGGATCATCAAAGGTTGATACACCGAGGTCAAGCAACATAAGAAGTAATTATTCTGAATCAAAGAACTAGTGGAAATGTAAAAGATAGTAACAATTTTAATATTTGAGTTCTTATGTTCTAAGTACTGTTCTAAATACTGTATTTGTATTACACTTCAATTAATCTTCCCTCAAATCCTTCCTATGAAGTAGACTTTTCCTTTACAGGTCAGGAAAGTGAGGCATAGAGTGGTTAAGCAACTTGTCTAAGCTATGAGGCCCATGACTCAAACGCAGGCAGGCCAACTCCAGAGCCAAAACAAAAAAAGACACATTAAGCAGGTTTTGAGGTTTATTAAAGTAAAGAATTAGCAAACAATATGCAAAAACAAAGTTCTTAAGAGTTATGGCTTTCAAAAGCACAATATAGTAAAACCTAATACATTTTCATAAGTATCAAAATAACAGAATTGAAGCATGTTGCTAGAATTTCAGCTTCTACAACATAAACAGAAGCACAACAAATACAAATAAGCAGCAGACCTACAGTGCAGCCACTAGCTTGGTCTTCATTATCTGTATATGAAATATCTTTTTAAGAAAATGTGGGCAGGTAGATACAAACATTCTATTTCCATGATTACAATCCTCTTCGATTTTAAAATAAGTGAATTTCAAAATACAACTTACGCCAACCATATTTAAAAAAAAAATCACTTGCCTAACCATTATCTTCTAGAGTTCCTATAGTTAAAATACTTTATGAATAAATCAATGCAACATCATCTTCAATGATATTAGAAGGGAAAATCTGACCCTAAAAGATTTTTTTTTTTTTTCCACAAAGAACTTGGGATTCTTTGGCCTTACTGGAGTTTTGTTATAGCTAACACCAGTCTGTATTAATTAAGAAGGCACTATTAATGAGGGACGGAAAAATCTACCTGTACACAAAATTCTGTACTTTAACAGCATCTTCAAATAAACCTTTAAAGGATAATGGTTTACGATCATTTTAAGAATTTTAAGAACTGAGTTATTTGGACAAGAACCATACAAACCTTTTTCACTCTGCCATGAATGATCGAAGAATCCTGCTCTAGGACTGGATCTTTTCAGAGAAAATAACTTATCACCTGTTTTACTGCAGTTGCTACTAGCAATTATTATATAGCATGTGCTCTTCAAAACAGAAATAAAAATTGATGTGTGAAATCCCTTTCATTGGTTTTGGTAAACCATCCAATTTTGGGCTGTCATTTCAATTATAATACAGTTGTATTTTAAGAGAGAAGATAATCCAATATAACAAAGGCTTGATAAATATTGTCACTCTGTAATCAGGACATACTAAACTGTAATTCAGCGAATTCCAAAGAACTTTCCAGGTTTCTGTCCAGCAGGTAGAATTCTTTGTTTATGCAGAAGAAATGCCTTCAATTCTCACATTCGATTCAGGCATCTTGTGTGATAAGAAAAGCTCCTAAGAATCTTACTTATATCAATGAGAAAAATGCTGCTGCTCTGGGAGACCTGAGATTACTCCCCAAAAAGCTGCCCTAATAATATCTGATACCACCTATAAACCACCACTTAGGAAAACTCTCTCCATAAAAATCACCAAACACTTCTAAAACCACCAGGCTACCTACTACCCTAAGATACTTGCTCATCTAGCTGAACAATATAACGATGACACACATTTATATTCATACCCAAGAGATTAGGTGAGGATTTAACTAGTAAGACAAAGAAGGGATCTGACATTCTTTAAAGTTAAAATGTAAGTCCAAAATATAAGTCATCACAAAAGGCTGAACTCAGTAATTATCAAAAAATTCTTCCTTCCTCATGAAGTAAAAAGGATATTTATATATTTTAAGTGGCAAAGGTGATAATCATCCAAAGTACTATTAAGCAATTGATTAGAAAAAGTATAAAGAAATAGATCTAAATTGGTACATCAGATGTTCTCTATCACAGAAGTACAGCACTTTGATAGGTACTATCAAACTTTTTAGAGTTTCTCTGCTGTTGGAAGAATTTCATTTTTTGTATAAACATTCTCTTCCAACAAAATACTACCACACAGGGGAAGGAACTGTTCCCCACAGGTACCCTCAGGTAATATGGAAGGTTTTTAACATGAACCCCAGTTCTAATCTTGACAACAGATTTCAGGTATGAGTACTTAATAATCACTTCACATCCTGAAGGATATCTTACTCTCAAATGTTATGAAAGGTATAAAATAGCTACATCCTCTATCTGTGCCATTAGATGTGGCTTGTTGAACTGTCTAGTACTCTTACTCTGGATTTCACCTCAGAAACCCAACCAATTCTATTATTTTTTTTATATAGCAACAATACAATGTGAAAAATTATTTATATTCTGACACACATATTTGACATTTTGATTGACGTCTTCCTTAAATCTCCTCTTAAAAAGAGGGTTAGTTTTAGCAGATCAATAACACGCCTACTAGTTTACATTTCACGTCAGCCAGGCAATACTGACCAGACCAATACTGACCAGACCATAAATATTATGTAGAAATGTTAAGCAAATGAATCTCTTATATCTTGCTTTTTGCCAATCAATATCTTTTTGTTGCTTTAATTCATTACTGAGATTTCATTCTATTCTGCTGTTTGCATTACCAAACTGGTTGCAATTTTATTATTCCCAGATTCTGTCTTTTCAGCCAGCATAAATATATTGTACATGCTATGTGATTATTCTAGTGGTGCTAGAATTTTACTATAAAACATTCTGTAGATTAAATTAAAACATATAACCATAATTTGCTAAAATGGTTTCTTTCAGAGGTACTTTCCTTTCACTAGCCAGTTTTTAAAAATCTTACTAGCAAATTTTATCTCCTATACATAGATATATGAAAATCCTTAGGGACTGTAAGAATAGCTGGACTGAATAAAATTTTCATTTAAAGTCCAAGGGTGGGGAGTTGACAACTTTTAGGAGATACAACAGGCTTATAGTTCTCTGTCAAACTCTTAGTTGTTAATAGCTTTAGTACTGTCATTCATGAGACACAACTCCTAAGAGAAAACAAAGAAAAGGCCAATCACGTAAGATCTTGTTAACTCAAGACTGTGACATAATGACCCCAAATAAAAACAATTTTTAATTAACTCACAGTAGAAAACACCAATAAAACAACTCTCTAATTTCCACTAGTTTACTGCAGCCCAATGAAGTTGATTACATACATCAGTCATTCAATTGGAGTAATTTTTTCCTACAAATTTGTTCCAGAGATCATGCCATAAGCCTGGTTAAGTAAAAGAATGATGAAAATGCCAAAGTTCTATCAAGTAAGCAAATATTCTCTTTCGTGTGGCAGACAGAACTCTGGAAGAAACAGAATGCATGTCATGTAATACTTACATTTAAGGCTCAGGTGACTGTCAGAAAGTATTTCTTTTACCCAGCAAAGAACTGTGAGCTGAAACACAAATGGCAGTTCATCTGAAAGAACTAAAACCATCCACTGGCTGCACATTGAAAAAGCAATAAATAATGACACAGAAAACAAAAGAAATTGCATAATTCTTTCCTCGAAAATGCTTTTTTTTTTCTTCACAAGAGCAGAAAGGACAAAGTGGAAAGTCAAACCAAACTAACATTTTAAACAGAAGAATGATATGACTCCATATACTTTCAAAAGGCACCAGAAAATAAAGCTTTCACTGATAGGTAAATTAGGTCATTTTTTTTTTCCAAAATAATTTCTTCATTCTCATGTCATAATTAAGTGTCCATTTGACAGCTCCTGAGAAAAAAACTGGTTCAAAGTTCTTTATCCAAAGCCAAAAACATGATTGATTAAATGGATATTTTGGAGTTCGTTCATGTCTTTTCTCTCTAAAGATTGTGTTTTGGGAGACTAGCTTCCACATAAGTACTTAAAAAATGGAAAAAGAGGATCATCGATAAATGAGAGAAGAGTCTATATTCGTTGATGGGTGAGTGTTTTGTTTTGTTTTGTTTTTTGAGGCAGAGTCTCGCTCTGTCGCCCAGGCTGGAGTGCAGTGGTGCGATCTCGGCTCACCACAACCTCCGCCTCCCAGGTTCAAGTGATTCTTCTGCCTCAGCTTCCCGAGTAGCTGGGACTTCAGGCACGCACCACCATGCCCAGCTAATTTTTGTATTTTTTGTAGAGACAGGGTTTCACCATATTGGCCAGGCTGGTCTCAAACTCCTGACATCATGATCTGCCTGCCTCAGCCTCCCAAAGTGCTGGGATTACAGGTGTGAGCCACTGTGCCCAGCCGAGTGTTTTAAAATCAGCTATCCCTACATCCACTGCTGATTCATTTAGTATCAAATCAGTAGCCTTATCCTTGGGGCCCAACTGAAGAGCCTCCTACGGCTCCAGTGCATAGGTCCTTGCGTAGGGAGGCTGATACAAGTAAGCTGACACTTGTAAGAGCAATGGGATTAACTACATGATTCTCCAGCACTGATAACACCCATAAAACTGTAGGGAATTAAAAAGGCACCTTAAGTTGGAGCTATAGAATAACAGTCTTATAACCTAGGTTGAAAGTAAAACAAAAACCAGAAAAAAGCATAACTTCCTACAAATGTAATCTATAAATTGCAGTGTTTGTTAATACAAAAAAGGTACCAAGGACGTAAGGATAAGCATCTAAGTCCAAGTCACTTGAGTGTATTTTATCAAAGGTTATGCTAAAAACTGTCACCCATAAAAGTGCAAAATAAAAGATTAATGCATGTCAAAAATAGAGTTCTTGCAACATTGTCCAAAAGCAGCAAACATAGTTGAACAAGGCTGTGCATGCACTGTCACTAGCTATAAAGTAATGCTTATGACAGATTTTGAGTAAATGACATATACTTGAGATCAGTTATTTGCAAAAATTTTTTTAAAAAAGGAAATGTCTTACAAAAGATATATAGCATGAAGTCACATTACACTGAAGAACACTTATCTGTATTAAATGTAAATTTTATGTCATCTAGAAAACTATCATTTTGCTTTTACTGAACACTACCAGTTACAGCAGTGCATAGTGTTCATTCAAATAAAACTTTATAGTTTCTTTTAAGCCCCTACCATACACTTTTGCAAAACAATGAATTGTACTTTTTTTTTTTAAGTTGGTGGGACAAAGAAACTGGTAAAAGTACAGCTTCTGGAAGATCGAGAGTAGGAGGGAAAACTTACTCTTCACTGTATATGCCCTCTTATAAGCTACTATAATTTTTCATCATGTGATGCATTTTCAAATAAATTTAATAAAAAATTGTTAGGGCAATAAAGTAAAAGCATGTTCCAGTTTAAGATCAATGCCAAATTTCTGAACTGGGGCATAATACTTACTCTGCATCTTTTACAACACTTCTAAGAGTTAATCACATGAACATGAATACAAACAAATGTAGATTCATCACAAAATACAAATGTATTGGTCACAATTATGTAGAAAAAAATAAGCTGTAATATCTGTTTTCAATGTAAGCTCACAGTATCTGTACTCAAAGTTTCTCTAAAATTAAAACAAGTCCACTAACAATATAATTGAAAAGAATACTTCTGCATTATGAAACAGAAGATATGGGGTTCAGAGGGGAGCCCATCTGAGTAAGGACTTTATCCAGCCACTGAAGAGGCCCATGAAGATGAATCTCAATCCAACATGGGGTGCTGGTTACATCCTGCCGGTGATATTCTGCTCCCCAACCCTATGAAAATGAACAGATATCATCACAAATCCCTCTTTAAACTGTCAACCACTCTAAACCAATTTTACCATAAGAAAAAGATAGCTTTTAACAGTAGAGATATGTAGAAGTTACATAAAGAGAATAACTATCACAAAACCAGTCTTAGTATTCACCATGAAATTAAAAGACAACAGCTACATTATTTAAAGATTCATGAATTCTAAAATAATATATAATTCCCTTAAAAGAAACCCTTAGAGCCAGTTATAGTTCATAATTTTTTTTAATCTTAGAAAGGTAACACAGTACAGTATCTCATAATTAAAACAAATATTTCTGATCTGAGATACATTCTCCCTTAATGGGATAAATGCAAAATAGAAAATCACCACTAGAACACCACAGTAATAATTACTGTAGACAAGATATATTGAAGAATGCAAAAATTGTGGGTAAAATATAAAGGAGAAACAGTGTATTTACATAGCCCCAAAGAATCTGCCTGCAAATATTTATAAATACCATTTTCTCTTAATTTCTTTGTAAGACTTAATGACTATTTAAAGGAAAAATTTTAACTGTATTATAAGATATAATGTGCAGATGTAAAATTTATGAATAGCACAAAGAATAAAAGAAGGTAATTAAAACTCTTCAACAGCAAGGTTTTCATATTTTACATTCTAAAAATAGTACAATATTAACTCTAGGTAGATTGGGGTATGTTAAAGATAACGTGGTAATTCCTGGAGAAACCACTAAAAAATGTAAAGAGATGTCACTTAAATACTAATAAAGGAATCATATATAAAAAATCAAAATCAAAATCATAAATAGCCTCATGTAAGATCATGTCACATGTCAGAGTTTCTTTTTTTTTTTTTTTTTTTTTTTTTTGTGAGACAGAGTTTCTCTCTTGTTGCCCAGGCTGGAATGCAATGGCGCAATCTTGGCTAACTGCAACCTCCGCCTCCCAGGTTCAAACAATTCTCCTGTCTCAGCCTCCCTAGTAGCTGGGATTACAGGCACCCACCACCATGCCCGGCTAATTTTTGTATTTTTTAGTAGAGACAGGGTTTCACCATGTTGGCTAGGCTGGTCTCGAACTCCTGATCTCAGGTGATCCACCTGCCTTGGCCTCCCAAAGTGCTGGGATTACAGGTGTGAGCCACCTCACCCGGCCCAGGTTTTTTTTTTTAACGAAAAATTTTTTATTTTCAAGTTGTTTGAATATCAGATAAGGCATTGTAGATATTGATCAATACATGCATGTATAATTTAATGTGGCAGTCACATAGTGATTATCCTTTAAGGTTGGAAATTACTGGGATGAACTGAGCTGAAATCTTTAGCCTAAAACTGCAGATAAAAATTGAAATAGAAATTTTTCACTTTTATTTTCCTGGATTTATCAGGTTCTCTGGTTTACTGCTTATGGTAGTCTTGGCCCAGGAAAACTGGGTTGGGGAGGGAGGGCGGTCAGGGGAGTGAAGAACATTGGGGAGTGGAGATTAAAATAAATATGCAAAAGTCACATTACTGTACAAGAAGGCAGAAATACCTTCAGGGTAACCAGTAAACTGATGTATACAATAGATCTACAGCAAAGTATCATGAAAACACTGGACTGGGGCTGAATACCAAAAAGAAAAAAACCCATGCACAGCGTGTGACAGGTGCTCTTCTTGTGCTAAATTCTTAAGAACCATGTAGATACAGTACAGATTGCTTAAATATGTAGATACAGTACAGATTGCTTAAATACATGACTAAAATTCTTTTCAGATTTTAAGCACAAATCTTTGGAATGTCAATACAGTCAGGTGAAGAGAGTAGATGAAAAACTTGAAAAGTTCCTTTGAACTTTGCAAATCCTTAATATTAAGGTTGGTGGAAAAGTAATTGTGGCTTCTGCCATTACTTTTAATAACAGTACTTAGCTAGGAATGAAATAATTTTAGTATTCTAAAGAATTCTGCCAAGTCACCCTAATGAAATCTAGTAATAATAATCAAAACTGTTGAAGTTAAGAGACTCAAATAGCAATTTTAATATTAAATGCTGATATGATTTGGCTGTGTCCTCACCCAAATCTCATCTTAAATTGTAGCTCCCATAATTCCCACATGTTGTGGAAAGGACCCAGTGGGAGATAACTGAATCATGGGGGCAGTTTCCCCCATACTGTTCTCACAGTAGTGAATAAAGTCTCATAAGATCCGATAGTTTTATAAGGGGTTTCCCCTTTCATTTGGCTCTCATTCTCTCTTGCCTGCCGCCATGTAAGATATGACTTTGCTCCTCCTTCACCTTCCGCCATGATTGTGAGGCTTCCCCAGCCACGTGGAACTGTGAGTTCATTAAACCTCTTTTTCTTCATAAATTACCCAGTCTTGAGTATGTCTATTAGCAGCATGAAAATGGACTAATACAAATGCTTTCTAGAAATTTAGTCTTTTAACTAAAATTCCTTATAATCTCAGCCCCTATTCAATATCAAAATCAATATCAATCATGCATTTTATAATGTCTAGATTACAAAATGAAATCTTAGATCTATTATGTAGTTAAAATTACAAATTCAATAATTTTATTTAAAAACCTGTTAAATCAGGCCAAAAGCAATTATCAACTTTCATTTAACAATTTTTAAAAATTATAACCTAAAGTCATAATATACACATTTATAGTGACTCAAATTATGTTAGAGGTCACAACTCACCTTGACAAAACTCATCCGAATGGTACACATTTTGGTGAGCTCATATACTGCCTCAAACCCATGGTTGACAGATTGAGCCAGAAGCTGAGCAAACTCCTGATTGTTAAAAATTTTGAGGCTGCAGCTGCTGGGAATCTTACAGACAGTGGTGGGATGAAAGCCATGATGAAAGTTGCAGTTCCTACTCTGTACAAATATGCTGCTGTCACTGAGGCATTCCGCATACACCTCTCCACCAACATAGTACAGATGAACACCTTAAAAAGACAAACATCACAAGAGTCAGCTAAAAGAATCATTACAATGAAACCAAATAGACTGTATGGTGCAACAAAAGTACCCATTAATCCACAGCAAACTTCCAGCAGTCTTTAGACAGAAGTTACCACTAGATGGCCTTCTGCTGCCAAAGATAATCAAGAGGTTAATGTCTGCCTGCATCTACAAGAGAAGCCTCAAATAGGCAGCAGATTAAGTTATCCATTTTTAGGTTGTTCTCTTTTTCCTTTCCCAACAATCATTTATCATCTCTATGAGAGAAAGAGAGGGCTAAAAAAAAAAAACCCCAAATCATCTTTTGATGAGTCCTTTCAAATAAATCCTCAGTGCTATCAACTATCATAAACAGTCATTTGACAGACTTTTGCACTCTTTGTGCTAACAAAGAGGACAGCAACACTAAAAAAAAACCAAAGTTACATATATAATTTCAGGTCATAAGAAGAGCTTTGAAATGGCAGATTTATCTTACTTAAAATTTTTTTATATTTAAAAATATATATGTTCCTTTGCAAGATGTGAGGGCAAAAAAAATAAAAATTTTAAAAATATATAAATATGTGGAAATAGTTTTAACATTAAATATTCAAATTATATAACTAAAGCTAGTCACCTAGTATTTTCCCAACATATCCCTCCACCACCCCAAAACTAACCCATGAAAGAAAAGGTCCTAGAACTATATGCTGGGGAAAAAGAAAAAACTGATTCTAGAATTTCAAAATTCACAAAATAGATTTCCCTTAAATTACTTCTACTGTGATGGAAGAAAAAAAAAATCAATGCCTAGAAGTGAGGCACTTCACTGAAAAAACTAAGGCAAGTTGGCAGTAAACTCAAGACAATGAAAACTTTGTTTCGTAACTTATTTTTGGCCGCAGGATTTTTTTGAATCACTTCTATAAGAAATCCTATCACAATTATATTTATTTACCTTTTATTCCTATTTTGGACCAAGATGCCCTCAAGTTAAAGAAGCAAAATGCAGCAAGGGGTAAAAACAAAACTTCTCAAGAAACAGGCAATACACTTTACCTGGGATGGGTTTCCTTCCTGATCACTTGATGCATGAGACTTTGACATTTTATTGCAGTATGAAAAGGGCCCGGTTTGTTATGGCAACTATCTGCAGGATGAATTATTAATAAAACCTTATTGCCTAAATTTAAAAGATGGGAGCAGTGGTGGTGAAGCCACTGGAGTATCATTCACACTAGATTTCCCATTTCTAATTCCGCTCCTCTCACATCATGGTAACACTTACAAGTCATCTCAACCCAAAATACTCCACAAATACCTTAATTATAAAATTCTAATCCTTCACCAGCATTCATACACAATATTCCATAAATATGTGTTGTGTATTTACAATGAGGCACTCTTCTAGCTACTGGGGATACTGCTGTGAACAAAGCAAGTTCCTGTACAGCTTATGTTCCAGTCAGGGTAACACTCAAAAAACAAAGTGGTAGTATGATTTCAGATCCTTAGCACTGGGAAGAAACACTAAGCAGGACAAAAAAATGAGGGAACATCATGTCTTTATTTGATTAATACATTCTTCAATATCGGCAACTTAAGGCAGAGGCCACGTGTCAAACTTCTTTGTATGTTTCTAGCACCTTTCACAATGCATGGTTCATGGCAAGTACAACAAATGATTGAATTCGATTAAATGTAGGAAAATGACAAGATTACCTTTTCCAATATGTCGCCTAGTGTTTTCAATTGTCGAATTACGATTAACATTTGACAACAAACCCAAGCAGAATCTACTTTTGTTATTTGAAGGATCTGTGAATCCATCTACTAACACACTAGTAGAAGATGCATGAAAAGCTTCTCCAACACGATTGTTTAATTCATAGTAGACTATTGAACACCAATGTTTAGGCTCTTCATAGGCAACAGGCTGAACATCTGTGAACAAACCAGACACAGAAAGAGTTTAATACATATCAGAAACTCAGATTGTCCATGTGTTTATCTTTTAACCCAACCCAAGTATTACATGAAAAAGAAAATTTTCAGATATTTCACAAGTCTCACTGTCCTTCCTAGCTGTGAATCTATATCCGAAAACAAGCACTAGAAATCAGCTTGAATATGACAATTTAAAAAGTTATAGAAATACCAGGATCGGCAATAGTCGTAGCTTGCTCAGGCTATAAAATACCGTAAGGCTGAGTGGCTTAAACAACAGAAATTTATTTCTCACAGGTCTGGGGGCTGGGAAGTCCAAGATCAAGGTGCCAGAAGATTTGGTAACTAGTGAGGACCTGCTTCCTGGCTTGCAGACAGCTGCTTTCTCACTGTGTGCTCATATGGCCCCTCCTCAGTGCATGCTCTTAGAGAAAGATCTGTTTCTTTTCCTCTTCTTATAAGGGAACTAATCTCATTATGACAATCCCACTCTCAAGCCTAATTATTTCCATCTTCAAATACCATCACACTGGTAGTTAGGACTTCAACATATGAATTTTAGGGAGATTCAATATGGTCCATTAGCATTCCACCCCAGCAACCCAAAATTCACATCATTCTTACATGTAAAATACACACATATATTCTATCCCAACAGCCCCTGAAGTCTTAACTCATTTCCACATCAACTCTAATGTTGTAAACCCAGTATCATCCAAATATCATCTACATATGACATACGAGACTTGAGGCAAAATTCCTTTCCAGCTGTAAACCTATGAAACCAGGTAAGTTACGTGCTTATGGTGGGACAGACACAGGATAGACGTTCCCATTCCAAAATGGAAAAACAAAAAATAAGGGAGTGATGATGGGTCAAGGAAGCTGAAAACCTAGCAAAGCAAATTGCATTAGGCCTTAAGGCTGGAGAATAAACCTCTTTGGTTTGATGTTCTACCCTCCCAACCCTCTGGGTGGAGTGAGGAGGTGCCCAGGCCTTGGTTCAAAACATGAATTTTGGGACGACACAATTCAGAACATAGCAGCAACAACACATTTTTAATTGTTTTTCTAACATAAACTAATTCAGGTTTAAATTTGAGACAAAAAATTCTTTTTCAGAGACCTGAAGGATTTAACTATAATCAGTATCTGTAAAATTATTTTAAACAAAAAAGTTAAACTAAAAAACTAAGTGAGACTCAGCAAATTAGGAATAGAGGGGAACTTCCTCAGCTTGATACGGAACATCTACAGCTAACATCATACTTAATGGTAGGAAACTAGAAGGTTTTCTGCTAAGATCAAAAACAAAGCAAAGATGCCTCCTCTCCCACTTTTCAACATCATACTGGAAGTCCTTGCTAATGCCATAAATAAATAAAAGGTACACAGATAGGAAAGGAGGAAATTGTCTTTGTTTGCAAATTACATGATTGTCTATGTAAAAATAAGAAAGAACTGACCAAAAAATTCCTGGAACTAGTAAGCATTATAGCAAGGTTGCAGGATACAAGGTTAATAAGCAAAAGTTGATTGCTCTCCTATACAGCAACAATAAACAAATGAAATTTAAAATAAAAAAATTATAATTTACATTAGTATCCCCAAAATTAAATACTTAGGCACAAATATAAAAAAATAGGAACATGCTCTATGAGGAAGACTACAAAACTCTGATGAAAGAAATCAAAGAACTAAATAAATGGAGAAATACTGCACATTCAAGAATAAGACTCAATATCGTCAAGATAGCAGTGTTTCCCAGCTTAATCTATAGAGTAATAATGCCAATCAAAATCCCTGCAAGCTATTTTTTGGATATAGACAAAATGATTCTGTACTTTATATGGGGAGGTAAAAGCCTCAAAATAGCCAACACAATATCAAAGGAGAAGAATGAAGTCGGAGGACTGACACTACTTCACTTTAAGACTTACTATAAAGATACAGTAATCAAGATCATGATAAAATAAAAGAACAGACAAACAGATCAAAGGAGCAGAATAGAGTTTAGAAATAGACCCAAGTAAATACAGTCAACTGGTATTTGACAAAGGAGCAAAGACAATACAATGGAAGAAAAAAAAATCTTTTCAAAAAATGATACAGGAAACAACTGGACAGCTACATCAAAAAAGTAAATCTAGACTAGACCTTACACTCTTCACAAAATTGACCCAAGATGGATTACAGACCTAAATGTAAAATGCAAAACTATAAAACTCCTAGAAAATAATACAGGAGAAAATCTAGATGACTTCTGGTATGATGATGCCTTTTTTTAGGTACAATTCATGGAAGAAATAATTGATAAGCTGGCCTTCATTAAAATTTAAAACTTTTGCTCTGAGAAAGACATTGTCTAGAGAATGAGGAGACAAGCCACAGATTAGGAAAAAAAAAATCTGAAAAAGTTCTATCTGATAAAAGACTATAATTCAAAATATACAAAGAACTCAAAAACAATCTGATTAAAGTATGGCAAAAGATATGAGTAGGGAGCCCACCACAGACTCACAGATTGGTCAAGTAAGCATGTGAAAAGATGTTCAACATGTTATGTCATTAAGGAATTGCAAATTAAAACAACTATGAGATACTACTACACACCTATTAGAATGGCCAAAATCCAAAACAATGACAACATCAAATGTTGGTAAGGATGAGGAGCATCAGGAATTCTCATTCATAGTTGGGAATGCAAAATGATACAGCCATTTTAGAAGGCACTTTGGCCGTTTCTTACAAACCTAAACATACTCCTACCATAAAATTTGGCAATCATGCTTCTTATTCAAATGAGATGAAAACTATATCCACATAAAAAATCTGCACATGAATGTTTATACCAGCTTTACTCATAATTGCTCAAACTTAGAAGCAACCAAAAGGTTCTTCAGCAGGTGAACAGATAAACAAACTGTGGTACAACCAAGACAATGAAATAGTATTTGGTGCTGTGATGGTTAGTATTGAGTGTCAAACTAATTGGATTGAAGGATGCAAAGTATTGTTTCTTGGGTGTGTCTGTGGGTGTGTCGCCAAAGGAGATTAACATTTGAGTCAGTGGACTGGGAGAGGCAGGCCCACCCTCAATCTGGGTAGGCACCATCTAATCAGCTGCCAGCGTGGCTAGGATAAAGCAGGCAGGCAGAAGATGGAAGAGCAGACTTGCTGAGTCTTCCGGCCTTCATCTTTCTCCTGTGCTGGATGCTTCCTGTCCTCAAACATCAGACTCAAATTCTTCAGCTTCTGGACTCTTGGACTTAGACTAGTGGTTTGCCAGGGGCTCTTGAGCCTTTGGCCACAGACTGAAGGCTGCACTGTCAGGTTCCCTACTTTTGAGGTTTTGGGCTTGGACTGATCCACCCCTGGCTTCCTTGTTCCTCAACTTGCAGATGGCCTATCGTGGGACTTTACCTTGTGATCACATGAGTCAATTCTCCTTAATAAACTCCCTTTCATATATATTACATATATCCTATTAGTTCTGTCCCTCTAGAGAACCCTAATAGAGATGCTAAAAAGAAATGAGCTATCAAGCCATAAAAAGACATGGAGAAACTTAAATGCATATTACTAAGTGAAAGAAGCCAGTCTGAAAAAGCTACATACTGTATGATTCTAACTATGACATTTTGCAAAAGGCAAAACTATAGAGACAGTAAAAAGATCAGTGGTTGCAAGGGGTTGTGGGGAAGAAGAGGTGAACAGGCAGAGCACAGAGAATTTTTAAGAGGTAAAAAATGATTCTGTATCATATCATAAGGGTGGATACATGTGTTAAAAACCCACAGAATGTACAAAACCAAGAATGAACCCCACTGGATAATAATCATGTGTCAATGGAAGCTCACTGACTATAACAAATGTCCCACTCTGGTGAGAGATGCTGATAATGGAGGAGGCTGTGCCTGTGTGGGAGAAGAGAGTATGTGAGAACTTTCTGTACCTTCCACTTAATTTTGCTGTGAACCAAAAACTGAACTAAAAAATGCAGTCTATTTATAAAGAAAAACAAAAAAACAAAACAACTAAATGAACATTATCTTTGGGTAAATAGAGGTATATGTTTAAATTTTACATGCCAGAACTGCCTACAGAAAAAGGTTTATACACAATATAAAATACTGGCCAAACTCATTAATATAAAAGTCAGTAACTCATAATAGACACAAAGGGTAGAAGAGATACATGGAAGCTCTACATCCCAGCACCCTTCCTGGAGCTGAAATCAAGCAAAGAAATCACAGACCCTCAATTCTCTTTCAAAAAAGGCAGGAATATGGCTGGGTGCGGTGGCTCACACCGGTAATCCCAGCACTTTGGGAGGCCAAGGTGGGCAGATCATGTGAGGTCAGGAGTTCAAGACCAACCTGGCCAACATGGTGAAACTCCGTCTCTATTAAAAATACAAAAATTAGCCGGGTGTGGTGGCACATGCGTATGATAATCCCAGCTAGTCGGAGGCTGAGGCAGGAGAACTGTGAGCGAATTGTGCCGCTGTATTCAATCCCGGGTGGCAGAGCGAGATTCCGTCTCAAAAAAAAAGGGGCAGGAATAAAATAACACCAAGGAAAATGTAAGAGTAATCACATGGTCTATGTAGGCAATTTAAAATAATTGGTTAACTTTTTTTTTTTTTTTTTTGAGATGGAATCTCGCTCTGTCATCCATGATTGAGCACAGTAGCATGATCTCGGCTCACTGCAACCTCCACCTCCCAGGTTCAAGTGATTCTCCAGCCTCAGCCTCCCGAGCAGGTGGGATTACAAGCACCCACCAGCAAGCCCGGCTAATTTTTGTATTTTAGTAGAGATGGGATTTCACTATGTTGGCCAGGCTGGTCTCAAACTCCTGAGCCTCAGATGATCTGCCTGCCTCGGCCTCCCAAAGTGCTGGGATTACAGGAGTGAGCCACTGCGCCCAGCCAACTATTTTTTTAATAGAATAGTTTAACTTTTAAAACTCAATTCTGAGTTTTATATGGCAAAGAATTCAGATGAGAAGAAAGAGAGGAAAATAAATCAATTCTGAGTATTCAATGGCAAAGAATGCAGATGAGAAGGAAGAGAGGAAAATAAACCACTGTAAGCCCAAAGAAGTCTTAAGAGCTCAGATTTTAAAGTTTATACAAAGTTTATACATGTAGAGGCCCATTCCTAAAGACAGGTACAAATGAGTTGCATGAAGTTATAAGAGTAACATCAGGAAGATTAGAGCTAAGAACGAGCAGAAGGTTATAGAAAAAAAAAAATGCTAGGCGAAACTAAAAAGGCAATTTTGGTTAAAAGGAAAAGAGGAACCAGAAAAGCACTGCCTCTGCTCAAGGCAGAAGACGTATTGTTGCTAACAGGTGGTTCCAGGCACTGCCGTTTAACTTTGATTTTCTTTTTGTCACTTTTTTGGCAAAAAGAAAGGAGAAAATACACATAATCTGACTGAAATGAGAAGAAATTCTAGTGAAAAAGGTATCTACAAAGGTGAGAAAATGTGAGTATCAAGTTCCTCTAAAGGGGCTCAGTTGTTTGGTTGAGACAAATTACATTCCAATGGACATCTAACATATAACACTATTAAATGGCACTATGATCTCTGGAAAATCAGGAGAAAAGAAAAGGAGGTTAAGTGGAGTAAATACAGTCCATATTTTCAAAAGGAGAATAAAGTGGAGTAAATACAGTCCATATTTTTAAAAGGAGAAAAATAATACTATTTATTGTGTACGGCCTAATGTTGTGTGCTAAAATCATTACATGTATTGTCTAATTTAATCAACATATTAATAATTCCAGCATATCATCCCTATTTTGTAAATGGGGAATCTCAGGCTTAGAGATTTAAAAACTACCTACATTGCAAAGCAAATAAGTAGAGAAACAGGAATTCAAATCCAGAAATTCATGTTCCATTTTTATGGTAAATGAAGGTAGATTTTAAATTATAGGCAAATTAATATAATGAGATTTCTTGATAAATTCTAGACATTATAGAAACATTAACAAAACTATTAGGGGTCTGGAAATTTAACTGCTCTTAGGAATACAGAGCACTCAATATAACACACATTCAGTATTATCACAAACATAGAAAACACATAAAAACACATTGTTTTAAGAAACGTATAAAATAGCAGTACATATTTCTAAACTTGGGACAAACTAAGGAGGTTAAGGTCTCAAACCAAAGTGGCATTAAAGCCACAATGACACCATAAAGATATACAATTTTTCATTTGTCAATTATCCAAAAAAAAAAAAAGATAAAAAAAATACAGAACAACCCACAGTGAGATATCTCTTCATACCCATTAAAATGGTCAATATCTAAAAAATAGAAAACAAGTGCTGGTGAGGATGTGAAGAATATGGAATCCGTGTGCACTGTTGCTGAGAATATAAAATGGTACATCCACTGTGGAAAACAGTATGGCTGTTCCTCAAAAAAGTATAAATATAATTACCATGTAATCCAGTAATTGTACTTCTGGTATATACTCAAAAGAAATGAAAGCAGGATCTCGAAGAGATATGTGTACGCCCATGTCCACAGTAGTATTATTCACAATAGCCAAAAAAGTGAAAGCAATCCAAGTGTCTATCAATGGATGAATAGATAAACAAAATTTGGTATATACATACAACGGAATATTACTCAACCTTAAAAAGAAATGAAATTCTGACATTGCTACAATATGGATGTGCCCTGAGGAAAAATAAGCCAGTCACAAAAAAAAAAAAAAAAAAAAAAAAAAAAAAAAAAAAATTGTATGATTCCATTTATATGAAGTACTTAGAGTGGTCAAAATCATAGAGATTAGAAAGCAGAGTGGTGGTTGCCAAGGGCTGGGGGAAAAGGAGAATAGGAAATTTTTATTTAACAGGTATAGTTTCAATACTACAAGGTGAAAAGAGCTATAGAAATGGATGGTGGTGATGGTCACACAACATTATAAATGGATTTAATGCCACTGAACTGTACACTTAAAAATAGTTAAGATGGTAAAATTTATGTTATATATAGTTTGCCATAAAAAAACAAACAAACAAACAAAAAAAAACAGGGCCAGCCTGGGCAACACTGTAAGACTCCATCTCAACAACAACAAAAAAATTGGCCAAGCATGGTGATGCATGCCTGTAGTCCCAGCTACTCAGGATGCTAAGGTGGAGGAGCACTTCAGCCCAGGAGTCTGAGGCTCCAGTGAGCTATGATCACGCCACTGCACTCCAGTCTGGACATGACAGAGCAAGACTCTGTCTCTAAAATAAATAAATAATTTAAAAATTAAAAATAAAACAAAACAACAAAAAAATAGGGGGAAAAACCTTTATAGGAAAGCTTTAGCAATCAAGACTATGAGGTATAGATATGTAAGCCAACAGAGTCCTGAAATAAACCCTGGCATTTACAGTCAATTGATTTCTGACAAAGATGTTAATTCAACAAAGAAATGATACTCTTTTCAACAAATGGCAAAGCCAACTGGATTTCTATATGCAAAAAACTTAATGTAGACATTTACCATATACCACATACAAACTTAACTCAAAAGGAACCACTGACCTAATATAAGAGCTAAAACTATAGAACTTCTAAAATAAAACATAAAATAATATTTTCATGACCTTGGGATAGACAAAAATTTCTTGAATTCAACACCAAAAGCATAATCTAGAAATGAAAAAACTGACAAAATGGATTTCATCAAAATTTAAAGCTATTACCCTCAAAAAGACGTCATTAAGAAAATGAAAAGAAATCCACAGACTGAGAGAAAATATTTGCAAATCATATATCTGATAAAGGATTCATATCCAGAATATACAAAAAATTCTTACAACTCAGTAAGACAACCCAATGGGCAAAAGATTTAAAATAAACACATCAAAGAAGATATATAAATGGCCAACAAGTACATTTAAAAAATGCTCATCATTGCTCATTAGAGAAATGCAAATTAAAACCACAATAAGCACTTTACACCCACTAGAATGGCTATAATTAAAAAGCCAGACAATAACAGGTGTTAGGAGGATGCAGAGAAAATAGAACCCTCATACTTTGCTGGTGAGAATGTAAAATGGTACTGCCGCTTCAGAGAAGTTTTATAGTTTTCTTAAGTAGTTAAACTTACCATGTTATTCAGCAATTGCACTCCTAGATATCTATCCAAGAGAAATAAAACAATATCCACAAAAAGACTTACATGCGATTTTTGTTTGTTTTTTTGAGATGGAGCCTCGCTCTGTTGCTCAGACTGGAGTGCAGTGGCACTCCACTCTCAGCTCACTGCAACCTCAGCCTCCTGGGTTCAAGTGATTCTCCTGTCTCAGCCTCCAGAGTAGCTGGGATTACAGGCATCTGCCACCACACCCAGGTAATTTTTTATTTTTATTGTATTTTTAGTAGAGACGGGGTTTCACCATATTGGCCAGGCTGGGGTTTTGAACTCCAGATCTCAAGGGATCCACCCGCCTTGGCCTCCCAAAGTGCTACGATTACAGGCGTGAGCCACTGAGCCCAGCTGCAAATGTTTATAATAATCAAAATACGGAAACAATTCAAATGCCCACTGACTGGTGAATAAATGTGATATATTTATATAAAGGAGTACTGTTAAGCAATAAAAAGGAACAAACTATTGATACATGCTACAACACGGATGAACCTTGAAAAAACATGCTAAGTGAAAGAAGACTACATTATTACATGATTCCAATTATATAAAATGTTCAGAAAAGATAAAATCTACAGGTACAGAAAACAGATTAGAGGGTATGTGGAGCTGAGGATAGGAGTGAGGATAGACTGCAAATACGCAGAGAAACCTTTTTAAAGAGTTAGGGAAATATTCTAAACCTAGACTGTGGTGCAAAACTTGGTGTATTTACCAAAATCTTTGAATCATACACTTAAAACAAAAAAATTTTATAGCATATAAATTATACCTCAATAAAGCTGTTTTTAAAAAAGTAGCCAATAAGTTAAAAACAACTACTACTATAAAATAAATGAAGTGAGTACTTCTCTTACCCCTGCTGGATATACTGGGCATAATCTGAGGAATCATATTATTGCTTGTATCCATAGGCTGGGAATTATCTTGACCCATCTGATCATCAGGTGGCATATAGGCAGGAGGAGGCGTATCAGCTAAGAGGAAAAAAAATAATAATTAAAATCTTCATTCTGCTCAAAATTATTACTCTAAAAGCTTTAGAAAATTCTTAAGATTACCAGCAAGCTTCATTACTGAACATCACACACAAAAAAATGTAGGATACTATCCTAGGGCAAGGGAAAAGGAGAACAGACAGCACACCTAATGGCAATTGAAAACCTACTACAAATCCACATTTATTTAGCCCAGATCCCTGGTAATCCAGGATACAAGGATCAGTCCTAAAATTCACTGAAACAGAATTCAAGGTCAAGAATTTTGCCTTTATTTTTATGTGTTCAGAGAAACTACAGCTATTACATATCAATCTGAAGTACAGATTTTCCTCATTTGGGTATATATCTACTACAGAGACACTTTTAAATTATTAAGATCAGCACATACTGTATACTGTCATTTAAAACTGGAAAGTAAAACTATGTCCCTTCAAAATTTGCCATCAACACTAACAGCAATTGTCTAACGCTTGTGCAACATCCAAATATGGCTGTTGTGTCCTATTAAATGGTTAGGTAATTCACTTAGGAAACTAAATGTTAACTAGAAAATCTTTGAGTTTCAACACTCATAGTTGAAAATTTTGCAAAAGCTACAGCTATACTTTTTTGTCTCAGTAATTATAAATAAGAACCGAATTTGTCTTTCATCCCAATGTTTTGTACAGGATGTATTTTGAGACAGAACTACAATTAGCACTGAATCTAAGACAAACTATGAAAATTTGTTTTTGAGCAAATTCCTAATAGCAAGTTAAACAGCTGGCACTTAATTTCTCTTCAAAAGAAAAAACTATACCAATTGATATTTTGCTGCAGTAGAGAAATCACAAAGAATATACTGTAGGTCCTTGAATAATGTTTTGTTCAATGGTGTTTTGTTCAGCATCATTTTGTTATGATGCTGATGAGAAAAAAAATCCATTCCCAGCCAGGGCCACGTCTGTGTGAGTCTGAACATTCTCCCCATGTTTGTTTGAGTTTTCTCTGGTTACCCGAGTTTCCTCTCACATCCCAAAGATGTGCACATCAGATGAACTGGCATGCATGTCTAAACAGTCCCAGTGTGAGTGCCGGGGTGTGTGTGAGTGCACTCTGTGATTTAATCACGTCCCATTCAGGATTGGTTTCCACCTTGTGCCCTGAGTTGCTGGAATGTGCTCTGGCTACCCATGACCATGAATTAGAATAATTAAGTAAATAACAGTCTTGTTTTTATTGATCTTTCTTAAAGATATGCACAGCTCACATTTATTTCAATGTTTAATATTAGAAGAGTCTTGGGTCTTTATTTATAAATTTAGTGATATTTTTGTGACCAGAAATATACCACAAGAACTTAACTCTTGTTTATATCAACTAGCCTATGATAAAACTGGCTTTGTAATATGCTGTTTCAGTTAAAGTCAGTTTCCAAGACGTTATCAATGACATCAAGTGAGGACTTACTGTACTTATATATGACTCTGCCTGACAACAGCAGGTGTTCAAATATTTCTTGACAGTGACATACTGACATGTCCATATATGACATGCCATTAACAAAATTTAGAACTTTACAAAATCTACTTATCTTTCTCCAGTGAAATCAGTTCATCAGTTATCTAACTAAAGATAACCAGGATTCATTTTAACTTCTAAAGTCTTAAATAATTTGAAAAGCCACACAGTAAAGGTGAAAGATCACAGACTTTAGAGTTAGACAAACCTGGGTCTGAACCTCTAGTTCTTAGCCCTACCCTAGGTAAGGTACTTAAAAGTTTAAAATTTACTTTAGAATTTCTTTTTCCATCTGTAAAACAGGAATATCTATCTCACATAGTCATTCTGAAGATTAAATTGAATGCCATAGCTTTCATCACAGTATCAGTTATATAAAAGACAATAAATGGTACTGAGTGTCATAAAATAGAAGAAAATATTTAAGTCAAATAGGGCTACTTCCATTTTTTAAACATACGGTAATTGGCAAAATAAAATCTAAACTCTTCTGGAAATCAAACAATTACCTAAAGAATAAAGAGTCAGAAACAGCTATTATACCTTGGCATGTAACAGTTCACCCAGAGGGCCCACAGTAAGAACAACTGTGATTCTTAGGAATTTTTTTTTTTTTGGTATCAATAAAATAAAGTCTTACCTGGGAGCTGAAATGGACTTCCTGGTCCAGAACTTGCTGGGGAGTTGGGATATGTGCTGCTAGCAGGAGAAGGGGGATAAGGGCTGTTTGGAGATAAGGGAAAAGGAGTGTTGTTGGGCTGGTGGAAAGAATCTGGAAACGTGGCATTTTGTGGCATGTGTGGTTCATTGTGGCTCAGGTTCCTAAACTGAACCAGAAGGCTGTGTTGTGGATTGAATTCATTATGACGAGGCACTAATACTGGAGGTAAGACTGAAAAACAAAAATCAAAAGTCATTTGTCAGGAATGACTAAACAAATGCCCCATCCACACTAAGGGGTTGGTAGAAAGGATTCATGTAAGACTGTAAACCTATTAAAACAATTTACTTTTAGAAAGGGCTGTTTTATAGAGCCCTGAATCTCTATTTACATAAAAACTGAATCCAAAACTCTGTAAGCATTTAGCCTGCATAAGGTACCCTGGAAGACAGAAAATCCAGAGAAAGATACCACTCCTGTTCTATGAGATAAAGGATATTAAAAAACAACCATAAAACAGAGAATTTAACACAATAGGAGTTAAACAGAGGTGAGCGCTCCCAGCTAGCAGAGAATCAAACAAAATACTGTAAGAAAAAAACATACCTGACTGAACCTTAAAGATACAGGAGGATTTCACATGGGAGTACTAGGGCTGGGAAGAGGTAGAAGGGGAGGGTGGCAGAGGAGATGAGAAAATCAGTTGGCCTACGCACTGAACAAGGAGTTAAGACTACAGAGTGAAGTTGGAATCTGTTATGTGAATGCCCTAAAAACTTCCACATTTCCAATTATGAACACTTTGATCTTTCTTAGTTTGAAAGATCTCATGTTTTACGTTGTTCAGTACGGTTTTCCATATTGAATATGGTAATATTCTCTAGGTAAAAGCCTTCCAATCAAAATCAGTCTTCTAAATATGACCATAATGAAAATATACACAACAAAGTCTAAACATTTTTAACAGATACATTTTTAAGAGATAAACTTTATTCAAATATTCGCTTTCTCTAAAGACCCAAGTGACCAATCACATTCAAATATCTGATTACCTTTCCATGCAGGAAACTGAAACAAACCTGATTCTTCAAACATTTACAACTCATCTCATTAACAATTGTCCTGTATCTGTCAATGTAGTTTCACTTAGAAAAATCTCAACTTAATTCTGATATCATTCAGCATCAACAAAATGAGTTTGTTTTTAAGCTACCTAAGTCACACTTCACCTCCCTGAAGTAGGGATGTACACAACAATCCAGTGTTTCTGTTAAGTCAGTATTTGTGCTATTTTTGTCTATTGTTTCATTTCATTCTACTGCATTAGTATACTAAATATGTGGTTAACATCTGACTACAATCGTTTTGTTCTACTGTGTGTTAACAACTGCTATTCCCCTCGCAGAACAAGAGGCAGCTGCCATTGGAGAGAAGGGCATTAGGCAGCAAGAATTTCTACATTTAGCAGGCTAGCAATCTGAGAGACTTAGTGAAATAACTACTCAGGAATTCAGTTCAGTAAGAATTTGCTTTTTTTTTTCTTTAGAGGTATGCTAAAATCACTGGCTTCTCTTTCACTTGTACATTATCTATGCACGATTTTTAAAAAATTATTTTATATCATCCAAAATAATGTTAATATGTGGACAGTTTAAAAAAAGACATGCTATTAGAGATTATAACAAAAACTGCAATTCCTAGCCCCCTCCCATATACTGTTTCTATAGAAAACAAATTTAAACTCTTAGCCATCTCTTATAACATTTACTTTGTGTACTGCTAAATAATATGCTTATATTGCTATTATTAGTCAAGATATTATTTGTAGACTTGCTCTTAGGGCAAATGAGGCAGCATTCTTTTATTATTCTATCCCACTCCCATCCCCAAAATAGAGTTAAATATAACATTTTGCTTAAATCAATATCCAGTATTCATATATACATACATGTAATTCATTGCTGAATCAAGTGTACTATGAGTCTACTTTTTCTTGAACAATGTTTTTACTAAAGTTAACCATTGCCTTGTTTCTTCATTTGTTTAATTTTAAGTACATTCCACTAATATTTCCAGAATTCCAACAGATCTGTTAAACGCCTATCATTACTATTTCTTGGATACAACAAATAATCAAATAATTTATTCACTCTACGTTTTCCCTTGGATCTTCCATCTTTTTTTTTTTGAGATGGAGTCTCGCTCTGTCGCCCAGGCTGGAGTGCACTGGCGCCATCTCGGCTCACTGCAAGCTCCACCTCCCGGGTTCACGCCATTCTCCTGCCTCAGCCTCCCGAGTAGCTGAGACTACAGGCGCTGACCACCACGCCTGGCTAATTTTTTGTATTTTTAGTAGAGACGGGGTTTCACCGTATTAGCCAGGATTGTCTCGATCTCCTGACCTCGTGATCTGCCCACCTCGGCCTCCCAAAGTGCTGGGATTACAGGCGTGAGCCACCGTGCCAGGCCCAGATCTTCCAACTTTTGGTTCCAACCTATATTGGTTACTGCTCAAGTCTCCTACAAGTCTGAAGTCCTTGGACTTCCCTTCTCTACTGCTGGATCACATTTCCTGGACCTCATCCTCTATTAGTGTCCTAAGAGAAAGTAAAAAGTTGAATTTTCTTGACTTCCTGCATGTATAAAAATTTATTTTTTTTGCTTGTCGGCAGGCAGATAACATTTCCTTCTGAATTTTGACAGCACTACTTTACTTTCTTCTAGAATCCAGAACTGCATTGAGAAATCCAGTATTCTGATTTCTAGTCCTTTATATGTTTCCTGTCTTTCTTTTCTGGAAAGTTTTCAGAATCTTTTTTTTAATCTATGATATACAAAAATTTCATGTGGGGCTTTTTTTATCCTTTGTTCTGATTACTTGGTCACTGAGCCCTTTCAATTTTCAGTTTGGGGAAGTGTTTGATATTATTTCTTGGAAAATTTTCTCTCTGCCATCTTCCTCAATGCTCTATTTCCAGAATATATTATTCTATTAGAATTGATATTTAATTTGAAACTGATTCCAGGCCACTTAATGTTTTAACAAGTACTTTTTAAGGCACCAACTCATCTAATGCTCATAACAACCTATTAGGTAGGTAGTATTATTACCATTTTACAATGAGGAAACTAAATCTCAGAAAGGTTAAGGCTTGAGGTAGTATTTGGTAAAACCAGGATTCAAATCCAGAAAGCCTGGCTCCAGAACCCACAGTCTTAATCAATAGACAATACTGTCTATTAGATCAGGGGTCCCTAACCCCCCCAGTTCATGCTCTCTTATGAACCAGGCCATACAGCAGGAGGTGATGGTGAGAGAGAGTGAGCGAAGCTTCATCTGTATTTCCAGCCACTCCCCATTGCTCTCACTACCGCCTGAACTCCGCCTCCTGTCAGATCAGTAGCAGCATGAGATTCTCATAGGAAAGCAAATCCTATCGCCAACTGCACATATGAGGGATCTAGGTTGTGCGCTCCTTATGAGAATCTAATGCCTGATGATCTGTCACTGTCTCCCATCATGCCTGGATGAGACAACCTAGCTGCAGGTAAACAAGCTCAGGGCTCCCACTAATTTGACATTATGGTGAAATGTATAATTATTTCATTACATATTACAATGTAATAATAGAAATAAAGTGCACAATAAATATAATGTGCTTGAATAATCCCAAAACCATCCCCCAACCAATTCTATGGAAAGACTGTCTTCCATGAAACTAGACCCTGGTGCCAAAAAGCTTAGGGTGCACTGTATTCAACTAAACACCTAGGACCACCTAGGTTGGCCCTCTATTTTTCTTATGTTCATTATCTCTTTCTAACTATCCTCCATCTTTTTATCTTTTTGCAAAACTTACTCCACTATATTCTAACTGTGTGAGCATGCCTAAGTTACTTCCCTTTTAAGTCTTTGTTTCCTTATCTATAAACCCATAAGTAAACTGAAAGGGTTGTAAAATGTCAGTACCCTTTTCTAACCCCATGAAGGAATCACTATTCCATCAGTGCTCAATAAATATTAATTGCTATCACTGTTACTACTATCACTACCACCACCTTCTACTACTTTATTAATACTGGTAATATGAAGTGATCCATTCTGCGTCATAGCTGCTTAATCATGGGGGGTCAGCAAGCTAATCTAGCTGGGTAATCTGCCCCTTCCCCCAAGAGTTTGGGCTCAGGGCGAAACATGAGGTCTCTATAGTCTCTTTCCAATAGTTGAACTAGTAAGACATGAAATTTTCCGTTATTTAAAAGTATCAGAGCTATGCCCCAGTCTTTTCTATAGAATGAATCATAGCTGAGAAAAATGTATACAAAAAATAAGACATTTCTATTGGCTGGCTGACTACTAGTCACACTTTGGCTATAGGGGAATACATAAAATTCCTAGACTCCCTCCTAGCAAATAGCAAGCTTGGGAGTTTTTCAGCCTATACTTCTCTATTAAATCCTTTTATCTTCCTTTCTTCATCAGTTCCTTCAGCTATCAGCTTTCCTTGGACTCAGTAAGAAACTGAGAATCATATCATACCAACTGTCTAAAGACACTCTAAAGCTCTTAAGTTGAACTTTCACAGACAGCATAATCACTGCTATCTGCTATCCTTTCTACTAGTCTCCACATCCAATGTTATTTTCAGTCTTTTTACCACACATCTCCACGTGAAACCCAGATAGACTCTAAGGTAACCACTGTGATTCCCACCTCCAGGTATTCAAACCATTGGGTAATTCTCCCTGCTTGAGTATGAGTATGACCTATCACTTCCTTCTAACCAACAGAATATGGCAAAGGTGACAGCGTATGTATGATTACATTCCACAAGAATATAATGTCCTTCTTACCAGAAGACCCTCTCTTCCTTACTGGCTTTGAAGAAGCTGTCATGAATGTGAACTACCTATAAAGAAGGCTATGTGAAAGCAACTAAATCTGTCAACAATCACATGGGCTTGGAAGCAGATCCTTCCCTAATTGAGCTTCTGATAAGACCTTGGCCCTAACCAACACCTTGATTACAGCGCCTTGCAAAGGACCCAGCTAAATGTGACTGGACTCCTCACCCAAAGAAACTGTGAGGTAATAAACATGCATTGTGCTAAGCCACTAAGTTTGTGGCAATCTGTCATGCAGCAATAGATGACTAATGCACTCAGCTAGCAGCTCAGCTTATACCATTCATTATAAAAAAAATTTACTGAGCATCACCTACCAAGTGCCAGACAACAATATACTATTCTAAGCACTAAGGATAGAGTAATGAATGAAATAGAGGAAGACTCTGCTCATGTCAGTCAATAAACAAAATAAATATCTAATATAGAGTCAATTAGTGATGCGGATATTTGAGCAAGGACTGAATGGAATGAGAAAATGTGCCATGGAAAGATCCTGGGGGAGAATAAGTAGACAGCAAGAGTTAAAGCCTGGAAACAGGAGTATGGCAAGTCCAAGGAACAGAGAACTCTGAGGATAGGTCATACAGAGTCTTACAGAAATCTCTTTAAGTGTGACAGCCTTGAAAGTGTTTTCAGTAGGAACTGACATGATTTAGTATGTTTTTAAAAAATCATTCTGGCTGTTGTGTGGAAAACACAATGGGTTAAGGGGAAGAAGAGACGCAGAAAGACCAATTAGGACACTACTTAAGGTGAGTGATGATGATGATGTACTGTACTAAAGTAGTGATGTCACAAATGATGAGAGGTGACATATTTATTAAGACATATTTTGAAGGTGCAGCAAACAGCATTTGCTCATATTTTAAATATAGGATTTAAGTAAGAAGAATAAAAGATGACCTTGCAGTTTAGGGCATTAGCAATTACATGAATGCTGTTGCCATTCACTTCAATAGGGGAAACCAGAGAAAAAAAACTGCGCTTAGACATATTACATTTGGTATGTTTAATAAATAAATATTCAAGTGGAAATGTCAAGTAGGCAACTGGATACACAAATCTAAAACTCAAGGGAGAAGTTGACTTGAGTTCAAAATGTGAGCATCAGCTTATAGACAATCTTAAGACATGTGACAGCATGAAAGCACATAAAGAAATAATATAAATGGAGAAAAGGTCCATGGACTGACTCCTGTGAAAACAGGAGAATACGCCAGCAAAGAGGGGCAAGAACAGTCAGTGAGGTAGGAGAACCAGGATAGCATACTGTCTTAGGGGCCAAACACAGAAAAAGTTTTGAGTAGGATGGAAGGAGATCAACTGTATCAAATGCAGTTGAGCGGACAGTAAGATAAGACTCAAAAATGACCCCTTGACCTATAAAAAGGCAGTCACTAGTGATCTCGACAAGTTAAATGGTAGGAAAGAAAGACTAACTAGAGAAGTCACAAGAAAAAAATGAAACATAAAGATAATAAAAATGGAGAATCCTCTAAAAGGACCAGTGGAAACAGTGCAGTGATTGGGGTTGGGTTATGTGAATGAAGTGAAAAGCAGAATTTTTTTTTAAGTTTTATTTTAGGATGGGTAGTATCATGGCATGCTTGTATGCTATCAGAAATACTCTGGTAGAAAGGGAAAATATAATGCTGGAGAGAAGGATGATAACTGTAGGAACAAAGTTCTTCATTTGACAAAAAGGAATGGGATATAGTACACACTTGGAGCTTAGGCTTTAAATAAAACAGAGACAGGTCATCCACAGGAAAAGGCAGAGTAGATATATGGGTGCTTACAGTGAATAATGAATTAGAGTAAGCCACCTGAGAATTGTATCACCTACATATAAAAAGCTAAACTCAAAATCCAATAGCCCTTCCAAGATTAGAATATTTAAGATGGAAACACAAAGCTAATACAACCTTTTCATTACTAAATCTAGTTACATGCATATCAGGAAGAGAGGTTTTTTGTTTTTGTTTTTCCAAATTCTTCTCAGGAATAAGACCTACCTGGACTCTCCACTCTCTTATAGTGGTATGGGTTGATACAAACTTCTTTTTGCTTAGATCCAAAAGGAAATTCACAAATATCCAACGGCTTTAGCTCATGATGACTCTGCAAATCCGGCCAGCGCCAAACACGACAATATATAACATGGGGTAAGCCTTTTCTGTGAGAAACCTGCAGGCGTCCATCTAAAGATCTGGGAATAGTGACACATTTACTCGGCTGTCCTGGACTGCTCAAGGCTTTCTCCAGTTCCTCCATGGCACCCTTTTTCTTTTTTAGTTTCTTCACCAAAGCATCAACTGCCTTTTCTGCCCATTTCTCCTCCTCATCACCTTGTTTCCAGCCCAACAATCGCTTTACTGCTGGACTAGTAAAAGAAAACAAGCTGGCCATTGACGTCATTTGACACAAATCTTCGGAGACCTTCCTGTAACTCAAAGTCAGTGGCTACCGAAAGAACAGATCACAGGTGAAACGTCATACACAGGTCCTAAGCAGAAGTTCCAATTAAAAAGGGAGGAGTAACATTTATCTTCACAAGTGCCATATGCTTCTTTCATTGGGTCAAGTCCTGAAAGAGAAAGGGGGAAAGGATCCTAGTTTAAATCAATTCAATATATACAAATTTAAATTAATATAATCGAAAGGCATATTTTATTAAATAAGAACAGAAAAGCATTACAAAGTAAACAAAAAATTGATAAATTTTCTCCAAAAGTTCTGTGACCACTCGATTCCTTCCCCATAATATGAACAAGTAAGACACTGGCAATGTCAAATGATAACCAGAGGCAAAACCAGGTTGCTCTACCTCCTATGTATTATCCAAAAATAGCTTCTGGACTCCCTTTGATTAGGCCACTAAACCCTAAAACACTCTTCTAAAATTTGATTCTGAAGTACTTTTCTTCACTGAAATCCATGTTACATGCTATGTCAATTTTGAACGTGATTGTGTCCTGATCTGAATAGAAGTCTTAAAAGAAATCCAGCTCTTCTCTAAGGTCATTATTCTCTTTAAATGTTTCCCAGACTGAGAAGGTTTGGACAAAAATCATGATACTACTGAAGTCACATTATTAGATGCAAATTGTATTCACGGTTGTATAAGATGTACCAAACCCTCAAATAAATCATTATAACTGCCAGTAAAATGGCAAGTATCTATTTGTAAAACTAAGTATGTTGAATAAATTTAAAGAGAATAAATTCATTTTAAAAGGGTCAGTTTCTAATTTTATAATTCCTATCGGCTTATTTTAAGTGATATTTTATATTGGTTAATGAGCTTGCTCCAGGTAAACCACTGTTCTGCACCATTAAGAAGCTCCTGATGATGACAGGTGGAAGTGACAGGCACTCCACCGATAGAAGCTGGTAAAAACCAGGCTCAGTGGCACACACCTGTAATCCCAGTTATTCGGGAGACTCACTTGAGCCCAGGAGTTCAATCACGTCCAGTCTGAGCAACATAGTGAGATCCCATTTCTAAATAAAGAATAAAAAGAATGTGTAAGATCTCCTGCAGATCGCTGCACAGCCAACCACAGACGATAAATACCTACTAAAGTAACAAGAATAACGTTTGGAAAAATGGTGTAACAAAAGATGCTTCCTTTCTTGTGCCTACAATTGCCAAAAGCTATAGCTTTGTCTTTGAAAAATTCTAGCATCAATATTATTCTGGACTGGGGTGCATCTTTCCAGAAAAGAATGTATGTGCTCAGCTAAAGCCCAGACAATAACATAAAGTAAATAAAGATAATGTAAACACAGAGTAAAGTAAAACTGACATACACTCAACAAATAATTATTGATTCTTTGTTACATCCCATGTATTGTGAATAGCCATGATGGGGCTTTTTAAAAAAAGTTATGCCAAGTAGGGTTTAATCTCAACAGTCAATAAACTGATTCATTCAAAATACACTTACTGAGAGCCTACTAAAGTACCAGATACAGTTCTGGATGCCGATCAACTACTGGCAGCTATCCAGCCTTCTATGCTGGAACCATGGTGGGGAAGGGTACAGGGAAGTAAAGATATCCTCCTTATGTATGGATATGCCTTGTGCCTTGTCTTGCCCAGCCCTATGTAGGATGATTTTTCCTAGGCAAACAAAACTGGCCACATTAAAATAGAGAGATATAACAAAGAGAATGAAAGCATAATTGTCACTAACAGGTCACAGAGTATAAAGTGTTATGTACTAAATGAACTGTAAGAAGGGCTGACCTCAGTTGCATCTACATCAAGGATGTATGATAAAATCCATGTGGGTCAGGAAGTAAAACCATGGTTTGGTTGTCTGAGATGAGATGGGAAATGTCAAAGGCAAAGGCACACAAACAAAAAAATATATATATAGGCAGACATGAACATAGCATTTCCTAGGCTAGATAAGAGACAGGCCTGGCTGACTGATTCATGAACACTAGAATATAATGGGGGGCTAGATAGGGTAGTGTACGTATGTGTGAGAGAGTATGTGTATGAGCAACAGAGAGACAGTTAAGGAAGAGGGAGGCAAAAAGACAGGAGCTTCAAGACCAGAATTCTGAATACAATATCATACATGATCAGGCCCTTGGCTTCTCCTTACTCATTTCTTAACCATTATCCTACCTAATTGCATTTAACCACACTTAACTTCTTTCCATTTCTCAAGTATTCTAAGGTTATTTCTATGTGAGGTCTTTGCATCTGATGTTCTCTCCCCTAAATTCTCTTCTCCCGTAACTTAACGCAGCATACTCACTCAAATTAATTCAGTTGTTCAAAGGTCACCTCCTGAAAGAGGAATTCCCTGACCACTTGATTGAAAATAGCATGACAGCCCATTCTCACAACATTCTCTATCCCCTGACCCTGTTCATTTTTTATAGCATTTACCCTAATCTGATATTACATTATCAACTTTGTTTATTTACTTTGTTTTCCCCAATGCAATGTTAGTATGCAGGTAGTCTCGTCTGCCCTCAAAACCACTGGATGCCCTGGACCTAGAATAGTGTCCATTTATCAAATAAATGAGTAAGAAAAACAATTTGTAAAAATATATATACCTTTCTAAGGATGTCTATATCAAACTTAAAACAAAAAAATTGTTATTTATAGATATCTATGATATCAGAGAATAAAAATATGCCTGGAAATGAAACACACCAGACTCAGTCTCCCAAGTTGATGGCATTATAGGCTTGAGCCACTGTGCCCACCAGATTCTGTTCTTTACTAGTATCACTTTTTCAAAGCCTATTAACTTTTCTGTAAAATAGAGATGATGGTTCCTAAGTCACAGAAATATTAAAGTACTAATGTCTATCTAACACAAGCTTTACAAACTCAACAGTACTATTCAAACATGAATTCTAATCATTAGCATTCAGAAAGAAGACGAACCAAGACTTAAGAGACTGGCTAGATCTAGTCCTAATCTAATCTTGCCCATTACTCTTCCACTATACACACCTTCTGATCCAATCCAAATCCCTGCCCCTCTGCCCATCTGTGTCTTCCAAGAGAAATCTTAGTCATTCTTAATGATGAGCTCCAATCTATCCCCTTTTGTGAAGACTTCCTTTACCACCCAATGCTGAAGAGGCTATGGTCACTGAATATTTATAATAAAAACTAATTAATAAGTCATAAATAATATCATAACTTCCCAAATACAGTACAAAATCCTTCTAAGAAGTAGTCTTCAGCACCTGGACCATTGCATGTGCCATACCACACACTATGATACTTAATGAATGGTCACTGATTTTTCTACTAACTGTACCTTGAAATTAAGAGATAATTTCAAATTTTAAACCCACGTTGACTAAGATAATGATAAAATGAGAATTCTACCCACAGAATTAAAAACATTCAGAAGGCAGCTTTGTCAGTAGAAATGGTGGTAAACTCCACTGGGAAAAGGTCATGACTGGAGATACAGGTTTAGCCAGGTAAAGATGAGAAACAGATTTAAGATTTTGCACAAAGAGCTAAAAAAAAAAAGTTTGCAACAGAGTGAAAAGAACAGTAAGTAAACACCTAAATATTACGAAACATTCACTGTTAGGAAAGAGTTTCCTGATAGTGAGTTACTGATAATGCACTATTAAAAAGACAGAACTAGATACAATGGTACTGCAGAAGATTAAACATATGGGAGAGTTTAAAGAGAATGTAAACAAAGAAAAGGCCAGTGACTTTGGTGAATGGGTATGCCACTAAACTTCAAGAGATTGGTTTCAAAAAGAACAATAGGTGTCAGTTTTAAAAACCTAGAACTCTTACTAGTAAAACTAGCACAGGGAGAGGAGCAAATCTCACACTCAACTCTTTAAATATGGAATGACTAAAAAACTTAGCACTTTTGATGAAATTATTTCTAAAAATGTTTTCTATACTTCCCAAACTGGTAAAGTGGTATGTGCAAGCTACCCGAGTACTTGTTATCCACGTCTCAACTTACATTACAAAAGGAGAAAAATTCATCATAAAAATTAGTGAATAGTCAAAAGATCTGAACAGATCCTTCACAAAAGAGGACATTAAAATAGCCACTGGATGAGAAAATGGGCTCAATATCATTAGTTATCACATGAATGCAAAAAGAAAACAAAAACTACCACAGTAAAATCTCACTCGGTACCTACCAGAATGGCTACACTTAAAAAAAAAAAAAAGATTAACTGTTCATGATAATACAGAACTGGAACTCTCATATATTGATAGTAGGAATATACATTAGTCCAGTCACTTTTGAAAATTGTTTAACAGTATCCACTAACGCTAAACATAGATCCCTATGACCCAGAAATTCCATTCCTAGGTATATATCCAACAGAAATGAGTGCTGTGTCCACCAAAAAACAAGTACATGTTCCTAACAACTTTATTTATAATAGTCCCAAACTGGAACCCAAATATTCATCAGCAGTAGAGTGGGTAAATACTGGTAATAAATTCATAAAATGGAATACTTCACAGCTACAGAAAGAACTAGTATGTGTAAAACATGGAGAATTCTCATATATTCTGAGGGAAAGATTACACATTATTCCATCTACACAACATTCAAAAACAGGCAAAACTAACCTATGCCATCAAGGCCAGAAGAGCACTAAGAAGGGTCATGAGACAGCCTTCTAGGGAGCTAGAAATTTTCCATATTTTGATCTGGGTGATGATGACATGGATGTATACCATATGCAGAAGTTCATTAAGCTACACACTTTAATTCTGTGTGCTTTACTAGATGATTATTTCAATTTTTAAAAATATCTTTAAAACATACTTGTGACTGATCACTTATAAAATCAGTCCCTATTCACAAGTGTCTCCCTCACCATAATGGCTTATGAACCATGAGTGAGACTACAGATTTTGCAAAAATTCCAAGATTTCCAAAGTTTATAAAAATGATGGCAAACAATGTAGGATCTAGGATTTGATTTTACCCCACTTACAAGTTAGTCTGTTACTGTCTTCTGGATGGTGCCAAAGGACATAAGACTCCTGGGTTAGAGACTCTGCTACTCTGGGCACAGCAAGCAGCATAAGCATTGACATTATTTGAGGTTTTGTTTGTCCCCAAGACCCATGGGGATAATGTGATGTATTTTATAGTTTTGCCTTTTTGTGAATGTTGTATAGAAGGAATAACACGTAATCTTTCCTTCAGTATTATAAGATTCTCCATGTTTTATATGTATGAGTTTGTGCTTTTTTGTAGTCTTGATGCATGGATGAGGAATACTGAGCTCAGGGAATCTACCACTTTTACAGTAATCAGTAAGCAAGACATTCTTTGTTCGGGAGGAGGGTAAGAGTAACTTGACTATCAAAGAATTTAACAGAGGTCCTTGAAAAAATGTATATATATTTTTATCAATATTTTTGCAAAAAAAAGAACAACTTAAAGCTAATGCCACAAATGTCAAATTGAAGGCTGTCATATAATGATACTGAATTATTTTGTGGGAAAAATTGTTTATCCATTCACACTTGATCCATTATTTGTTCATTATAACAATTCATGCATGTTTACAGTTACTATAAGCTAATGTTTTCCCAGAATTTTAGTTTCATTCTTCAAGATAAAATCAGACCTTTTACTCACCATTTAGTATAAAATGGTGGTCTACATTTTTCAGTGGTTTCATTTTAAATGAAATTCTCTATAGAAGGCATAGAACATGGGCTGCATTATTACTGACTAAAGAAACAGAGTGGCATGAATGATCTTAAAAGGTTACTTACAGAGGCAGATTTCTGGACATTTTAATTTCTTAGAATATAGCAACAGGTACTTCAATAACTTCAACAGCTTCCTTTCTAAAAAAAAAATCAATTGCTTAAGCAAAGGAATCATAATACTCCTTTGATAATGGTAATAATAATAAACCACTAACATTTATTGAGCACTCACTATGCCAAGTACTGTTAAGGACTTTACATTTAGAAACCAAAAATCATTAAATTTCAAAACAGCCTTATAAAGCAAATTCCATTATTCTCATTTTACAGATGAGAAAACAGGCAAAGGGAAATTAAATGTAACTTGCTTAATTATACAGAAAGCAAGAAACAGAGCTGAGAATTGAACCCTGGCAGTCCAGCTGCAGAATCCATATTCCAAACCACTGTACAGACTGCCTCCTAGAAAGAAACCCTCCTGCCAAGGAATTTTCTTCCCTTACAGGTCTGTAATTGTTCTTCATATTCCTGACTTCTCCAAAACATTCAAATTGTTAAATATTATCATAAGATTGTATAGTTTAAGAGATCAAGAATAATCCAGCTTAATTTGCTCATTTTCAAACTTATTTTTATACCACTTAACGTATGTCATCAACCTATCAACTTTAACCCAACCTTCTCACATTTGTGCTAGGTCAATCAGCAGGAATGAAAGGTTTAGCTTTATGCTTACTACCACTGCATAAAAATATATTTTTTTTGTGGTGATCTTACTCCAAAGCTTTTCTAATTATCATTAGGACATTTTTAGCACACTTATTACTGGAACACAATGATCTCAGAAATGATGAGACAATGTACCACTTTTTAAAAAATATTTTTCCTTAAAAAATATTTTTCCTAAGTATACTCACCTATAATCATACCATTAACATATGGTATGCTTATATTTGTTTCCTCTGCATATATATAGTCTTGCCCACAACTGCCCGTAACAGGATATAACATGATATTACTTGGTATTCTGCATTTTCTATTTAACACCACAAGCATTTGCTCTTCCCTCACCCGAATATATAGATTTTTTTAAATGCCTTTAATGGTGCAATCATATTTTACTCATCTATTCTCTTAATATTTAACAGCTAGGTTTCTAAAGGAACTAAACCACCTATAGTAAAAGTAAAATTGTTAAACTGAGATTAAAACTTCTTTATGGTACCCATATAATGGATGCATTTTGTCCTAGTCTTTTCTGCAGACTATACTATATTCAAAATAACACCTTGGTCCAAAATTTGAAATAAAATGATCAGAGAGCTTGGGTTACAGCAATAGATTTACTTTAGTATCCTCACATAAGTACTCGGTTATGAAAAAATTTCTCATTATGTATACAAAAAATAAAATACGTTCTGATTTGCATGAGCCACAAGTGAACCTGCAATACCTCTGAACATTTTGAGTCTCTTTCCTGAAAAGTTGATTCAATTTTTCATGCCCCCTTTGCCTTTCACTAAATAAAACGAATTTAGAAACACTGAGAACACCTATCTTCAATTTAAATCAGCTGTGTATCTAACACCCCATAATACTCTTCTACATCACCTCTACACTTATTCCAGTAATAGAGAAAATCCCAAAAGACTGTACTTAGCAACTGCAACAGTCTTTACACATTACAGATTACTGGACAGCTAAATTTTGGTCCTCTATACTCCTTTTCTAAATGCTTTCAGAGTCTACTGAGACACAAATATACATAATAACCAGTGCTAAACTTAAGCTCACACTTATAGCCTTATTTATACAACACATATTTACTGAGTGCCTATAAAAGGCAAGGCACTAAGCTAGATAATAAAGAGTTGAAATATAAATCAGATCCAGACTAACTCTAAATAGTCACAAATTAATAGAACAACTGAAATGTGCCCATAACTATCTACGATACACAGTGGAGAATGGAGTTGCCCTAAAGATATAAAGGTCGCTAAAAGAAGTCAGGATATGACCCTTTGGGGAGAAGGATGAAGGGAGACAATTTTATCTTAAGCATAAAAGCTTCTATGTCTTTCACAAAGTAATACTTTATATAACAGGATGAGGAACTACAGCACCGGATTTGAAGCCTAATAAACTTGGGTTCAAATTCTGGATCTAACACTTACACCCAAAATCTCCATTTTTTCCTATTTTGTATCGTGAATACTATGGCCCTAAAAGGTTCTGAGAATTAAGTGAGAAACACTTAGTACACAGTGCATACTCAATAAAGGGCAACTGTAGTTATTATTGTTGTAATAATCATGAACATTGTTGCTATCAGGCTGAGGATTTTAAATAAATGGTTGGGATCCTTTATTTCAATAAGCATACAGTCATGTACTTTAAGAGTCCGCATTATTTTATGAACCCTGAAGGAAGAAAAAGCTGCAAAGTAAATGGCATAATGCTTTCTTATAACTTAAAATTTTTATTCACAGTATCATCCTTCTGCCATCAAGAATGTAAGTATGAAGAATGTTCCGACACTGCTCCAGGACTGTCTTTCAAGCCACTGACAACCATCCTGCAAATTTTGATACTGGTGCCTGTTTGGTGTCCCTAGAGGATCTAAATGAAGATGTGAAAACAACAACTAAGAAAATATTTTAAATGGCAATTACTCAACACGAGAAGTTAAAACAATGTCCACACTGAGACTGAAATGACAGCAACAGAAACAGCAAGTCAGAGCCATGCCTGTACAATGACAACTAGATCAAAACTGCCACCTGGCCAAAAGCAATACTCAGATGCTATTAACTGTAAGACAGTTAATGTTATGTTATGAGGTGAAAAAAAAAATTACATCTTAGAAGAAATACGGCAGCTTTTTCTTTTGTCCTCTCTCAAAGTCCTTTCTGATGCTCCCCATCACTTGCCCCCAGTATCTGTCATTCTAACCCCTCCTTTGTTCTCATTCTTTTAACTCTTTTTTTTTTCTTTTCTCTTTCTGCATTTCTCATAGCTTCTCCTATATTCCTCAGTGTTGCTTTTGGAGAAACTTGATAAACTACCTAATGAAAATGAACTTTCCTTCTGTCTCAAAAAGAACCCAATTAGCATGGAATACATGATTTGTATCCTTGGTACTTTCAGGTGCTCCAGGGCTTGCTTACTTCTGAGTTCTCTAGTAAGTCAAGGGAAGATGCATTTGACAGTCCACATAGGTGAAATAATGCCCTAGACAATCTGGCTTCTGAGCAGATTCTATTTGCACCTCTGTAATCCTCATCCTGAGCCACCTAACATACCTATCCTAAAGTACACCAGTGGGAATAATATATATTAATATATACCAATATAATAAGATATATTTATATATATCTAAACATATTAAGAGGTAATATATTTAGTTCCTAAGAAAACCAAAAAGTCAATAGGCTTCAAGGAACTTAAATCGTCAAGCTATTTTCTTTTGCAATAAACCTCCATAGAAACCTATTGTAAAACAGTTGTTTATAAATGTTAATCTTATTTCAATAACATAATCAGGGATAGAAGACAAATTCTGCCTTCTCTTTTTTGCTCTTACTAGGGCCGTATTAAACCAAACTTTCAGAAGGCTAAGTGTCAAACAGCCTTTTCTTTAAAAGCCAAGTCTTGTTACAGTAATTCAGAACAGGCTAACCATGAGCATCATAAAAGAAAAACACAAACTACACTGAACAGTGTCCATGAAACCTTTCAGGGAATTTCTACTTCTAGCTTGAAAACCAGAGAATCCCCCAAAATCTAAATCTAAAATCTCATTAGGAAACCCACGGGACAATTCGTGTTAGGTGAGACAGTCAATTTTCATCAAAACTGCCGTATGAATGAATGGAATTAAATCTGAGTGATCAAACACTTTCAGACTCAGATAATGAACCCATTATCTGCTATTATCTTGGCCTTTCATAGTATACCTCTGGTTTATGAGGTATTTAGAGTACATACATGGAACAGAAAGAACAGTATAACTGGAAAGTGGAAGAAGAAAAAAGTGAAAAGATTATATACTGGTGAATATGACTGATTAAGAAGGAATTAACTGTGTTGCAAATGGCCAGTAACAGACAAGAAGTTGGTTGAGGGGGTTTAGCAACTGTGCAAAAAAAACAGCTGGTTTGGACAGATTCTACCCCTCCCCTGCAAACTCAAACACACTGCACCTAAGTGAATAGGAGCTTAAGGATGAGGCAAGAATAACTGCTTGTCATATAAGCACAAATTTTGAGAGTGACTACCAAAATACTGAATACGAGATAGAAATATAACAATCTATCATTCACAGTCCACTTGGCAAGAAAGTACAAGGACGAGGAAAACCAAATCACTCAGCCAAATGAGGAAGGGAGGCTAGGAGGTGACAATCAGCTAGTCTGACTGTGAAGCAAAAGGGAAAGGCACAACCACAGAATGAAGGTCAAACAGGGAAAGACTGTGAATACAAGGCTAAGGAGTCAGACTGCTAGAAGTAGTTCTATGTGCCGTGTAGAGTTCTATCTAAGCCGAAAGACATGTTCGAAGAGGTATTTCAAGAAGACAAAAATTCCAACAACAAAGGACCAAGTAAGAGACTAACTAGGGGGACAAAGCGTAGATGAAAACCATGGTAGTAACCTAACTGAGAGGAACACACACACACCGTGATTAAATAAAAAAAAAAAAAAGAGATACGAGGGATGTCACAAATAAACAGAAGCCTAACTAGAAAAGTTAAGGTTTAAACCCTGAATAATGAAAACATCACTTACCAAAGGGTAACTCTAGTTATGGCCAAAACAAGGCAAGAAGGTGACAGTGGAGGGACATAAGGAAACAAATACTGGCATGCATCCAGGAAGATATAAAATTAAAGCTCAAGGAGAAAAGGAATAAATATGTAGATATTGAGGATCATATGAATTGGAGAGATGAATTGTGATATTAGACAGAGGAGACATTTGATTTATTCAAAATTTACCGGGTGCCCACTAGTGTATGTCAGGAATACTCCATGCTAGGAACTCAGGCTTAAAAGACACTAACCATAATCTCTGTAAGATCTTAGAGAGTAATGGAAAAAAGAACAGGGGCTATAAAGAGTTTCATATGCCATTTAGCCTATCACTTAGTTTTATCCTATATTTATTTCCATATGATAGCCAACAGAAATAGGGCATTAAAATTGAGTTTAAAAAAATGTACACCAAGCACAGAGAGCCAATAATTGAACAGACAGGAAGGTATGCTCCTTCTTACACTAGAAACTGGAGGGACTTAACAGCTATGAACCCATTATCTGCTATTATCTTGGCCTTTCATAGTATACCTTTGGTTTATGAAGACTTGACTTGATAATACCCTTTTATTGATGTATTTTGTCATTTCTTAGAGAAATGACCTCAAAGCTAGAAAGAAAACCAAGGTAATCATAATATTTAGAAATTCCTGTGTACGTGAGGTTCCCTGATTCTTCTGAAAAACTGCAACCACTGACTGAACACAGAACGTCATTAGTGTACCAAAAGAGATGCAGTGGTACCTCAGCCATAAATGAAAACCTTATAAAATTACGGTATATCATGAATTACAAATGAATCTATCACATTACAAAACACACACACACCTCACCTCTCTTTCAGCTCAAGCATCCCTTCTTCGGGGAAGTCTTCCCAAACCGTCCTGGCTAGAAGTCCCCCTCTTATATGCTTACCGCATCACATACTCCTACTTTGTAGCACTTACCACACCTATGTTTTTACATTTACCTTTCAAATCTGTCCCCACAAGAATGTAAATTCCACGAGAAGAGCTGTATCTGTTTTCACTCATCACTGTAAGCCTAGTGATACATATGCTCAATAAATATTTGTTTAATGAAAGAAAGGGTTTGTGATATTAGCTCTGGTGGTGGGGTTAGGTGTACTTTTCACTTTCTGCTTCATCTAATTCTATATTTTTTAAAATAAACATATTTCTTGAAGAGTCAGAGGAAAAACAGGTTTCAAAATTAAAGTGCAGCTATACCTCAGCCATATTATGAACCCTTACTAAAGAGAGGATTTACATTATCATGAGTCATTCCTGCTTCAAAACAATTCTCTCTAATATACTTGGGGTTATACAAATTTGGAGGTTGAAACTAAGAAAAATCAAATCAGAAACTAGGTACAAATACTTCCATAACTATAGTACTCTAGGTTAATCAACAGAAATACAGAAATGATTATCATAAGGTACACCTACTTCTTTAAGTATATGTGCATTAACTGACTCAGCAGCTATAACAGCCATGAATCATTAAACACTTATTGAGCACCTACTAACTAGCAGACATTGTAGGACATGCAGGGGTTTATCAGCACTAGCCAAGGGTGAAGGAATAAATGAGAAGGCCTTTTTCTAAGTCCCATACAAAGGTACTATATGAGTGAAGAGTGGGAATAGCAAAAATGCAAACGGGACAGAATCTCCCTTCACAGAATAACGTAGCACGACAGACACCAAACTATACCCCTATATGTAAGTACAATGAGATAAACTCAAGTTACTAGAGGAACACAGAGAGACAGAGAAAGGGCATGTAATCCAGGTATCTAGCACTTTTCACAGTGTGTCCTGTTACTACAAATGAGCTGTTGCTCCTCAAAACAATGAAATCAAACTCCAGAAGCATTATTCCTGCTCCCAATAAATATTAGTAAGAACTCATTCTTCAAAAGCATTTATCTTCCTATACTGGAATGTCTTTTGAACCTCAGATATTACAAATGCCATTTTCTGCTTATACCACTTTTCTTAATCCCTGGCCACTAATTTTTAGCTCTATCGTTATTTAAGTCTCAGCTTTAGCTCTCATCCCAGATACCTTCCCTGATCACCCCATAATCCTATATAGAGTTTCCCTAATCTCTAATCCAATACTATGTTCATTTTCTTCACTGTATTAACTGATTCATAATAATTTGTTCATTTACTTTATTTCTGTCTCTCGCACTAGAATATAATCTTTAAAAAACAGTACCACATACATTACAATAACTTGTCAAATTCATTCAAGTCATTCATCCAAAAGAATATTTATTAAGATAGCATTTTAGGAGCTGGGAATATAGAAGTGAATAAAAGGAACCAAAACACTTGTCTTCATTTAGCTTATATTCCAGCAGAAGGAGGCCAACGAGATATAGTAAATGATATGTTTGTTAGGTGAAAAGTGCTATAGAGAAAAATTAAAACAGGGGAAGGTGGACAAGAAGTCCTGGAAGAGAGGTGTAATTTTAAACAGGGTGGCTGGGCTGGGTCTCACCAAGAAGGTGCCAACTGAGTTAAAATGTTAAGGAAATAAAAGAGTGAGCCAACAGGCATATATCTAGGGGAAAACCATTACAGGTAAAGGCAACAGGCAATGCAAAGATCCTAAGGTAGGAGCATGTCTGGCATGCTTCTGGCATGAAGAGCATATACTGGCTAGAAGACCAGTATAGCCTGAGAACACAGTGTACGAGGGGGAAAAGGTAAGGAGTGGGGTCAAAGAGATACCAGAGAGCCAGAATGGCCATGCTGGATATAAAGGCTTTAGCTTTTACAGTACTCTAAGGAAACTGTGAACTCAGTGGAGAGCTCTGAGCACAGACATGATAGTTCTCGACTTACACTATTAAAGAATTATCCTGGGCCGAGGTGGGCAAATTACCTGAGGTCAGGAGTTCAAGACCAGCCTGGCGAACATGGTGAAACCCCGTCTCTACGAAAAATACAAAAATTAGCTGGGTGTGGTGGCATGTGCCTGTAATTCCAGCTACTTGGGAGGCTGAGGAAGGAGAATTGCTTGAGCCCGGGAGGCAGAGGTTGCAGTGAGCCAAGATCATACCACTGCACTCTAGCCTGGCCAACAAAGCTAGACTTCATCTCAAAAAAAAAAAAAAAAAGAGTTATCCTGGGCCAGGCGTGGTGGCTCATGCCTGTAATCCCAGTACTTTGGAAGGCCAAGGCAGGAGAATCACTTGAGCTCAGCGGTTCAAGCCTAGCCTGGGCAACATAGTTTTTAAAACTCCATCTCTACAAAAAAAAATTGTTTTTAATTAAAAAATTAGCCAGGTGCAGTGGCACATGCCTGTGATCCCATCTACTTAGGAGGCTGAGGTGGGAGGATCACTTGAGCCCAAGAGGTCAAGGTAGCAGTGAGCCAAGATCATGCCACTGCACTCCAGCCTGGGTGACAGCACAAGACTCCGTCTCAAAATAAATAAATAAATCCTGGCTGGTATGTTGAGAATAAGCAGGAGGAGGGGTGGACAGCAATGATAAAAGCAGCGAGACCAGTTCAGAGATGCAGTAATCTAAGGGAGGGGAGAAGATGACGATGGCTTACAACCAGGGTGATAGCAGTGGGGTGGTGAGCAGCAGACATATGAAAGACAGTAAGCTTCCTGATGAAGGAGATCATGGGGTGTATGAGAACAAAGGAGTTAACAATGATTCCAAGGTATCAGCCTGGACAACTGGAAGAATGGGGTTTGACATCAACTGATTTGGCAAATGCAGATAAGAAAGCTAAAGGAAGATTCAGGGTTAAGTTTTATACACATTAACCATATGAATAAAATGTTGCTAAGCTTCACAAAGCTTCTATTTCAAATGAATTCATGTTGAATCAATAACCCAAAGGTCCTGTTCTTACCTAAGGTTATGGAAGTACTACATCCTGACCAACTTTCATAATAAACACACACACAAACTGACTTCAATACCCACCCCGAGACACACATACATACAGAAAAACATACAGAAAGACACACACACACACACACACACACACACACAGAGCTCACAGCTAGATTTCTAAAGTGAATTCACAGAAACAACTCTTTCACTTTGTGCTCCAACATCTCTATGACTGCTGCAATCTGAAATAAAAAGGCAAGCAAACCAATCCCCACATTTTCCTCAACACTATTGGCCAAAACAAAATCTCCTGAGCACATCATCCCATGAAAATAAATGCCCATAATGGGTCACAACCCATTGTATTCTAATTCAAACCTGTACAAAATAATTGGACATGGGGTTTTTAAATCAACAAATTCCTTAGAACCATCCCTCAAAATTCAGATTCACTAAGCTTGGCAGAAGGGCCTTACTGCCCACATTTTTAACAAGAATCTCGGACCATGCAGGAGGCTTGGGAACCAAGGTGCTCAGGATCTCCTGCAATGGAAGAAAGACACTTGCATACATACAACCTAAGGGTAACTTTTGGGGGCAGGGGGGATGTGGGGGTAAAGCTTTAAAAATCTCTTACCCTTGTGGTTCTCATTATCAATAGTAGTCACCAAGTGTCAGCAAGTAGACAACCACCACCACCACTGTCAAACCATCCCTAGATCCATGTATACAACTGCTATCAACTTTGTAAGCCACATTCACAACTGCACGCAGAGAGGAGAAGGAAACCAAAAGCATGTTTGCTCACAGCTCTTCTAGATTCAGAAATCCTATTCTTTATAAGAACATCTACAAGAAAGACAGGATACAATTACATGGGCGCCAAAATTATTTTCACAGAGAAACATTTAAATCACCACTTTCCTCAACTGTGGCTCCCGATTTCCAAAGACATAAGAAGTTCTCATAGCAGATTTCAAAGCCCTTCAGGAGCTGAACTCATGATTCCCAACACTTCTCACTGCATAATCTTCTTGCCTATTCTGTGCCCACAGAATTCTCTACTTTATTATCTCCCACAGCCAGACTTTTGTTTCCCAGTTTTTAATCACTCTTTAAGCTTCACCTGCTCCTCTAAGTCCCCTAATTAAACAGAGCCTGATCTAAATGTATCACTCACCCCCACAGAGCCTGCAAGATTTCCTACATTGCTACCAGATGTGTTTGAGTATGCTTGTACAGGCGTGTAGGCACAGGAACAGACACAGAGCTGGTCAATCTTTGTAGTGATTCCTTTAAATTATAAAATCATCAAGTGCAGATACCAAATCATGACTGTAAAATGTGTCTCTGGAGCACAAAGAGCTAACCTGTGTACACGACATATATTACAGTGCATTATGAAGATGTTCTCCAGAGAACTCATGTGCACCCAGAGTTCAAGTTCCCTGCTTAGTAGAAAAGGGAATAAACATGACTCTGGGTAACTTTTCAGCTCTAGTGTCATCATTCACTTAATTTACACTTTCATCTCCAAAGAATGAGAAATGGTCAATGAGTAAAGTAGACAGAAGATGTGACTAAGAAGAAAACAGAAGAAGACTGGCTTTTAAATATTTTTGCAGAACCCCCCTCTTCCTGGGAACACACAAACCAGAATAACTAGAACTCAAGTTGTACAGCCTACCAGATAGGATACTAGGCAGATCCTAACACATCATGAAAACAAACCTGAACAAAACAAAACTTGCCTTGAAAGCACCAGCCATATTCTGAGATCATAGTTAAATTTGAAAGATGTAAGCCTCCTCCCAAGACTCCAGTTGCTATGCTCAGAGAAAAAGTGGGAATGGGACACTAGTTTTTTTCTATTATTTTCGGTATAACAAAACAACATATATGGATATCAAAAGAAAAAATCCTGCTAAAATCTTAACAGGTCAAATCACTTTCAAACTTCTATATTGTACCAGTCTATAAAGTACATATATGCTATAGGAAGAGATGCGGGGGGGGGTCCCAAAAAATTCAAGAGCAAAACCTAGTTACAAAATGTTATGTTAATAACTAGCTTCCAAAAGTGAATTACAATTATAGTATTGCACACACAGAACTGACTTAATAAAGAACTCTTTCTTGCAAAATATCATCTCAACCAAGGTAGGATACAGTAAAAGGAGGAAGAAAAGTCACTGAAAACACCACTCTACTAGAACTGGGCCAAAAACATCCCCCCTAGCTGCCCAAGGCAAAAAAAAAAAAAAAAAAAATCAAAACTAAATAAAGAGCCCAGCCAGGCACGGTGGCTCACACCTGTAATCCCAGCACTTTGGGAGGCCATAGCGGGCAGATCACTTGAGGTCAGAAGTTCGAGACCAGCCTGGCCAACGAGGTGAAACTCCATCTCTATTAAAAATTCAAAAAATGAGCTGGACGTGGTGGTGGGTGCCTGTAATCCCAGCTACTCAGGAGGCTGAGGCAGGAGAATCGCTTGAAGCCGGGAGGCAGAATTGCAGTGAGTCAAGATCGCGTCACTGAACCCCAGCCTGGGCGACAGAGAGAGACACTCTCAAATAAATAGCCCAGAACTAGCTGATTATTTATGAAAAACCTAAGAACTCTGTAATTACCCCATCTTTCCAGGTTGGAAAACAACAAAGCTGTTAGAATATTAAGGTGGCCTATGAGATTAGTCCTAACAACAATCTAGTTTTTAACAATTCTTCCAAAAGAGTTCTAAATCTTTACCTCCCATTTAGTAAACAAACTTCTCAGATTCAGACTTCTGATTAGAGGTAAAGGGTATGTGACAACACCAATGAACTGCAAATTCCAATGACTATTATTCTATTAACTTCAGAAGTGGAAAAACAAGGTATGTTAAGAGTTCAAGACCAGCCTGGCGAACATGGTGAAACACCGTCTCTACTAAAAATACAAAAATTAGCCGGGTATGGTGGTGGGTGCCTGTAATCCCAGCTACTTGGGAGGCTGAGGCAGGAGAATTGCTTCAACCCGGGAGGCGGAGGTTGCAGTGAGCCAAGATTGCGCCACTGGACTCCAGATTGGGCGACAGAGCTAGAACCCAGTGGCGGGGGGATGCCATGGGTCAGCTTCCAAGGGTCCTTCATCATCTGTTTTGATGGGAAAGCACCCTATATTGCATCCCAGCTTCCTTGGGCCTTTTCTTTTCTCTAGAATATTCTTTTCTCTAGAATATCCAGGTATTCTTTTCTCTAGAATATCCAGACTGGTGGAGACAAGAATCATTCCTCAGGCTACTAGTATCCCTTATAAAAGGGAATCTTACTCAATGTCTTTGACCCTATGAGAAGACGGGCAAATCATAGGCTATAAGCTGCTTGTAACATTTGAAGAAATAAACTATTTGCCTTCTTTGTGGTTAGTGTACAGAGAGACAGAGAGACAGACAGACAGATACAAGGAATATAGATCGTCTAGAAGTAAAAACAGGGAAGACTGATAAACCAAGAGAATAGACACCTATATCCTCAAGCGTACTCAAGTCAGCTCTGAAATTCACCCAGATGTGTGGCTCATTGCCTAGACCAACATATACATCTGGTAATAATAAACACTGATATGTCATAAACAAAAAGAGTTTCTTTAACTCTACAAAGTACTAGTAATATTAAAATTTACATAAAGACAAAGAATATATATGAAATAGATTTTTTTAGATGGTATTTCAACTTAAGTAACTGTATTAAGAAATGAAAAACTGGTATTTTACTGCCTAGTTTTCAAAACACTAAAATCTTTAATTTGACCAAGTTACAAATCTGTTTTCAGTAGAGGGAGAAAACACACTGCCTCCGTTCAATGCAAAGGACAAAAAAGATCATCACTGCAAATCATAATGTTTGGGTTCATGATGAAAACAGGAAACAGACAGGCTGCCCAGGTATAATTATGGTTGTAATCTAATGTGCCTTCAGGTTCAGCCAAGAATTAAAACCCAGTGAAGAGGGTAAGCAGAATTTACTTGCCTCTACTTTGCTGCAGAATGCAACTTTTAATAATACTCCCAGCAACATGTTACATAACCAACAGTAAACAACAATCTGATTCAAACCTCATTAGTAACAACATTCTGCCACTGTCTCCCACTGAAATTAATAGCTGACTTTGCCAGAGGGGAAAGAAATCCAACACATTATCAATCTACCCATTTCTGTGGCGCCTACCACAGTGAACCAGACACGCAGATAATACTACCAGATCTGTACAGAACCTACGAAAATATTTTATTCTTTTTTTCCAGTTTGCTGCTCTCTTCCTCCTTTTAACTAGACCATATCATGTGGATGCCTTTAAAACCTGAGAGTAAAGTCAGTTGAGAAGGTTAATCTAACTTTTCTTGCTTATTTCAGCTATGATCTGAAAGGAATGGAAGCACAAAATGATGAATAAGGTATTTTTAACAAAGATACATGGGTAAATTAACAGCAGTAATGTAAAAAAGACTGAGGGAGCAACAATGTGGAAAGGGAAGGAAAGGAAGCTGTATAGGAACAATCACACAAATAATCATCAAAATTAAACTTTATAAATCTAAACATAGTATCTACAACCTTTATGAAGGTTAAGTTTTGTTAAATTGTCTAAGTTTTGCATTTTTACAATTTTCACTGTAGAGAAAAAAATATTAATAGTTACCAAAGGAATAAAAGACTAAAATAATTTGTTATACATCTGCAAATAGCTCCTTAAATTTGGAACACTAATTTCATAATGATATTTGGATCCATAAATGTGAAACTGTCACACTGAATGTAGGTACTGTTTTCCCCACAATGGATACTACTGCATTGGCATCTAGCAGAAATTGTAAGCTATTTGGAATGTTACTAAACCTACTGGGACTAAGGTTTTCAATCTTTTGTCTTTCAAATTAAAATTAAAAACTAATTCACTCTGGGCAATTCAGGTACTCTAAGGAAATTCAAGTACTCTAGTTTTAAATACGAATTTTCAAAAACGCAACCCAAGTACCCTTTCCTCTCAACTTCTGTGAGGCCAAGCCACGACCTCCACCTATTCAATCTTTGCTGCTAGATAACAACCCTTTTGGTAGTGCTAGGCAACAGGCATGATGTGACAAACCTAGACATCAAAACTTTTCCACAGAAAGATAAGGTAAACAAGATATACTTAGCGCCACACCCATTTAAATGCACAAGCAACCAAAATTGCTCCCTCCCCCCGCAACACCCCCCCCCCCCCCCCAAAGCTCCAGCTGGTCAGGAAACATTGTCTTTACAATCAAGATAAACATCTGGCTCAGGGTGTTCAGCCATTCCTCACCTACAGGCTTGCCTAAGCCCCATTCTCCAATGCCATCACCACCAGAACCGGAACATTCTGTTGGGAAGCCGGCAAACGTCCAAATACCCCAAGTATCCTCGCCCGAGTTCTGCAACCAAAAATCTGTTTTGGCTACTGAGCATGCTCAGACTTAAGACGGGCGCGCCACATGGGAGTTTTCAAAGCTTAGGCTCCAAACTCCACGTAGTAACAGCAGCTGAAAGGAGGAGAGGGGAAAAGGGGAGGGGAAGAGACTGGAATATTAATTTGAGCCCTGATATTGAAGTATAGGACCCGGCCAGCGGCTGAATATGGTGAAGGCAAAAAGACGCTGCTTTGGCATTCTCTTTGCAGCACAGAGAAGTTTACATGAAGTAGAAGAAATCCTTGCAGTGGTGAAAACTGACATGGCAAGTGGCAGAAACCAGGTCTAACTACCAGCTGATTGCAGTAGCCGGTCACAACTGCCCAGAGTGTAATTCCCACCGATAAGCGCGGATCCTTATCTTTGAAACACAAAGCGACGGCGGCACGGATTCATCAAGCCATTGGACAGCTTCGCAGTGCAGCAGCCCAGGCTGCCCGGCCGAGCACCGCAGTCCTATCAAGGGTGTGTATCCAGGGTGGTACATCCGATGAGTTAGGAAAGCAAACCGCTCCCCAGGACAGCGCGGGGTCAGGGGGTCCCCTCCAGGGCGTCCCAGACGCCTCCCTCCAAAGTCTGGGCGGTAACAGCGGGGCTGGGACGAGGGCCAGCCCCGGCCCCGCCTCAGGACGCCCCGGGCAGCCAGCGAGGCCTCCGCAGCCGCTGGGCCGCACCGTGTCCGCCAGCCGGGACCCCGGCAGGCCAGGACTCGGCCTACCTCCCGCCCGACAGGCCCTGGGTCGTTTCCGCTCCGTCCGCGGCCGAACGCCCCCGCCTCGGCCCGAGTCCGCCGGGGCAGAGCCTGCAGCCCCCAGTTCCCCTCGCCCGCGCGCGCCGGGGACCCTCACTCACTCGCGAGCCGGCTAGGCGCGCTCTCCCGACGCCGTCGCTGCGCTTCTCCTCGCTGCAACTTTATTAGCAGCTCGGCCGCGGGACACGCGCACGGCGCCCGCTCGCCCAGGACCCGGATGAGGGAGGGAGGGAGAGGGAGCCCGGGAGGACGCCCGCTGGGGTCGGCGCATGCGCGCCAGAGGCGGAGTGACCGCTGCGGGACCGAGGGAGGGGTGTCTTGCCCGGGCGGCTGAAAGAAGCCTCCGCGCCGGGCTCCGCGCCGGCCAACGCCGACTTCCGATCAGCTGGAGGCCTTCGCGTCGATGGCCAGGCCTGGGAATGGGAATCAGATAGCTCCCACCACCACCACAGTAGGCGCTAGAAGCTTCCACTAACCAAATCAGTATACATTGTAATAAAATTAAGTAATTGTCCTTGACACAGACAACTGGAGGTTTTCTGTCACATACAAAGTGTAAACAAAAACATCTTCAGATACGACTTAGCTACTTTTATTGATCTGTAATACAAATCTGAATGAAGAGTCTTCTTTCTGTGCAAAGTAGCTTCAAAACATGTTTCTGAGCATCTTACAGCTTCTTACTAGATGCAGCACTAAAACCCCTCCCACGGGGCAATCCTGGAACCCTTGAGGGCCTGTGGAAATGGAGCGAGTGCCCACCCTGGAGTTCCAGGAGTGGGACTGCCCATACACTGGATCGCAACCCCAGTTGTTCAAGACACATAGCCTCTCCACCTCCTTGTGGGGAGGGAGATCCCGTGGGGACCCAGCCCCTGGACAGGCGGGGCCACTGAGTTGCAGAGACACCATCCATAGGCTTATATACACCACCCCATCTCCTGGACTCTCTTTTCTAAGTAATTGGAGCTCTTCTCGATGCTTTTTCCTCCAAATTTCCAAAACCGTCAGTATTTCCTAGAATATAATATTGGTACCACATAGGGTACCCGATTTGAATAGTACTAGTAAGAAAAAGCTTTTGAATAATTTTGTTTTTATTTGAAAAGGTCAATACTGGCTCTCCAATGTTCTATTATAGGTTTTCTTTTTAAAATAAGTAAAAATCAAAATCGGGGTCATTTTGGAATGCTCTTTGACACCCTAATCCAATCCATCAGAAATTCTACTGACTCTTTCTTCAAAATTTATCCTAAATCTGACCATTTCTCACACCTCAATTGCCACCTCCATGGCCCGAGCCAGGGTCATCTCATCTGACACACAAATGGCGCAGCCACTATTTTGCTCCAGGCTCTAGAAGTTTATTTCTGTGGAGAAGAAACTAAATAAATGTCCAGAAGTCTCTGCATTAGGGGTGGCCATCTGAAATGGTGACAGAGGGCTAGTAAAGGAGTGAAGGGGAAGTGGGGGAAGAGACCAGAGAGTGAGTGTCTAGTTCCAGAGACCAAAGGGGTCACTGCTATTTCATTCCAGCCAACTGTTACCATAGGGAAATGTGGGAATAAGGACCCAGTGTTGGCAGATATTCTGATTTTTCAAGCAAAGCTGGAAATTTAGATTTTTATGTGAAAATCTCAATTATATCTGTTTAGCAACTTCTTTCTATTTTTCTCTCTCTTTGCCTGTCTCCTGCCCGCCCCCCACCCCGCTCCCTTCCTCTCACTCTGTTAGACATTCTGGAGGCCAACTACATGCAAGCCAAACAAAACAAATCCATGGTCCCGATTTAGCCTACTGGCCACCAGTTTGCAATTTCAGGTCTCCATCTTAAACTTCTTTACTACATCATAAACTTTGAGAAAGTAAAGTCTGTGTACTTTAACTCTTTGTCACACTCACTGATTATTTGTTGTTAATTCAGAAGTTTCCAGCCCTTGGAAGGCAAATATTTCTGGAGCCTGCATGGGTTTACAACTCCCAGAAGTGCATATAATCCTGCCTTGGAGGATACGTTTTTTTTTTTTCCAGAACTGATGTTTGCAGAGTGCTTTGTTGAACATTATAGGACATAACAATTTGGTTTAAATATTTTGTATAGTAGAGATACTCCTCACTTCAAACAGCCAATAAAATCCTTCCCAAAACAAATTATTTGCTGTTTTGCAGTCACTGTACATACGTCAGAAGAATTTGTGATTACAAGATTCCTTTTCATAATCACATATGTAATCTCATAGCCAACAGTTTTGCTTCCTAAGTTATGTGTCCACATACTGATCAAATCAGCCAGCAACTCCAGCCTCTCCAACTTGCTATTTGAGCTCAGTTTAGGTCTAAAGTTGGAAGAGATAACATAGAAGAGAGGAATGGAGATTTTAGTACCACACCAGCAGCCTTCCGAAGGTCTAAGAAATTACCTAGACCTCAAAGACTATGGAAAATCAGAGGGATCACTAAATATCTATACAGTCAAAAACATTATAAAACAGCAAATGAACAGGAATCCCAGAACCATAAGAATGAAGTAAGGAAGTCCCTGTTTTTGGCAATCAAATGGGATCTAAGAACAAATGTAGAACAGGATGATCTGAACAGATAGACATAGTCAGTGGGGCATCAAAATAGACAAACTGCTTTTTTCATTTAGCCATTCACCTGATCAAGAAGACCAGATAAAAGCAACTCCAATACTCAATTTTACTTTACTTGTAGAGAAACCTATTTCTGGACAATTTAGTCCTATAATTCTCAACCAGGGGTGACTGCACCCCCAGGAAACATTTGGCAATGTTTAAAGATGTTCTCGGTTGTCACAACTAGGAGGGCGGTGCTACTAGCATCTAGGCGTTGCAGGTCAGAGACACTGCTGAACATGCTACAATGCACAGAACAGCCTCCTTCTACCAAAAATTAGTCAACCCAAAATATCAGTTGTGCTGTGGTTGAGAAACCCTGATTTAAATCCCAAATAGTTTTTCTTGGGTTGGGTTGATGTTTACAGAAGAAATGATCCTTTCCTTTGAATTTTTTCAATAATCATTTATATTATCAATTTCATGTAGAGAATTAGCCTAAATGTTTAGCCCATGACCTACTCCCTCCTTGAGTTTTTCAGGTCTAAGAAGGAGGCAACTTTCAGGAAAGGTGAGACAATATATGGAAGATGAAGAACTGGAATAATTTAGAAACATTTCTGTATTTTTTAATTTTAAAATGTCTAGTAATTGAGGCAAATTGTTTTTGGTTTGAAAATCATTAATAAATATCTTAATTTTGTAGTTTGCTGTAGCTCAGAAGGCTCTGCCTACATGACTACTGCATACCCTACTGGGAGAATTGGAAGAATGTGATGATGGTAGGAGTCACCCAGCATAGAAGCATGAGTGAATGACATCCCAGAGATCTGCAAAGGATCCTGGTAGCCACTTCAAAGACTTTTTCTCCCTTCCTCAGACAATCATGGCACATGGACATCAGAGGAAGAAATGGCGAAGTTTGTATGACTCCTCCAGCAGAGTCCTTGGAAACAATAAAGCTTCCTTTCCAAATTCTGAGAATTCTGTGTTATTCTTTAATTGGCAGACTGCCCACTGCACCCAATTCTTAATATTGGAAACAGTGCAGAAGCCAGAACTCAACTGAGGAGTTCTGAGATGAGTGAGGTTCCAAGGAAATGATGTGCAGAGGCGCACCCCACAATCCAGTAAGAAAAAGCTCATCATGTTTGTCAGAAGAGATTTCATGTCAGTCTTTAACAGAATGAGCAAACCTTCCATGCTGACCAGAGAATATGCAAAAGTAATTTTATCCAATATTTGAAAGGAGTTTTTTCCAGTAAAATTTTGGTGTTCTGGTGTGAAATGCTTCCCTTATAATCCACAGACCCTTTATTTTCATAGCTCAGAAGTTGAGATCATAATGTATTGAAAAATGAAAAAGTAAAAGAATGACAGCTGCCTCCACTCAAAGCACAGGAATCTGGCAGCCACAGACTCCTTGAAGCTTCAGGGACGGATATCAGAGAATCTGTGACCCCACCCCCGGGAATTAATGTGCACATTTTTGTGTATATACCTACATACAAATTTTCTGCAGAAAAAGCCTATAGCTTTCATCAGATTCTCAAAGGTTTCCTGACCTCCACATGTTTGCAGATGCTTAAGACAGTGGTTACTTTACACGTGGTATAAGTTTAATGTGTCCATTTTAAGGTATCTTTTCTTCTCTTTTTCAGAGCAACATAATTAGGAGACTCCTCTCTAGGGAAGGCAGCTTAATGTAGAGTCTAGAAACCTGGCTTGCCTGTCTCCAGCCATCTGCCACATTAAAGAAGGCCTCCTATGGCTGGAATCCAAGACACAAAATTAAAAGGGTTGCTTGCACCCAGAGTCATAAAACAAAGAGGCTTTCTGAAGCAGGCCTTGGAGCGAACACTCATTTCTTCCTGACTTAAACAGCATCTGTTTCTCCTGATGGCGAACACCCCCCAAGTTAACTTGAATAACCTCCGGGGTTCTACCTTCTCAATTTTCATCCTCAGAGACAGTCTCAGATAAGCCAAACCACATGTGTACCCCACCACAAATCCAGAGCAGCAGGTGAAAATCTGAAAGTGTTATGGAATTGAGGAGAGGGGAAAGAGATGAAAATTTTGTGTTCTCTAGGAAGCTCTTTAACTACATGAAGTCTTAATCATGAGAACTCTGATGCCAGACTTCTTTGTTTGAACACAGACTATCTCACTACCTGTATAACTATGCACAAGTTTCTTAACCCAATCTCTGCCTCAGATTCCTCATCTGTAAAATGGGGATAACTGTAGTATCAGCTTAATAGAATTATGAGGATTACATGCATAGAGACTTGCAAAGTTCTTAGAACAGTTCCTGACACAAAGTAAGTGCTATACAGGTGTTTATTTTAAAAACACATGTATTCTCCTGATATGCCAGCAATTTCTAAGAACGAATTAGCAAATCTGTTTGTCACATAAAGTGTGTATTCATTTTACAGTACAATAGACCCTCTTCTCTTCTTACTCCACTAGGTAATCTCATTCACTCCCAGGCCTCTAGTACCATCTGTTATAGACAATTCCCAAATTTCTGGTCCCATCTTGAACTTGGCTAATGGACGCCAGACCCGTAAGTTCAACTACCCTCTTACCATCTCTACCAGACTGCAGTAGTTTGGATTTTGTCTGCCCCAATACCTTCCAATCATCTTTTTCCTGCTTCCTTTGTGATATCATTTCCTTACTGTATTAACTACAGTACCAGACACCTTACCCCAGAGATGGGCACGTGACCAAGGAGGGTTATCATAGTACCTCAGCTACCCAGGCCAGTGTGATTGGTTGATAAATGGACATATGACCTAAGCAAAATAACAATATCATCTTTTAGACTGATGTATGGATGTTGAGAAAGAAAAGTCCTTCTTTTTACTATCATTGCTAAGCTAAGGGTGACTCTGAGGCTGCCTGGAGCCATCTCACCACCATGTGGAGGGAGTTTGCTTGGAAATGAAGCCAGAAGAGAGAAACAGATCAGATAAATGGACATATGACCTAAGCAAAATTAACAATATCATCTCTTAGACTGATGTATGGATAAGAGAGAAAAGTCCTTCTTTTTACTGTCATTGCTAAGCTAAGGGTGACTCTGAGGCTTCCAGGATCCATCTCACCACCATGTGGAGGGAGTTTGCTTGGAAGTGAAGCCAAAAAAGAGAAACAGATCAAAGAAACAGAAGCTAAGTCAAATCCCTGACAAAATTTTTTGAGTTCCTGGATCCAGCTGTACCTGAAGCTCTGAAGATCCTCCTTAGACTTCCCAATTACATTCACCATTATATTCTGCTTTTGCTTAAGCCAGTTACATTTCTACCACTTGTGATTCCTGTCATTGGCAGTCTCACTGGATTTATCAGGTCAAAATTTGAACTCCTAATTTTTATCCTCTCTCCCCAACCTGTTCCTGCTCCAGTCTTCCCCATATCAGTAAATGGCAGTTCCATCCATGTAGTTGTTCAAGCCATACCTAGCTGTCATATTGGAAGATTGGATTATAGGTCTTTAATCCTCAATCTCCCCCTGTTGTGGAATTATACATTCATACCCTTTGCCATGCAGTATCTTCCACCAGAGAAGGTGAAATATTCTTCCTTGCTCCTTTGAAATTGAATTTGGTCTTTTGTGCTTTTGCCATCTACCATTTAGAAGAACAGACTCCAGGTAGCCATTGAGCCAAGGAAGATGAAAATACACATGGAGCAGAGTGGATCCCAACCCACAGTCCAGAGCCTAGCTCAACAGACCTGCAAGCCTGAAGCACAGCTACCCAAGCTGATTCACAGACCCAAGAGTGAGAAAAAGTAATGTCTGTTGTTGTATACCACTGAGATTCTAGGTTTGTTTGTTATGAAGGAATAGCCAACTAAAAACATTCTTCACTTACCTTGTCTCTCACCCTCATTTACTTATTCATTTATTAAATTAATGCCCTTATTCAATAAGGCAATAAATATTTATTGAATACCTAATATGTGCCAAGAATGTTTGGGGCATAAGGAATAGGACATTAAACAAAATAGACAAAAGTTAAAGCTGTAATAAACAGATAATTATTAATAGTGAGAAAACAAATAAAACTTAATATGTCCCATGGTAACAAGTACCTGTAGAAAAATAAAACCATGAATGGAAGTTGGGGGAGAGAGTGCTGGGATGAAAAAGGATGGCTGCTGTTAGACAGAGCAGCCAGAGTTAAATAGGGCTGCCCTTCAACTTTCCATTTGCCAAGTCTTATCAGTTTTACCTTCAAACCATAGCTCAAATCCATCCACTTCTCTCCATGTCTACTGTCTACAGATAGACCCAGGTCATAGTCCGGGTCACCCTTATTTCTTGCCTGGACTATCTTCTGCCTCCACTCAGCCTCACTCTACCCCCTCTATCACCCAACAGCTATTCCATGTTGAAAATATAAATAAGATTATGGTTACTGTCACAGTAAAGCTCTTCAAGATCTTCCCATTACACATCATATCAAATCCCAACTTCCTCCCATGGCCCTGACCCGAGTGATGTGATCCCTGCCATGGCCCACTTCTCGCAGGTGCCTTGCTCACACTGACCTTCTTTTTGTTCCTCACATATCACAAACTCTTCCCCAGATTAGGATCTTTGTACCTGTGGTCCCCTAGCTTGTTCTATGTCTCCACCTTGGAAGCTTCTGAAATGTTTTGCCGCCACTCTTGACTTTTCTTGCTCCTTCTCATCAACCTTGGGTCTCAACTTCAATGCCAATTTCTTACAAAGGCCTTCCCTGGCCATGTCTGCTTTCCCCACTGCACCCTACCTAGACTGGGTGCCCCCATCATATGCTGCCAAAGCATCCAGCTCTTTCCCTGCAGGGACTCACCTCCCACATGTCATGGCTTGATCAAAGTCTGTATTCCCCAATGTAATTAAGCTCCTCTTCACAACTGTCCTCAACATGTAGATCAGGGCCCGGTGTGCTGTAGGCCTTTAATAAAGGGACATTGAATTTTCTGCTTCAATTTTGGTCTTATGTGTGCTCCTAGTTAAAATCACTTTGCTCCCATTTAATTTTTTTAAATTTCCTATTCAAATATTAGTATGTAAGAGAGTGTGACTCTCTCCATCTCCCAAGCAGAAACTCAGCCCTTAAACTTACCATTCATTCATTCGATTATTCATTCAACATAAAAATGTTTATATAGTACCTACTCCGTGCCTGGCACTGTGTCAAGCCCTGGGAATACAAAGGTGAATTATACTTTCCCTGTGCTAGTGAAGCTAACAGTCTTCTGGGGGATGTTTGGTTGTCTTCTGTCTTCAAAATCCATAAACGCTAGATGGAAGACTCTCAGACTAAAAATCAAAAATCTATCCTTTCAAAGCTGGAAGCCTACATATTCTCAGTGGAGGAGACTCTTCTTACCTTTAAGGAACTCCTTGTTTTGTAAAAAGCTTCCACCTGTAATAGACCATTTAATTATGAAAATGTAAAACAAGGACCTTTTTCTGAAATAGAGTTTTTAGCACTGAAGGGTTAACTATTCAGTCTGATCATTGGAAAGGCTGTTACAAGCAAAGCTGTATCCCACTCAGCTACATTATCTGAAATGTTTCATTGCTAAGTATGGATTTTTAAAAAATCGCTTTATAGTTTTTACACAAATAATGCATGTTTATTGGGAAAATTCAAATTATAGCAAAAAGGTCCAAAAAGGTAAAAATTACTTAAAATCCCATGAATCAGAAATGACCATGGTCAATACATTGATGGAACATCTTACAAGACATCTCTTTATGCACACACACACACACACATACACACACATGCACACACACATAAATAGCTGATATTGATTAAGCACTTATTTATGCAAAGTACAGAGTGACACGCCTTTTATATTTGATGAAATGCTACGATAACCTACAATGTAGTCATGGTTACCAACATTATCATTCTCCTTTTTATAAAGGAAGAAACTAAGGCACAAGCCATTAAAGAACTAGCTGTTGTGAATGCACATATTCCTATAGCCTGTGAGGGTTTACAACTCTCAGAAGTGTTTGTAACCTGCCTTGGAAGCTTCATTTTTTTAGAAACTGGTATTTGCAAAATGCTTTGTTAATCATTAAAGGATATAAGAGAATTTGTTTGAAATATTTTGTACATGAAGCCCATTTCTTACTTTGCTATATTCTGTAAAATCTTGCATTCTCTGCTTTCTACAGCTCAGTCCCTTCCAACCTCTCCTAGCGTCTCCTATACCTCCTTCCTTTTCCTTGTCATTAAACTGGTGTTTTTGCTGTCCTTACTGTTCCCACCTCCCACCTGGCCATCACATTGCCATCAGCACACCTTTGCTTTTATAGTAATCACTAAAGGAGATGTCCCTTCCTGTAACCAGTGCTACCTTTCCTTCCCAGGCCACCTTACATATCTCCTCCTCCTTCATGACCTGGCTGATCCTCAAGGATCTTTTATTGATGCTTGACATTCTGGAAGGTGCATAAAAAGGAAAAGAGATACACAATGCTGAAATGGAGAGAGGTGAGGGGTTTTACAACCATTTTACAGATAAGAAAATGGAGGTTCAGAAAAGTGAAGTCATTTCCTGAGTTTATACACATAGCGATGAAACTAGAATTCAAATCCAAGTGAACCTAACTCTCAAGCTCTTGCTCTAACCATGACACAATACTGCCTGCTTTCTTGACTCACTCTTTTTGAGATGCAGAACCATTCTAAACTTTTGCACTCTAACAAAAATGGTACTTATGAATCCTGTGATCAATGTCAGGGAACCATAATACTCTGTAAACCAAGCTGAGAAAACAATAGGTTACTAAGTAAGAGAATGAATAAATAAATGTGTCAATGTGCACAACTGCAATTTCTAGCCTGAATTTGTATTGGGTGATGGTGAAGTCATACAGAGAAAGTAAGCCATAAAACTTTGTATTTATTCTAACAGCCAGGTAAGGGCCCTGAGCAAGCTCAAAAGGCCCTGAGTGAATGGAGTTAGTGTTTCGACATGTTTATCTTGAAGTGTAGTGAAACCTATTCATTCTATTTGTATAATGACTAATGCTTCTGTGGATGTATCATTTACAATATGGTGGCATTACTAATGTGCCACATTAGAGGTGATTTAAAGTGTTGAATCAAATCAGTTAAGCTCTTCTAAGTCAACTCTAGCTACCCACCTCATGTGGTGTAAGGTTTCCACTGCAGAGAGAGACCATGCTAAGCAGTCCAGGGATGTTGATCTCATCTGTGTTGCCTCCACAGACCTGCTTTTATAGAGCACTGTTGCATTGTGTACTGAAAACTAAATTTCAAAGGTTTTAAAAAGAGGGTAGAAAGTCAACAAAGTCCTCTGCTTCAAATGTGTCACAGATGGAGCAGAAGGAGCCCCCTGCCAGGTCATTCTGTCAGAAATGAGAATTTGTACGACTTCTGAGCTCCAAAGTGGTCTTGGGTATAATGTCTCTGAGATCAGAGCAAAAACCATCTGGGGACTGCTTCTGGCTTCCATGACCATTGGAAGGAAGTCTGTTCTCATATGAGAGTAAATATTTACTTTACCTGCTTATGATTGCTAGATGAGTTTCCATTATATGCTAGGAACTATAAGGTAAGAAATTATTCTATACATTTCTCTATTTATTCATGAAAAATAAGGATATTCAAAGACAAAGATATCAGTGGAAAAGAATACACACCGGCCGGGCGTGGTGGCTCAAGCCTGTAATCCCAGCACTTTGGGAGGCTGAGGCGGGCGGACCACGAGGTCAGGAGATTGAGACCATCCTGGCTAACATGGTGAAACCCCGCCTCTACTAAAAATACAAAAAATTAGCCAGGCGTGGTGGCGGGTGCCTGTAGTCCCAGTAACTCAGGAGGCTGAGGCAGGAGAATGGCGTGAACCTGGGAGGCTGAGCTTGCAGTGAGCTGAGATTGTGCCACTGCATTCCAGCCTGGGTGACAGAGCAAGACTCCATCTCAAAAAAAAAAAAAAAAAAAAAAAAATAGAATACGCACCTCTCCCAGTGAACCTCTTTCCCTATCTCTTCCTTCAGTCAGTTCTCTGTCCTGATCTCTAGTATCATGATTACAACTCTCTTTTTGATTCATTTATTCACTCAACAAACATTTGCTGAGTGCTTGTTATGTGCCCAGCCCTGGGGAATGCCCTATAGAGTAAAAACAGGCAAAGGCTCTGCTCTCAGGGAATAAAATCAAGTCAGGGAGACAGACATAAATCGCTTAATCTCTAGTTTGCCTGAATAAGATGATCCAAAAACACCCTCTTTATTTTTCTGATCATCATTGGCTGAGCTAATTTTTAAAGTGTATTTTTTTTCTCTCTTTCTACTCATCTCATCATCAATACCTGGAGTTCATTTTTTGAGGCCTACAACCAGCCTCAGAGAAACAGATATTCTCATGGTTTGCTTGTTGTCTTTGTAACATTGACATAGCCACAGACAAATTGGAGTAATGAGGCAGCCAGATACCCAAACACCTACATCTACATTGACTCTTGAAGGATTTAGCACCTGGGGTGCTGATGATTACCATGATTCATAAGCAAGTCATGTCATCATTGAGCTGTGATATTTCACTTTGAAGACCCCAACAGTTCTAGAACTACTAGGATGCAATAAAAAATTTAGTCAGCAGGCTAATGCCCTGTAGCTAAATTGCATAGGAAAACCGACACTAGACACAGGTTGTATGCTGAGCAGTTTGTGGCTGCTACCTTTATTTTATTTTAATTTTTTTGAGAGACAGGGTCTTGCTGCGTCACCCAGGCTGGAGTGCAGTGGCACAATCACAGCTCACTGCAACCTCAACCTCCCAGGCTGGAGCGATCTTCCCACCTCAACCTCCCAAATTGCTGGGATTACAGGCGTGAGCCATTGTGCCTGGCCTGGCTGCTACCTTCAAAGACTCTTAGCACCCTTAAGTAGGAAGCCTTAAAAAGTACTTTAATGAAGTCCTTTTCTCCACAGCACACATGAAGACAAACATACCAAAAGAAACTCATTCCTTAGCCTTACACTTGTTTTCTTCTTACTCCTTATAATGGAAAGGAAGGGGTGAATACAAGTTAGCAGTGGTAGAAGAGGCATTTTGCAAGGACACATGAGAGTTTGAGGTGACAAGGAATATGGTTTCCTTGACCATAAAGACATACTTTATGGTATCAGTCTACTGAGGCTGGCTTGTCCAGCAGTTGGGGATCCAGCCAGCCCTAGAGTGGCCCTTCTTCTCTTTTTTGAACTTTTACAGAGTTCTTTGTAGTTAGTTGTCTCAAAAGAAACTCCTAAGTTTGCCATTACCCAAAATGAAGCACCCCTATTGGTTAGAAGTTCATGCCAAGCCTCCTTAGAAAGCATTGGTTTATCTCACGCCCAGCCCTTTTACAGTTTGGTAGGGACATCAGTCCTCATCTAGGCCATTATGGACAGAGCTACAGGGGTGCTACCACTTGAACCACATGACATAAGCCAAAACCACTGATCCAGGAATGAAGTGGCTCAGGTCACTTTCCTGATAAGATGACTAGGGGCATGGTAGACACCATGGACTTCCTGGACTCCAACACTGCCAGCCCAGCACACAAAGTGAGGGCTGGGCATCTGCTCGGCATGGCTACCTTTCCCCATACAAGACATTCCATGATTCATGTATCCACCCAAACACTCATACTTTTACAGACAGTCTACTATGTGGCAGACTTTGTGACAGGTGCCAGACACAGTGGTGAGCAGCAGGCCTGTCCCTGCTCACACAGATCACATAACCTAGTGGGAGGAATGGGTAATAATTGGATAACCACACAGTATGAAAAGGAGCATGGGCTGCCAGCGCACAGAACCAAAGGACGACGAGGGCTGCTCTGACACGTAGGTGATTGAGGTGAGACCTAGTGGGTGAACAGGAGTTCATGAAGTAATGGAAAAGTCTGGGTGGGGATTAGAGTGGAGGAAGCCTTGTAGGCAGAGGGAATAGTGTAAATGGAGACCCCAGGAACATGGGGAACATGGTGGTGACAATGAGAACTGAGGAAAAACTGATATGTTGGATAGAGAAAGCCAGGGGGAGATGGGCCTGGAGAGGCGGGCAGGATAACACATGTAGGCCATGAGTGGCATTTTGGAATTATCCTAATGGTGCCTTACATGTCAGGGCTGTTTGCTGGATTCTTCTGGGCCTCAGGCAGTTGCCTTCATAGTGAGGAGGAAGGCTGGAGGTATCAGGGAAGAGCTGGAGGTGCAGGGGGGAAGTAGATAGAAAAATGGAGTTGCTCAAAGGACAAGCTCTCCCCCAGCATTTCAGCAGCATCAGCCCTATCTCACTTGTGACTCCGACCCCAGGCTAGCCTGGGACCATTCTGCCACCCCAGATTTACCACAGCTGATACTCCCAAAACCTTGCACAGCTCCCTGTTGTGCCACGGGCTAATAACTGTAGGGACCAAGGTCCCAGTCCACATGCATGCCTGCTGCCAGGAAGGGCAAGAGTGAGAAGGAAGGTCAGAGGTACTGAGAAGCCATGTCTGGGGCACACAGACCCCACAGGAGGATGGAGACCCACACGCTACTTTTACCTTCCAGCAGGTGTTAGATGTCACTTCCCCTTAGGGGGCCCTTCCATGACTCCTGGATGAGAAGACAGCCAAAGCACCTGTGGGAAGACTCACTGCACCTGGAATTATTTCTGTAATGTGGGGTAGGGGTTGGGACATGTCTGTCCGATTGTTTGCTGTGGTGCCTGGCACGTACTAGCACATAGTCTACCCACAGTAAATGTTTGTTAATTGAATTATAAATGCAAAACATATAAAAGACACTTTTATTTTCTCTTATTACCTTGAGAGAAAAACCTGGGAAGAACACTCCAAATTAACAGTGAAAACCATCCTACTTCTTGTGCCCCGAGTTAAGTAGATGAGTCCATTATAAATGCTTTAAATGGGTAGAGAAGTTCTGGACTAAATTGGGGCTCCTACAGACTTTGCTCTCATTTGCCTATAAGACATTTATTTTTGTTTTGGTTTGGGTTTTTTGTTGTTGTTTTAACTATGGAGACTTCATTTATTTTGCCCTGGCCAGTGCTTCAGCAAAGGTTAGAGTCCAGAGAAGTTTTCACTGTGCAGATGCATCTCTTGGCTCTTTGTGTTTATACATTTGTGTGTATGTGTGTGTATACATGTGTGTCTGTACACGTATGTGTCTGTGCACCAGTGTGTATGTCTAGGGGGTCTTCTCCTCTCTAGTAACCTAGGAAGGCCCCCAGGTCTGGCTCACCAGTCAGGAGTAACAGATTTGGTCCAAGGCCATAGGGAGAGTTATGTAGATGTTCCCTTATGAAACACTGTGAAGAGCATTTTACTCACCTCTGGACCTGGAGGAAAATCCTGGCTCTGGAGCCCCAATTTAAATAACAGTAGGGATGAAGGCCCCTGTTTAATTGGGCTGTCCCCCAAAAAGAAAAGTAAGAAATGTGCTCATTCGCCTGCTCTTTTCCTGTGACCAGGACCTGGAGACTGAATCTAGGATGGGGCCAGGTTTCCCTCACCTTCTCTGCATGGGGAAGGGGGCCTTGGTGCTCTGCCTACCTGCCAACTGCTCTCTCCTGGTCCTTGAGAGGGTGGGGCCCTGTTGCTGTGTGCAGAGCCTTGGGTGCTTTTGCACATGTACATTTTTCTGGTGAGAGAGCCCTTTGTCCGTCATAAGGGATTATGATCCCCAAGAAGCTAAGAACCTCTTATCTTTATAAAGGGTATTCTTTACATTTTATCTCATCTTCCAGAACTCCAGCTGAGCATGGCCTCATTTCTCTTTGATCATCTCAGTACCCCGACAAAGACAGCTGTCACACAGTGGCCCACCAAATCTGTGAATGGAGGTGACAAAGTAGGAAACTCCCTGTAGGGATAAAAGGTGGCTCTGCCTGGGAGAATACCTGTCCCTCTTTGAAGCAGAACTTGCAACTAGTTCTGCTAGGCCCTTTCCACATCCAAGCTGAAGCTCTGCACTGTTAGGCCAAAAAGCTGCAGGATTCTAGTACCAGGAGAGCATCTTCAGATATCCACGGCATCCTTCCTTGTCCCAGGCAGCACAACGGATCCTGGTTCTGCTGGGAGATTGGCAATTGAGGAAGAAGTGGAGAGGAAAGGGGGCAGGGCGTGAGGTGGGGTGTTGAGGGTCTGCTGCTCCTCTTCCAGGGCTGGGGAAATTGAGAGAGTCCTTCCCATTTCTTTCCCACATACTCACAGCCTCCAGCTTGGGGAGTCTGATCAGAGGGGCCTTTGAATTTGATGCCAGACAAAGAAAATAAAATGGCGACGTGAAGCACTGAGCCAAGAAGGAGGACCGTGTGAGGAAAGGAAAAGTTAGGGATTCATGCGATGAGTGTGAGGAGGGCCCTGCCTAGTAAACAGGAGGCTGCATGTTGGGAGGGAGTGGGATCAGAAAGGGGTGTTTGGAGTCAACAAGCAGGAAGGAGTTGGGGTCTGTGAGAGCGGCAGGAAGGCTGGTTACCTGGCAGAGAGAGAGAGAAATCTCCAGACTGTGAGCTTAGAGCTCTTTGGGTTGAAGAGGGAAAGGGTCTGGGTGTCTGAGCCCATGGGCAATGACCTAGATTTCCTGAGGAAGGAAGAGGGCCCAGGAGTCCGGATGAAGAGTATGCAGTATTGAACCAGACGCTGGCATTTTAGATTCCCGTCCAGTAAAAATGACAAAGATTAAACCAGATGACCCAGTGTGCACTTCTGTCATGTTCACTTCAAATCCTTAATTTCTCGTCATTTTTTAATGAGCAGGCATTTGAGTCACTCCAACTCTTAGTTTCTCCCTCAGTAAAGAACTGAAGAGTTTAGTAAAGGAAAGGTTCCAGCCCTCTGAGGAATCCTTTGGTCTTGATAAGTTCACCCTCCATCTGTTTCCAAGTAAGATATACAGAGGGTGTGTGTGTGTGTGTGTGTGTGTGTGTGTGTGTGTGTGCAGGGGGTAGTGGTCATGGTAGTCATACCTATTTTCTTTTTTTGAGATGGAGTCTCACTCTGTCGCCCAGGCTGGAGTGCAGTGGTGCGATCTCGGCTCACTGCAACCTCTGCCTCCTAGGTTCAAGTGATTCTCCTGCCTCAGCCTCCCGAGTAGCTTACAGGTTCCCAGGATTACAGGCACCTGCAACCCCACCCATCTAATTTTTGTATTTTTAGTAGAGATGGGGTTTCACCACGTTTGCCAGGCTGGTCTTAAACTCCTGACCTCAAGGGATCTTTCTGCCTTGGCCTCCCAAAGCGCTAGGATTACAGGCATGAGCCACCACACCCGGCCCTGGTAGTCATACCTATTTTCATAAAAATAATTCATTCTCTTTCTCATTATCCCCTTCCCACCTCTTCTCTCCATTCTTCCTGTTGCCCCTAACTCACAGTACCATCCTCTCTGGCTGGAGGGTCTACAAGAGTCTCCTCCATCTCTTCCTGACCCTTTCCATTCATCTTCCACACAGTAGGCAGAATGAAATTTTCTTTTCTTTTTTTTTTTCTTTTGAGACGGAGTCTCACTTTGTCTCCCAGGCTGAAGTGCAGTGGCCTGATCTTGGCTGCAACCTCCAACTCCCAGGTTCAAGTAATTCGTCTGTCTCAGCCTCCCAAGTAGCTGGGATTACAGTTGCATGCCACCACACCCAGCTAATTTTTGTATTTTTAGTAGAGATGGGGTTTCAGCATATTGGTCAGGCTGGTCTCAAACTCCTGACCTCAGGTGGTCCACCCACCGTGGCCTCCCAAAGTGCTGGGATTGCAGGCGTGAGCCACCACAACCGGCCCAGAGTGATGTTTTCAAACTGCTAATATAATCCTGTCAAATCCCCAACCCCTCCCAGATTCAAACCCTTCAAAAGCCTTCACTTGGCTTTTAGGACAAAAGACATCCTTTGCTGCTCCCCAGCTTTCAAGCCTCAATTCTTCCTCCCTCCTCCATGCTCTGCATCCCTCCACACTGGCCTTCTTTTGGCTCCTTGCAGGGCACATTCTCCCTCCCTCACCTTGGACTATATACTTCCCCCACCATCCACTCCTACTCACCTTTCAGATCTCCGCATAGCTTCCTTAAGAAAAAGCCTTTCAGGATTTCTCAGTCTCGAGTGGCTCCTTCCTTCTAGGTTCCCAGATAACTATTTTTTTCAGACCGCATCTCTCCCTTCACTATTATACATTCTACATGGGGATTATGTGATCACAGGTTGCCTCCCTTGGTAAACTGTAAGCTTTATGAAGTTGGATATTCCTGCTGATGCTCATCAGTGTACTTCTGGAAGCTAGCACGGGGCTTGGTCCCCAGCAGGTACTCGAGAAATATATATCAAGCCAATAAGTGAATGAGGGCATTCAGCAACTACTTATTTATTCATTTATTTATGCAACAAAAATTTTATTGAGAGCCTACTATGTGTCAGACTCTGGGCTAGGTGCTGTGTATTCCATAGTGCACATAACAGACAAGATCCCTCTCTTCAAGGAACATACAGTCTAGTCAGAAAAATATGTATGTCTTCTTTAAAGAAGTAGTATTTGAGATGACAACCAAAGCAAGAGTAAAATTAGCCAGGCCGAGAAAGGAGGGGAAAGAATTTCAGGAAAAGGGACAGCATATAGGCAGGCTGAAAGTCTTGAAAAGTTTGAAGAGTTCAAAGAAATGAAAGAAGGCTGACATGGCTGAAAAGAAAGGGTGAGCAAAGGGGAACACAGTGGGAGATGAGTGCAGAGAGTTAGAACCACACTCTTGCAGGTCTCAGAGAATGTGGAGAGGAGTTTGAACTTGCTCCTACATGCAAAGGGAAGAAACTGGAAGGTGCAAGTGAGCTGGGGGTGGGGTGACATGATCTGTTCACGCTGGCTGTTGGGCTGAGAATGGATTGCAAAGGGCAAGAATGGAAGTGGTTGACTAGTTAGGAGGCTATTGGAGTTGTCCAGGCAAGAGAATCATCACTTGCTTTGAACCAGGATGGTGACAGTGGAGAGAGACAGGAAGGCAAATTAAAGAAGAATTTTCAGTGTAGGGTTGGTTGAAAGTACTAAGTGACAAACTAGATGTGGGGTGGTGGTGAAGAATAATGAGGTGTCAAGAATGACTCCCAGTTTCCTAGTTTGAGTAACTATGTGGTTAAAGTGCCATGTACAGATGATAGTAACCAGAGGAAAGGCAGATTCCTTCTGAGAAAAGATCAAGAGCTCTCTTTTGGATATGTTAAATTAGAAATGCCTATGAGATATTCACATGGTTGTAAGTAGATAGTATACATCTTGAGCTCAGGCAGTAATCTGGAATAGAGATGCAAATTTTAGAAATTCTCAGTATAAAGATATTGTTTAAAGCCATGAGTATCAAGTAGCCTTTGGTGTATAACAAACTACCCAAAAGTTTAGTGACACAAAACAACAGTTATTTACTAGCTCACAATTCCGTAAGTTGGCAGTTTCATCTGGGATTAGCTGGGTGGTTCATCTGCTGATCTCTCTTGGGTGAGAATGCTCTGCAACAGCCTCACTCACAAGTTTGTTAGGCTGTTGGCTAGAGCATCTTGGCTATCCTCCACATGGCCACTCCTATGGGCTAGCTTAGGTTCATTTACAAGACAGTTTTAGTGTCCAAAAGCACAGCAAGAGAGGGCGATCACCAACGTACAAATGTTTTTTAAGTCTTTATTTTCATCACTTTTAAAAATTACCCATTGACCAAAGCAAGCCCAGTTCTAAAGACTGAGAAATAGATTCTACCTTATGATAAGAGGAATGGCAGTTACATTTCAAAGAGGCATGTGTGCAGGGAAGAGAGGGAGGGATTGCAGCTGCCTTGTAAGCCACTACACTACAATAGTATGACAAGCTCACTCAGGGAAGAGCGCAAACATGTAAGGGCAGAGCTCTGAGGAGTTTCTATCATTAAACAACAACTTGAGGAAGAGGGGTGGCTGAGTAGGTGAGGAGCAGAGAGTAGGATTGAGGGAAATCCAGGAGCGATGGCTTGTGCACACTGAATGAAGACAGTATTTCAAGGAGGGAATAGTCAACAGAATGGCAGGAGGTAAAGTTGGGTCAAGTTGGATGAGGACAGCAAACCCTGGGCATGGCTGATGGGATAGGATTTCTGAGGAGGAAGGCAAATCAAAGACAACAGGCTGTGTTCACAGAATAAGTGACTCAAGCTGCTTCTAGCTCCCCTAAGCCCCATTTTCCTGTCCCTCAGATTCCTAAAATAGCTAGGGAGACAGAGATGGGCAGCACCCTGTTATGCCCTCTTTTCCTCCTGCTCCTGCGTCTTCCCCTACAGTGGCCTTGTGGGCAGGACTTTGGGGATGGTTTTTGGCATCAATGAGTTACTTCCCACACATCCATGGAGCTCCTGCTGGGGCCCAGACACTATGCCAGGTGCTAAGGGTGAGGGCAGGGATGGAGGGATCATGTCCTGTTAGGGAAAAAGGGATCTCAGAATCTAATCCCTATTATTCCCCCAAATCCAGCACAGGCCTTGATTCTCTCACCTGGATAGCAGCTGCTACCGTCTGACATATTTGCCTCTCTGCTTCATCCTTTATGGTCTACAACCCACACAACAGCAGGAGGCCCCTTATAAACATCCAGTCTCAGCCTGTTGCTTCCTGAGTTAAAATCACTCAACAGCTCTTCCCTGGCTAAGGATCAGCTTTAACACCCTAGCAAGGCCCCCACAATCAGGCATCAAATCATCTTTGTAGCCCCATCTCCTGCTACCACCTCCCCAGGCCCCTCAAACTGGATCACCAGCCCCACCTGCAACATCCCTGTAACATGCCATGGCCTTCTCTGCCTAGCCAAGGTGACCACCAACTTCGCCTTGGATCTCTCTCTTTGGAGAACCTCTCTCCCTCCATGCCTCCATACTGGCTTTGTTTACACACTGCTGCATTTGTGTGTCTGTCTGCCCCGACACTGTGAGCTCCCTGAGGGCAGAATATAGGCTCAGGTTTATCTTTGTTTCCAGCATCATACAACATGCATTCAATGTGTGCTTACAGGAGGAACGAAGTCACTTGTCTTTGTGTCCTCAAACCCAGCACAGCACATAGTACAGAGCCCATCAGTCCCACTCACAATTCGCTGACCAAGTGAATAAATGAGTGTCTTTGCTCTCCTTTTTATCCCCCAGATTTACCACCAGGCCTGGAACAGAGTGAATGACAGTAAATATTTCCAGAATCAAATGAATAAGCCCCCATCACCACAGGACCTCAGAGCTTTCCAGGTGTCCCCTGGGAGGGCAGAAATTAAAGGGAACAGACAGTGCCCAGAAATCAGCTAACCTGGGTGCTGGTCTTGGCTCTAGTTCATGGTGATGGTAACACTGAAGACATTTGAGCCTTCCTAATCCCAGTGCTGGGATTATGGACTGAACCCTAGCTGGCAGAAGGCAGCAGATTCCAAGGACTATTTCCCCCAGAGCTGCTTCCTTCCTGGTACTCTCCATAACCCCAGCAGGCCCCTCAACTCCCACTAGACCACACTGCTCCTCTAGGGGCTTCCCTTGCCTGCTGGTTCACAAACGCTGCTGCTCCCCTCCACTCCCTCTTTCCCTTAGCTGTGAGTTAAGAGTCCTGGGGCACTTCCCCATACTGACAATCTCTTTGGCCCCACCTCTCATAGAAACACATGCTCCTTTTGCAAGGGCCCATGTGAAATTCTGAGCATGACAGCTTTCCCTCCCAACTCTCTGATGTATAAAGGAATCTGAAGACAAGAAGGCACTTTGTTTTTGTCCCTAGTGAGCTTCCTAAAATGTTTACAGGTGTGTATTAGGCCATTCTTGCATTGCTGTAAAGAAATACCTGAGACTGGTAATTTATAAAGAAAAGAGGTCACGAAATGACCTCATGGTTCCACAAACAGTACAGGAGACATGATGCTGGCATCTGGTCAGCTTCTGGAGAGGCCTCAGGAAACTTACAGTCATGGCAAAAGGTGAAGTGGGAGCAGGCATGTCACATAGCCAGAGCAGGAGCAAGAGAGGGAAGGTGTCACACACTTTTAAATAACCAGATCTTATGAGAACTCACAATCATGAGGACAGAACCAAGAGGATGGTGCTAAACCATTAATAAGAAATTCACCCCCTTGGCCGGGTGTGGTGGCTCACACCTGTAATCCTAAGCACTTTGGGAGGCCGAGGCAGGCAGATCACCTGAGCTCAGGAGTTCAAGACCAGCCTGGGCAATGTGGTAAAATCCCATCTCTACCAAAAACACAAAAAATTAGCTGGGCATTGTGGTGCATGCCTGTAATCCCAGCTACTTAGAAAGCTAAGACAGGAAAATTGCTTGAACCCAGGAGGCGGAGGTTTCATTGAGTTGACATCATGCCACTGCACCCCAGCCTGGGTGACAGAATGAGACTCTGTCTCAAAAAAAAAAAAGAAAGAAAGAAAGAAATTCACTCCCATGATCGAATCACTTCCCACCAGCACCCCCCCACCCACCCCCCAACACTGGGGATTACATATGGACATGAGACTTGGGCAAGGACACACATCCAAACTATATCAAGGTGGGTGACAATCTTGTTCTCTACTCGCTAATCTTCACTGCCTGACAACTGCCTGATGAGCCCTGAGTCTCTTCCCAAACTGTTTTTCTAGGTCTGCAATTTGAGCTGCCACCAAGCTCTGAGCCTGGGACTAACAGCTTAGGGGTGATTAGCAGCTTAAAATGGAGAACCTTCCCTCATGTGGCTGTGAGACAGGCATATGAAATAGTAATTTTGACAGTAATTTGAGTGTACTGTTAAGTGTATTGTTATTGCCCCTATTTCACAGGTGAGAAAACTGAGGTTGAAAGCAACATGAGAAGGCCATTTGCTCAAAATCATATTATTATTATTATTTATTATTTGAGACAGAGTCTCACTCTGATGCCCAGGCTAAAGTGCAGTGGCTCAATCATATAGCTCACTGCAGCCTCGACCACCCAGACACAAGTGATCCTCCAACCTCAGCCTCCCCAGTAGCCGGGACCACAGGCAGATGCTACCAAGCCTGAGTTATTTGTTTTTATTTTTTGTAGGGATGGGGTCTCCCTACATTGCCCAGGATGGTCTCAAACTCCTGGGCTCAAGTGATTCTCCTGCCTTAGGCTCCCAAAGTGCTGGGATTACAGGTGTGAACCACCATACCCAGCCAAAGTCACACTTTTAAGTGATAGAGTCAAGTCTGTATGAATCCAAAGCCCAAAACTTTGATGCCTTGCTATGCTGCTATGTGTTCTGAGAACAGCCCAAATCTGAATGTTTTAAAGCCTAATTCATCCATAATGTTGAGTAGTCATTTCTGAAACTCAGACAGATTTGAATGATGCTGAAGATCATAGAGCATCCAGGTTTCCAGATGATAGGACTATTAACTTGGATTTGGGGAAAAAAAGAGAATTCTAAGGATCCACATAGACACCCTGAGAGGCAAGTTTCTGTTGCTATGCAGCAAGCTGTGTGCTAGGTAAAGATGACACGGAGCTTCAGTTTCCTCCCTTCGATCATTATTTTACTTCCCTGTTCAAAAATACACACCAAACATCCTCTACACAAGCATTGCTCATGTAACTGGTGTACAACCATGGACAAGCAGATGCAGTCCCTATTCTCATACATCTCATATTCGAATGAAATTCTGGAAGGGAACAACATTCCCTCCTTGTTAGAGCATCCTAGTCATCCTCTAACAAGCCTGACAATGGCCATCAGCTCTCTGCTTACACTCTTCCTGTGACAGGGAACTCACTGCTGCTGTAGGAAATGGTTCATTCCTTTATATACTCAGTTTCTTAGGTAATTCCTTACAATGAGTCAAAAATGCCCCACTTCCCCTATAACCCATCCCCATTTTATTATCATTACTATTCTTTTTGAGATAGGGTGTTGCCCTGCCACCCAGGCTGGAGTGCAGTGGCACAATCATAACTCACTTGCAGCCTCAAACTCCTGGGCTCAAAAGATCCTCCTGCCTCAGCCGCCCAAATGACTGGGACTACAGGCACATACCACTGTGCCCAGCTAATTTTTACATTTTTTTGTAGACATGGGACCTTGCTTTGTTGCCCAGGTTGGTCATTCCCACTATTGACAAGGATACATATCCTCTGGAAACCCACAGAATAGGTCTAAGGTCTTCCATCATGAGTTAGCTTTTAAATATTTCAGGGTAGTTCACATGACTTGTATAAATCTTCTCACTGTTAAAAAGGCTCAGAGACAGTTCTGGGCCTCTCCCCAGAAACAACATTAAAATTGGAAGCAGATCTCAGATGAGGTGGGATTAAGGGAAGCAAAGACTTCTCACCCCATGCCACCTTTCCAACAGGTCCAGCTGACTTTACTGACTCAAAAGAGGCACACGTGCTGTTCCTCAGACTCAGGTTCTAGAGCAGTTGATAATGTCTTGCTAGGGAGGAGGACTCTGTCCTGGCCTGCTTATCTGCAAGAAATGATTCTATGGTCTGAATGTTTGTGTTCTTTGTAAATTCATATGTTGAAACCTAGCTCCCAGGGTAATGCGGAGGTAGGGCCTTTGGGAGTGAATAAGTCACGAGGGCAGAGCCCTCATGAAGGGGATTAGTGCCCTTATCAAAGAAGCCTGGGGCAGCTTGTTTGTCCTTCCATCACAGAAGGACACAGAAGATACCATCTGTGAGGCACCTCACCCGACACTGAATCTGCTGGCACATTGATCTTGAACTTGCCCAGCCTCTAGAACTGTGAGCAATAAATTCCTGTGTTTATAACTTACCCAGTCCAGGTTATTTTGTTACAGCAGCTGAATAGACTAAGACAGCAACACAGCATAAGAAGCTGTGAGCAGAGTCTGCTCAGCCATCTGGATCCCAGAATTGACCGTCCCCCAGTGTGTAATCCAATCTTTCTCATCCAGCTCACCCTGAATCAAAACTTGAAGAATTAGGGAGCCATAAAGGGAAACATGAAAGTTTTTTTGGGGCCTCTTGGAGGAAGGAAAGAATGGAAAATCATCTGTTCAGAGTTTCCCGCCTGGGTGATGGATGGAGCTATAAGGAAACCCTTCCCTGTTGGCTCAGACCCAGGTCTGCTCTCAAGGGGCAACCAGGCTTTGACCACTTCCTCTGCACCCCAGCTCCATGGGAAGAAAAAGAAGGGGGCTGCCCCTGCATTCAGGTGGCCAGACAACCACCCCTCTGCTCTGATGCTCAGAACTCCCCTATCAGTGAGCGACTCACAAGGTGCTGGTTGGTTGGTGTTTGCTGCCTTCAGTGGAAAACAGGCCCTTGAGCTGCCTATGTCCCAGGTTCTAGCAAAACTTGACCACTGCCTACTAAAGATCCCACAAAAGAGCCCAAATCAAACTGCCTCTCTGCATCTTTGAAACTGCGCTCTAACTCAGCTGTTGCACATATGCTGTTATAACCTCTGCTCTGGGATTGATTTATCCTCAGTTTTGCTTATGTATAGTTCCTTAATCATTCTGACTGTTTTAAAATTCAAAATTAATGTATCCTCATCATGAAGAAGTCAAGCCCTATAGAAATAAATAATGTAGAAAGTACAAGTTTCCTGTAACCTCCCTCCCCTCCCCCACCAAGATAACAACTGTTAATACTTCTCCATACATTCATTCAGATCTTGTTGCCATATGTATGCTATCAAAAAGGATTTTAGTGCATTTAATGCTTTGCAATCTACTTTTTCCACTTAATATATATTTGGAGCCTTTCCATGCCACTGTAGACTACATACTAAATCACGTCCATTTTATAAAAGCTCCTACAAAAGAGTTTGCACCACCTTGCTTTTTTTGTTGCTGTTATAAACCTGATGTAGCAAGCATCCTTGCATCTTTGTGCAGTTGGATGAGTACCTGGGTTGTTTCCAGTTGTCTCCTATTACTGGCATGCTGTAATAAACAGGCTTGTGCCTATGCCTCTGTGCATGCATGGGCATGTTTCTTCTGAAGAACTGAGGTTTTGAAGTAAAACCTGAGTTAAAGAGTAGGTAAATCTTTAGTTTTGAAAAATACTGCCAAATTGTGCTCTAAAAAGGTTGTGCCAGTTTTCACTCCTACTGGCAGCGTGTGAATTAAGCAGTTGTGCTTTAATATTGCCTTTGGCTTTTACTGAAGGACATGCCAAGACACAGCCCCGCAGACTCATTCCTGCACTTGCTGTGGGACTTATGCTCAGCACAGTATGGTTGACATCCCTTAGGACCTGCCAGAAAGTCCCACTTGAGGTTGCTTATGAACAATGGCATGATCTAAGGGGACTTTCTCAGAAGGACATTCTGAGATACTCTAAGAGACAAGCAGAGGCAGGAGAAGTGGGCAGATAGATACCCAGGAAGACCCTTGTGTGAAGTATCCTCTGTCTTATCCAAGGAGCATATTATTTTTTTCTTGGTGGCTGTTCCACATCTCTCATCCAACAAACACACACATGCACAATCACACTTCCCAGGTTCTTGTGCTCTGGATTCCATCAGTGGTTCAAATAAAAGGCTCCCTGGAGATTCCATGACACTGCTCCATGGCCCAGCAGGTGGACAAGACTGCAATGAGTTCACAGTGTAGTGTAATTTTCTGGTCTTGGAAAGACATGGCATCTCAATTGGTTAGATCTCAGCTGTGTTGTGAATCATTTTGTCTTTAAAACCATCTACTGCTCTGTCTACTCAGCCTAGCCCTCTTTGTATGATGCAGGACTACTGTGGGCAGAGTGGATATTTGACCCATGTGGCCAGAAATGATTAGAAAATGAAGCAAAGTGCATAGAAACCCAAACTGGGCATCTGACATAAGCTTGGCTTAGTCATTACAAGCTGAGGCTGTCCTGAAAATAATAACCCATAATCAATATTAGTTAACATTTATTCAGGGCTTACCATATGTGCTAAACATCAGTGTTTACCTTTCCAAATGCTTTGTTTGTATGTTTATACACACACACACACACACACACACACACACACACACACACTATTTTATCAAATTCCCTCATCAATCTCGTGAGGTATGCATTAGTTTCTGAGTCTTATCTGAGTTAACCAGGTAGTCTGACCCCTCAGTTCACTCTGTTGGGATTTTCTATTTTCACAACACATCTCTTATTTTACAGAGCATTCCAAATATGTCATCTCATTTGATGTTCAGATAAAGAAATGCTGGGAGGCTGGGAGGACAGGTATTGTGACAGGTGGGGAAACTAAGGTATGGTGGCATGCCTTGCCTCAGGCCCCACCCCACAGGAGTGATAGAGCTGGAATGTGAAGCAAGTCCTTTGACTTTGGGGCTTCTCACATGACTCTCCAGTTGGGTGTCCATCGTGGGTGTGTGTCCTTAGTCTCAGGTAAGTCCTTAAAGCACAGTTTTCTCAAGACTTGAAGGTCTGGGTGCTGGGGCCATCACAGGTGGCCCCCAGCCAGGTGACAGGACCTGTAGACAGGCTCAGTCCTTGCTGGTGGCTTGGTATTCCTCGGGCAATTATTTTCAGAAGCAAATTGACATTTTGGTTGTCTAGAAAGCCTGGCTCTCACCTGCTGCCCAGGAATTGAACTGCTCATTGGCCCATGGGTTTATGAATGCCAGCTGCTTTTTCTCATTACCGCTTTCAATTAACTCATTGTTCTGAGCCCGAAGGTAACAGACTCCCCTTGGGATTCATTTGCATTAAGTCTGGGCCCTGGTTTCTTTTCCTTTTTTTTTCCTTCCTTTTTTTTAGAATAAAAATTCAAGTGTTGCGAAGTAAACAATTAGAAACTTCAGGGCTGGAGCCCCTGGTTGTGGGCCTGGGACAGAAAAGGCAAATGTTTTCCACCATGACCCTGCCAGGATGAGGTGCCCATGCTACCCAGGAGAATTGAACACATCCTTTAAGCATCAGATTGGTCTTTCTTGTTGGCGGCCGAGGCTGCAGGACAAAGATTCAGGTGTGTAGGAAGGCAAGATGTCATAAGACTTGCTGAAGAGGGCACCCTCCTGTTCTGTTGGGACCCACTGCTTAAGGAACATGTGTATAGTCTCCCATTACAGAAGGAAGAGAACTAAAGCTTATTGAACTTCTACTATATGCTAAGTGTGATAGCCCTCATTTCACATCACCCCCAGGGCAATTGTATCCCTAAGAACTATTATTCCCCCATGCCTTTTTTCTTTTTTGTAGAGACAGGGCCTCACTCTGTCACCCAGGCTGGAGTGCAGTGGTATGATCATAACTCACTGTAACCTCAAACTCCTGGGCTCAAGTGATCCTCCCACCTCAGCCTCCTGAGTATCTGTGATTACAGGCACATCCCACCACACCTGGTTAATTTAAAAAAAATTATTTTTGTAGAAATGGGGTCTCACTCTGTTGCCCAGGCTGGTCTCAAACTCCTAGGCTCAAGTGATCCTCGCACCTCAGCCTCTCAAAGTATTGGGCTTACAGGACTGAGCTACTGTACCTGGCCCTATTATTCTCACTTCATAGGTGAGGAAACTGGGGCACAGAGAGGGGCAGAAACTTGCCCCAAGCTACACATCTGGGATTAGTGGAATGATGATTTACACCAGTGAAGACAGAGGTAAGCAGGGAAAGTCAGCCCGGGCAAGGAAGGGGATAAGGTAATACAGGACTTTGTGCGATTGAGTGATAATTCCTTAAAATTTCAAGGCTTCCACTGACTCCCCACCTGTTTTTCATTCATTTCTTTGAGAAACACTTCCTCTGTACTGCCTATAGATGGTCAACAAGTGTTGACTTGACAACGGAGATGTTTATTGGTAGGTTTCTTATGTTAAAAAAAAAAGGCTCATGCTTCTCCCCTTTGGGGTGTGTATCAGATGGCTGGTGGACGCAGGAAAAAAGCCCCATCACTGCTGCTGCTTCATGGCCGAGAGCCGCAGATTAGAGTGGATTCCTGAGATGGGGGACCAGCCAACCATCCCAAGAGCAGGAAGACAGGAGGCACAGAGAGTCGGCAGATCAAGCCCAGGTCCGTGACCACCATCCTTCTCCAGAAATGTCTCAGGGTAGATATAAGCAGTGCCAGGGGCAGGCCCTTGAGCTGGGACACCCCACTCTGCCATCAAGCAAGGGACCTGGGGCAAGTCCTTCCCACTCAGGTAGGACCTCAGTTTCTACACCTGGAAAGTGAAGAAACTGAATGAGGTCTAAGGTCTGCCCCAGTCCCAAAGGTCTCTGCTGTGTCAAAGAAGATCTGGGTCTCTCATTATTCCTGAAGTTGAGAAAGCTACTTTACCTATTATTTTATCATACTCAAACACTTTGATGGTAACAGAATCTGTGTTTTTTTCCCTTGGTGTGTTATTTTAAGTTATTAACTTCTTTTCATTATCTTTATCTTTGATCAAAGCCACCTATTCTTCATTGGATCTGAATTTACTGATAGACCAAATGAATCTAAAAGCTGAATTGCTACCCTCTCACCCCCATTCCCTCCGACATCCACCGACAACCAATTTGCTGGGTAGAGCATATAAATACTATGCACGTTTGCGGCACTTTGCAGGCTACCTTTTGTTTCTCTTCTGGAGGGTTTTCATGCATCTGAGCTAAAGGAGACAGAGCGTGAAGAAGCTGAAAGATCTAACAGAGAGGAAAGGCCGGAAGTTTACAGGGAAGATGGCTGATCCTTGCCAATGGGGTGAAAAAGTCAGACATCTGGTTGCTAGTTGTGTTTCCTGCTGAAATTCAGGGCAAAAGGTCCCCTACAAGTTTGGGTCTGGGACGGAGGAAAAGAAAGGGAGTAGGAGGGTAGTTGTGAGACAGGAATCCTGCAGCCGGGGAAGGGGGAAGTGACAGGCAAAGACAACTGTTCTATGTGCTTTCAACTCAAATCTTCTTCTAAGAGTGGGAAGGAGATTTGGCAAAATATTCAAAGCAATCCAGCTTCCGGGGGGTGAGCAGTATCTGAGAGGCCCTTACAGGTTTGCTCTTGGCTCAAGTATGCATTTTCAGGAGGAGCTACGAGGCTGCAATCCAAAGTTCTGCCTGATAACAGAAGCTAGGAGTTAACCTGGAATTCCTTATTACCACTGCAGATTAGCAAGAAGGGAACAAACAGATACCCAGATGTTTTGTGTGTGCGTGCCTTATTGCTATAATCCTTAACAGCACTTTGTGTTTTATGCTTTTACAAAGGACAAGGCCCTACATCCGATTCCAACCATCCCATGTTGATGAAGGATGAGTTAATCTGGAGTTAAACTAGGCAGGTTGGGACTATTAACCCCCATTTCGCAGGAGAAGAAACATGCTCAGAAAAAAGAAGCAAGTCGACCCACATTGCAGAGCCGTATCAGGCCTTGATTAGGTCTCCAGGCCCAGACTTGTACCCTAATATCTCATGTCACCAGGAACTGTAAAGAAGCCTGAGCTTTGTGTGTGGCCCCTGTAGCATTCAGTCCAAAGTGCTGCTTTTGAGCCACATGGTATAGAACTAATTCTTTGACCTTGTTGACTCCTGTAGCATTTTGGAGTAATTTCTGATCCAATGAATATTTGTGTCACAACCAACCAACCTAACATTAAATTCAGTTTTCCTTGAAATGAACTCCAATTACTAGCTCTTATTTTATATTAACAATTGTTACATCGACACTACACAACTCTTTCAACATTCTAATGTTTAAGCATTATCGTATTAATACAATATCCAGGAAAACAGTTTATGTTTTATATTTAAACCTTCAAATAAAAGTGATGCATTGGCCTTCCTTTCTTCTCTCCTTTCATTCATCATTCCACAGATATTTATGAAGCACTGAGCCTGGTGCTGGGGACACAGCAGTGAACCAAACAGGCAAGAACTTTGACTTCATGATGATGAAGACTGACAATACACAAATAGACACATCTGAAAATACAATAAGTCTTCATAAATGCCTAGAAGAAAAGAAGTGTGCTATGGCAGAAAAAAAATTAACCGAAGAGCCTATATTCAAGATGAAGAGGGAGGCAAAGAGGCCACGAAAGAGGAATAAACAAAAGGAGGATACCAGCAAAGGCCAAGACAGGCTGGTTTCAGGAGCTAGAGCTGAGGAACACCAGTGTGGCCTGAGTTCCTAAGAGGCTTCACAGGGGGTAGCTAAACCAACAAGTGCATTCAGCAAGACATTGTGGAGTCTGTTTGCACTATGAACCTCTGTTTTCTCATCTGTAAAGTTAGGAGAGTGATACTAACCACACCAGATGTTTGAGAGAATGATTAGCCTCCAGCCCAGTAAAATGGAAATCCCAAGTCAAGATATGCAAGTGTGCCTTTGTAATACCAGCTTTGCTTCATTGTAATGTTTTCCTGATCTTCCTCAGTGGTGACTGGAGCACTTTGCTTTGGGTTATTCCTGCCCCTAAACTATTAAATGATCTATACACAAATCTTGCAGGGTTGCACCATGCAGGGATGCTGTAGAGCTTTGGTCCTGGGCACTGCGTCACCCTCTAATTTATGACTCAAAAGCATTCCAGTACTAATGGTAGGGGTCTAGCATTATTAATATATAAGGCTGCTGTTTGTGTGTGGAAGAAAACATTCTTGGCCGAGTGCAGTGGCTCACGCCTGTAATCCTAACACTTTGCAAGGCCAAGGCAGGAGAATTGCTTGAGGCCAGGAGTTTGAGACCAGCCTGGGCAACAAAGCAAGACCCTCTCTCTAAAAAAAATTTTTTTAAAAATTAATCGGGTGTGATGGTGCACACCCGCAGGCCCAGCTACTCGGAAGGTGGGTAGGATGGCTTGAGGTGGAAGGATTGCTTGAGACTGGAAGGTTGAGGCTGCAGTGAGCTGTGATTGCGCCACTGTACTCCAGCCTGGGTGACAGAGAGACTCTGTCTCAAAAAAACAAGTTCTTTCTTTTCTCATATCACTCCTTGCCTCTGTGTTCGGGAGACATTTTGAAAGTTTAGAAGGCACACTGAGATAAATATGAGCAAAAGTGTTTTACCAACTGTAAAGCAGCGTTTCTCCACCCTGTGCCATCTAGGTGTCATTTCCCCTCTGATACACCACTCCTCCTTAGAGAATCACAGAATCTTGGGTCACTGGTATTACAAATGTATGGGTACGTTATTGTTTTCTAAGAATTAAAGTATATTCTATTTAACATATCATGTTTCACAGTCTTAAAAACTCTTCGATGAAACTTATTTAAAGGCCTAACAACCCTGCCTGTTTGTTTTTATAGCACTTATCTGATTGCACCATTGGATATTAACTCATGGATATATTTTGTTGATCACCTCTTTTCCTAATTCTAGAATGTAAACTTGAGGAGACCTGTCTGTCTTGGTCACTGTTGTGTGCACAGCATCTAGAAATATGCCAGGCCTATAGTAAGCAATCAGTAACTATGAGTTTAAGGAAGTAATGAATCCCATTTTACAGATGGGACAACTGAGGTTTCACAGGGTTCAGTAACTTTTCCAAGTTCTTACAGGAATTAAATGGTAGGGCTAGGCTAGAAATCAGATCCCTAGATTTCTCCTCTAGAACTCTCTCCGGGATACTACCTCTCTTTCTGTGGCATAATCATAAGCTCAGAAATATCATATATAAGAAATATCTGAAATGGCTATCCACATAGCCCATGCTTATAATCAACGTGATTTTTAATTTCTCAAATAAAGGAGATTAGAAACTATAATGAATACGGGAAGCAGCACTGGGGAAAAGCTGACCCATCTGCCACAGACCTGATGTCAAGGGTCAGGCAAGAAGATAGAGAAGCAGGCCCGGGGCTTGCAGGGATTGGCTGGCCAGGCCATGCTGTGTAAGGGTGAATGGCCCCATGTATTGTCATAGCTCTAGATGAGAGCCTCTCTGCATCACAGCACTTGATGGAGCTTGTGGGAAAATTCAAAGTCAGGAAGGACTTTGCCATAACTGTTAAGGGTGGTTTCCTGGAGGATAGGAGCAGCCTGGGCAGACTTTCAGTGCTGACTGCATGGACTCTTGCATTGTTTATGTTTGTACAGCAAGGTATATTAACCATAACAAAAGCTGGACAAAAAATCATTCAGTGTGTTCTATTTAATGAGTCTGAAAAATATCCACTTCAGCTTAGAATGTTTCCATTAAAAATAATTAAGATATAAAGGAAAGTGTCCTTTTCATTGGCAGGTCAAGTTTCCTCTATGAAATATGCTTAATGCCTATTGAAAACTTATACCAGGCTCTAGGCAAAGCACTTTTCTTACCTATCTCATGTACCTCTCATGACAATCATATGAAGTGGTCTTTTTTATTATCCTAATTTTATGGGAGAGTTGGGCTCAATAAGGCTGAAAAACTTGCTCACAGGCACACAGGAAAGCTACAGAGCTGACTCAAACTCAGACCTTTCCAGCAATGAAGGTCTGCTTCTTAAACAATTGCCCTAGCTGCTTTGTTTTTTGTATGAATCTTGCATTAAAGAAGTTGTGGCAGATTAGAGGTGCATAGAAGGATTTCCATCCTATAAAATAGGATGTGCCTTCCTCTGCTCCTGTCAGTTACAGATGTTCATTGGACAACCCCTCTCTCTTTTCCAACTGCCCACTCACCCCTCTCCTCCAAAATCGAAGCCCCTTGCACTAGCCCATACCATGGTGGAGGCTTGTGTCTATCTCCTTATGAACAAAGGGACATAACCGTGTCTTCACTTGACTTTACCTTGAGTCATTCTTATGTGTCCTGTATCCTAAAAAAATGTTGCTTCTCCTGTATCGATCTGGCATTTACAAAGCAGCTTATGAAAGTGGCAAGCTATTTTCCTTTGGAGACCTGAGGAAGGATCTGGACACTTGAATCATGCAGTGGCCCCAGTTTTGCTTTGTATCTTTATGGCAGAATGTGACACCTTGGAATATGGAGATGATTGCCAGGGGCAAAAGTTTTGCTTCCTGAAATAAACAAACACATGAAGGTAAATCGATTTTGAGTATTTCCTAGTTTAGCTACTTGCTTTACATCTTTGAGAAGTAACCTTGGTCTGCTAGTGCAGCCTCAGAAGAAGGTGTTATGGAGCTGTCTGAAGCTCAGGAAAGGAAAGATCCAGTGTCTTCCTGGAGGCAGGGAGCTTTGCTTCTGTGTGATCAACTTATACGGAGTAGGTATCAGACCTGTTACCTAGAACAAGGTACTGAACCTCTCTAAGCTTCAGGTGAGTCCTTTTAGCATAAGGTTATTGAGAGCATTAAATGAAATTAAAGCTTTTAAAATTGCCTAGCACAAAGCAAATTCTCAGTATAAGCATTATTATTACAGTCTCATTGGGATGCCAAACATTGAATAAATAAATCATACACATTATCACAATACGATTGAGATAAATGCCATGTAGTATAAAGTACAGTGAAAAATCTCAATGAGAGGACAGAATCTAGCCTGGGTGGTCAGAGAAAACTCCCAGGAGGAAGTGAAGGTAATACTGAAATCTAAATGGTGAGAGGAGTCTGTCAAATGGGAGGGGGGCAGTACTACTCAAATTATGCTTTTCAAAAACCAACTGTATCAGAATCACCTTGAATGCTCAAGTATTGTAACTTTAGAAAAATCCACAAACGTAAAAAGCAAAAACGTATATGTCAGTACTGTTTTGTATTTGCATGTCTTCTTTGATTATTAATGAGGTTAAATCTGTTTTCAGAGATATAAATATTTGTGATGGTCATTTGAGTCTTTAATTATTATTTTTTGAGATGGAGCCTCATTCTGTTGCCCAGGCTGGAGTGCAGTGGCACGATCTTGGCTCACTGCAACCTCCGCCTCCCGGGTTCAAGTGATTCTCCTGCCTCAGCCTCCCAAGTAGCTGGAATTACAGGCCCCTGTCACCATGCCTGGCTAATTTTTTGTGTGTGTTTTTAGTAGAGACAGGGTTTCACCATGTTGGCTAGGCTGGTTTCGAACTCCTGACCTCGAGTGATCCACCTTCCTCGGCCTCCCAAAGTTCTTAAGTTTTTTATTGCTAGTATCTTTCCTGTTTATTTTTAAAAAGTTCTTTATATAGTCAGTATATTAATTCTCTCACATTTATCATAGGCATTTTTCCAAATTTGTTATTTAGCTCAATTTTGGGATGCTCTTTAAACTTTAAAAAATGTGTATATCTAAGCCTCCCCCATATGAAAACAATTAATTAGTATATATAATATACTGTTGTTGATGTTGTTTATCTGTTTAGAGAGTTAGTGCCCTTCTGACATCAGATAAATCCTCACCTGTATTTTCTTCTTTTTTTTTATGGTTTTGGTTTTGATTCACATACTTATAAATTTTAAAAACATCTTTGCAAGGTTTTATTCAATGTTGCTTTATTGGTTCTACACCCACATATTTTGATTCTTACTTAGGATAACCTACACTTCTTGGAATTTGTCTCCATTATTTGCCCTCCAAGTAAATAATTTCCTTTCTCATAATCTTTATTACTTTTCCCATTTCCTTTGCATTTTGTAAAGGCTGTTGAAATTTATCCTCCATGTGAATGATTTAATTTTCTGGCATTAATTATAGTTTTTATTGCCTCTAATTTGATGATTTTAATCTTATCATTAATATATGAGTTTCCTTGCCCTTCTTACAGCCCTTTTCATCTCATCTAGCTTTCTTCTCATGGCTTTCTACTTCCGTTTTATAAAAGCTATGTTTATTGAAAGTGTCGAACAGTTTTCTAAAATTTTCTTCTGGGATTTGCCATAAGTTATTTTCACTGTGATGCTCTTCTTGGGAATTTTCAAGATGTTGTTTCCTGTGGTGTTCCTGTCATCTTCACTAGGGTTTTTGTTGTTCCTTGTCAGGATTCCCCTGCTCCACTTGGCTCTGCACAAAGAAGGAACTGTGGGGACAGATGAGTGGATGTGTGTCCAGCCCCACTTCCCATTAATTCAGCAGTAGAGCAGGTGGCTGGAATAGCTCATGACCCAATTTCCAATGTCCAGGAGGAAGAACTATCGTGGCTTTCAGTAAAACCATTTTTTTTTTTTTTTCAGAAAAATACCGTACTTAGAACCTCAAGATAAAAATCTATGTAATCATAAAAACTTGAGTGAAGTGAGAGATAAGAGCTCAGAATAGCATTCCTGTCCTGTGCCTTTCTTGCCCTAAGGCACGTTTTCTCCTGCTTCCCAGTTCTTGGCTCTCCGAAAGGTTGAAAGGATGGAATACCTGAGAGTTGTGAACCTTTATCAGGTGCTGCTATGAAGATTTCCTCTCTCTTTTTTAAGGCTTTGACCTTGGGACTCTGCCACTCTAAAATGCTCCATCCCCCCTCTTTCTCTCTTGCCTACCCCCAATCTCCCTGCTCCCTCCTTTCTGGGATTTGCACTCTGAATGGAGGTAGAAACTGGTGTCCGCAGGGAGTGGGAAATGATAGTTTTCAGAGCACCTCAAAAGGCAGCCTCCTGCTGTTCTGAAATGCCTGTCTGATTGTATGGCTGTTGCAGAAACTTCCAGAGGGTAAAAATGGAAATTGCTGAAGATTCTTTCTGCCTTCTTTTGGGGAAGCAGGAATGCCCTGCTTCATGGGTGAGCACAGTTGGCATTGTTTTTTCCCTTAGTCCTACTCCATTTGCCCTATATTTGGTAGAAATTCTCCCCAGATTCAATTTATAGGGTATTTGCTAGGCATTGTGAGCCTTGGGACCTTTTCTGTATCTTCAGGAGTATTTTGGTGGGAAATTTGGGATAGGAGTTAGTATGAAGCTGCTTGCTCGTTTTTAAAAGTTCAAGTTCCAAGGATTATTTCATGACTGAGTAGACATCACAGGGACCATGGGCACTGCTCCTGCCTCATCTATAGAAGTGGTCTTTATATTTAAATTGTATCCTTTAAATTTTTGACAGTATTTGGTTTATAAGATATTCAATATATCATTACACTATACATTAGAAGTATATGCTCAGACATTTTTAGCAATAGAGGTAGTTGTGATCAAAACAGCCTGGGGAAAAAAAAAACAGTGTGAAGACCACCAGTCTGGAAGATCCTCTGGCACTTCTGGCTCAGGAGGTACAGGTGCCACTCTCCCTCCCTCCATCAGTGCTCCCTCTGGGCCCAGGCTTTTTGGGGCCTCACCATAGAGAAGAGGAGGAGAATACCTGGGCAGCATCCCTCCTGCCCTAGACCAGTCAGCCTGGCTCCTTCCCTACCAGGGCTCAGACACAGGTGTCATGGTCCCCTTTCTTCCCAAGTTGCTACAGTCATGACCTTGCTTTAGGATATTTTGTTCTATTCCAGAGCCCAACAAAGTCAGCATTTAACTAATGAGCACCATACTACTGGGAATATAAAAGACCCCATTGTTTCCCGCCATTTATGGAGGAACATGGCTTCCTGAGGTAAATTAATTTGCGGAAGGAGTTAGAATAACCAATAGCTTTACAATGAGCGATTCCTTACGCCAGTCATGCACAGGGTGGGGCTTAGGAAATTATTTCAGCGCATGTTTTTCTTCAACTCAAGGCTTTTATGAAGAAAAACATTTCTTAAAGCTGTTATTAAGGTATTCAAGCTAGGAACTCAGACGATTCTAAAACACTCCTCTATATTCTTCCTCATCTTCTTGGAATGTCTTTGGAAGAGAGAATTGTTAGGGTCCTGGAAAAAGAAAACCAACAGATCAGGTGGTTGAATATGGCTTCCTGGTGGGGCAGACAGTTCAAAGGATACCTTGAGGCATCTGGCAGTGCACAAGAAAGGGCAAAGCTTCCAGAGAGTAGCAAGTCACTGAAGACAGAATTCTGTTATAGAGAAAAACTGTGTGTGTGTGTGTGTGTGTTTGTGAAGCTTTTTTAATGAACTAGTTTGTTTTTGTTTTTGAGACAGTCTCACTCTGCCACCCAGGCTGGAGTGCAGTGGCGCGATCTCAGCTCACTGCAGCCTTGGCCTCCTGGGTTCAAGCCATTCTCCTGCTGCAGCCTCCTGAGCAGCTGAGATTACAGACACGCACCAGCATGCGCGGCTAATTTTTGTGCTTTTGGTAGAGACAGGGTTTCGCAATGATGGCCAGGCTGGTCTCAAACTCCTGACCTCGAGTGATCCACCCGCCTTGGCCTCCCTCCCAAAGTGCTGGGATTACAGGGGTTAGCCACTGCACCTGGCCTGAACTAGTATGTTTTTTGTATTATGAAAGTGATTCATCCTCAGGGTAAAATTCAAATAGTGCGGAAGGCACAAGGTGATTTAAGTTTTATTACAGTCAGAAAATCTATCTCTCTACCACTGCCCCCCAACTACACACACACACACACACAGACACACACACACATACATACACATATTCAATGTTTATCTTCAAATTAGGTCATTTATGAAAAAATGGAGAAAAATGCTTCTATAAGATATTCACACTGTTAACTGTAAGCAGTTTTCAAAAGTTACCATCAAGCTTACTCTCCTTTTCTTTGAATACTTTTGGAAGAGACACAATTTTCCAAACTGTGTTTGCCAAAACACAGTTCAGGCAATAGAATAGATGAAATTTTTACAAACAGGACAGTGAAAGCCTGGCACATAGTAGACACTCAGGAAATATGTATTGAAATATCTGTTGGCGAAATAAAACTATAATGCTCCTTTGCGATATGGTTTTCTCTCTTAACAATATATTTTGGGCCTCATTCCCTATTAGTTACTAGAAATCGGTAGCATCATTGTTAATCGCTGCTTTGTATTACCTTGTAGGGGTGCACTGTAATTTATTTAACTTCATTGATGGGCATTTAGGTGCATCCAATTTATTTTCTGTCACGACCAAAGCCACAAAGAACATCATTTTGTGTTACTTTTGCACATGAGTGTAAGTCCTTTTGTAGGATAAACAACTACGAGGGAAAAGACTGGGTCAAAGGGCTTACGCAGGGTAGAATTTCAGGATAATCCACTTCTTCAAAAACTTTAAGTGGGAAGTGAGAATAAGATCAGGAACTCTTCTGCCTTGTCCTTTTATTCCAAGTACTCTTGACTACTCAACAGGGCTTCACCAACTGTGTTAGTTTGAGCAAATCTAAGAGCAGACCCTAAGGCAAGTATTCAAGTGCCAGTAGCTTAGTTGGCAGGAGATCTGCAGGCCTACAAGTAGGGGTGTGCAGAAGTGAGACAGGTAAGAAAGGGTGTCTTATCATGCCACTTCTCACTGTGGACAGCTGGGACTAATCTTGCTGGGAAACAATGTAGTACACACCCCAGAGTTACCCCAGCTGTGGGACACGGAAGCTATGGTATTCATTCATCATGGCCATATCGAATTGTTGGATGAGAACTGAATCAAGGGGCATCAGGTATCTGGCTCTTCCTGCTTGTCCCGGGGAGAGGTCAAGTGTGCTTCTGCAGCTGGCAGAGAGCTGCAGGTGTTGGAAAGAATCACCTCTGCTGGTAGGGGTGAGTGCAGAGAGGATGAGCAGGGCAGCGACAACCTCTGCCTCGTCATCTTTTGGGATGTATCACAATCTCCAGCAGAATCGAAGGCTGCTACTTAGTGATAGAAATCAGAAGTCTACTGACGTTTGCCTAGATAACACATGCCAATTTTTAGCTGCCCAGAATATAAAACCCCCTTCTTTGGGGGAGACTTCTTTATTCTGCATGTCTTTGAGAGAGACTGAGCCCCCTTGCCACTGAGAAAGCCCAAATGGGGAATAATTATACTCTGCCTGCTGCATATGAGGCCAGGCAGTGGCACAAAGATTCAGGTACAGTCAGTGACTATTTATGGTGGCAGTAGCCAAGTTCAAAGTCCAGCAGCAGCACGGTGAGTGTCTGGGAACAGCAGAACAGGCAACATGTCATAATCAGACTGTTTTCATAGTGGAGTTCCCTACCATCCCACCTCCATTAGTTCCTACCCATTTTCTAAGCCTGCTTCTCTAATTTGTCCAGCCCTTCTTGGAGCTTCCCAATAACTATCAAATAAAATAACAGAGTTTATATTGTTTGCAATTAAGCAGTTTAACTATTATACTGAATCATTTCTCCTCCCCCAAAACCATTTTCTCACAGACATATCCATGCAAACAAATGATGAAATATGACATTTCATTAGAACATTAGACACCAGACTGTTGGGCAATGATTCCGGACATCAGGGGGACTCTCCATCTGTGACAGCCTAGATAAAGTCCAAAGGCTGATTGTTTGGGCTGCAGGGAGAAAATGGGGACATAAATGAGATAATGGGGAGTTTCCAACTGATCTCAGTGGAGGCAACCACTTGTAAGATATCTCTTTTTCTAATAAAGAGAGAAGCTGCCCCATGAGCCACCCAATCGTAGGCACTGCTTTCTGAGTGCTTACTAGGCACTGGAGAAAAAAACTGGATCCCCAAAAAAGAACAAAAATCAGGCCTGTATTAGACTTTTCCTCAACGATACTAAATAGCAGGAGATAATTTAACAGGAGAGGAAACTCTCAATGTTTTGGAGAAAAAAAGTTCACAGGCTATTTTAAGGAGGGAAGCCATGTCCCCAACAGGCACTGATTACACCTATGGAGGCAGTTCTAATGGAAGAACAACAAGAGGTCTCTAAAATGGAATATTTTAAGGAAGTTATGATGTAAAAACTGCAATTTTGTTTAATTAACCAAGGAACAGGAAATGAACAATTACTGATTAAAATGGAATTTGTGTTCTGGAAAATCAAATAAAGGAAACATCTCTCACCCACACACTTACAAAAGGCAAAAAATATCCACAACAACCAAAAGCAAATACACAAATAAATGCAAATAATGAGTACAAGATAAGATTCATAATAAGTAGGTCTGGGAGGTCTGATAAATAAATAACAGGAGATCCTTAAGGCAAAAGGCACAGAAGAAGAAAAATATTAAAGAAACAATGCAAGATAACTTTAAATGTAGAAAAATTTACATTTTAAGAACTAAATGGCTGCAAATCAAATTCCAAACTGCACAAAAAGCCCCAAACTCGTCATCTCCTGGTGAAATTTCTTAAATCTGAGATTAAAGAGAAAGTTCAACACTTTTCCAGGTGAAGAGAAAGTTTACTTATGAAGGAAAATGAATCAGATTGGTACGAAACTTCTCATCAACAACAGTGAAAATTAGAAGACAGTGAAACAATGATACCAGACATCCAGAAAAGAGAACTATATTCCAAGAATTGTATGTCCAGCCAAGTTATCATTCTTATGTAAAAACCATGTTTCTCGCTGTACCAGGACTTAGAAAGTACACTAGTGTTTTCTAGGTAAAAAGTACTAAGTACTCTAGGTGGGTTAAATTTAAATTACAAAATGAAGCATGCAAATTAAAGTAAGACGAGGAGTTAAAAAACATTTGGGAACATGAACACTGTAAGGTGTATGATTAAATCTCAAACCAATGATGATAATGTGACTGGGGATAGTGGTAATAGTCATTAAGTATTAAGAAAGATAGGAGGGAGTGAAAGCTTTTGAATGATGTTTACATAGAGGAGTGCCAACAAAAGTTTCATTTAGGACATTACTGATTACAGGAATATAGGTTTAAGCTTCTTTGGAAAAATTAAATATTAATACTATTGGAATTAAATTCTCCTACCAAATGACTACTTTAAAAAAAGGAACTATTTGAGACCAGCCTGGCCAACATGGTGAAACCCTGTCTCTACTAAAAATACAAAAATTAGCCCAGGCATGGTTGTGCACGCCTGTAATCCCAGCTACTCAGGAGTGTGAGGCAGGAAAATTGCTTGAACTTGGGAGGTGGAGGTTGTAGTGAGCCAAGATTGTGCCACTGCACTCCAGCCTGGGCACCAGAGTGAGACTCCATCTCAAAAAAGAAAAAAAAAAAAGGAATAAACCAAGAAAATATGTATATGTCTGTGTGTATGTGTGTGTGTGTATGTGCGTGTGTATAACTGATAGGATGTACAGAAAAATATTAACAAGAAATGGTAGAATTATGGGTAATTTATTTCTTCTTTTTTACTTATAAAAATAATAGAACAGGCCGGGCGCGGTGGCTCAAGCCTGTAATCCCAGCACTTTGGGAGGCTGAGGCGGGTGGATCACTTGAGATCACGAGTTTGAGACCAGCCTGGCCAACATGGTGAAACCCTGTCTCTACTAAAAATACAAAAATTAGCCCAGGCAACCTGTAATCCAAGCTACTTGGGAGGCTGAGGCAGGAGGATTGCTTGAACCTGGGAGGTGGAGGTTGTAGTGAGCTGAGATTGCACCACTGCACTCCAGCCTGGGCACCAGAGGTAGACTCCATCTCAGAAAAAAACAAAAGGAACAAACCAATAAAATATGTGTATGTCTGTGTGTGTGTGTGTGTGTGTGTGTGTATAACTGATAGGATGTAGAGAAAAATATTAACAATAAATGGTAGAATTATGGGTAATTTATTTCTTTTTTTTACTTATAAAAATAATAGAACAGGCCGGGCACAGTGGCTCAAGCCTGTAATCCCAGCACTTTGGGAGGCTGAGGCGGGTGGGATCACTTGAGATCACGAGTTTGAGACCAGCCTGGCCAACACGGTGAAACCCCATCTCTACTAAAAATACAAAAATTAGCCAGGCACGATGGCAGGTGCTTGTAATCCCAGCTACTCAGGAGGCTGAGGCACGAGAATCGCTTGAACCCAGGAGGCAGAGGTTGCAGTGAGCTGAGATCGTGCCACTGCACTCCAGCCTGGGCGATACAGTGAGACTCAGTCTCTCTCTCTCTCTCTCCATATATATACATATATATATATATACACACACACACACAAACACACACACACACACATACATACACACACATATACATATGAACAATATACATAGACCTATATATGTTCTATATATATAGAACAATATAATATATATAGAACCCAGGAGGTGGAGGTTGCAGTGAGCTGAGATTGCACCACTGCACTCCAGCCTGGGCAACAGAGCAAGACTCAGTCTCAGAAAAAAAAAAAAATGTGTATATATATATACACACACACACATATATATATATGAACAATATATATAGAACTATATATGTTCTATATATAGACTATATAGAGAACAATATAATATATATCAAGTAAGACTCAGTCTCTCTATATATACATAATAGAACAATATATATATAGAACTCTCTCTCTCTATATATATATATAATAGAACAATAAAATTCTACGTGTGGAAGCAAGGACAAATTTTGTTTTCTTTGATACTAGGTGGTCTATTTTTGTCTGCCAGTATGTCTTTGGGGAATGACCCCTCTCATATTTCATACTCCTGGCATTCCAGTCTGATCCACTTGGTTTGGGTAGGACTGATCCAGAGCCACCAGACTGCTCTGTTCTCCTGGCAATTGGCTCAAGGACGGGCATAGGATCCAAGCCAGACACTCAGAATTCAGATGACAATCCATCTCTTTTATCTGAAGTAGCATGACGTTCATCTTTACCTGTGCAGGAATGAAGCCATGTCAGGGCAAATTGGCAAGGAGAGAGAAGGGAAGGGAGAGGAAAAACACAGAGAAAGACAACTAAGAACAAGGTGAACCTTCCTACTCTGCTAATTTACTCCTTGGACTCCTCTGTTGTCATAGCCAATACATTTATCTTTTCACTTAAGCTAATTGAGTTGGTTTCCATCACTTAACTAAAGGAATCCTGACTCAGGCAATGTCCCAGCCCCTAAAAGTCAGGAACACATTTCTATCATGGCTTCTTTGGGTTTACTTTAATCAAGAATGCTTTCCCTTGCCAATATGTTATGATTTTAGCCTGAGATAAGTTTTTCTATGAAATCAACTGCCCATTCTCACTCTACTTGTGGGCAGAGAGAGCCTTTTCTGGCCTCCTCCCCTTACCATTATCAAGTGGGTTATCTGTTCCCACAAGTGTTGCTTTGGGATGGTTCCCCCCTCTCCACAGGTCTTAAATCCTCAACTGCGCCTCCTAAGAGATCCCCATCCATAGGAGATCTGCCCCACCCCATTCCGGCCTCATTCTCTTTCACTTTCGCCCCTGCTCATTAAACTCCAGACACCATGGTTTCTTTTCTTGACTTCAAAAATGCCAAACTTTTACCTCACCCCGGGGCCTTCACCATGCTGTTCCTACTGCCTAGAACTTACTTTCTTCTGAGATCCTCTCTTTCTTTCCCTTGGCTGACTTTTCATATGTCAGCCTGAATATTATTTGTAATCTTCCTTCTTCCTACTTTCTTACACTCCAATCTAAGATCTGACATCAGCTCTCATTTCACTCTTCACTGTTCTTTCATAGCACTTACCCCAAAACATAATTACACAGTTACCTGTATTTCCGTAATCATGTGCCTAATATCTACTTCCTTCCCTCGACTATAAGCCCCATGAGCTCATGAACAGGGTCTATTTGGCCCATGGCCCGATCCGCAGTGCCGACACATGGTTGACCTTCTCTAGATGGTTGAGGAATGGATGAGTGCATGCTCATGGCTAGCCATTAATACTCTGGACAGTTCCTGGAACACAGTCAGCAAGAGGGCTGCTTTCAGGAACAGGGCATCTTTTATGAGGCTTGCCAAGGAGACACTGCAGAGATTAATGGCCTTTGCGTTGACTTCAGCACAACAATAAAAAAAAGAATCCGGAAACAGAGTTTCCAGGAAAGCTCTAGCATCTAAAGAGCAAATAAATGGCATGGAACTAGGGAAGGCTCGGTGTTCCTATCAGTCCCCTGCAGACAGTGGCCAGGACTCACATACATCTTCTATATAGAGTGTTACAGGCCACTGTTAAATCAGATTAACTGGGAAACTCTTGGTACAATCAAATTTATTTTCACAGCATGCAAACGGTGTCCACCAAATTCAGAAAATGTATTAGGAACGTTAAGCAGTAAAGTTGGAGGAACGGCCTAATGAAGGTGCTAAACTCTCAGATCAGAAGAGAAGGGAGTGCTTTTAATATTAGAACTATGGTTTCCAAGACAATTTTATGAGCATTTGCAGATTATTTCTTGCAGCATAGAGTAATTGCAGAACAAGGGCTTTGGAGTCAGCAAGGCCTGGATTTGGATCAGGCCCTGCCGCTTACTATCTATGTGCGAGTTACTTAACCTTTTCAGGCTTTGAGCATTTTTTTCTTCTGAAAATGGTGGATAATATCAGAACCTACCATTTAGGGTTATAGTGAATGAGTGGGCATTAATGATCATAATCAATGCCAAACACAGAACAGCACCTGACATCTAATGAGCACCCAATACTTGTTAGCTATTGTTGTTGTCTTATTGTTATTGCTGTTGTTGTTAATGTAGGTAAACCCCCTGGAATGGTTACCTGGCACATAGCGAGTATAAATGACTGCTGTTACTCTTTGGGGTCCAGCGAAAGTGATATATTGAAGTATTTAGCAACCCTGGCACTGGCCAATCAGAGGGAGGCTAGGCATTAACCTTCTGGTGGTTGGATTTTGTGGGAAGTGAAGAGGAGTATCCCATGGGATGAAGGGGGAGGACAAGGTTGGCCATCATGGTGGGGGGTCATTTTGGGGGATATGGGAAGTGGCTAGTTACCACTCAGTTATTTCTACATTTAACTACCAGAATGGCTGTACCAGTGCAAACCAACTCACCACCAACTACTAAGTTGGATTCTACAGAGGATCTAAACCCAAGGGTGCTGCTGGTGCTCACCCAGTTAGAAAATCACCTCTGAATGCTCGCTCACACCGTAAGGGTCATTATCCAGCCTCTGCTTCCTTATCCAGACCCTTCTTTAGTCACTTCCTGCACAGGAACCATCGATTCCTCCACACCCAGCCACTGGCAGCCTCAACACCACCTCCACTCTCACACTTTTGCAGGGACTAGTGTCTCCCTGGAAATTCTTCCCTGCGAGCCAGCTTGACTCAAGCCTCAAGGCTCACTCCATGCTCCCTTCCTCTTCTCCCCACCCAAACCAGAGGTGGGAGCCACATCCGGCACCTTCTGCAATATAGCAACTATCCCATTGGCCTTGTGTGTCATCCCCCAACCCCAGCCCCAGAGCCTCAGGGCCCTGAGTATTCAAGTCATTTCCCACTCCCCACCAGGGCTGTAGGGATGGGGCTGCCGCCCCACACTCGGCTGACTCCCACTCAGGAAATGGCCAGTCTCTATTTTGAGCAGAGGAACGTGTCACACCTCCTGGGCCAGGACACCTCCCCCCTGCCAAGAAACCACACTCCAACTGTGCTTAGACAATGACCTTTCGGTTCTGTCCCGCAAAGGCCTTCAAGTTGCCCAAATCCTCTGAGCCTCCAAAAAGTAAATCTTATTTTCTCTTTCCTCCCAACAATCAGCTATATATAGCTCTGCACGCAATATCTAACCTTGGAGAGCTGAGCACTTGGACAGGCTTGGCCCATTGTCTCAGCACCCGCCCACGTGCAGTGGCTTGGAGCCACCCAACTGGGAGCTATCTGCAGGGAGGGGCCGGAGAAAGGGAGAGGAAACAAGTCCACCCTGTCAGTCCAGAAGGTCCTGGCCCTGTCATTTCCTTGCGGTTCAACTTTGGACAGCTGATTCGAGGTTTCTGAGCCTCAGTTTTCTAAACTGCCAAAATAGTGTAAATTTGTTGAGAGTATCAAAAGGATTAGTGTACAAGTTTGTCAAGAATCTGACACAAGCCTGGAGACGTGGTGGTAGCTAAATAAATACTTGCTGTTAATTATATTATCTGGTGACTTTTTGAAACCTCTGGGTATTTGGGCGATTGAGAAAAACATCCTTTCTCTGTCTCTCACAAACACAGCACACTCACACAGACACACTCACAAAAGGCTCTTTGCTCCTCATCTTTCTGAATGTTTAACTCTTTTCCACTGATGTCCTATCACCAAGCTGGTTCCTAACATTTGTGCAGCCCCAGACTAGAGTACATAAGGAGACTCATATACTATATAGTCTTTTAATAGCGTTAGTGAAGTGAAATTGATTACACAATAAACTGTCCGTGATTGATTTTGATATTGTATATACCCATGTATACCTCCATGAAAACATCGTCACAGTCAAGATTGGGAACATATCAAATACACTCCAAAGATCCCCCTCTGCCCCTTTGTGAGTCTACCCTCCCACCTTCCAACTCTACCCACCCCCCAGCCCCAGGCAACCTTTGCTCTGCATCTACTTTTGTCAAAATAGATTAGCTTGCATTTTTTAGAGTTTTATATAGATGGAGCAATACAGTATGTACTGTTTTCATTTGGTTTCTTTCTTTCAGAAAAATTGTTATGAAATTCATCCACATTAATGCATATATCACTATTTCATTCCCTTTTGTTGCTGGGTAGTATCCCATCGTATGAATATAACACAGATTGTTTATCCGTTGATCTGTTTAGGAACATTTGAGTCGTTTCCAGTTTGGGGCTATAATAAATGAAGGTACTAGGAATATTCATGTACAAGATTCTGTTTCTATATATGCTTTCTTTTCCCTTGAGTAAATATCTTATAGAATGGCTGGACCATGTGATAGGTGTATGTTTAGCTTTTTAAGAAATTGCCAAACTCTTTCTCTTCCAAAGTGATGATATCATTCTACATCCCCATCAGCAGCATATGTGTTCACATCCTTGCCAACACTTAAAATGGCCTTTTGTTCCAAACATTGTAATAAATGTGGAGTAGTATCTTACTATGGTTTTAACTTGCATTTCCCTAAAGACTAACAATGCTGAGATTTTTTTTTTTCATGTGCTTATTTGCTATCATATATCTTCTTTGGTGAAATGTCTATTCACATCTTTGGCCCATGGAAAAAAATGAGCTGTTTGTTTTCTCACTATTGAGTTATTTTTTATTCTGTATACAAGCCGTTTACCAGGTATACCATTTACAAAGATTTTCTCTCAGTCTGTGGTTTGTCTTTTTATTCTCTTAACAGCATCTTTTAGAGAGCAGAGTTTTAAATTTTGATGTAATTCAGTTGATCAATTTTTTTCTTTTGTGATTCTTTTGATTTTTGATCTTTCATCTAATAAATCTTTGTCTAACTGAAGGTCAAAAAGATTTTCTCCTAGAAGTTGTATGGTTTTTACTTTTAAAATATTTTTTAATTAATTAATTTTTTCTTATAAGTAAGGTCTCACTATGTTTCCCAGGCTAGTATGGAACTCCTAGCCTCAAGCAATCCTCCCACCCTGGACTCTCAAAGTGTTGGGATTACAGGTGTGAGCCACCATGGCCAGCCAAAGCTTCATGCTTTTTAAGTTATATGTTTAAATCTATGATCCAGCATTACTTTTTATTTTTATTTAATGGTTTTATTTTGTGTATGGGAGGAAGTGTGGTTCAAACTTTATTTTTCTGCATATGGATAACCAGTTGATTCAGCCCCATTTGTTAAAAAGACTACACCTTCTCCATCTAATTACCTTTGCAACTTTGTCAAGAATCAGTTATCTATATATGTGTGAGCCTATTTTTGGAGTCTGTTCTGTTCCATTGAACTGTTTGTCCATCTTTACGCCAATACTACACTGTCTTGATTTCTGTAGACTTAAAATTGAGTGGTGATAGCCTTCCGTATTTATTCTTCTTTTTCAAAGTTGTCTGGCTAACATAGGTCCTTTACTTTGTACATAAATTTTAGAATCAACTCGTCAACTTTTTACAAAAAAGCCTGCTGGGATTTGATCAGGAGTGTACTGAATCTGCAGAACAATTGGGACAGAATTGACAACTTAACAATATTGAGTCTTCTGGCCCATGAGCAAGATATGTTTCTCCGTTTATTTAGGTTTTAATTTCTCTCAGAAGTGTTTTGTAGTTTTCAGTTATGGATCTTGCACATATTTTGTCATATCCATTCCTAAGTATTTCATAACTTTTTTGTGCTTTTATAAATGGTACTTAAAAAAATTTCAATGTCTAATTGCTTGTTGCTAATAAATGAGGATACAATTTATTTTTGTATGCTGATCTTGTATCTTGCAACTTTGCTAACTCACTCACTAGTTCTAGCAGCTTTTTCTAGATTCCCTCAGATTTTCTATATTCTGCCAACAATTCTACTTCTTCCTTTCTCAATTGGATACCCTTTATTTCTTTTACTTGATTTATTACACTGGCTAAAACCTTCAATATGATGTTAAAAAAATGGTAAGAGCAGGCTTTCCTGTTTGGTTTGTGATCATAGGAGGAAAACAGTCTTTTCTATTTAAGTATGCTATTAGTGGTATCCCTTTGGTAGAGGCCATTATTACGTTAAGGAAGTTTCCTATCATTCCTAGTTTGCTGGGAGGTTTTTTTTTTAAAAAAATCAGGCATTCCTGATGTTAAAATGTTCAAATGCCTTTTCTGTATCTATCGTTATGATAATGTGAGTTTTCTTTTTTAGTTTTTTAACATAGTAAACTATGTTGATTGATTTTCAAATGTTTAACCAATCTTCCATTTCTGGGATAAACCCCACTTGGTCATGTTGTATTATCCTTTGTATAGATTGTTGGATTGTATTTGCTAAATTATTATTTAGAATTTTTGCATCTATGTTCATAAGGGACATTTTCTGCTGTTTTCTTATAAAGAGTTTGTCTGGCTCATAAAATGAGCTGGCTTCCCTGTTGGCATGCTCTGTCTTTGGAAGGATGCCCTGAGAAAAAGGCCTACATAGATGCTGAAAGCAGGTGGGCACAGTGCCATTCTGGCAGGTGATTTGAGTGTTCTGGTAATGTAGAGCATGATCTAAAAGAGTTCTGGGTTAGGTTATACACTTAAATCTATGCTTTATCATTACCTAAATTTAATTTTTTTAAATGGTTGCGTTTTGTATATGGCAGGAGATAGAGTTCAAACCTTTCCCTTGGTTCCTTCACAGTTCCTTATCACACTGTGGAGAGGTTTCCAGGGAGGGCTCTTTAAAGCATTAGGCTTAGGGCAGGGGCCCCTTTTGCCCAGGACTAAGGCATGCCACCTCCATGAAGCCTTCTGGAATCCTGACTAGCTATCATTTGGAATCCTTGCCTACTATGAATCCCACTTCTTCTGCAACCTTCCTATATGAATTATGCTAGTGAAAACATTCTCTAATGTATTTTCAACTTTTTTTTTTTTTGCCACTGCTTCTTCTCAACAATGTTTAGACATGCTCCAGGCTCCCATCTGAAAAACCTACAACAAGACAAAGCTCTCCCTAGTCCTGAATATCCTTACAACCCTTGCTCCCTCTCTCCTTTCACAGCCCAACTTCCAGAAAGATTTGAACATGCACACTGTGTCCCATGTCCCATTCATTACTCAGCCATCAAAAAGCTGACTCTCAGTCTCACCACTCCTGCCAAGGTGAACAACATACTCCTTGTTGCCACAGTCATTTGGGAGATTGACTGTGTGCAGCCTCTGGCACTGCTGGCCTCACCTCCATCTTGGTCCCTGTTCTGTTGACTTCTCTAATGCCTTGGTTCTAAGCTTTTTCTTCTCTCACAGAACGCTACATACTGATGCTCCTCTGAGATCTCTTTTCTATTCTCTTCTCACTTGTCAGATTGTGCACCTAAATCCAGATGACTTATCCCATTCCCACTGGTAGCCACGTATGCTTGCTCAGGTTGTACACTGCATAACTCTGGAGAGTACCATTGACATCACAGTCATTCTGAAGGGCAACACCCAGATTTGAGTTATGCACAATTTGGCCATATGTGATAGCCTTGCCTGTACATACTCCAAATATATCACTTGACATCCTACAGAACAATGATCTGTTACATGTCCTGGTTGTAAGGCTTTTGAAGGCTGAAATTACCCCCTTAATCAACCCTGAAGGGCTTGGCACAAAGTAGATGATCTTTAAAGGTATGCTGAATAGATGAGCCTGCCACTGAATTTTAGCCAGTATACATTTCTCCACTGAGAAGTACCACCATTGCACAAGCATGAGATTGAACTTCCTTTCAGACTATATGTCCTTTTGGACTAGAGGAAGAGACTGTTTTCTAACCTTCCCCTCACCAGGTACTCCCATTCTTTGAGCCCAACACTAGCTGGACATGCTACTTTACCTTTGAGCCTCAGTTTACTCATCCAGCAAATAAAAGGTTCTACCTTGCAGAGTTTGGTGAAGATTATGGAAGTAAAGTTGTGGAAAGCTCCTCTATCTTCTTTTCACTATTCCAGGGCACTCAGGATAATGCCTCTGACTAAAGGCTACCCCAGGAAAAAATTATTATATTGATCACGAAAGGGCATATGAAGGGCAGGAAACAAAAACCCCAGGAGGTATGTCCTGCCTCACCTGCTGCTAGCCTTCAATTTCAATTCTACTCCAGCTTGTTGGTATCATTTATTAATTAATTCATCCATTCACGTAACAAATGTTGAGCACTTTCTACTGCCAGGTGCTGTGGCAGGCACTGGGAGACAAATAGCATACGTAAGACAGATATGGTCTCTGTCTTCGTGACACTTGTCTCTACCACATTTGGCAATGTCTGGGTTAATGTCTTGTTAATGGTGGAAAGACGTAGGGTGATGCAACAAAGAGTAAGGAGAGTGTGTGGAGAGGAGAGAGGTGGCCTGGCCCTTTAGACAGAGTGTTCAACAAAGAGTTCTCTGAGGTGGTGGCATAAGAATTGAGTGTTAAAGAATGAGATTGGAGGGTGGGGAATCTCTGAGAAAGAGTGAACAGGATGGAAAGGGCATGCCTGAGAAACCAGAGAAGGCAAGGTGGTTGCAGCAGAGCAAAGAAAGAGGAGAGGGGCACCAGGTACTGCCAGAAAGTTAGGTGGGCACCTGATCATCCAGTAAACCCTGTCTGGATTGGATTATAAGAGAGGAGGTCTTTCAAGGTGCTGAGCTGGGAGGGGATGTGATTTGATTTAGAGTGTACAAAGACAGGGGATTTCCTTACTGTCCAGGGACATTTCCCCACCAGGGGGAGCACCTGGAACGCACCCGCTGGGTCCTTTCTGCTGGCCAGTTTTCATTACTAAATCCAGGCTCCAGGCAACGAAGCCAGGGCTGGATCAGATCAGCAGCTGGAAATGGCTAGCGGGGAAATGGTCATTGGCAGTTATTTTTGTAATTGTTTACCGAGACTACTAGGTACCTAGCCTGAATAAAATGTGTTATTTCAGCATAACTTCCCATACCTCCCTCCATCAGGGGTATGTTATCAATAGCCCCATTTTTGGATGACAACTTGGCAATTACAATGAACATATATGCTATTCAGCCCAGCAATTCCACTTCTGAGAGTTTATCCTCACATTCATGAAATTGCCCATGTTCACAAAAAGGCGTGTGCAAAGGTGTTCATTGGAGCGCTATTGGTAAACTCATGGAAAAAAACAAACAAACAAAAAAACCTTCAATGTCTAGCCCTAACAGGGGATGGCAAAACAAATCATGCTTCATGCACTCTTGGGGAGCCATTATAAATAATGAGGGACCTCCCAGGCATGCTGTGGAATTTCCCACAAAGCAGGTGCAGAACAATGTGTACAGTGCAGTCCTTCATATCAAAACACAGCCATAACCCAAATAAAGCTATATATTTTTAATTATCTTTATATAATAGAAAGAGGACTAGAAGGAGACACAGCAAAATTTTAAAAAACAGTGGTTACCTCTGGGGAGAGATCTGGATTGGAAGCTGCAGTTAGGTCAAGGGTGGTGGGCTTTCACTACCTTTATTGTTTTAATTTTTACTGTACTCGTGGTTTTTGTTTAATACAAAATGAATATGAAAAACAATTAAAAAGTTTAAAGCTACACAGCTAGGAAGAGGGGAAGCTGGATTCAAACCCAGGTTGGGACAGCGCAGTTTCTAGTATAATGGGGTCCTACTATCCCCAGTCACTCACTCACTTAAATGTTTATTGAGTGTCTACTGTGGACCAGGCTAGGAACTGAGGAGGATATAGGGAGACAGCAAAGAACAGAATGGAAGATCCCTGTCTAGTGCAGCTTACCAGTTGTTTGAGATACTTTTAAGCAAGACAGGCAGACAGACATACACTACAGGCAACTCTTTCTTGAGAGTTCAAACTTTGGTTCTGTTCCTGAATATGTCACTTTTTGTTAATTCCTAACATTTCAGTTACTTACCACCACTGATTCTCAGTTTATTCATTTGCAAAATGGGGGCAACATTATGGATCTCAGAGTTGTTCCGGCCATGAAATGAGGTAAATGTTTAACCCAGAGCGTGGCACATGGTGTGTGTGTGCTCAACAAACAGGGACATTATTAATATTCTGAAGGTCCCATTTTCTTTGTTAGCAATTTTCTCCATCCAGCTCCTGAATCTTTCAAAAGAAAAGTAGTGTAGACAAGGGGATGGGTTGGGGAAAAAGAGGAATGATTTATTCTCCTTCAGCCTTAACAGAGCGTTTCTCTTGAGCTATGAAGCTTTTAAATCTTCAGCCTGTGATCTCAATTCTGGGCTTACTCCTGGGCCCTAGTGCCCTGCTAATCACTCATTAATTCATTCAACTCCCCACCCAAAGAGGATTTGCTGATGATGAACTCCGTCTCCAGGGTCCAGCCCAGGACCTGGCAAGAAATGAAACCACAGAACCCCTGCCTTTGGCAAGTTCATAGGCTGCTTCGGGGAGATTTTATGGAGGCCTTAGGCTGCCCCCGTCTGCTGGAGAGAACCCCGAAAAGCCTTTGGCGGGGGTACTCCTCAGCAGCCTGGCTGCTGGACCTAGGTAGACGGCCCACACGCCCCCCCGCACCCTCCTGCCTCCCCTCCAGTGGGTGGATTTTGCCCCCTTCCACGGTTCCCGCGCAGGATGCGGGCGGGAGGAACTGAGAGTCCCTCCAGGACACGTTAGCAGGACGCCTGGCGCAGAGCGGGCGAGACCGCATGACGCAGGCCTCTCGGGGGCGGGGAGCACATGCAGCCCGTCCCTCTCCACATCGTCACTCTTCTATGGTTTAGAAGTTTCAGTCGCACACTCCTACCCGGGTCGGAGTTAGCTCAAGCGGTTACCTCCTCATGCCGGACTTTCTATCTGTCCATCTCTGTGCTGGGGTTCGAGACCCGCGGGTGCTTACTGACCCTTTTATGCAATAAATTCGGTATAATCTGTCACTCTGAAGGCTTTGTTATTTTTTATCCCTTTTAACTTTGCTAAATTAATAGGCTGATAACATAAGTTGGTGTCACTTTGAAGGTGTGACAGAAAGTATGGAGGCTGGCCACTGGTCTTACAGGGCGTGCGTGACCAGCCTGTACTGCCAGGTAGGACGCATGGGGACAAAAAAATGCTTGTGCAGTTCACGAGACACACCTGGAAGCTCCGAGACCCCACAACTTCGGACCGCGGAGTGCGTTATGGATTTCGTCCCAAGTAGGACGGAAGTTTAACAGCAATAGCTGCCGTCTACTGTTTTATCTGTATGACTGTTTTTTTCACATATATTGCCACCCGCCAGGACTTGCCTGTTGGACCACAGCGAGTGAGACTCGCTCCGAATTTTTCTTTACGTCTTTGAAAGTTCCAAGTTTCTTCCTCCCTGGCGGCCTGTACCTACGCTATTCTCACCTGTTCGCATCGTGTCCAGACATTTTATGCAATTTGTCTTTACCTTTAGCGTGGGGGCTCCCCCCTAGAAGCCATACAAGGGCAGGGGCCTCTCCCCTTGCTGTACTTACAGCGTCTAGTACATTGTTGACCAGATTTGAGTATTAGCTGATTTAAGTAGCTTAATGCACAGGGACATGCACATGTGTTTTTCATATTAAATCCCTATAAGTAGAATTGTGGAACACAACTTGCCTATACTTAGGGCTTTAGATTGAAGTGGCCTCAGTTCCCTTGGGAAAGTCTAGGCTGGTATGGGGAGGGGTCTTTTTCAGGGGAGAAAATGCCTGCGTCTCTGGGGAGGCAGAGAATGCAAGCCCAGAGGCAGTGGGTGTTCGCAGTGATGGGCTCCTGGGGGCGCTCTCGGGCGGCCTACAATCCAGAATCGTCTTCTTGTCCCTTGACCCGGTTGCGGACCACTGAGCAGCTGTTCCGCCTTGCTCTGGTACCACCATACGCACCTTTGATCAGGCCCGGCCCTCGCATTCACCAAGTCTTTTTGCCCTGGTAGTGCCCCTACCTGTGGTGCATGTTGCGCCGCACTTAAATTTTGGTGGGGGCACCTCCCCTCCGGTGTGCGCCTCCGGTCCCGCGCGCCTCCTCTCCAGTGTGCACCTCCCCTCCTATGCCCGCCCCCAAGCAGAGAGCCCCAGGGACTGCTGGCGGGCCCCCTGCTACACCTAGGGCTAGTGGGAGTTCCTCCCTCAGTTTGGCAAGCAGGAGAAGGACCTTGGAGATTCACGGACCCCCTCTGTTCCCCACCCAAGAGGTTGGACTGAAGGATCCTTATAGGGGTTTGGGAACAGCGAACATCAGGAGCGAGCACCTCCCTCTGGGAGAGAAACAACCCAGGCACAGAAAGAGGAGCCCAAACTTGAACCTTTCAGGGGAGAGAAACTGAGCTAAGGGGAAAACTATTGAGCTAGACCTATGATAGAAGCCAAGATATTAGCAGTGGTGTTGGTGGTGGCGGAGTGAGGGACTAGAGGGATTCAACTCAACATTTGATCAATCTTCATTTTCCAGTTTGCCATAAAGAATACAAATTACTTAATGTAAAACAAAACCGACACCAAATCCTTCCTGCTGTGGGTAGGAAAGGGACAATCCCCATACCAGCATCAACTGAGGGTCTTTTAAAAACTTCAGCTTCCTTCCCCGACCCACCCCAGACAGCTGAATCAGAATCACCGGGTGGTGCGCAGGAACCCGCGTTTTTAAAGAACACTAGTGTGACTATTTCATATTTCCTCTCCTCAAACCTTCTCCCAAACTGATTCATCTGCCTTATATTTCATGAAATGAATTTACATAAACCTGAAAATCTCCTCACCTTCCCACCACCAAAGCCAATACTTTTACCACAATGGTTCTAGGCTCTCTGCCTGCCTTCTCACCATTTCTAGTGGAGGTGTCCAGGCAATCACCACAGGAGATGCCTCCTGCAACTCCAGATCCCAGCCCCTAACCCAAGTTTGTTCAACCTGTGGCCCACAGGCCATATGTGGCCCAGGATAGTTTTGAATGCAGCCCACCACAGATTCATAAGCTTTCTTAAAACATTATGAGATTTTTTTTTTGCGATTTTTGAGCTCATCGGGTATCATTAGTGCTAGTGTATTTTATGTGTGGCCCAAGATAATTCTCCTTCTTCCAATGTGGCCCAGGGAAGCCAAAAGATTGGACACCCCTGGCTAACCTCTCACACCACCAGCTCCCCAGCTCTACCGAAATATTCCCATTAGCCTTCAAACTCGCCTTAATATGGTCCCCCTCACAGCAAAAACAAAACAAAGCAAAACACACACAAAACCTTCCCTAACCCATGTCCCTTCCTGACAACATCTATTTGTCCGTCCTCTTTATGGCAAAGCCTCTCTGTCCCTACTTGATTCATTTATTCACTATCTCTTCATTGGCCTCTACTCCGTGCCAGCAAGATCTCATCACAGGGGAGTGAGAAAAACAAGAGAGGGATGGAGAAGACAGCTTGGACACACCCCACAGCATCCTCTTCCTTCTCTACCATGAAGAGATCCATCCCACCAGCCCACACCTACTCCAGGGGTCAGGTGCCAGGATCCCCTCCCCAATAAGATCACCACATTACCTTTTCAGGGACATATATTCCTCTAACCTGGTGACTACTGGCTTCTAGACAGGAGGTCTTTGGGAGGGGAGGATGGGTCCTATTGGTTCTACTTGTAAAATATATCCTTAATTCAATCGCTTCTCATCATTGCCACTGCAACTTGGTCCAAATAAATTCCGACTCCATCCCTTTTCACCTGGACTACTTAACAGCCATTCATCTGGGCTCCCTGCTTTCTGTGAGCACCCTTTAGCCCATTCCTCACACAGTAGAGCGGACTGATGATCCATTCTGATCCTCCTTTCCTTCTAATTTTCTTTCATGAAAAAGGCAAGGAAATGCTCAAAGCTCCTGGGGCCATATTGGGATACAGAAGCTAGCTGGCCTAGAGGGATGTGGGGGGATATTCTGAGTCTATTTAAATCCCTAAATCTGAACCTTGTGAGGATGGCTGGAGACACACCCCATCTTAATTCAAGAGCCTCAGGCAGGAAACCAGTGGATGATGAAAAATGCATGTATTTGGCAGAAGATGAAATGGAGAAAGCACTCTCCTCTTCCTGCTCAAAGGGAACTCTAACTAGCTGCCTTCCGAAGCTGTTGATGTATGGTTCTTTATGCTCCCTTTGTTTCAGACTTGAAACAGCATTACAGCAACACAATTTTTTAGTGCGGAGGTCATCCCTCAGCTGTAAGAGACTTCTTGGTGGGGTTGTGCCCTGCTCCCTGTTTGGCTCCTCTTGCAGGTGTCCTGGATTTTGAAAGCTTCCATTTCAGGACCAGGCAGAGCAGCTGGGCTTTTAAATGGGAGACTTATGTGATCTCCCCAGAGTCCAGGGGTGGGAAGCTGGAGGACAGGGGCCATTTTCCGAGAAAGCAGAAGGGACCACTTCTGCCCCCAATCCCGAGGTCCAGCTCTCTTGTTCCTTCCACATTCAACTGTAATTGAGCATGCTGTCTTCAGAGGGCCAGGGCTCCAGCTCAGAGAGGCACAGCCATTCTGGGTTCTGCTTTTTAAGGGAGCTTATTTGGATTTCTTGCCCAGACCAAAGACCCCTGAAAAGGGTACCTGGTGACCTTGTGGGGGAGGGATCCTGGCACCTGACTCCTGGAGGGGGTATGGGCTTGGTGGGATGGATCTCTTCAGACTAGAGAAGGAAGAGGGTGCTGTGGGATCCCACCTATCCTGAGAACTGGACCAGTGAGTCCAACCTGTTTTTTCCATCCCTCTCTTGTTTTTCTCACTCCCCTGTGATGAGAAACTGCTGGCATGATGTAGGGGCCAATGAAGAGACAGTGAATAAATGGACAAATTAGAGATGATTTACCAAATGGCGGTTGTCCCAGGAGGACATTCAGAGTCAAAAGGCTCTTCTTTCCTCTAGCTCTCCTGGGGATGGTATAGACATGTGTGGGGCTGTGGAATCACTGTGCGCCAACCTAGCAGACACGAGCTGACTAATTCTGCACAAGTAGCCATTTGCTTTAGGATCTTTAACCAATTGCCTCAATCCACAGTTTTGCAGGTCCACAGGTAATGGATAAAGCAGCACTACATCCCACTTTCCTCCCTGCCTCATGGCCCCACAATCGACTGTGTGACCGGGGGCATGTGATGATTTCTGTGAGTCCCAGCTTATTATCTACAAAATCGAGGGGAGGTTAATGATACTGTCTACTTCATAGAAATTGCTTCATTGCTATAGAAACAGCCATGAGAAAATGCCATGAGAAAAACAGCCATGAGAAAACAGCCATGAGAAAAACATCACGAGAAAATGATAAAGATATCACTAACACAATAAATGGTATTATCATTTCTCCCTAGCATAGTGCTTGGCATACAACAGGTATTCAATACATGTTTACTGAAAGAATGAATAAATGAATACATGTTCAGAATGATAATCTTACTCATCCTTTCAGGAAGGTATTAACTTTCTGTATTTCCACAGGCCATGGAAATCCCACAGCTTTCCAGATATGGGTACTTAGGCTCCAGAAACTGATGCATTAAATTGAGAGAAAACAAACAAATCAACCCTGCATTGCATCTCCCTGGCAGCTGTTGGTAAGCCAGTAAATAGACATCTGGAGAGAGGACTGAGCCAGATCTCATTAAAATCAAAGTCAAGGGCTTTCCTTCAAGAATGTTGCTTTTTGCATATTTACATAATGATACCAACATGGCTGTCCCTGACCTTGTTGGGAAACTGAAGAATTCATGCTGAGTTCCAGATGTGGCTGGTAGGACGCTAGTCTTCTTACTGCTCAACCTGACTGGGCCCCCTGGGGAAACAGAGTTTTGCCTTTGAGCAAAGAAGAGACCTCTAAGACACTTGCACTCTGCTTGCCCTGAGTGGCTGTCTCAGCAGATGTGGTCCCTCCCTCTGGTGGTGGTTCCCAAACTGTACCCTGTATCACCTGGGGTGGGAACTTTCTAAAACAGCTGGACACCATTCTTTGAATTCTTGATCCAGTAGGGCTGAGGGGGTCTCCCAATTTCCATTTCTAACAAGTTCCCAGGTGATGCTGCCAGTCCCAGGACCACTCTTTTAGAAACATTAGCCTAGGGCAGCTCTTCCACACCTATTGAGGTATTTGCCACTCAAAGTGTGGCCCCTAGACCAATAGCAGTGTGACCTGAAAACTTGCTTGAAATGCAGAGTCTGAAGCTCCATCCCAGACCTCTCGAGTCAGAATCTTCATCTGAACAAGTTTGAGAAACACTGAGCTGGGAGGTATGCTAAAGAAGCTAATTCCTGGGGTCCTCCCTACACAACTGAAACAGGATGACAAGGTACAGCCTAGAAATCTTATATGTAACGAGGTTCTGAGGGGGTTCTGATGCATGGTAATATTAGAGAACGTTTGCTCTGCATATTGAAATCACCTGGGAGAAGTTTTAAAACTGCTGAGGACTGGGTTTCCTTAAGGTCAATTAAAATCAGAATCTCTGGTCTAGGTATCAGAATTTTAAAAAGCTCCTTGGAGTATTCTAACATGCAATCAGGATTGAGAACCACTTCTCTGTGTGTTGTTGCTGAATGCACACCCTCTCATTGGCCTCCCAAGGTAGTGGTTAAAAGAACCTAGAGTCAGAGTTGAGTTAGAATCCTGACTTCATCACTTATATAACAAAGCTTCCTTGGGTAAATTCCTGTCTTAGTTCAAGCCTCTGTAACAAAAATATCATAGGTTGGGTGGCTTAAACAACAGAAATTTATTTCTCACAGTTCCGCAGGCAAGGAAGTGCAAGATCAAGGTGCTGGCCAATTCGGTTTCTGGTAAGGGCCCTCTTCCTGAAGTGTGGATGGCTGCCTTCTTGCTGTAGCCTCACTTGGTGGAGGGAGGAAGCAAGCTCTCTCCACTATTCTTATAAGGACACTAATCCTATCAAGAAGACTCCACCCTCATCACCTAAGTACCTCCCAGATGCCCCATCTCCAAACACCATCACAGTGAGGATTACATTTTCAACATAAGAATTGTAGACACAGACATTCAGTCCATAGAGATTACTCAATCTCTCTGAGCCTCAGTTTTCTCCTCTGTAAACTGGAAACAAACATTATAACAAATGAGAACGTGAGTGTAAACTAGTGAGAATGAGGCTTTGTACAAACCAGGCCTTCAATAAGCAGTGGCTTTGATTGGAGGGTGTGAGGCGATCCAGGGCCCTTTGTTACACAGTCTCTCTCTCTCTCTCTCCAGCCAGCCCTAGAGCCACCCTTGACTGCTTTGGAGCAGAAATTTGAAGCCTTCAATACGTTAAAATGCAAAAGTGGACACTTACTCCCAGAAGACCCTGTGGAATCTCACAGGCCCAGCTGATGGTGATCACAGTTTGTCAGTCAATGTCATCCTGGTGTGTGTGGATGTCCTCAGGATGTCAGCTAGCTTGTCAGGGCAGAAGCCCAGGAACGCATGTGGTAGAAGGTGCAACCAGAGCCCCAGGGGAGTTCTGTACCCTAGCTCTCGGCAGGTGCCTGTGGGTCTGGGACAGTTTTAGGGCTGGGGAATCCCCCTGATTCCTAAGGGCCTTTTTCTTCACAGTAATGCCTCACAGGGCCTGGCCCTGATGCCTAGGCCCAGAGACCCCTCTTGGCCCAGGACTCAGACTTTCCATATACTCAGAGGTCTCTGCAGAGGCAGAGTGAAGAAAATGAAACAAAATTTGCAGGTTTATTCCCAAATATGATTTTTCTTAAGAATATAGTAAGAAACATGACAAAGGGCATTTCCACTGGTTTAAAGGCCTATATTAGTTTTCTACTGTTGCCTAACAAGTTACTACAAATTTAGTGGCTTAAAACAATACCCATCAATTATTTCATAATTCTGTAAAGTCAGAATTCTGGGTGGACTCAACCAGATTCTCTACTCAGGGTCTCACAGGCATAGTGACAGCAGGTCTCCTCTCTGGAGGAGCGAGAGGAGACTCCCTCTCCGAACTAATTTAGGTTAGTGGAGAATCCAGTTCCTTGCAGCTGAAGGTCCAAGGTCCCCATTCCCTCACTGGCTGTCGGCCTGAGGCTGCCTGCATTCTTTTTTCTCATGCCCCTCTTTCTTCAAACCAGCAACTTTGTACCAAGTCCTTCTCAGGCTTCAAATGTCTCTGATTTCCACCTCTGCCACCAGCCAGAGAGAAAAGGCTTTGCTTAAAAGGCTGCTATTTGATTGGGCCCACCTGGATAATCTCCTTTTTGCTATCAACAGAGTAACACTGTGGGGCAAAAGTCATGGTGGCCATCTTAAAATTCTGCTTACCACAATACCTATTTTCTTTTTATTTTGAAACTTATAGCACAATAGGGGAAGATTGCAATATATTATATATGCTCATGTTTTCCTCAAACACAGTATCTGAAAGAATCTGCTCCAGTGATTTGATAATGGTTTACTTTTTTCTTTCTGCTTGCCTATACTTTCTAAAACTTCCACAAGGAGAAAGTGTCAATTTTGTAAAAAGAAAAAAGTTATCTTCAAAAGCAAAGAGATCTGACTGTATGAGATATTAAAAGATACTAAATTAACACCAATTTACGTGGTGTGGTCCAGGTGCAAGCACAGTTATGTAGATCAAAGGAACAGATATTGTAGCCCAGAGACACAAGCTGATAGGAATAATGAAACATATCTCCAAGAAGGCAGAACAATGTAATGAATAGGCAAATAATTGATACATTTCTGACGGTAGAATAAAAATTTCTATGTGAAATTAATTCATTAAGACCCTGAATTTCCATCTTAGAGGAAATGAAATTCAAGTTGAATTTGAAAGTTAAAAATAACACAATAGAAACATTAGGAAATAAAACTAAATTCACACATACAATTTTTCTAAAATCTCGTTAGAAAGATGACAAAAGGACTTTTATTTTTAATCATTCAGCTGTGTAAATTCTATGATCTTCAAACAAAGAGATAGGCTATTGATAAATGTGTTTGAAGATTTCCTTCCTGGTTGAGTTCTCTCGAGTATGTAAATAATAAACCATAAAGAAGGTGCTTCCATGTTAAGTTCTCAGGGTTTCCCAGCCCATGGATTCTCTGATACTGAAACAGTTTTGCCTGTGGAGTAAATGTCGTCTACATTGCTGACATCACAGCGTTTCTCCTCTGCAGCATACTTTACTAAGCGAATCAGTGCCGTGAGCTCTGAGGGCCTTTCCACAGCACACCTGACTATGGCTCTTCTCTTTTCTCTCTTGCTGTTAGGCTGCCACTGCGCCATTGGGGGACAGCCCCTATGCCCTGTTGCAGGCAAAGAAACTGGGCTGCAGTTGGATGCCCTACTTGTTCTATGCTTATGCATGACCTACTGTGTGCAATGTCTAAGCTTGATGCTTTGAAGGTAGAGGACTTGTTGACTGCACACAAGAAGCACATAGTACTGTGCATGCAAGAAGCACATAGGTCTGTATGAAATGTATTTTGAATAGGGGCTTGATATGGTTTGGCTGTGTCCCCACCCAAATCTCATCTTGAATTGTAGTTACCATAATCCCCACATGTCACGGGAGGAAGCCAGTGAGGTAATTGAATCATGGGGTTAGGTTTTTCCTGTTCTATTCTCATGATAGTTAATAGGTGTCACTTGATCTGTTGCTTTTATAAAGGGCAGTTCCACTGCACACGCTCTCTTTGTCTGCTGCCATGTAAGACTTGCCTTTGTTCCTCCTATACCTTCTGCCATGATTATGAGGCCTCCCCAGCCATGTGGAACTGTGAGTCCATTAAACCTCTTTTTCTTCATAATTTACCCAGTCTTGGATATTTCTTCACAGCAGTATGAAAATGGAGTAATACAGAGCTCGAGGGACAGTGGTCATCAAAATCGTGTGTATTGTAGATACCTGTGCATTTTTCTGAGGAGAGGGTCCACGGCTTTTATCAGGAGTCCCTGGCCTAAGGAAGATTAGGAATCCTGTTCTAGTCTAAAAGTGAATAGGATCTGATTGTAGGTGATTCCTCTCAAAGCAGGGCTGGGATTTGAGGCTACATCTTCGCTGTTCAAAGACCACGTTCTTCCTTAGTTCTCAGGCATCACTGAACAACTGAGGACCCAGGAGTGCTTATTCCTATACCCCTTCTTTTCTCCTCCCTCCACTGTAGGAGGGACCAAGCCTTCTTCACTCCAAAGCTGGCTGAAAACAGCCCCTCTAGCAGGGCTTTTTCCCTCACCCTCCGATTCTGGAAGCCCAACTGAGAGCGGTCATCAGGGAAAGGTCCCTGCGTGCAGATGGCTTCCTTGAACTTGAATTATTCATAAGCTGTTGCCAAGAAGCCGCAGGGACTCACCCGCCCCACTGACAGGAGAAGAGAGTAGTTTTCCATCTGTTCACTCAAAAACTCATTTCCGCCCAAATGAGGACATTTAATCATAAGTCTTTCCCCTCTGTCTCTGCTACTCCCAAATCTCAGACTTTCTTCTAATAGAATTAGGATCCTGGGAATGGGGAAAAACCCTCCAAGCATGAAACTTCCTCCCCAGAAGGGTTAGAGGGTGGAGTCACCTGCTAAAGATGAAGCAGCCTTTCTGCAGTGTGACTCATCAGCCATTTACCTGTTCTCTGGGCCCAGATGTTCTCTCTGAGTTGGGGCCTGCTGACCCAGGGGTGACCTTTCTCAGTTAGGGAGTCTTAGCCAGAGGGGACCGAGGCACACATAGCTGGGCAGGAGGCTTCCCTGGGGATGGTGATGCTCATAAGCCACCCTGCTTTCCTGAGAAGACCCGAGGAGAGCTCTGGTTGCAGGCTTCCTCCAGCCCACATGCGTGAGAGACCCCAGAAGGATACCTCAAGGGTCTGGAGAAGCCTCCTCTTCCTTTTTTAGAGAGCAACAGGGGCCTGAGCCCACCTTGTTGACTGAAGGAGCCATTTGTTCTCTGGAAACACACCTTGTTGACTGAAGGAGCCATTTGTTCTCTGGAAACCAGGCTCTGAGATAACACTTTTTGAATACGTACTGTGTGCCAGGCCCTATGCTAGGCACTGGGCGGAGGAGTCCCTACATACCTTTGAGCAGCTCACCTCCTAGCAGGGAAGGCCAAACAAGAAGTAGGGAATTAACCCAAATAAGTCCTTAGGGCTATGGCGGCACATGTACGGGGGTTTAGAAGAAAGAGCTGCTGATCTGACATGAAGGGTAAGACTGAACAAGTAGACTTCCAGGTTTTCATATGCCTGTGGGGTTCTCAATCCCTGAAAAATGGCATCCATTCAAGCACTCACAGCAGAAAATGTATCCTTCTCTCCTGCCCCCTTTCCTCCCAGCCCAGAGTCAGTCCTCTCATCTCCCCCGAGAATGCTCTTGCCGTGGTTCCTGATGACATGCACATGGCTAAACCCATCGGACACATCAATAATTCATCTGAGTTGATGCTTGTCCTTAAAAGGCTATCCTTCCTCAACTTCCAGGATTCCATACACATATTATCAGACCCCTTTGCAGGTTTTTCTTCCTCTTCCAGATCTCCAAATGCTGGAGCTACCCAAGGCTCTGTCTCAGGCTCTCTTCTCTCTCTACACTCTCTCCCTGGGAGATCACATCCAGTCACTCTTTTTAAATAGCACCTATATGTACTAACTCCCCAACACTCCATCTCAGCTTAGACCTCTTCCTTGACTCTAGGTTTGAATATCTAACAGCTTTTTTTAACATCTCACTTGGATTTTTAATTGGCTTTCCAAACTTAAACTATCCAAAGGAGACTCTTAGTCTTTTTTTTTTTTTTTACCAGTAGCTTCTTCCCTGCTCTGAATTTTAGGAAAAAAAAATGGCATAACCCTTTAGCTGGCTGTTTAAGGCAAAAACCTTGGTACCGTTCTTGAATCCTCCCTTTCTCTCATGTTCCTCCTCCAACCCCTATTCTAGTCCTATCTGTTCTACCTCCAAAATATGTCTCAAGTTCCTCTGTGTCCTTCCATCTCTAGTGCCACCACCCTGGTCCTCCATCATGTCTTGCCTGGATGACTGTAACGGCCTCCTAATTGGCTTCCCAGCTGCTACTCCTACCCTCCACTTCAACCCACTTTCCACACAAAAACCAAAACAATCATTTAAAAACATATTTAACAATTAAGAAGACAATTCTATGTATAATAGCATCACAAAGTATAAAACACTTAAGAATCAATGTAGCAAAGGATATGAAAGACTTGTACACTGAACACTGCAAAAAATTGTTGAGATAAATTAGAGAAGACACAAATAAATGGAAAGACATCCCATGTTCATGAATTGGAAGACTTACTATTATTAAAATGTCAATAGTACTCAAAGTGATCTGCAGATTCAATATAATCCATATCAAAATCCTAATGATATATTTGGCAGACAGAAAAAAATCTACCCTAAAATTCATACAAAATCTCAAGGAATTTCCAATAGCCACAACAATTTTGAAAAAGAAGAACAAAGTTGAAGGACTCATACTTACTAATTTTAAAACTTACGCCAAGGCTACAATAATCAAAACAGTGTGGTACTGGCATAAAGACTGACATACAGACCAATGGCATAGAGTAGAGAGCCCAGAAATAAACCCTTGCCTGTATGGTCAAATAATTTTCAACAAGGGTGCTGAGATCATTCAATGGAGAAAGGACAATCTTTTCCCAGCACTGGGTAGCCACGTGGAAAATGGGGTAGCCACATGGAAAACTGGGTAGCCACATGGAAAAGAATGAAGTTGGGCCCTTTCCTTATTTCATATACAAAAATGAACTAAAAATGAATAAAAGGCCTACATGTAAGAACTAAAATTCTTAGAAGAAAACAGGAGAAAAGCTTCATGACATTAAATTTGGCAATGATTTCTTGGACATGACACCAAAAGCACAGGCAATAAAAGAATAAATAAATATTGTGAACTTCATCTAAATTAAAGATGTTTATGCATCAAAGGACACTGTCAACAGAGTAAAGAGGCAACCCACAGAATGGGAGAAAATATTTGAAAATCATATATCTGATAAGGAATCAATATCAGAATACATAAAGAACTCCTAAAATGTAATAACTAAAAAAGAAAAAAAAATTTTTTAAATGGGCAAAGGAATCAAATAGACATTTCTCCAAAGAAGAAATATAAATGACCAATAAGCACATGAAAAGAGGCTCAACATCACTAATCATTAAAAAACAAAACAAAATCAAAACCACAATGAAACATCACTTCACATTCAATAGAATGGTTATTACCAAAAACCAGAAAATAACAAGTATTAGAGAGGATGTGGAGCAACTGGAATCCTTGTGCACTGTTGGGGGGAATGTGACATAGTGCAGCCACAATGGAAACACTATAGCAATTCCCCCCCCTCCCAAATTAAAAATAGAATTACCATATGATTTATCAATTCGACTTCTGGGTATAACCAAACTAATTTAAAAGAGGGACCAAACTAATTTAAAACAGGGACTCTGACAGACATCTGTACACCCACATTCATTGCACCGTTATTCACAAGAGCCAGAAGGTAGAAACAAGCCTAATGTACATCAAAAGATGAGTGAATAAACAAAGTGAGTGGTATATATATGCAATGGAATATTATTCAGCCTCAAAAATGGAGGAAATTCTGACACACACTACAACATGGATAAGCCTTGAAGATATTATGCTAAGTGAAATAAGCCAGTCGCAAAGAACAAATACTGATTCCACTTACATGAAATACCTAGAGAACTCCAATTCATAGAGACAGAAAATAGAACAGAGATTATCAAGGGCAGAAGGGAAGGGAGAATGGGTAGTTAATGTTTAATGGAACAGATCAGTTTTGCAAGATGAAGAGATTGGTTGCACAACAATGGGAAATGTACTGAATACCACTGAATTGTATACTTAAAATAGTTGAAGTGGTAAATTCTATGCCATGTATATTTTACTAAATATAAAATATATATCTGATCATTGCACACCCCTCTCTATCTCCCTCCCCCAACTAAAACCCTCCAGTGGCTTCTCATTGTCTTAAGGATAATGTCTAAAATTCTTAATACTAATTATGATAGTACTTAGCCTATGAGGCCCAGTACAGTCTAGCTCCCAAACCTCTCACCAGAGGAATTGTCTCTCTTCTCTCTAGCCACACAAAACTCTCTCACATTTTCTCAGAGCCTTTATGACACTGTTCTTCAGACTGAATTCTCTTCCCCACCCTCTTCATTCTTCAGGTCTCAGTGACCTCCATCGCCTCCCCAAGTGATGGGGAGCTCCAGCACTGCAGGGACTGTTAGGGCCTGCATGGGTGACAGGGTGTAGCAGCTCCAGGGAGCCTCCTCTAACAGGCCTGAGGCCAGAGCTCCAGCTGCTGCCTTCCACCTCCAGGTCCTGGAGTCCTCTCCCCAACCACAAGTGGGTGTGCTGTGCCTGTTTTCTCTGCCTAAGGCTGTGTCTTCGGTTTCCCATGCAGGGGTGTGTGTGCATGCATGCATGTGTGTGTGTGTGTGTGTGTGTGTGTGTTTGTGTGTGTGAATGAATGTGCGTGTGTATAGAGGTTGTCCCAGACTCCTCCCCTCTCCACCCACCACTTATTCTCTGGGCTGGCTCTCTGGCTTTCTGGAATGGATGAGTTTCTTTCCCTGCCAGATAGGGATGGCCCAAGGTGGCCTCATTTGACTTCTCTGGACAGGGCTTCGGGCCCATCCCTCATTCCATGACTTTCTCTCCTGGCTTTGAAAAGAGTTCTGAGCATAATATTCCAGGCATCTCTTCTAAGAGCATAACACTGAATTATGCTTTCAAGCACAGAGGTATTTTCCTCTCTTTTTTTCCAGACATGAGTTCTGGGGCACTCGTGGCTATTGCTAATTCTTAATGCCCTGGCACCATAGAAACAAGTTATGTTCTAGGCTGTGCAAGCAGAGACCTGGCCTGCAGGGGCTTCTCTGGAGGGTAGGGGGTTTTGAGCCCTTCTGACCACCTGGCATTCATGTCTGCTTGTCCATGGCTGCCTTGACTACCCCTCCTGGCCTCTGGTATAGTTGAGCAGAAGGGAGAAGCGTGGTTAAGAATGGCTGGATTTGTGTTTCAGCCTCTTCTTATTCTGTGACCTGGCAAACTACTTTAGCTCTCTAAGCTTCTATTTCTGCAGCAGTAAAATGAGAATTTTAATAGTACTTACCTGTGTCATAGTATCAGTGCAAGTAATAGAAAAAATAATGCACATAGGTGCATAGCCCAATACAGCAGGCCTCTCTGGCCCCATGGCTGAGCTGGCCTCTCAGTTGGCCAATGTGGCCAGGTTTAGGCCACCCCTGTCCCCTGTGTGGGAAAGGCATACCCCATCCTGGGAGGCCTCAGGGCCCAATGCTGAGGGTCTTTGCAGTCCTCTCTACATCCCAGAAAGCTTTGTATTCCCAGAGTGACAGCAAAGACAGAAGTGGACTAAGAAGAGCCCATTCCCCTTCTTCCTCTCCTTCCATTTCCTTGGTTGGGGCTCAGTGGTCAGGGCTCAGGCAAGGCCTGGGCAACCTCCTTCTAGCTTGGGCTACCCTCTGGCCTTCTGATGGGGTGAGGCACACCTCCCTCCCCAAAATCACCCACCCCTGGAAACACACAGTGCTGGCCCCTCAGCTCTAAGGGTCCATCCTCCAGATGGCAGCCCTAATGAATGCTTAGCCCGAGTCTTCATGAGAAAAGAAGGGGTATGGATGGTTAGGAACCAAAAAAGGGAATCTGACCTTCTTTGGTGGGAGGGGAAGGCTGCGCCTTGTCCTCAACCACAGGGAGGATTTCTCTCCAGGGAGAGTTTGGAGCATAGAGTGGAGCCCACATTACTAGGGGGTGGGGCAAAGTCAGGGCAGGGAGTGGCAGGGACAAATGAAGGGGAGAACTGGAAACACACATCTTAGTGTTTGGCATTTATAATGGATCCTGTAGTGATTTTTACTTTAAATTTAAGGGTCTTTAAAACTTATGCTGATCACCTCTTTGGTTTCCGAGGTCATCTTGGTAAAGTGCAGTGTGTGTATTTTAGGTGCTCAAAGTGAAGCATAGCATAGGATACCCAGCATGAGCAAGGCCCTCACTAGCCGCCCAAGCCCGCATGGCTGCAGGGGAGGTGGGAACAGCAGGACAGAGCTATGGGAGAGTGACGGGAACTGAATTCACACCCAAGGTTAAGCCTTACCTCTCAGGACACCTTCTCCCTTGGTCCCCTAGCCTGATGCCTTCACCTTCAGGTAAGTTCCTTCCATTCCTCTCATCTCTTCCCACTTCTGGGAGCTCCTGGGCATTCCTGCTTCCAAATCCTTCATTATCTGTCACAGAACCACAGTGCTATCCTCAGAGTCACTAAGAACACACAGGCTGTAGTGCCATTATCTGGTTGACAATTCTCTTCCCCCCCATCAGTAGAGAAGCCTCATGAGAATGACATGTCTATTCCCCAGGGTCTAACATGGGGGTGCACATAGGTAGCCCTCAACAAATATTTGTGGAACCAATGGATGAATGATTTTAATGGATTGATGTCATATCTCTCTTTCCTCAGACTGGAAGCTATTTAAGAGAGGGCCTCTGTCTGCCACTACCATTGCTGTATTCCCAGCAGCAGTGGACTGACCAGCAGTAGTGCTGGGGATATATCTTTGGGTCATTGGTTCCATGAAGTGAAATGAGCTCCGCCTGCTGGAGTGAATCAGCCTTGGCAGAGATGGGTGTGGGTGGGAAGGAGGTCTGTCCCATTCTCTAGGAAAGTGGGCCAGCCCACCTGTGGGAAAGACACAAATAAAGGCTCTCTGGCGCATTGATCCTGAGCAGTCCCAGACGGCAGGATAAAAATAAGGCCACCTAATGTTGTACCAAGCATTTTATATAGATCATCTCATTTCATCCTCACGATGGACCCATGAAGTAGATGTGACGGTCATCTCCCTATTACAGAAGAGGAGACCCTGGGAGGTCACATGACTGGCCCCAGGCCACACAGGTAGGGGGCAATGGCACCACAACCACATGATATCACCTCTCAGAGTCCTGAGGATATTCTAGATGCCAGAGATTACGGGAGCCGGGGAAGGAATCTGAATGTGGGTTGGCACAGAGGGGATGGGCCTGGAAAACCTGGACTTATGCTGTTGTCAGTGGTGGTCACTGAGAGTCAGGAGGTGTGAGTTCCAGTCCCAGCTCAGCTATTTTACGTGCTGCTGGTGGTTCTCCCTTCCCTGGGCCTTGGTCTCCTCATCTGCATAATGGGATTATGCTGGCAACCACTTCACAGGTTGGTGCTGAGGACTCAAAAGTCCAGCACACAGGCAGGGGATCACCATGCTGGAGGGAAGGTACTTCCAAGTAATAAGAGGAATAAAGTGCGGGGTGAAGGCAACACTGAAAACTTGAAACCCCAGGACCGGAGGAGGGTGAAATAAAAACCTGTTTGGCAAAGACAGGCTCAAACCCCCATGAGCTGTCTGGCTGTCTGAGGGCTGGCTGCTGGAATCTCCCCAAAACCATCCCTCGGGGCTCCTTTCTGAGCTTCTCCAGAGCAGAATTGAGGTGTGGAGGAGCATGACGGCCTCAGGTCAGCACACTGTACCATGCACACAGGACGTATGTTTCTTTGGTTTTATTATTACAAACACACCATGGCTCTGTCACAATAGGGAAATCTAAGCTCTACATACCATTTCTTTTCTACCTGGACAGGGCCCCATAAAAGCCTCCAAGCCACGTGTAGATGTGAGACACATTTGACAGAACATTTCAACTCATAGCTTATAATGATGCCATTTCTCCAGCTGTGCAAGGGCTTTACAAAAACTGTGCCAGGACTTCCCATGAGGCTGGATTGCTTGATTCATGTTTTATGAGCCCCACAATACTGAAGCTCCTTTTCCAGGGACTTGGCATAGGCAGTCAATTCCACATTTGGGATAGGTCCTCTCTGGAAGTGAATGTCAGGCAGTGACATCCAAGTTTCTGCATGCAGTGGGTTAACAGCCATGTTTAGGGGGAACATGATTTAAAAAGTACATCTCTCTCCCTCCTCCCCCACATGCACAAGGCTCACATCTCATTATGGTGCGGCCCATGTACATTAAAGTGTGATACTTGGTTTTGAAAACATTCAAACAGTCTCTGTGGAAATCTGAGAGAAATTGGCGGAGAGCTGCCGTGGTGCATTCCTCCTGTAGTGCTTCAAGCTAATGCTTCATCCTCTCTAATAACTTTTGATAGACAGGGGCTGAAAAAGAGAAGTTGGTAACGTCAAATAGGTGCAGATCTCCCCATGTCTGTCTAGGACACTGTCAGAATCTCAAGGACCAGGGCCAAGCAGCCTCCTTCTGCCATGCTCTCCTGCACATAGCAGGTGCTTTGTGGTTTGTGAAACTTCACTCTTTACTCAAGGCCCGATGTTCTGGTTTTCTGTACCTATCAACTTGGAACTAGATCCTCACCATGGGTTCCTGCCAAGCCCTTTGCAATATTCCCAGACTTCCTAAGCTGAAAACTCACCTTAACCCTAAAAGGTTGTTACTCTTATTATCCTCATCTTACAGAGAAGGAAATGGGGTGCTCTGGGTCTGACCCCAAGTCACCCTGCTGTTCTGACTCCAAAGGCCAGGCTTCTTTTACTGCACCATGATGTTCTTATCTATATACAGCAGATGGCAGGCTTGGGCTTGCTTGGGGGTAAGGCCTAAACAGGTCTGCAATGACTTCAAACCCAGACCAGACTCACCTAGTCGCACAGACCTCTGGGAAGCCTGAAAGAAAACACAAGGTGTCAGGTTTTCTAGTGAAAGTTATACCTGCAACTGCTTATGACAATGGCTTTGCCCATTGCCACCCCTACTCAGAAAAAATGCTGGGGCGAGGAAGAGGAAGGGGAAGGTGGAACTTATAGGCACCAGGGAGTTCCTCAGGTGGCCTTGGCAGACATAAGTTGTGCAAGCCCCTATCAAGTGTGCCTTCAGGTGGACATTCCTAGGAGACCCCCAAGCCAGGCTTTCCCACTGAGACTACAGCCTAGAGTTGAGGGAGCTGGGGCTGCACAGAGGTGGCCTCAGGAGTAGAAGCTCAGGGCCAAGAATCCTTCTCGAGGGCACTAAGGAGACCCCTGTGTACAAAAGTAAAGTGACACAGTAAGCTCCAGGCCTCTGGGTTTAGGATGGCTCCCTGCAGCCTCTCCTCTTGAAGTGCAATCTTTCTGTAAGGCACTTCACATTCCCAAGAGGCTCCACCTGACCCGAAGTAGCAAAAGAGCCAAGTGGGGCACTGAGCACTGGGCAAGCTGGGGAGCAGGAAAGGAAGCTCAGAAAGAGCCAGAGAGGGTTTGAGAGGGAGGTGGGGCTGGGGCAAGGAAGGGATGGCTCCACACACATAGCGAGCCCAGTATCCCTGTATCCAGAATACATACAGTGCCCAGGAGAGCCCCAGCCTCACCCAGGATGGGCAATGCCATGGACAGCAGAAGAGTGACCCAGAGGCCCCGGCTCAGGGCAGGCCTGGCCACTGTAAGATGAACTTGGGATGGGCTGCCCTCTTGGGCAGATGGCTTCCAGAGCTATGTCTGTTCTCTCCAGCAGTGACTTCCCCATGATCTGAGGCTCAGAGGCCTCGGTGTGAAAGCCTGCGCTTTGGCCCATGAAAGCCAGGGAGTTGCCTTGGTTCTTTACTCTGAATTTGACACAGGCTGGGGCTGAGGATGCCTCAGTGGGAGTGGGGAGAAGTTTTAAGAGAGCCCTGGGGAGCAGCCAAGGAAGACAGGGGCTGGAGAGGCTCCTCTATGGCCCAAACAGAGGACCTGAGGCTGCTCAGGCTAGGCGCAAACCTAGCAGGCATCTTACCCTGGAAAACGCTGATGCTTGTTTGAAGATCTCAAGCGCAGAGTCTGCAAGTTCATCCCCTCTTTCCTGAGGTCTGTTGGCTGAAGAGGAAAGAAAAGGCAGGTTTGACCAGAGTGAAACCATTAGCATGTCATTCATAACAACCGTGACTGAGGGGCACTGGTGGGCTTTCTGGCTCACATTTCCAAAGACATGTTTTCTCCATAATGTTTCATAACTCATGGTAGAACTTGGCCCATGGGGAGAGAGCACCAAGAAAGGTGAATGCACACATGAGGAGAGGCAGGACTGAGGTTCAACTGCACTGGAGGCAAGGAACATACACTGAGGTGAGATGCTGTAAGAGGAGTGCTGGGAATCGCGCGGACAGCATCCACGCGAATACAGAAAACTGGGCTGTGTCCGAGGGGAGCTAATATAGCTGGGCAACTCCGCAAAGAGCAATGTGTCCTCACATTCCTTAGTGTGGTGCATTCAAAACCAACAGCTCCCAATTCACTCTGCAATCAGTCACATAGGCACAGTTTAACTATCACAATTACATGTTATTCTCATCATTGTTTAGAACAGTTTTTCTTCTCTCCACCAACTGCCACATGAAGAAAAGGACTGGCTGCAGAGTCAGTGGGGATGCGACACTTACCTGGAGGCTGCAGAACATTGGTGATGACATGGACCACGCCATTTGTGGCCATGATGTCAGGCTCGGCAACAGGCTCCTTGTTGACACTCACCACATTGTTTTTCTAAAAGAAAAACAGAGTAGTGGTTGAAAGTAGAGCATTTATTTATACATTTATATATTTATTTTATTCATTCAGCAAGTGTTTACTGAACAGTTTTCGTTTTTTTCCTTGTTCTTTGTTTTTGAGATGGAGTTTCAATCTTGTCGCCCAGGCTGGAGTGCAGTGGCATGATCTCGACTCACTGCAACCTCCGCCTCCTGGGTTCAAGTGATTCTCCTGCCTCAGCCTCCAGAGTAGCTGTGATTACAGGCATGTGCCACCACGCCCAGCTAATTTTGTATTTTTAGTAGAGATGTGGTTTCACCACGTTGGCCAGGCTGGACTTGAACTCCTGACCTCAGATGATCCGCCCACTTTGGCCTCCCAAAGTGCTGGGATTACAGGCATGAGCCACTGCACCCGGCCTACTGAACACTTTTCATATGCCAAGTCCTGTGTTAGACTGGGGATACTCTGGTGAATGAAACAGTCCCTGCCCTTGACAGACCTTCAGTGTGGTGGATTAATTCAAATCTCCTGTGTGGATTTAGCACTTTGCAATTTACATAATGCTTTTTTGTGTGATCCACTCAGTCCTCACAGCAGTGTATGATAAGGAGAGTAGATATTATTGTCCCATTCCACAGAAGAGGAGACTGAGACTGAGACTGAAGACAGGCGAAGTGCCTCTTTTAAGCTAAGTAGGTGGAACAGCTGGAAATGGAAGACAGGCTTCCTGCTCTGGGCAAAAGGCTCTTTCCATTTTGCCTGGGTGCCTCACTTAAGATTTTCTCATAGGAGGCCCACCCAGGGCAAATCTATCTCAGGCCTTCCTGAAGGGCCATGTGACAAACTCAAGGGGGTAGGAGGCACAGAAGCCTGTGACAGACAGGACCCCAGCATCTGAAACCAGGTGCGAGGAGATTCTTGAATGACCTGCTAAAGTCAAACAAGTCATCCCCGTGCCTACCTCCCTACATGCATATCTTCCTATGCTCCTCGTGAGAAACTGGTGAGCAATGGATGGCTGAAGACCAAGAGAGAGGAGCAGAGAGTAGAAGCCAGCCACACACTGAAGAGCGGTCCCTCCACAGAGGGGTCAGTGGCCTCTGCAGGTGCAGCCAGGGAGATTTCTGGAGCTCGGCTGGCTATCTGCTTTAGGAACACTCTTAGTGCAGTTACAAAGTTATATCATCAATGTGCAGAGCAAGGGAAGGCTCACAGAGCAAGTGTCAGAACTCAAAAAGCCTCTTGGGATGGTCTGGTTCATGGTACAACTCAGTGAAGCCCTGGGTTTGGGGGGTGGGATGGTGTGAGTACAGACTGATCTCTTCAGTCACATAACTAGTTGCCTACAACCTCCTTAAGAGAAGGAAGATCTAATAGCCTCTCTCAGATGCCAAATCAGATGCTCTATTCCCTTGTAAATCTGGAAGTTCTTACTCATGTCTAACTATGATCTCACTTGATTTCCCTGAAGACCCTCTTCTCTTTTCTCTTTTTCTTTGGACGAATTACACTCAGAGATTCGGGCTGCAACTTGAAGGTTGTGTGTGTATAATTCCATCCTGGGGGTGAGATATGTCCTGGAGCCCTGCCCTGGGGAAATTTAGCCAGCCTTTGATTTGCAGGACACTTACCAAGCTGACTTCCAGCTTGTCACCTTGGAGAGACTTTAGCCGCACCAGGGCCCCGATGCCTCCGCTAACCAGGATTTCATCACCAATGTGGTATTTCAGGATGTTGGCAAGTTCCTTGGCATCTCCTGCAGGTTGCGGGAAAAGGAGATAGAGTTAATCCCAAGAATGGTAATTAGCCTGGTCAAGGAGGGCCCAGAGGAGAAGATGTAAGTGGTCACCCCTGAAATGAAGAACTCCCTGCCCAGGGAATAAGCACTTATTAAGCTCCCACTGTATACTCAACGTTGTGACCCACAATCTGTCTAATGGTCAGAGGACACAAAGCACATGTTCATGACCACAAATCTGCCCCAGCAGTCAGTTGGCCTCTGGGTTAAATATGCTGTCTGGGATGCTGGGCTCCCTGGCTGCTGAGAAGGAGTTAATCCATACTCCTCTGTGAGTATGACTCATGTTTCCATGAGATAAATATTTGCTTGGAAAGCCAGGGACCTTTCCAGCACCGGCATCTGGGACGTTTCATCATCAGCATGGCTCCTGACGGTTATAACACAGTAGTGCAATATTTACACATTCTGCCCTCAAATGCACATTCTGTTTGAGATGGCTATTTCCTGAAGGGAGAACTTAAAAGAGTAGACAGCTGTACTGTGGAGGAGCCATGGAGCCGATGAGGTCAGGGCTGAGGGGGATATTCCCTCCGCAGCATCTCTCCTCGTCACGTCTCAGCATTCCTTTCAGCCCACATCAGTGTCTCCAGCAACTGGGGCAGGCATCTGGTTGCCCATAAAGGTGCAGAGGCATTTCCCAAATTAAGTGTGGGAGGTCATTCCGAAAGTTTCCAGCTGCCCTCTCATCTCGGATACTCCCATTACCAGCCAAAGGGCTAAATTTCCCCAGGGCTTATGAACAGCTATTTCCAGCATCTTGAAACTGAGAAGGGAGGAAGTTTTAACTTATTTTGGAGAGTTCACTTGGTTATTGACAAATCCACATGCCTGCCAGAGGATGGAGCCACTGGGTACCAACTGATTTTCAAACATCCACAACCTGGAGCTGACAAGGTTCCCCTTCCACAAAATATTGCCTGGAAGTACAGAGCCACACCAGCCCCTGGGGTGCATGGGATGTCCTTTCAATATCTCTAACACCTGTACCAACCTCTAACACTCTCTGTCCCCCAGGGGTGCCTCAGGCCTGGGGGAGGGTGTGTTTGGGAAGCTTTTCCCATCCCCCTCCTCAACTCCCACATAATTGAAAACAAAAAGAAAGCCAAGCTGGCTCAGGCCACTTGGGGAATATTCCATTCTTGCTGGACAGAGAGAGGATGAAAAGTTTATGTTCAGAATGAACTTCTCCCCTCTCCTTAGGAACATACGTCAGCATCACAGACACAGGCATTCATTTAGCAATAAAGAAAATTAAACAGGACACGAATTCAACTTAGAGCTGCCTGCAACCTGAACTTTCTATTCTGCTCTAGAGCAGGAAGGGAGGTGTAGACAATGTGGGCCCCAAGGTTTGTCAAGGTCCTTCCTCTTCCTCCTCCTTTTCCTTGGTCTCATCTTTCTGTGAGAGTGGAAGCATCTCTCACAGGCATGCATCTGAGCTAAACACTGCAACTCCCATTCCTGCTCCCCCCGCCCCCATCGTCATGGCTATTACTGACCAGGCTGTCTGCCTGGCCCTGTGTGTGGCATCCTATTTAATCCTCCCAACACAGGCTGCAAGATACTCTTACCTTCCTCATTTTTCTTAGCCACCCGTAACCACTAGATCCCCTGCCAAACATCCTCAACTAGATCTCTCAGAGCCATGACTAACTTCTTGGGAAAGCTTTTGTCTGGAGGGATAGTCAGTGCAGGTAACTGGCTTTATTATCACTGTGCTCATAGGTCTCCAGTGGGAAACGTGCCTCAGTGACTGGGCTGGTCGCAGCCACCCTTAATTCTTTTCTACTCCTCTCTGCCCGGTTTCCTGCCCAGGAGGCTGAGCTCTATGAACTGCATCAGTGGGCTCCCTCCTGCTCTCGCATCAGCCAACAAGAGACCCAGATGGCAACTGTCTGAGAGGGAGGCTGGGGCGCTGAGTGGTCCCCCTTGCATGGTTCTGACAGTGGCTGGCTGCACATGGCTCTGGCTGCTGTTCTGTGCCCTTGTCCAAGGCTCATGACCTCCCTGGTTCCTGCTCTCATCCTCCCATTCCCCCAGGCCTAGGGGTAGTAAAGGCTTCCCAGGGTTGCTAGTCCCTGGTTGGCCTCATCCTTTGCTAGTTCCTTTAGTCCCGCCCACTCTTTCACTAATAGTCTTGTCATAAAATCCCTTCAAGTCAATCCTTGATGTGCCAACTGTTTGCTGCTGGGGCCCTGAGGGATCACTACTTTAGAAAAATGGAGACGTGTACTTAAGTTGGTCTTTACCCAAGAGTCTGCTCCGTTCTCTTGGTGGCAGGGCTCGGAAGGCTTCATTTGTGGGAGCAAAGACTGTGTAGACTCCTTCCCGGTTGAGGGTCTCCGTCAGTCCTGCAGACTGGATGGCAGCTACCAGCATGCTGTAGATACACACACAGAAAATGTCACCTGTCAACAGGTATTTTCCTTAAATACCTCACCACGCTGAGAGGTATTTTCCTTAAATACCTCACCACTGAGGATAGTAGAGTCCAGGCCACTGGAATGCACACACCTTGGTTTTCATGCCCTCCGTATGCACAAAGAGGGAGTGATTCCAGGCTCCAGCTCTCTCCACCCAGCAAAAATGCTAAGCTCTGTTAAATGGCCAGACGTCAGAGGCCACAGGAGAAAGGAGGGAAAAGAAAGGGCAGAGGTATGGCTGACCCAGAGACTAGCTGAGCCTCCAGGGATATGATTCTGGGAGGGCAGAGGGGTGTGGTCTCCAAGCCCTTGTGCAGGTGGCTGAAGTCAGTGACAGGGAAACATTCAATATGACAGCACCCCAAGGTGAATGAGCAAGTCAGAAATGGAGATAGCCGGGCAAGAAAACAAACTCACAAGGGTGCTTCAGTTGCAATAAACAGATACTGCGCAGAGAGTGAGAGGCTCATCGTGCACTGTAAACTATGTGCTCTTGGCTCACTTGGAGCTTTACAATGAGAGGGTGATGTTTTCCTTGCACTTCAGTCATAAAAATGTAGTCCCCCCTCCCTGCTTCCCATGCATGTGAAGATTACACTCTTAGAAGTAACCCTTCTTCCCAATGTAAGCTTTCAAGGCGACCCTTGCCTTTTCCCCATCCCAAGTCTGGAAGGTCGCAGCAGTGCACTGCTAGTGTTAATTGAATCCCCAAGGTAGAAGAAAGCTTGACAAATAGCTGGGGCCCCACATCCCACTCCAGCATGACCACTGGGCAGAAGCTCCACCCGGGGATGGAACTAATTACCTAAAGCGATTGTCTCCCTTCAGGACATCCATGACAGTCCCCATTGGGGGGGTCAGCACCCGGTCCATCGTGAACAGGGTCCCGTACCTCCCCCTCTTGTCGTGGGCCGCGATGCAGCTGTTCTCAATGCAGAGGCTCTGCACAGAAGAGGGACAGAGAAAGAAAGGACTGGTTATACTTCCACGAGGGGCCTCCTGATTTGTTCAGAGCATGTAGCAGGGTCATTATCCATGAAGATGAAGGAGTATACACTGGGATGGGTTATTAAGGCTGGGATAAAATGATGTATTTTCTCCAGGAAATAAAACAATAAATGGTCTTCCTTAAGGAAAGAACGGTTAGAGAGGCCCCAATAAAGTCACACAGAGGTCCCATAATGAGAATATCAGTTACACATGAGGTCCATTGACAATGTTGAAATAAATACGTTGAACCCATTTATTTATTTCTTTGTTTAACAGATGATAACCATCTTTAGCCAAATGGTGCTGGTTGGTCCCAGGCAAGAGCTATGTTGAGTTGTACTTCCTTTTTGATTTCCAGGGTAACTGTTGGGTTTGAAAACAAAGAAGATACAGCAGAAGAGAGAAGGCACCTTTTGGACCAAGGAGGGCTGTATTTTAGTTTAGGGGGCTTCTCTTCTCATAAGCTCAGAAAGAGTCTGAACTCCATCCCTCCTCCCAGGTGTTAATTCCTGAATTCAAGAAGGACTTATTCCTTCACAATACAGGTTGGATAATTGTGTGGTTTATTCTCAAAGGCCTCCAGAAAAAGAGATTCCAATCCTTCTGCAGGATCTCATTTTGTTATCTATATTTTCCAGAAATTATTTCCTTCCTTGTCAGCAACCAGTTCTCATGCAAACTCCTGCTTATTGAGGACATTTTTTTTTACACTAATACAAGTCCCACAGTAAGGAGCTTCCCAGGAGCATGATTTAGGACCCAGAACTTACATTACGATAAACAAAAACTCTCAGTTTTTTGCCGCCCAGAGTTTCCAGGGTCTGTCCATGGTACAGATACTTAGAGGCCAGCTGGTCTTTAATTATGTGGTTCCGAAGCAAATTCCTTGTATGGGCATCAATTGGAGGGGTTCCATCTACAAGAAAGGGTGATGGTTAGGTCCAGAGAGATGTGCTCCTGCAATGAAGAGAGTGATGAGAGATAAATACAGTGAAAAAGCCCATCCCTCCTTGAGTTTGGAAACAGGGATTGAGAAACCAAGTGAAGCTGCCAATATTCCTTAACATCTGGTATCTTCTATGGAGAATTAAAGAAGATCCAGATAATCAAGGGTGTTTGGAGTTTTGCCCTAAGAGGGAAGGGCAGGCACGCACACAACTTGGCCCCCTTCTCTGCCTTCCTGGGGCTGCAGCTCAGCTGTACCCTCACTCTGACCTCTTGACTATACATTGGCAAGTGACCCTGCAAATAGAAAGGCAAGGGAATGCTCTGCTCTCCCAGATGTCAAGTCTTGAGTTCTGAGGAACGGCTGCCTCCCAGATGTCAAGTCTTGAGTTCTGAGGAACGGCTCCCCAAAGGCATTCTCTGCACTGCCTAATGAAACAACAGAGCCTCTGAAGTTTCTGCTGAAGTCACATCTGCTTTTGGTTGAGCTGAGTGGAAGTTCTAATGTCCCATGGGGTGCTGTAAATCGGAGAGTGTTGTGGAGGTGACAGGGGTGGGGAAGCTGCCTCCAGGGACAATCTAACAGGGATGCCTTCCCCATGTTACCTTTGAATACAGAATTCAGGGGAGCCAGGAGGGTCAACCGCTCACTTCCAGAGAGATGATTGCCGAGGCCGGCTTGTCTGAAAAGGTCAATGGCTGTGGACACATCAGACTCTGCAGCCAATTCAAATAGTGTCTTGGCTACAAGGAAGGAGAAAGTGGGTTCAAAAGTTAAAAGCGCTGTTTTCATTTATCATTCATCCACCCCAGGGCATGACACACATCAGCAGGAATGTCATCTCGTGAGTCAACAACCCCTCTAAACACTGCTGGGGCCCAGCGGGCTTGTGTCATCAGGGGAACAGTCACCTAGAAAATCTAACCAGTCAGGAGGAGAGGGAGGAGAGGTGAGCTCAGTTAGGCAGAGATCAGCCTCTGTCCCAGGCCCTGTGGGCTGCTTGGTCAGGGCACATTCTAACAATGGGAAGAAAGACAGTCTGTGTGATGGCTTCTGTGGTGTAGATAAGGCCAGCAACCACACCCATAGAAGCATTTTGTTTTTTCCTGTGAGATTCCTTCACTCATGGACAGATCTCACTGGAAGACTAGAATGGGGCTAGGATTCCTAATGAGACACAAGCCAAAGTCCATTCAGTCATTCTAACTGGGTCAGTGACCATGGGACAGCTTGGGCACTACTGAGAAAGCACATGCTCTGAGGTCAGCAAGTGGCCCTCTTTGCCCATGCACAGCAGGCAGATCTTCTGAAAGGCCTCTGTGATTGAGTCTGTCCCCAGACCCCTTCAATAGCTCCCCACTGCCTCTCCACTGCACTTGCAAGCCTGAAGCTCAAGACACATCAGTCTGGTCACAACCCACACATTTGCAGTGGCCGAGAAGCTGTGAGCTGGGTCCAGGCAGGGAAGTCGCCCAAAGATCTCTGAATTTCCCCTCCCCCGCCACAAAGGATGGCAGAAGAGATGGTGGGCCAGGCAGGGCCAAGGCCCCCGGAGGCCTGGCCTACCTGAGTCTGGGATGAGTAGCTCATCAATGTAGTGGATCACCCCGTTGGTGGCTAGGATGTCTTTATTGGAGATGATCGCCTTCCCGTTGATAGTGAGCATGTCCCCGCTGCAGCCCACCTCCAGTGTCGTGCCCTCCAGGGTCTCTACAGACAGCCCCGCAACGATGGCTTCAGCACACATAGCTGACTTCAAGATGTGGTTGTTCAGCAGGTCTGGGGTCCAAACAGACTCAGGTCAAGTCAGGGTCCACTCCACGATAACCTCAGGGACCACTTGCAGCCTGCCCATGCTGTGAGGATCCTGTTCTCTCAGATGAGGACCCTCAGATGAGGCTGGGGCACCACAGGGCCCAGATCCTCCTCGCCTTCTGCCTGCTGCCCTAGAAAACCAGCTGGGGCCCTGTGGCCACTTTCCAGCTGTGGGACCCTGGGAGAGTCATTTAGCCTCTTTGAACCTCAACTTCCTTATCAGTCAAGTGGACATAAGAATTGCATTCATCTCCTAGGGCTGCTGTGGGGATGACATGAAATTCTGAACCTAAAGCACTCGGCACGGGGCCTGACAACAGAGTAAATGCTCAACAAATGTTAGTGATTAGCTTATTTGTAGCTGAACTTCAGGGATACAAGAAAAACTCAAGAGAGCCTACCACGGGATTTTAGAAATCTACTCACCTTTATAAAAATGTAAACTGTAGTAGGAAAAGACGAAAAGTGTACAAATGACAGCTTTGAGTTATTTGTGTACACTTTATTTGTCCAGTTTTCTGTTCATTTAGCCCAAGGGTCTACTAGCTGCCAGGATATATCTTAAGGTTTGGTGATCAGTAAGACTTGGCCTTTGCCATCCCATTCACCACACCCATAAATAGTAAGTATAATAATTTATTTGCTTATCCAAGTGCTACTTTAGGGGGCAGGGCAGGGCTGAGGCCCAAAGGGGGCTCCTGACCCATCGTGACTCCTGCTGGTCTCCATTGCCTCGGAGAGCCCAGACAGGCTGGATGGAGGCAAATGCAAGGACCAGTCAAGGAGGAGGAGCCCCCCCCAACCCCAGGCTGAGCAGGTGGCCTGGACTGCTGCTCACCAAGGTCACCGAGGCTCTATGTCCCATATTCTCACCACGGAGGCGAGTTTCAATCTGATCCCAAGTGTGGGAACCAAAACCACACTGTCATAGGCAGGAGGAAGCTCTGAGGCCCTGCAAGGCATGGGGCTGCTGCAGACGAGTTGATGGCCTTGGAAGCCCGTGCTGGCCACATTCAGCCAGAGGGAAAGAAAAAGGGTGAGAAGGCCTATGGGAATGAGGCCTTGGGGATTGAGCTTCTTAGAGAAGGAAGGTGAAGTCCACGATGTGGTAGAGGAACCTGCCAGGGCCACTTGGAGGGTGAGCAGGGCCAGGGCTGGAAACTAGTCTTCAAACTGGACACACCACCAGCCCTGGCTGCTTCTCGCCTGCCTGCCTGCCAACCTGCCGGTAACAGCAGGAGACTGTTGGGTGTGGGGCAAGGACCTCTTCCTTCCAGTCTGCAGCGATGGCACCAAACAGAGTGTCCTTGCTCTGAACCAGCTGGTTAGTGAGTAGGAAAAGGCAGATTTGCAAAAGGGACGAAGTAGGGGCCTTTTTTTTCTTACAGTTTATAATAAGGAGTTTTTTTTGTTTTGTTTTGTTTTGTTTTGTTTTTTTCTTTTGAGAGAGTCTAGCTTTGTTGCCCAGGCTGGAGTGCAGTGGCATGATCTGGGCTTATTGCAACTTCTGCCTCCCAGGTTCAAGTGATTCTCCTACCTCAGCCTCCTGAGTAGCTGGGATTACAGGTGGCCACCACCACACCCAGCTAATTTTTGTATTTTTAGTAGAGACGGGGTTTTACCATGTTGGCCAGGCTGGTCTTGAACTCTCAGCCTCAAGTGATCTGCCCGCCTTGGCTTCCCAAAGTGCTGGGATTATAACCATGCCCGGCCTATAGTAAGGAGTTCTGAGGTCTCCAAAGCAAAGAATGTGCTCTGTGCAAATCATGTTTTAATAGGGAATACAGTTCTAAAAGCCTTTGGGCCCCTTAAGGCTATGTGTGTCCCAATGCCCGCCCTCATTCCCCATTTTGTGCTGTGAGTATCTCTGTCATTGCACTCACCAAATCAGATCCCAACAACCTGTTTTAAAGCCTGCCATTTCTACTAGGTCTTAAGTTTCTTGGAGGCAAAGGCTGTGCTGTATTCATTTTCATGGCCTCTGTCCCCAGTGCCGGCCAGGCGCATAGAGGTACCATAATCACCTGGACACGGAACAAATCCCGTCTTCCCATCTGTGCTTTCAGAAATATGCCCTTTCCCATCCCTGCACAGATAGAAGGAGAACACTTTAAATGTATAGATGTATAGGGTGTCTGAAATGCATTAGACATTTTATATAGCACATTGACACGGTGGGTTTAAATAGATTCAAAAGAAATCAAGTGATCCTGGAATATGTTTGAGAGGAAAAGTGTGGTGGGGTACATCAGAGACCTGGGGCGTACCCTGCATTTCAGGGGACTCAGGCAGCAGCTTTGTGCTCATGGCCTTTCAGAGGTCCTGGAGTAGAAAGGGGCAGGGTAGGGGGAAGGCAGAGTCCTCCTTTCTCATCTCCAAAAGGAAAACATGTGAAAACACGTTAGCTCCTTCCTTCCCTCTCCTGCAGCAATAATCAATGCACTGCCTAACTTAGCAGCTCATTGAGGAGGGCATGACGAAATCTGAAATGGAGAGTCAAAAGTTGACTACTATAACTGTTTTTTTTTTTTTTTTTCTTGAGACGGAGTGTCGCTGTGTCACCCAGGCTGGAGTGCAGTGGTGCAAGCTTGGCTCACTGCAACCTCCACCTCCTGGGTTCAAGTGGTTCTCCTGCCTCAGCCCCTGAGTAACTGGGATTACAGGTGCCCACCACCATGCCCAGCTAATTTTTGTATTTTTAGTAGAGATGGGGTTTCGCCATGTTGGCCAGGCTGGTCTCAAATTCCAGATCTCAGGTGATCCGCCCACCTTGTCCTCCCAAAGTGCTGATATTAAAGGCGTGAGTCACTGTGCCTGGCCTATGGCTGGTTTTTAACTGTAATTTTGGTTTATCCATAAATCCCCTAGCCACAGAGAAGAATAGTGAAGCGTGGGCATGAGGAATCCATTTCAAGGGTGCCAGTATCTGCCACCCCCACACCTGTAAGCTGTTGCTCTACCTATTAGCCTTGCTCTGGCCTTGGCTATTCCAGCCTTTCACTCTCCCTGTTTCTGGCCAGGGCCAGCTATGGGTCTCCAGCTATGCCTCTCTTCAGTCCAGCTCTCCCAGACAAAAGCTGCTGGATTCTGTAGTCAGCCCTCAGAGTAGTGTGGCTGCTAGAGACACGGTTAGCTGAAGCAACAGGACAGGATGACCCCAGCCCATGGCTGCAGTGGATATCCTGAGGGTCACCTCATGGCAGGTGGTATGTTCATCTTGGACCAGAGCAGGTCTTGGGCTCAATCTAGCTGCACAAATGAGGCAGCAGCAGGAGCCAAAGGATGCTCACCTCTCAGGGCTTCTGGGTCGCCCAGGATACGGTTCAAAGTCTCACTAGGGATCTTCTCGAAGGCCTCATTGGTCGGGGCCAAAAGCGTGTACTGGCCGTTACCTTCAAGCATCGTGTTGAGCCCTGATGCAGCCACAGCAGCCTGTGGGGAGGAGAGAAGATGGAGTGCTCCCTGAAGACTCTGGCACTCCCCACAGAAGATGCACACACAGCTTCACTGGTTCCCCGCAAGGGCTCGAGGCTTTCACAGAAGCCCAAGACGAAAACAGAAGCCAAACCCAAGCTCACCCATGACCATGGCCCCCAGGGGGCCTTGCTGGGCCTGAGCTCCAGCCAGCCTGGCCATCTTTCATGTCCTTAACCTGCCTTTCCTCTTCCTGCCCCCAAGTCCTTGTCCCTGCTGTCCTCTCTGCTCTTCCCTCTTACTTTGCTTCTCTGATTCTATTCATTCTTCCACTAAAATATCATTTCTTTGGGAGGTCAACTTGGCACACTTCCCACCCCATCTCACCGCCAGACAAAGGTGAGTCTGTCTGCTGTGCCTACACTCATGGCTTGCAGCCCTCCTCACACTGTCACTCGACAGTTACTGGTAATCACGTACATGAGCCCATGCATGGAAGGATCACACCACCCATTCTCTACACAGCTGCCAGAAGGATCTTCTAAAGGCCTGAGTGGTTTCCTGCTGCTCCCAGGATGGAGATGCACTCTTTCCCAGGTCTGCAAGTCCTGGAGGATTGGGCCTGGCCACTCTGGCCTTGTCTTTGCCCATTGTATGCCCTTCACATGTGACCTCACCCACTGGCCTCTCCCTTGCCCTTCCTGCCCTGAGCCTTTGCTATTACTCTCCCCTCTACTGGGTGTGCTCTTGCCCCAGCATTTTGTATAATGGACCCATTCTCATCCTTTAGGCTGCAGATCAAAAGCCACCTCCTCCAGAGAGAACTCCCTGACTTTCCAATCCTCCCTGCACTACTGTCACTCCCGATTTACCTGCCCACTTGACATAAATTATCACAGCCCCTGGCTACCTTGTTGATTTGTTTGTTGTCTCTCTCCAGATAGAGTATTAGCTCTACTGAGAATAGAACTTTGCCTTCCTTGTTCACCTCTATACTCCTGGCACATAGGCCCACCCGGGAAGTAGCAGGTACCTAGTAAGTATGTGTTATAAGAAGGAAAGATCGGCAAAATGGAGGGTCAGAAGAGGGAAGGAAGAAATATTTACCAAATCTAAACAGTAAGAGGAGGTGATGCAAAGGGATCAATTGCTGTTCACGTGCTGCCAACTATGTGGGAACATCATTTTCTTGCAGACCCCCGTCCTTCGAGCAACCCAGAAGAAAAGCATGGGAGAGGAGCTTAGACAGCGAAGCTCCCAGCTAACAGCCATCCACACCTGCGAGGCCTGTCAGTGCCAGCCAGCCCCAGCGTGTTTGTCTCTCTGTGTTGGAGATCTCTAGGGAGGGTCCGCCTCACTCCCACTTGTATCCTTTGTGGTTAGGAAGTTCTCCTTGAATCAAGGCAAAAACCCTGACAGGGCAGCCTGCCTCCACTTCCTCCTGAGCAGTCCTTGCCAAGAGGAACATGCCTTCCCCTCCAGTTGTAAGACAAATGCCTGCTGGGCATGGGGGAAGGAACCGTATTCCTGCGGCCCCAGAGCAGTCAGAAGCCAGGCTGGAAATCAGACCCTTGACTTCTGTGTCCACACTGGTGGCTTCTCTGCTGTTCTGGGCTCCAAGAGAACATGCGTATGGTTGGAACCAGGGTCCTAGGGTGGGGACATGTGATCCCAAAGCACACACAGCCTGATAGGCCATTTATTCTAGTACCCCATGTGGGAACTGCCACCTCTGGAAGCCACAGTGCAGGTCCAGGGCTCAGAGGACACTGTGCTGCTGCAGCCACACACCACTGACCTTTCCAGGGGAGGCAAGGAAGGGAACACTTTATAAAGAAGATGGAGAATTTCACAGGTTAGGTCAAGCTGAATGTCTGGTCAATGAATTCTCCATGTTCAAGGGCATTCAGGGGAACCTGCTCTATGTTCCCCTACAGGAGCCATCCTCTACCTCTCCTGCAGAAGAGTTCCTGCTAGGCCCCTCTTGGGAGGCAATGTGTCCCAAGCCTGGGCCTCCACCCAGGGCAGTCCCTTACCCGAAGGGTCTCAAAGGTGTCCTCGATCTCAATGATCTGCTGGATGTTGTTGGTGATGGTGGAGATGACCTTATCGATGAGGTGCACCACCCCGTTGGTTGCATGGTGGTCGGCTTTCAGCAGCCGGGCACAGTTCACAGTTACAATCTGCCCAGAGAAGCAGCAAGGATGAGCAGTCAACACAACAGAGGCATAGTCCCAAAGCCCCGGGAGGAGAAAACAGTGTTTTCAAACACAGTAGCAAAATGTGGGTTCCACAAGCTGTGGAATAGAGGGCCCAAGGAGAAGCAGGCACAAAGAGGGTGGGTTGTCTACAGCTTAAACCCCAGAAACCAGCCCACACATGGAACAGAAATGGGTTCATTATGCACCAAGGGCCATGCAGTATGGCTGGGGATCCCCTACCCCATTAGGATAGTGGTGGATCTGGATGTTGGAATTCTGGTACATAGAGGTGAGGGTCATGCCGTGTTTCAGCTCATCAGTCAGGACTCGCCTGCCCACCATATGGTAGCGGAGGGCATTGAGCAGCTCAATGTTGACATTGCTGACCAGGGAGTCCAGCACTTCCTAGGAGGAAGGACAGGGTGTCAGTTAGGGGCTGCAGACTCTGTGTTTAAGAGATGGGTCCTTGCAACTCTGGGAAACATGTTCTCAGCCCTCGTGAGCCCAGGCCTCTCTTCTGCCAAGGATCCCTCCTCAGGAAGCACCCAAGTCTTTCTGCCCAGTAGGGAACGGGGGGCATTAGACGCAACCTGGTAAGACATATTTTAGCTCAAGTTCCACAGCCTTTTCTAAGGGGTTAAGGAGAAAGCTTCCTGAAACAGTAGGAAATGACTGCAGACTCCCATTCATCATGCCCACCCCTCGGGGAAGTAAGGCAGTTCCCCATAAGAGTCCCCCGGGCAGACGGAGGTCATCTCACAGCTGGCAAGGAGGCCCAGGCCTCGTTGCTAGGGGCGAAGATGGTGAAGCTGCCGGGCCCCTCCATCTCAGGCCTCAGCTTCTCCGTGCGGTCCGTGTACAGCTGAGTGGTGGTGGATCCAACGACTCCCAGGGTCTCGTAAAGGTTTGAGAGTGGTAGGGCTGCAGGAGCAGAAGACAGAAGGAGGGATGGCCTCTGGGGGTCCAGCCCAACCACACCCTCCCTTCTCTGACAGAGAGCACGGTACATCTACAGGTGGAGAGGACGAGGAGGCATGTGGGAAAGCCCAAAGACAGGCTGTTTCTGGGGGGCTTAAGGCTTGTTATAGTCTTCTTAAAACAACTCAATAAGTCAAATGCCTGTCTACGTGAACTCAACTAATTGGTGATTTTTAATCATTTTAAACACAGCAGAGCACAGCTCTTGTTCCCAGACATTTAGATAACAGAGGCAGGAATGGACACTGGAAACAGATATCCTAATTACAAACTAGTCTTACAGATTTACCTGTTTATTGAAACTGGTTCCCTAATGGCTTCTATTAGAATAAGAGACTATTATAAATCTCCAAAGTACTGTGTGTATTTGCAGGTAATAAAATGTTATTTCTTAAAGCAGCTTGAAGTTTAGAAGGGGTTTCTCAGACCTTATAAGACCAAAATGAGTTTCATGTTCATTTGTTTTTTGTTTCTTAGACCAAAATGAGCTTAATATTCATTTTGAAGGGTCTGAAATTAGGGTTCAGAGGTTGAGCTCCCCTTCTAAGGTCAATCTTCTTTTCCCATCCCATTTCCCCACCTGTCCCTCCACTTGAGTCAGTACCTCCATGGCCCCACCCGCACCAACCTCTCCCATCACATACTCTAGGAACCTTGGAACCAACCAAATTGCCCTCCTTCCTGTTATGTCTCAGTCTCATGATTTATTTATTTATTTATTTATTTATTTTTGAGATGGAGTTTTGCTCTTCTTGCCCAGGCTGGAGTGCAACGGCCCTATCTCAGCTCACTGCAACCTCCGCCTCCTGGATACAAGCGATTCTCCTGCCTCAGCCTCCTGAGTAGCTGGGATTATAGGCGCCCACCACCACACCCAGCTAATTTTTTTGTATTTTTAGTAGAGACAGAGTTTCACTATGTTAGCCAGGCTGATCTCAAACTCCTGACCTCAGTTGATCCACCTGCCTTGGCCTCCCAAAGTGCTAGGATTACAGGCGTGAGCCACCGTGCCCAGCCCAGTCTCACAATCTTTAAGAGACAAGGTCTCACTATGTTGCACGGGCTGCTGGTCTCGAATTCTTGGCTCAGGTGATCGTCCCCTCTTGGCCTCCCAAAGTGCTGGAATCAAAGGCATGAGCCACTGCGCCTGGCCTCAGTCTCACATTCTTAACTAAAAAAATAGCCAATACAGTTGGCCCTTCGTATCTGTGGGTTCTTCACCCACAGATTCAACTAAACATGGACCAAAAATATTTTTTGAAATACAATAAAAGATAATACAAAAATTTAAAAGAGGGTATAACAACTACTTACATAGGATTTACATTATATTTGGTATTATAAGTAATCTTGAGATGATTTAAAGTACATGGAAGAATATGCATAGATTACATGCAAATACTATACCACTTTATATCAGGGACTTGAACATCTGAGGATATGGCATCCTAGAATGGGTCCTAGAATCAATCCCCCGCAGATACCAAAAGATGACTCTATTTCAAAATTAAAACAAAATACTAACTCCCCTGTACAGTCACTTGTGTGTAGCACTAAAAGAAAAGCTCTAATAAAATTCACAGGTGCCATGCTGTCTTTCGCCCAGTGCAACCATTTGTGGGACTCTCTGCTGACTCTGGGTGAGCCCACCTGGCCTATGGCTCTTCTCCCTACCGAACTCCAAAGGGCCAAGTTTAGACACAGAGGGAGATGGGGATGGCTTGGGGTTGCCAGCCCACCAGTGACCCCCTCCTCCCACATCCCATCGGCTCTCTAGCAGAGCTGATCGGAAACTGATGGGCTATCAGGCTGACCCTGCTGGATGTGTTTAGAATCACTCCCAGCCAGAGGCAGAGGCCAAGAGCCTGAGCCTGAGCCTGTGCCTGCTGGGAAGGGCATGGACAGGCCACAGTTGGAGTCTACTCCACCAGTGTGGTAAGGAGGCCAGGAGGAGCAGCTCAGGAAATGCGCTGTTTCCAGCTTCCATTCCTCAGCCCCTCGCATAGAGCCTGGGGCCAGTGGGCACGTGGGGAGAATGCCATGTCCTTGTGCCACTGCCCCCATTCACACTCTGCTGCCTTTTATGTGGGTACTCCTCTCTCCCACCATTCCCTTCCACCCACACCAACAGGCAAGGCCCGGAGGATTCATTCACCTGCTGGACAGCCCTTCTCCCCAGGGACCTTTTCATATCCAGGACAGCACTCGTAGCTGATGACTCTGTAACAAGACAACCATACATTGTGTTAGGCAGGGCTTCACTGTTCCTCACAGGTCATCTGGCCCCTCTCCACTAAGTTGCCTCCACAGCCAAGGAAGAGGAATGGTGGGTGAAACACTCTCCTCTTAGGAGTTATTTGCTAAGTCATAGGTCTGCCTTTCCTGAGCAAGGAGAGTCTCACTCCTCCTCTGTTCTGTAGAATGCTCCTGGCGGCTGCCAACACCTACAGCCAACCAACTGGGAGAACAGAGGACTCTGGCAGCCTAGTCAATGTTGTGACTAGAAAACATAATGCACCAAGGATTTTATCTCAACATTATTCACAGGAAAGCCGATGGTGAGTGTTCCTGAAAGGGAACAGGAAGGAATAGAAAGAGCCCTGCACCAGCTCTGGCTCTGAGTCTTTCACTGACCAGCTGGGCCATCCTCAGCCAATTTCATCATCTCTCTGGGTCTCAGTTTCCTCATCTGTAAAACACATATGTGTATCAGGCAGTGGTCATTAAATCTCTCATGATTTTCTAGTTCTCTGATTGAATAGCCAAAGAGGGGAATATATCTACAATCATCAAGTTTTTCTCTGTCTTCACAATCAAATTTTAAACTTTAAAATTAAAACAAAGCTCCTCTTACGAAGATACTTACTTTTTATTTTTTAAATAAAAAAAGTAATCAATAAGAACTTTTGTTTTCTGGTTTGAAATTGAAAATATACAAACAGTGACCACTGTCTGGAGATCTGAAATACACAGCTTTAACGAACCAATATTCTGGGGACGGCTAAAACACTGAGAATTTCAAATAATATTGCAAGGAAGGAAGTGTTCTGAAAGCCCACACCTAAGAAAGACTTGCTTAAAACCAAATCCCCAGGTTCTGCTGAAGGCTACCCTGTACCTTCGGTGGAGTGAGCACGACCTCTACTCAACAGGCCTGGAACCAAATGCAAACAGCCAGTCCTTCCTTTTCCTTTCTTCTATATGAATATGCCCTTTGAGACAGGAAAGGACTCAGACTTTAATTGCAGCGGGTTTTACCGCAGAACTGCTCACTGTGGGACTCTCAAAGGGCGTTTAATGACATCACCAGGAAAGAAACAGGCCGACTGGAAGAAATACAGGCTTTAGGGCTCTGGAGGGGCCTCTGGAAGGTGCTCTCAGTGTGCCCAGGAAATCCTGCTCTTGTTCATTTAAATGGAGTCGTCTCAGGGAAGACTTAGTTAAGCGAAGATGAAGCCTGATTCATCTGTTCTCCAGGGGGTGTTTCAGAGACAGATCAGCTAAGATGCTCAGGTGGCCAGGGAGTTGCAGCTGTCACTTTGCTAGAAATGGGCTCCCAGGAAATGACTGAGGAGTGACAAGCTATGCACATTCTTTTTTTTTCCTGTTTGCTTCCTCCTCCTTCCTTCCTCTTTTGTTTTTTTCTCCAGTCCTCCTTCCATCCTGTTTCTTTCTAACCTTTCATCCCTGAACTTATAAGGGCTAAACAGGCTATTGTCTTGGGACTCATCTTGATTGACTCACAATTTTATCTTCAGAAACTAAAGTCATCCTCTGCAACTAAAGTAAGATTTGATTGACACACTTTCAAAGGTGGTGTGGTGTAAGAGAAACAGTGCTAGAATCAGGAGATTTGACTTGTGATCCATCAGTAACTAGCAGGGTGAACTTGAAAGTCCATTTCTCTCTCTGGTCTCAGTTTCTTGGTCTATGAAATGGGGTGAAGTTAAACTAGATGATTTTAAAAGTTACTTGCAATCTCACACTCACGATTCTAGTCCATATTTCTAGAAGACAGAGAAGAACTGTCTGCCAACTTTTCCCAGCTAAATCCAGGGAGAGCTCCAAGCCTTGAACCCATAGGACTAGGGATGCATATGCATGGGATATGCATGGGATTCTAGGCTTTCTGTGATAAATTCCAGGGCTGTATTACTGGGGCTGTGATGTGGGATTAGGTCAAGTCCCCCCAAACTTAGTTTCTTTCCTAAAGTGTCTGTGTGAAAATCCATGGAGATGCTGAAGCAGAGTTGGAGGAATAGTGTTATCCTCAAAGTCCTCATGTCAGGGCCCCCTGTGCACACGGGTGCAGTACTCTCTATGGCATGGAGCCCCTGGGAAAGCTGGCCAAAGACTCTTTTTCTATATTGTTGGCTTCTGAGTTCCATCCCCAAAATACCGCAAGGGAGCTGAACAGCTCAAGTGGCCTCACCAGGATCTCATTGAGGACAAAAGAAAACCAACTCCTCAAATATTAACTCATTGGTTCCTGTGGCTAGGTGTGTGTGTATGCTGAGGGGTGTGTAAAGAAAGACACCAGGAGAAATGGAGGTTGGGGGTTTAGGAGGAAGGGATAGATCTAAGCAGAAAAGTCTCAGCTTGGAGTAGAGTAACTCAGGATAGAATCAGAAAGAAAGCTGTAAGGGTTCTGAGGGGTGAAGGAGTTTCTTAAGGTCATAGGTAGGTAGTAACAGACCTAGGACTCTTGCTGCATTCCATCAAGTCCAATCCTTTTTCCATTGCTCTTGAAAATGCACGTTTGGAGGATAGCAGACAGATTTGGAAAGTCTGACATCTAGAAGACACAGGGGGTGTCTCCAAAGTGATCAAGGCTAGCCCTTGTCAGCACTCACTGTTCCTCTCCATGTGGTCTTTCAGCACCCATGTCCCACAGTGGCTGGACTACACTCTACTGTCACACATGGATGGCTTATGCAGCACATGCCCAACAACCAAGGCTCAGTCCCTCAGGCCACTGAGTCTTCTCGTGCCAAGGGCTTTTTCCTGGTTAACCGAGTGTGGCTTTCAGCCAGGAAGCTCTCTCTTAATCCTCTTGCCTTCCTGCTGCCCAGTCTGGCATCTCTGTCACTCTCTAGGTGTGCAGGGGTTAGCCACGCCTTCAGCCCCAGTGCAGCAGCCTGTGGGCTGGGAAGGTGTCAAAGCTGGCAGTCCACCTGCCTCCAACTGCCCCAACAAATTAACTCTTTTCTGAACTGGTCTGCATGGCCCCAGAGCAGCAGAGAGCAGCTGTGAATCGAAGGCTGAGAAGATTTCAGGCAACTTTGACCAAAATTTTCTGGGCTGGCAGTGGCCTGCTCCACTCTCCTTATACTCAGCTCAGTGTGCCATGCTCCCTGGCCCTGGTCCCAGGCAGAACATAGATGCTGTGGTTGGATGGGCTGGGAGCAATCACAGAGGCATGGGTCTGATGCCATTCCTCCAGGATGAACATAGGAAAGGATGGAAACAATAGGGGGCTTCCCAGCCATAGCCCCCCAGTTCCTAGGCTTCCCTGCATAGAAAAGACCAATCTGTTGGTTTCTGAATCTAATCTCATCAGCCAAAGCTGTTCCGATTAAAGGCTTCAGGCTTCTCCTCAGCCAGATACAGTCTAATAAAGAAAAACCTCAGGTCAGAAAAAGCAGATCCCTTAGGACAGCGGTCCCCAACCTTTTTGGCACCAGGGATCAGTTTCGTGGTAGACAATATTTCCCCAGATGGTGGCAGGGGGAAGGGGTGGTTTTGGTATGAAACTCTTCCATCTCAGACCATCGGGCATTAGATTCTCATAAGGAATGCACAAGCTAGATCCCTTACACGCACAGTTCACAATAGTATTCGGACTGCTATGAGAATCTAATGCCACTGCTGATCTGACAGGAGGCGGAGCTCAGGCAATAATGCTCACTCCCTGCCACTCAACTCCTGCTGTGTGGCCTGGTTCCTAACAGGTCACAGACTAGTACTGGGAAGGTGCCTAAATTAGGGAAGGCACCTAATTTAGAAGAAAGTTTCAAGGAAGGTGCAAAGAGATAATGTCAACCCAAAGTCTATGTGTAGGGATGTCTGGGAGGCTCTCCACCAGTCCCTTCTAACATTTTTACTCAAGATTGGATAGAGAGAAGTACTGAGTTTTCTCTCCCTAAAATAAGTTTCCAAGAAGTTAATATAATTTAAAACAACCACTGCACTTCACGGATTTGGCCGGCTGCTCTGGCCGTAAATGCCTGGGGATTAATTATACTCGAGAAGTCGTTGGAACAAGGAATGGCCCTGTAGGCCAGTCACCTGTGACTGAAGGTAAACCATACAGGGCATCATAGTTTCCGAGAGGAATGGCAGAGCAAACACAGACCCATAACGTCTAGACATCTGACATGGCCCATGGACTGCTTGCCTGGGATGGTTTGCTTTCTGCCCTCCTGGTCTTGGAAACACAGCTGAGCTGATTCTGAAGCCTCCCAATAGAAAATCATGGCTTGCTTTAACCTACTGTCTACCAACAAAGGCCTCAACCACTACAGCCCTCACCAGGGGCCAGCCTGGTTGGTGATGAGGACAGAGTCTTCAGAATGTGGATGTACTTTATTTGTGGCAATCTGTATGCAGCATGTGAGGGCATTTTGGGCACTCCTGGAGGCTGACTGTGTCTCCTCAGTTCCCAAGCTCCTTGTCTGATGAGCGGTCTTGGGGATCCCCTTTACAGCAGGGGGTGAGCAACCTGGAGAAGGTTGATGACCCTGAGACAAAGGCATCCTTCTCTGATGCTGAGGAGGCCTTGTCTCTGGGACCCACAGCCACAGGTTTGAGGCTGTAGACAGAGACCTGGGGCAGTTTAGCCAGGTCCTACAGGCCTGCTCACTTGTTCACCTCCTAAGTCGCTGACACTAACTGCCAGGCTTGATACCCCCTGGGGGCAGCAAAAGGAAGTGGACAGACCTCCTCAGCTTACCAGTGAATGACTTTGACCAGGTTGCATAAAAGTCTTTTGAGCCTGTCTCCTCATCTGTAAATGGGCTAATAATCATATTTATCTTATAGTGTGATTGTGAGAATTGAATGAACTTACATATGAGAAGCACTTAACAGATGCTTACTGTTTACTAAGTGGTCAGTTGTGAAGCTTCTAAAGAAACTCCAGATATAAACCTTAAAGTTGAAACTATGTTAATATCTTCATTGAAAGCAATACCCTACATGAGACCATTGATAAAAGTACATTGAAATAAAGAAAAATGCATCTATAAGTCAACAAATAAGGCCTGTGTTGGCTTCCCATTGCTTTCTGTGACAAATTACCACAAATTTAGTGGCTTGAGATCATGCAAATTATCTTACAATTCCAGAGGCTAGAGTCAGAAATCGGCCTTATGGGGTTAAAATCAAAGGCTGCATTCCTCACAGAGGCTGTAGGGAAGAATCCATTGCTCGTCCTTTCCAGCTTTGAGAAGCTGCCTGCATTCCTTGGCTTGTGGTTGCATCACTCAAATGTCAGCTTTCATCATCACGTTGCCTTCTCTGACTCTGATCCCACTGCCTCCCTCTTTTTTTTTTTTTGAGATGGAGTCTTGCTCTGTTGCCCAGGCTGGAGGGCAGTGGTGCGATCTCAGCTCACCACAACCTCTGCCTCCTGGGTTCAAGCAATTCTCCCGCCTCAGCCTCCTGAGTAGCTGGGATTACAGGTGTGTACCACCATGCCTGGCTAATTTTTGTATTTTTTTTTTTACTAGAGGGGGAGTTTCACCATGTTGGTCAGGCTGGTCTCCAACTCCTGTCCTCGTGACCCGCTCGCCTCAGTCTCCCAAAGTGCTGGGATTAAAGGCGTGAACCACCAGGCACAGCCTGCCTCCCTCTTTTAAGTACCCTGATGATTATATTAGACTCATCAAATAATCCTGGATAATCTCTCCCTCTTATGATCCTTAATTTAATCACACCTGCAAAGTCTCTTTTTCCAGTAAGGGAATATATTTACAGAATTAGAGATTAGGATGTGGACATTTTTGGGAAGTCATGTTTCTACCTACCACAGGGTCTTACCCCAGGTGGCACATAGGTTCATGTAAATACCCAACAGAATAAAATTCCTTGTCAGCTAGTCAGCCTCCTAGTTTACAGAATGGGACAGAACCCTCAGGAAACACTGCCCAACAGAGGCGTTTGGTCGATCTCCGCTGTTTGGTGTATGTCCAATCTCAGTGCCCCCAGAGCAGATTATTCAAGAGATCCCAGCTGGCTGCACAGGGATATGAAACAGGAAAGGAGGCACTAGTATGGGTCTGGGGTCTGCTTGGATGACTTCTCACCATCTTCTTTTTTTTCCTCTTGGGACCAAGGTTGTGGGATATAAGGGAGGAAAACGACAGCTCTTCTTCACCTTCACGTCAGCTGTCCCCAGTGCCCTGCCCAGAAGGACACCTACTGAAAAAGCCCTGCCAGCTGATGGAAAAGCTCGACCATGCACCAGCTGATCTCTTTAAAAGTTAAATCTTTAAGCATTAATGCAGTGCTGAAGGAGTATTAATATTTTTGCCCCTGGGCAAAGGAACACTTGCTACTAGAGAAACAGGAGTGCTCTGCCAGCTCATCTTGGCTCCAGAGAAGGGCTTCGCACTTGTGAAATGTGTTGCTCGTGAAACAATTTCAAGACTTTTGGAATGAATAGCTGCCACCCATACCCGCTAGCTCCTCCACCAGCCCTCCCTATGCCACGTTTATGATGTCTGAGCTCCTGCTATGACTATTCCAGTCCCATGATGTCAACTTGGACTTGGCTGTTAAATAGGCCTCCTCTCCCTGGGGCTAGCACAAAGGAAGCCTGTCGAGAGGCAGCCAGGCTTCCTGACCACAATTTCCTGCACCTTTGCTCAAAGTGCCACACGTAAAAAATTTTATGGCTACTAATCAAACCAGGGCCTGAAATCACAGAGGGGGATGCTGACTGTCTGCTCCCCACAGCCCTCTTTGTTTGATTAGCCATTGTATCACTCCGGTGCTATTTAGGATCTGAAATAAATGCTAAAGTGAATTTCCGAACAATAAAATTCACAATAACAGCCACTAAATAGGGACCCACTGGTAACCACTTCCTGTAATAAAGTCCATATGTCAGCTTGACGCATTGCACCAGAAACTCAGGCCCTTCTCTCTTTGTAAATGCAGAAAAGCTTTTGTGTGCAGGCAACAGAGCTTCACCTGATGATAGCAGTGGAGTCTGGGGCCTCACAAAAGCAGGCAGGTGGCTCCAGGCTCCTGTCTCACCAGGTCGGCTCCTGTATCTCTGTGTGACCTCTCACCACAAAGTATTCCCCTGTATGCTTGGTACCCGTTGTCTGCTTCCAAGGTGAAATTCTCCTTCTGGTTTCTTGACCCTTGACAACCTGAGCTGCCTCCTCCCCCATGATACTTTACTCCTTTTCATCCCAACATACACCTCTGCTCCAGCCTCCTTCTCTGGAGTCTTGCTGAGAAAATTCCAACTGCCTATGGACCTCATGCAGAGACAGTCCTTTTTGCCCCAACCACTACTGTGCTCCCATTTCCCAGTCTGCTCCTCACTCAACTAAAGGCATCTAGGGACCTACTTTCCCCAGGATAACATCAACTCCAGCCAGCACAGTCCTCTCCCCTTCCCACCTGACCACCCATGGCACTGAATTCTGACCGTATGGTGGTCAGACAGTAGCCTCCTCACTGGTCTTGGTCTCAGGTACACAGGAGCCCTGCCAAGCCACTCTTACTGAGCTCTCTACAAGAACAGAGATGGGTTCCACCTCTTCCTCTCTCTGAGTTCTCTGGATCTTTTCCAGGGCAGCTCCACCTTCCTAATACTACATGTAATGTTCCAGGAAGGGCCTCTCTTGTCCTAGAAGTTTTATATCAAATAATATTTTTCTATCTTCATTTTCTCTCTTTGAAGTTGCCCAAAGCAGTGGCCACAAATTCAAGAGTTGAATGTAAATGTCATATCCTTCTGGCTTTGTGAGACTAGGCCAACAGCTGGGACTGGGCATCGGGCTTTGCCTGAGTCCACTCTGAACCCCATCTCCCCACCTCATCCAGACATTTCTTCCTTTTCCTAGAGGACTCCCCTTGTGCTCACTGGGTAAGGGAGCTGCGCCACCACATCACCACATTATCATATCCAAACCTGCCCCCGAGGGGTTGACCTGCTCATCAGGAACATTTTGGCAACACACAGCTCTGTTGCTTGTGCCTTGTCCTGGCACACAAAGATACAGGTACAAGAGCCAAGGCGACTCATCACTGACAGTATTCTCAGCCTGGACACTGATAGGGAATGTTATCGAGCTATTGTTAACTAGCTGGGCAAATGCTTCAGCCCAGCGGCACCCCCGAAACAGTGTGGCAGATGCTACCCTGTAGCCAGCTTGTCATCATAAACGGGTCTCCATTTTCAGAGAAACTTGAATTAACAAAAAAGATGGCCCTCTGAAGCCCAGGGCTCTTGAGATATAGAAGAGTTGTTTGCTTGGCACTAGCACTCTGGTCACCTTCCAAGAAGCAATTAGGTGAGGCCTGGCTTTGTGTTTAATTAAGTAATTAATTGTTAATTTGAGTAGATAATATACACACATGGGAAAAAATCAATCAGTACTAAAGGTTTTCTTTTCTTTTTTTTTTTTTTTTTTTGAGACGGTGTCTCACTCTGTCACCCAGGCTGGACTGCAGTGGCACGATCTTGGCTCACTGCAAGCTCCGCCTCCCAGGTTCACGCCATTCTCCTGCCTCAGCCTCCCGAGTAGCTGGGACTACAGGTGCCCGCCACCACGCCCGCTAATATTTTTGTATTTTTTTAGTAGAGACGGGGTTTCACCATGTTAGCCAGGATGGTCTCTGTCTCCTGACCTTGTGATCCGCCCACCTCGGCCTCCCAAAGTGTTGGGATTACAGGCGTGAGCCACTGTGCCCGGCCCATCTTTTTTCTTATTTTTTAAGTCAGGCATCCTGGAAGAATGGGTGGTGTATAATTTGCATAGTCTCCTTTTGTTCATAGCAGCAAGAATATCGCTGGGTGTCTGTTAGCTGAATCTTGGCAGTGTGTCCTCCTAGCTCACTCAACTTTTAGCTTGCAGGCTGGGCTGTCAATCAGGCATGGAGCAAGCTGCCATGGACCTGCCCTGGACAGGCTCCCAGGGACTGCTGGTATCTCCCCAGCTGTGCCATGAATCCCAACTTCCCTCAATTCATATTAGGATTGCTAATTGCCTAACATAATCAGGGTCACACATTGGAATATTTATTTCCACATACAGTTTAAGGAAAGAGCATTTTCTCTTCTTTCAGTTGGCTATTAAATTGGAGGAGATGTCTGCTCAAAAGCAATGTCACAACAATAAACTTAAAAATCCCTAACATTGAAAAGTGCTTAAGAGAGTGGCTTAGAGTTTCTTAATCATCCCATTATGTATGGAGACAGGAGGAAGGTCAGGCCTTCACAAGTGGCTCAGGAGATTTGTCATACACATCTTCCTAGCTATAGGAGACAGCCAGCTTTGAGATCTGTTGACAGTGCCAAAACAGATTAGGTTTCCCCAGAATTGTTAGAACATGCACCTGATTCCACCAGGGAGCTGGGCAGTGGGGTAAAAGCTGCCTCCCTCCTTGCTGAAACAGACATCAACAAGCCCTATTGTAACCACACTGGTCCACACCCCGTTGGCACTCTTACTTCTGCTTGTGTGGTCTAGATTTGCAAATCTAGGGTGATAATAATAATAGTAGCTAGCATTTATTGAGCACTGATATATGCTGGGCACCATATTCAGTCTCTTATGTACATTATTTCATTCAATCCTTGTAACAACCCCATAAGGTGGGTCCTTTTGTTATACGAACTTTTCAGGTAAAGCAATGGAGGGTTCTAAAGATGAATCGACTGGCCCAGGTAGAGCTAGGGTTTGAATGAGGAAGTCTGTGCAAATATTATATGCTATGCTGTCTCATAATCTGCATATGTTTAGTGCTCTAAGTCTTTTTGGGGTGTTTACCTTAGGACTGTAAGATAGGGATGGCATTCTTTAGTACAGATTCACCAATGGGCTTTCTTTTCCAGAGTCACATGCTGGTGGCTTCTCCACTGCATATCTGTATTATTTTATGAGGATTGAGAAACACACACACACACACACACACGCAGTGTTTCATGTTTCTTGCAAACCCAAACCAGCCCTGAAAAATGTCTCCAAGTCTTGTCAGCAGCCTTAAAAATGCAAAACAAAATTGGCCAGCTTCCTAAAAATGCCACTCCCTAGCACGCAGGTCCCAGACATGTTCGCACATGCATCTTCATGGCTTTTTAGGCAACCTGACCTTCTAGAAGGCTGGCCCAGGCCCTGGGGAACTGCAGCCAGCGTGCATACAGCTTGGTCTCCTGGCTGGTTACAGATACTCACGTTGATTTGCCACAGATTTTCCTTTGGTACCACTGCTTGCAGTTGGTGAAGTACTTCCTATTAGTGCCAATAACCTTCTGCACAGCACACACGTTGGGGCTGAAAACAAAAGCAGCAGAATTAGGAAGATGATCAGCACGTCCACCCCACTTTAATGACTCCCATCGTGTTTGCCTCCTTGGGTCACTGGAACTTTCTAGAGATAGAGGAGAGAGTCATTTCAGTCTTGGTACTGGGGATATCTTGGGTTTAGACTTTGGTTCTGTTTACCTAGATTCCCATCAGCCCCCATGAAAGCTTCCCCTGCAAAAATTGTTAAAATCTCTCTTACATACTGATGTAACTTCATGTACATATCCTTCTTTGACATGGGCAATTGATAAGTGTAAACAAAAGCATCTCTCAGGCAGCTCTCCATACAGACATGCTCTGCATGCCTGGACCAGCTGCTTGGCTCCCAAAGACAAGCCATTGTTACTGTCTATCCTATAAACCCGAGGCTTTATAGCTGGTTTAAACCATGGCTGGTTGCTCTCAGGACCCTGATAGGGGATGCTCTCCCATTTAACTCTCAGTTGTTCATTACTTAGATCACAGCTCAAGTCCCACTTCCCCCAGGAGCCTTTCTCCAATGTCCCAGATGACATGCTGCTTCCCATCCTCTGACAGTGGATACGGTCCTTATTTGATGTTGGGTTCCAAACAGAATTCCTGTAAGTGATGCGGGGAGGTGGGGGGTGTCTCTTCTCTGCATCTAACACTCAACAGAACCTTGAGGACAAGTGTTCTGCCTTGTTCTGTTGTTCACATTCTAGATGGGGCCTAGCATCCAGGCAGGGTGTAGAAGGAGCACGAAATGAACTTGTTGAAAATACTGCTCCCCAAACTACCCAGATCCAAAGAATCCTCAGGGACCCTGTGAAAAAGCAGAGTGTAAATGTCTGGGGGTTCTGCTAAGAAGCCTTTTCCAGAACCACAGGATTTTGGTTTTGCATGTTTTTTTCAAGTATACCAAGTCCTGACCCAAACTGTGCTCAGGCCAGGTGATTGTGAAAGCTTCATTAGGAGCCCCTAGGGAAAGGAAGCTGCTGTGCTACGTGGTCAGTCAGGAGAGGCGTGGTCAGTCAGGAGAGGGTTGATCTTCCTGAGCCAGAGGCAGGCATGCATCTGACTGAATCACAAGTCAGAGGAAAGCAAATAAAACAAACAATACTGAGGGCTTTCACAAGACCTCCAAGCTCAGAGAACTTCAGGTATCACCCAAAGGATGAAGTATTTCTTTAACATCAATTTCCCTGTTACTTTAAGAATGCCATCCACAGACATCACTTGATGTGCAGCGTATTTGTTAAGAAGACACCAATATTGCAGTAAAAACTACACCTACTGTCCCCATCATGATTCCTCTGCAGGAACTTGAACAATTCTCAAATATTCAGAGTCAGGCTTTTGGGTGGGAGTCCATTCTGCCCCTTCATTTCTCTGCCCTGTCTCTTCTGCGGTGATATGACTGTCACCTCTTGGCCAGTTTTTTGTTCAACAGGTGAAAGTGAGTGGGCCCAGGAGGGACAATGAGCATTAATGAATCCATGTAAGGATCTAGGGACAAGAGAAGTGAAGGCTGGAGAAGGGACCACAGCCAGCAGAGGCCCATGCCTCCCTAGTCCTAGCTGGGCCTGACCAAATCCTCCAGATTTCTGAATACCTGGTTTCTGTTTGCTGCCTAGGATTCACAGGTTAGACAGTCCCTGAATAACCCCTGAAGAGTCCTTGCTGGCCATACTCCAGCCCCCGGTCCTATTTATTGTTACAGAATCCCAGAAGCTCTTCAATCTGATCAAGCAGGAAACAATTACTGTCAATGAATTCCCTGCCACTTTCCGTAGGCGTTTGGCGAATCTTCAGTGAGTCTCTTGTGGATGTGGCTCCAACATTCCTTTGCTGAATGTTTCCACTGCTGCTGTCCTTGTGGCAGCAGCAGAGGCTGGGGGCGGCTGTGACCCTCTCCTTCTCACATCGGGGAGTGTGGGTGGGCTGTGTACATAGGAAGTTCATGCTGAAGCTTAATTGAAATGAGCAAGTTGCTTCTGGGCCTCAAGAATAACAGCATTGATGTTCAGCTTAGATTTGAAAACCAAGTGCTTCAGGAAATTCAGTTCAGTTTTTGGTGGTTGATGTTTGGAAGTGTGATTGTATTTTTACTTCTCTTTCAGTATTATTTTTCCCCTTCCCTATAGCAACACAGATATAGCTGGGAGTCAAGAGACCATATCATAGTTATTACTCTCCCAACAGCATTCTGTGTCTGAACTAAGTCACTCTCTACCTCACTAAGCTGCAGTTTCACCTCCTGTAAAATGGGAACATGAACAGTAGATCTCACTGTGTTGTGGTGAGGTCGAAAGCAAAAGCGGCAATCGAGTGCTGCGCACAAGCAAGGCACAGCTGTTATTTCTTCCTTCATATCAGGCAGCACGCTACAATTCCTTAAAATAGCAAAGTTTTCCTTCCCTTTCTAACAGTTTTCACTTTGAATGAAAGGCTGGAGCTAGAACAACGTTATCCATTTGCACAAGGCGCCACAGCCCTGTGTGCCAGGCCAGGCAGCCCTGTGGCATTAACAGGGACAGTTAGATCAGAGTAAATACAACTGTGCCTGCAACCATTTTGCCATGGTTCATGTGCCTGCGCATCCAGATTCTACTGGGACAGGGGTGCTCCTGTGACTTCTTAGATTACTCTGCCCATCACAGATTACAATAGGCCTTTCCAGCTGTGCTGCAGGAAGCTAATTAAGAGGCTTTGCCTGCAGGGGTATGGTGGGGAAGTTGATCTAATATCTGGAACTCATAATCAAGAGCATCTGCATTTAAGAAAAAAACCCTGTTTTCCAGCTGGTCAGCACTCTTCTGGGCTCTGAAGGGAAAGAGGTTTGCTGTAAAGATGGCTCTTGATGGAAAGCCCTCAATACCTTTGAGGATCCTTCACTGTGGCTGTGCAGAGAGATGCCCTTACAGGTGACACTGTTGCAGGGCATGCTATAAGGATCTTCTCCTGACTTAGTGGCGAAGATACAGAAGAAATAGAACCCTCCTAGGCAAATTGAGGCACCCAAACATAACACAATTCATTGGCAGGAAAGGCAGAGAGACCAACGGAGAGGTGGGCAGAGATAATAAAAATGCCAGGTGCTTGCATTTTGATGTTGAGGCCTCATATCCCTCTCATCTTTCTGACATCCCCCCTCACTCTATTCTGCACACTGCCCAAGTCAAAGCTGATTCTCCCACTTCCAGAAAGACCCCAGGATATCCCCAGTATTCTCCTCTTTCCAGGAGGGTGTTGAGGTTGCAGCCAGGCCTGGTTTGATTTCACTCTGCAGGGTGGCCAGATGTGCTCCCAGCAGGCCCTCTCCGCCAGAGCCCCAAACTCCTGAAAGGCCTAGACCATAAAGCCACAAGTAGAGGAAACAAGAGCAACTATGCCCTACAAGGGGCAGCCTGTACCCGTACCCAGAGCACTCCTAGTGCAAGGAGCCAAGACTTTCAGGGCCTGTGAAGTCAACTCTATCACCCCCAACAATGAGTTTTGATTTGAGCACAGATCTGCCCAGTCTCTTGGAGGTTTGGGCATTGCTTGTGGGTGTGAACGCCAGACCCCGATGGTATTTAGGCTTCCTCTGAGGAGTCACTACAAGATTCTACTCATATATAGTTTTACCTAGTTATGAAAAAGAAGTTGGTGCAACCAGGTAGGCTGGAAGCTGCAGCAAAGCCTGGGTATTTGTGACGCAGGTATGGCCTGGTTTTTGAGGTAGAAATGTTGCCTGCCTCTGCCTGGGTCAGTATTAGGGCCACTATCAGACCAGACCTTCTGCTTGAGTTTGTCTCCTAAAGCCAACACATCTTCAGGGTCTCAAAGGAATTCCTGCAATGATAGTGTCCTACATTTACAAACCCAGCTATTACTTTAAGACAGACTCCAATCCTGGCTCCAGTGCACACTTCAGGACTGTGGGAAAGTGGAACCACTCAGGACTCAGTTTCCCCATTTGAACAGTGTGTGTGAGGGCCCAGTGCATTCTCCTGCTCTTCATCGGGCAGGACAAGAAGTGCCACATTGCCCTTGCTGTACCCAGAGAGCAGTGTCGGGTGCCAGCAGTGTCTGAGTGCAGGGCCTGGCCAGGAGCACAGGAGCCTGGGGCACCTTAGATGCTGCCACCGTGTGTGGCCCAGGTTCTTGTCTGGAGTCGCTGGCCGGGGGCCTGGCTGGGTTGGAATAGGTGTACTGCTGGGTGGGCTTTGCCCTTGGCACCCTCCCACGGTGATTATGGCCAAAGAGTTGCCATTTCCCCCTTTCTGCAGTGGCTGGGAGGAGAAGCTGAAAGCGCTGTCCGTCTCAGGCTCTTGGCCTGCGTCGAAAGTCTCTGGTCCACTTCCCCACTCCCTTCTACAAAGCGGCGGCCTCCCGCTTTCCCTCCATGGTCCTCCACCTCCCTCCCTCTCTCCTTCCACCGCGTGCAGGGCTGGTGTCCGAGCGCTCCATGCTGCAAGGTTTTTAGTTCGGGCTTTGTCCCCTGCGCCCCCAGCCCAGTTCAATGCCCCCAGCGGCTTGCGCTCCGAGCCCCGACTACCTGACCTTCCGCAGCCCCTGGCCAGGCGGCTCGGCTTACCCGTGCTGGCGGCCCCGGAGCCTGCTGTGCTGCAGCACCAGCTGGTAGGGCGACTTGGCGGGACCCGCCAGGGTCGCGGCGGGGCCCAGGGCCAGAGCCAGGGCGAGAGCCAGCAGCCGCACGAAGAGCGCCATGGAGCGGGACGACGCGCACCGAGCGAGCTAGCGACCGACGGGCAAGCGGGCGGCTCCAGGGAAGTGAGAGCGCCTCCGCCGCCCGGGCCAGGTTAAGTAAGCTGCGAGCGGGAGGGAGCGGACGCCAGGGGCGGGGAAGCTGGGCCGGCCCGTGCAAGGAGGGCGGGCCGCCTGGCGCCTCCCAACCCGTGCGCCCCTGGCTGCCCTGGGCACCCACCCGCTCCCGCACTGTGCCCGTGCTCAGTTTTCCCAGCCCTTGCCCTCACTGCCAGCCCTCCCTCCCTCTCTCCCTCGCCACAGTCTTCCTCAAACCAAGGGTATAGGTCCCTTAGGCCTCCTGTGGCTGCTTCCAAATGGGGACCTTGGGACTGAGGGACAGCTGTCTCGGGGGCTTCGGTCCTGCATGCTGGGGGCCCGAAGATTCCCTCACTGATCTTGAGGCTACAAAACACTGCAGGGAGGGGTGAGGGGAGGCAGTGCTGATTCCCAGAACACCATGGCCCATCAGACTTGTTTCTGCACCCCAGGAGCTGACCACCCTCCCCAGCTCCTCAATCTCTAATCCCTCCACCCCCACCCCACCTGTCATGCTCATTGAAAGACAGATGAGTAAATCGTGTGATCCACAGAAACGCCAAAAATGTGGGGCAGGTTTTGTTGGGCTCTAAGCTGCTTTTGGAGCCCGTGGGGAAGGGTGGGGTCCTCACCTTGGTACTAATTCATTCCCTTCTTCAGTAAACATCTCTGCAACAGTACCTGCCAGATAGATTCTGCAAAGGCAAGAGTCCTGCCCTGGAGGAGCTCAAGGCAGGTAAACAAATTGTCACATGGTAAAGAGGTGATACTTACCCAAGCATCTATTAATCACCTGTCAGTTACTTGGCACTGCTAGCCCTGGGGAGACACAGATGGATTAATAGAATGAGTGAGACCTAAGCCCTTTGTGAAAAAGCTCCAATTTGGGAAGATCCGTAGCCCAAGCCAATGATGTTCCATGAAGAGTAGCTGGGGCTTTGGGAGCTAAGAAGAGGCACCTGGCCCTGACAGGGTGATACCTGCTCTGAGGCCTGAAAGATGAAAATGAGTTAATCAGGTAAACTGAGGCATGCATTCACGAAACTCAAGTTATCTGGTTGGCTGAAGCACAGGGAGGTGGAGTCAAGGGTAGGGAAGAAGGGGAGGAAGGTAGCAGGGCCCAGACTCCAGCTAAGAGCCTAGCGGGTGATGGGTGGAGGCAAGTGACATGGCCAGTGTCATGAGAGGCTTAAGGAGGCAAGAAGAACAGGTAACCAGGAAGGGACCATGGGAGAGCTTGAACTATGGTGGTAGAGGCAGAGATGGGGAAGGCTGGGCAAATGTGAGGGGTGTAGGAGGTAATAGTCTCAATAGAATTTGGAGTCTGTATACAGGGAGAAGGGGAGAAAGGAGAGTCAAGGATATTGTAGGGTGTTTGTGGTCTGGACATTGCAGCAGGTGATGGTGCCATGTTCAGAATGAGGCACATGCAGAGTGCAGGCTTGCCAGGTAGATGAGTGGTTTGGGACACCCTGAGTCTGAGGTGCTTATGACTCATCCTGGTGAAGCATCCCATGAGGATAAAGCTGGATATGAGGATCGGGGGCTTGAGTGAGGGACGCGGGATGAAGATTCACACCTGGGAGTCATCCTCCAGTGACAGAAGAGCCCAGGAAGTAGAGAATGTGGGGTTGTAGTCAAGGAGGGGTATCCTAGTAGGAGGGCGCTGCTCAAAGTGAGGAATGCTGCCAACAAGACAGATCTGAATGGCTTTCACTGTGTCAGAAGCAGAGAGGCCACTGGGGACTTGGCTGTGGAGAGCAGATGGCCAAAGCCCGAATATGGTGGTTTGATGGAGAGATGAGTAGCATGTAGAAGCTTGTCTGAGAAGGGAAGGGGCGAGTTAGGATGGCAGCCAGGGAAAGAAAAAGACAAGCGGGGCTTGGAGAGGTTAGAACTCTGGTAGAAAGAAGGTGGGAAGGAGAAGGGAGAGAGTGTGGGCACTGGAGGAGGGCCTACTGAGAGCATAAAGCAACTGAGGGCCTGCATGGGGAGTGATCAAGCTAGTGGAGAGGAGGGAACAGGTGTATGGGAGATTTTAGTGGTAGCATTGATTAGACTTGGAAACCCCTTGGGCATGCAGGGTTAGGGAGGGGGAGTAGAGCTAACCTCGAGGCTCATAGCTGGCAGGAAGGGATGCCTGTGCTGGGCACGCTGGTGAAGGTGCACATTTGGGTGTGTGAGGAGAGTGCTCCATTTGTGTTCACATTATGTGTGAACAAGCCACCTGCATTTCCAGGAGGGATGGACAGGAGGGAGCTATATTCAAAGGTCTTGAGCTCAGGATAGGTATGAGGATTGGAGATGCAGATTTGAGTCACCACTACGAGCAGGTGGTAGCTAAAGTCATGCACTGGATGAGCTTCCTTGGGAGCAGGTGTTGGAAGAGAGGAGGAGGAGGAAGGAGAAGAAAAGGAGAAGATGGGTTCAAATACCAGTCTTTCTACTTCCTAGCTGTGTGGTCTTGGGCAAGTTATTCAACCTCATAGAGAGGATAATAAAACCTACCTCACAGGACTCTAAACTAGATTACATGATACAATTCAAGTAAAATGGCCAATAAATATGCATTGCTATTATTATTATTACCTCTCCCCAGTCATTGTTCTATATAGTAGGGTTCAATGAAACAATATGATAGTTTTGAGCAACTACAGAAATAATTATCTGAAAATGCTCATTTCATTTATTGAAAGCAAAACATTTCTCGGTTTCAGCATGACTGCTTGGCATAGGATAATGGGAAGAACCCAAAGGGATTCAAGCTCAGGCTGACTCCCAGAACAAGTTTCCCCTGAGACCAGTAGAATTTGGCTGCATTGCAGTTTCTAGGAAAAATGCTCCTTGTATGTAAGAGGCCAGGAGCCCTGCCATCTGGTTCCAGCTCTCTCTCTAGCAAGATTTAGGGCAAGTCAAGCAAGTTCACTGGACCTCACTTCTCCAGTCTGCAAAACTAACATTCGATGACTTGAGTTTTTCCATGAGCTCAGTAAAGAGATTGCAGTAATACTTTATTTATGGTTTAGATATTTTTTTAAAATCCCACATCCATGCCCCACCACCCATCCCCTCTTTCAAACATGAAAAGCAGAATGCTGTGAGTATAACCATTCTCCCACCTGAGGTTGCTGCTTCTTTGGAGACAAGAGTGATGCTGCTGGAGGTAAGAGCAGGGACCCTCCATCCCCAGATGACCCAGAGCCAACCAGGCAAACACAGAGCACCAGAAACCCTGTCATTTGAGAAAGAATTTTTTCCTTCCAGATTAAACAATCTAAACAGGAGAAAGTGAGGCTTGCTTGGAAGAATCTTTACTAGACTTTTTCAAGCACTTTTTAAAAAATGACTGCTTTTACATTTTGTGGCACATGAAAGGTCACCAAAAACATTCAGGTTTTGAAAATAATACTGTAGGGTATGACAACAAGCTTTATGCATCATGATAAATTAGTAGTTCCAACAAGTTCTTCACAAAGGAACCTAGGAAAGAAACTGGTTCTGGGCCTGTTGGTGGGAGAGCTGGCATCTGCAGCCCAGCTGACACCAGGCCTGCCTTTTCCTTACTCCCTAAAGTTCCTGGTGATGCTTGGGCATACATGGAGACAGAAGATACAGTCAAAATCATTTTCAGAGGCCACCATATAGCTAAATAAAGAGCTCTTAAAATTCAGCTCCCCAAGACTTGCTAGGGAGAAAAAAAGGTGAGTTTTGGCAAGAGATATCCAAATGAAAAGATGTGAATCAAATTTTGGGGAAAATTGCCATCCCTTGTGTAACACACAGAACTTAGAATGGTACTTCATATACAGTAATTGTTTTTTCCATGTTACAAATAAAGGTAAGAAACATCTCAGTTTACTAACATTAAGGTGTGATTGTAGTACCATTTAGGGGATTTTGGATTGATTTCTCAAGGATTTTCCACAGTCTTGCCACTCAAAATGTGATCTGCAAAACAGCATCATCAGCACAACCCCAGAGTTCATTAGAAATGTGGAAAATTTAAAAATTTTTTATTTATTTATTTATTTTTTCTAGCTCTCATGAAGAAACGTGGAATCTTATAACCTCCCAACCTCCCAAGACCCACTGAATCTGCATTTTCACCAGATCCCAAGGTGATTTGTATGCACAGGACTACAGGGTCATGTTAAATAGCTATGAGCTCAGAGGTGGTTAACAGAGGATTCAATTTATGTAGGCATGGAAGAAACGAAATACACCTGAAAATGTGTACCAGTGAAGTGACCACAGAGGAACTCTCATCTTCCGCTGAGGCCCAGCTCACTTTGTGGAAGACCTTCAAGATGCCCAGGCACAAGGTCAGTAGTTGCATATTCAGTGTCTTCCACACACTGGACAGGGAGGGGAAATTGGCCACAGTCACCTTCCATTCTTCTCTCTTTTCAAAGCCCGCAAGGGAGGCTGGGATAATCGACAGGTTTGTAATGGCAGGAACTTAAAACAAACTTGAGGCTTCGGGCTCTGCAATTGATGGGAACAGAACAGCCGTCGCAGCCCTAGAATGGCATTAGGCCCCAGTGTTTAGTTTCTTAAATGACTTGGCTGTTTTCACAACTTCTCCAAACACTGGCTTTCTTAATCAGGGCCTGCCAAATGCTACTTGTTGGTTAGAACCCAATTTCATTTTCCAGGGAAACCGATTTTTCATGAGAGTTTCATTGATTTGGCTCAGCTAAAATATCTAAGAAGAATCCAGAGGCACTTTTGAGGTTGCTTTAGTTGCCTGACCTCAAATACTTTAGTGGAAGGATGCCCACAGATGATTGTTGGCTTACACATGCCTTTCCTCTGCTTCCCACGAGTTTTCTTGCACGTAGGATAAAGGCCTTCAGGGAAATGGACACCACCCAGCAGCAATTCATTCCAAAATGCAGAAATCCCTTGGCTCTTTCGTCCAGCTCCCCTTCTTCATTTCTTCATTCTTGCCTGTGGTGCCGCTCAAGGTTGGAAACCTTGCATTCAGTTTTGCCTGTCCCTGCTCTCTGGTCCCCCACGTGCAATCAGTCACCAAGATCCTGCAGGTGTTCTTTCCAAATCTCTCCTAGATGCTTCTGTTCCCTCTTTTGCTACTCAAATACTCCAGCTCCCCACTGCCTTACCTCTCACCACCCACAGCCTCCAGCCAGTCTGACATCAGCTGCCACCCCAGCCAACCATCTCCCAACGTGGCTGGTCTTATCTTCCTAAAACACTTCTACCAAAACACTGCACTCCTAGGACACTCCCGATGGCTTCTATTGTTTGTAAAAGAAAATCCAGACTTCTCTGATTGTTTATTTATTTTTTTGATGAACATTTTATCCTCCCCAGCACCCCACCATGTTAAAAAGGAATACAGGCACATTACCAAAAAAAGAAAAACCTTAAAAAATACTGAAAAGGCTAGATAAGAGGAACACACACATCCATAATCCCTATACTGAAAGAACTTCCCATGTATTGCCCTCTTTCTACTGTACCTGGCTTCTAAAGTCCTCTGCAAAATTCCCCCTTTGCTTCATGTAACCTGCTTTCCCTGTGTCCCAGTCTCAGCCTGGGCTCTTGCAGGGCCAGCCTGTGCCTCTTCCACCCACTCAGCCCCCCACCCCCAGCCTTGCTCTGCTCCCCGTGTAGTGAGCACTGTGCTCCTTCTTTGCCTCTACACACGTATGCGATACTCTCCCTCCAAAACCAGCTTTGCTAAGAAGCTTTGCTCAGGCAAATTCCTTCACCTCTCTGGGCTGCTGTTTTTTCAGCTGGTCTCCCTTCCGTGGCTCTCCCACTGGATGGAGCCTCTCCTTTTTGAAGTCTAACATCCGTCATCACAGTGAGCCCATGTGTTTGTTCCTCTGATTCTCTAACAGCCTCCTAATAAGTCAGCACGGAGCCCAGTTAGCATTTGCGGATCCATCAGTTGACTGGCTTCCTAAATTCTTTCTAGCATAATTCACACTTATTCTAATAGAGTGGTCAGAATAGACAAAGACATTTGTTGGCTCTGCTGTAGGTGACTGCTCCACCATATGCTGTGGACTAGACTCATTTGCGTGGCCCTCTGGGTCAGGCAGGGATTCTGAAGGGCTTTAAAGAACATCGGACCTGGCTCCCTCTCCAGCTTCCCTAGCACAGGCCTTAAGTCCCAGCACGAAGGAGAAGGATCGAGCTTCTCTGGGGCCGGTGCTCCCAACATCACATCCTGATCCTTTGGAAGCTCCCTCATGCTAGGTGAAAGAAAGTCTCTGCTTCCCCAGCTGCAATGTTGTGCCAGCATTAGAAGGTAGAAAGGGGAAGCAGGGTTGATGCAGCCATGACTGATGGCTCCACAGCAGCCATCCTGAGAGCCATTTTCAAAATTCCTAAGAATTTGCTGCTATCCTGACCCGATCCACCCTACTCCAAAACACCCTGGACATTCAAATCCATGGTATAGAAATTAATTTGTGCAGGCTAAAGAGCTGGTGAGATGAGAGCCACCATATTTTGCCTGCTGGTTTTAACATTTTAGAACTTGCTCATTGTCCAGATCAGCACCTTTGCCCTGGCATGAAAGGACAAAAATTAAACCCCATGTAGAGTGCCCCATGATACCCACCCCAGACTTCTCTGGACCCTCCACTGCCCCTCATCTAACGATTGGGCACTGGGCCCAGTGGCAGGCCAGCCATAACACACCCTTCCCCAGTCTTTCCCAGCATTTTCTTCCTCAGTCTTCCATCCATGGGACTCCTCATATTTCACTGGGACAGGAATGGGGTGAATGCTGTGCTCTACATAAACCACATAGTGCTCTGTAGTTAAGATACAAATGTTTAGAATGATTTCTGCTTCTAAAGACAACAAAAGCAAGAATTAGCCTCCAAGCTTCCTCCAGATGAGGCTATGTTTAGGAAAGGCTATACGTTTGAGAATGATGCAGGGAAGAAAGCAGAAGGAAAAAAAAAAACAGTAGGAAAAAAAAAACAGTGCATGCATGTGCCCACGTAGAATACTGGCTTATTAAAGAAAAATAAGAGTTTACCAATGTCAGGTACTATTCTCAATACCTTTATGTGTTAAGTCATTCCATCCTTAAAATACTCTTATGGGTTGAGTACTGTTCTCTTTTCTGTTTTCCAGATGAAGAAGGCAAGGCTGGAGAGGTGAAGAAGTTTGTTGGAGTGGTGACAAAGCTAGTGGGTAGGAGAGCCAGCACTTGAACACAGGCAGCCCAGCCCTAAGTACTTGTCCTACCTAAACCACTATGCACCCCCTCCCCAGCTAGGGTAGTTGCATATTTTTGGAAAATCCTTGATATGGTTTGGCTGCGTCCCCACCCAAATCCCATCTTGAACTGTAGCTCCCATAATTCCCACGTGTTGTGGGAGGGACCGGGTGGGAGATAATCGAATCATGGTGGTACCTTCCCCCATACTGTTCTCGTGGTAATGAATAACTCTCATGAGATCTGATGATTTTATAAGGGGAAATCTCTTTTGCTTGGCTCACATTCTCTCTTGTCTGCCACCGTGTAAGACATGCATTTCACCTTCCACCATGATTGTGAGGCCTCCCCAGCCACGTGGAACTGTGAGTCCATTAAACCTCTTTTTCTGTATAAATTACCCAGTCTCAGGTATGTCTTTAACAGCAGCATGAAAACGAACTAATACAACCTTCAAACCTTCTCCCTTGAACACATTTTCACTGAGCAAGACTCTAGCAGCTGCTGTGGTAAGTGAGGCAGGCTTGGGGAAGAAAGCAGCCAGCACGCAGCCACTCATCCCCTTCTCCAGACAGACAGGGGACCTGAGCTGCTGGATCACTCTCTAGATGACCATGAATCAGCATTCCTTTCAGTGGATCAACTAGAATTGCTTAGTAATCCTCAACAACCTTTAATTCCTCATTTAATTACTGATGAAATAGCAATTAAATGTGCCTGAGAAATCTTCAAACTCGTGGCACGGTCATTTCAATGAACATTTGATACACCAAAATCCCAGGACAACAAAAAAATTAAAATGACCTCCAGGGTGCCTAGAAAAGATTTTCCCACGTTAGTTAGCACATTCCTGAAGTAACAGTCTAACCAGAAGTTCAGTTAGTCCTGTTATTCTACATTATTTTTAAAAACTACTACTGACAACATATGAACAACCAGCTTGCTCCAGAAAGTGGTTCTTGATCGATTCTACCAATATTTACTGAGTTCATGTTAGGAGCCCAGCAGTCGGCTGCTTATTACGGTTCTAGACACAAGTGAGTCATTCTTTGGTGGGGAGCCAGGCACATATACAATGAAATAAGTGCCAAATGCATGGCTATACCCAAAAGGACTCCAAAGGGAAGTACCCAACCACACACCACACAACGGGGGTGGGAGGGTAGCAAGGATTGGCGGGGGGAGTTTGGGGTAGCCGGAGGGAAACCAGATTCTTCCCAGAAGGGATGATTCATCATCTGGTGGACAGTGAAGCCAAGTCATCAAGGTAGACTGCAACTCATCAAAACAGAAACCGGAGACGGGGTTAGTACTAGAGACAGGATTGCTGGTCTGAATTTCTGGTTCTTGTTAGCGCTTTACAATTCCTGAGACATATATAAGCCTGAAAGAAATGCTTTCCTCTGTATTCACTCTTAATGGCCACGTTTATTCCTCCCTCTATTGTAGAGAGATCTACTAAATATCTTATGACTTGATTTGGTCCTTCTCAAAGATAGGTTCAAGTCTTCTCTGTGGGCACTTTTCAAACTCCAAAACCAATAAGCCTCAAGGTAGGCCCCTAGCCCTTGTGGAGTCTATTTATACCTTTGGGGCACGATCAGCAACTAACATCACATAGCACTGGTGCTACACAAACATAATTCAGGTTCCTTCTTAAATTTCTAGTTACTTACAGTGAAGGAGGCAAGGAAGGGCAACAAGTGTGTATCTGTGTGTGTGGGTCTGTGTGATGTGCAAATAACAGACTCCTCTATCTGTGTGTCCAGATCCAATAAGTACAAATTCTATCAAGCCCTTGAGACTGACAGGACAGAGTTCTGCCAAGCTGAGGAGGGGCACAGAGCTCAAGACAAAGCTTAAAAAGGCTTGGCTCAGTGATTAAAGTACAACACAATAAGCAACTTTAAAATGTGTTTATTTAGATACAAACTCCATCCAAGACCCCATAAGTTAGACCTTGGCCTGTTTTCGTGAAGTGGTGTGACGGCAGTGGCCTTTTAAAAATTTAGTTTCTGTAACTTACTCTGGGGACATAGGTTGATCACTCTAAATCAGTATGTTAATAAATAGAGCAGCAGAAAGGAAGGCTGCAGGGTCATGAGACCCAGGCTTGCATGCCTCTTCTTTCTTGATAACTGTTTCCAGATGTGGGTGTTGGCACAGTATCAGCTTGATGACAAAAACGAATGAAAGTCCTTTCTCCCCAGCTAACAGCAGGCGGCTACTGGTTCCGGCAGAAGGCCTGCTTGTGTTTTCCTTTCAGAGGTCTCACGTGGCTGAAAGCATTTGCCTCTTGCTGAATGTTTACCTGGCATACGCTAGGAACAGCAAATGACACAAGAACCTCAGTGCAAGATGTCTCTTGAAGAAGAAGGTGGTAGAAAAGTGCATACATCTAATAATCCTAAACAACAGGGAAAGACACGGCTGGATTTGGGGTAAAAACATCTCATCACCAAGGAAATGATATGCAGGAAGTCGTCAGCTCAGGGTCCTATTCTTATCATAGATGAAATGGTTGCTTCCGCTAGTGTTCTGGAGGGGAGAGGTGAGAGAAGATTGTTCCTGACTTCAGGGTGCCTAAGAGGAGTCACATACGCATGACACAAAACAGACATATTAAAGGACTCACTAAGGACAGTTGGGTCTGCTTTCAGTAGAGAAAAGATGTGCACTTAGGAAGTGGTAGTTTCTGGCATGGTTCAACTGGCCTGTCTCCATGTGTGTGGAATCTCACCTTTGACCTCAGACCTTGGTCACGTACCAGGCAGGCTGCATGTTGCCCAAGGCTTGGAGACCAGGCTAGCTGAGCTCAGACTTCTCACATTCTGCTTCCATCCTCCTTTGACTTTTGGGAAAGTCTCCTCCTGCTGATTTTCATTTGCTGGCCAACCCGCTTGCCACAAACCAGGGAAAATCAGCTCTGAATTTTGAAAACTGGAAACATAAATTCATTTGGCATAAACACAGCTTTCTCCAGCAGACACACAGGAAGTAAGCTTACCTATGTATGCGATGGTATCATGGACCACCTTAGAGCCTATCATAACTAGCGTTCAGTTGGTGTGGATGGTGTAAGAATAAATTTCATTGCTCTCTAGGACACAAGGAGCACTTAACTTATGGATTTCCGGGAAAAGTTTCCAGCTAGGAATGCTCTAAAAGATTACCAAAAATCTTTGTTTTCATGCCTCAAAAGAAATATCCGATCTCAGCTGGTTTTGACTTGTTGGTGACCACAGCTTATTTCCCAGTGTCATTTGCACGAGTCAATTTTGTGGACTTGATCAGAAAGCCTTGAAGGGTGTGAGAAGAGGAGAACAGATGGCTAGCAAGGGCCACTTTGGGACAGCAAGAAAGGCCGAGTCCATCTACTGGTGACTGGATCTGACCTGTCCATGATAGAGCCAGAGTCTGAATGGACAATCCTGCTCTCTCATCCCTCCTGCCAACCCTGTGCCTTTCCTTGGTCTTGGACAGGAAATGCAGAATGAGACAAGCCATCCATTGCCATTCATCCATCCCACAGGATCAGAGCCCCAGCCCCAAGGCCACTGGTTATGAATATCCCTTGCAGGTGAAATGCTCCTATTAATACATAACCCTGAGTTTGGGATAATGCATGAAAAGATATTTCAGAGCATGGCTTCCTGTAGATACATGTCTTAAGGGCCAGTAGGTGGATTCTGTTAGCCCCTTTCTGGCCAGAAGGGATTCTATACAGTGCTGCCCAGGCCCAGGGAATGTATGAAATGAGCTCCAAGGAAGCTTCGGAGAGGTCTCCTTTTCTAGTAAGTTCCACACCCACTAAGCATTTATTAAAGTGTCAGCTGTGGATATTGCATAGTCAAGCAAATACAGGGTAAACACAAAAGATGTAGAAGGTCCTTCATGTCTTCCAGAAGCACACCATTGTCTGTGAAGGCCAAGGAAAGGCAAGAAATCAAGTTCAAGACTGGAAAACATACATTTTTATAGCCAATTTACTAAAATATTTTCAGTTCTCTGAACCTAGCATGCTTTTTTTCCACCTCCAAACCTGTGAACACAGACCTTTATTCTTGCTGTCTGGCTTCCATGTGTCCATGAGATTTTAATTTAGACCACACTTTCTCTGGGAGGCCTTCCTTGATGCCTTCAGCCTGGGTAGGTGCCCTTTCTGTGGGCTTTTACTGGCTCCTTTTCTTCTCCCACCATAGCATCTATCAGTGACATGTCTGTTTTCTCTACCAGACGGCAAGTTTGATGAGGGCAGGGATAATGCCTGCCTTCTTCACTACCCCATTCCCGGTATTCATTCATTCATTGGTTAATTAACTATGGAGTGCCTGGCATGAGCCAGTCAAATGATGAAAGAGAAAGGTCACTGTGAAGCTGTATTAGTCAGGGAAGGCAACTTGGGGGAGGTGCATTTTGAGATGTTCTTTGAGGAAGTTGAAAAGGGAAAACAATGGGAGGCATGAAACTTGGGGGCCTCATGCTACCCCCTCCCTCTCCACAAGATGTCTAGGCTTCCATGGGAATCAAATCTGGGAACCATTACTAAGGGGAAGGGCACTCACATTCATGGAGCTCTTACCACATGCCAAGATTTGCCAGACGCCAACCACATTAATAATACTTGCCATTCACCCTGAGTTGGCTGCAGGCCAGGCCACTTCTTGGGCTGTCTCATTTGATCTTTTCAACAACCCTGCTGAGATGGTTGTCCCCATTTTTACAGATGAGAGACTAAGCCTCAGAAAGAGTGGGATTTGGCCAAGATGGCATAGTGACTAAGCCAAGAGTCATAGCCAGGGCTGTTTGGCTCAAAATCAATGATCTTCAAATATTTTGCTCACAACCCAACTCAAAGAATTGACCTTTTTTGCACATTTTAAAGTTGACTTATAAAGATTTTTTATCATGTGTTTAAATAACTGTAAAAGATGTCAGAGCATTGTATTTTGAATATGAGCATTACATTACGTTTTTGTCAAAATATTGGAACTTTAGATTGAGTTTATGCAGTTGATAGAAAATCTCTGCCATATCTCAACTCTGTCCCTCATACCAGCCTTGGATGAGTTACTTAACTGCTTCTATGTCAATGTTTTCTGCAAATTGAGAATAAGAATAATACCTACTTACAGGACTATTAGGAGGATTATATGAGATAATTTTATGTAAAGTACTTAGAAAAAGGACTGCTCCACACTTCTGTATAAATGTTTGCTATTATTATAAACTCTAATTGAACATTGAGAGGCTGCCTTTTCTAATTCCCCTTTGTTAGAAGTCCTGGCACAATGCCCCATGGTAAGCTGGTAAGAGGGAAATCTTGCCTTCATGAAGAAGGGAGGTTGAGGAAAGGGAAGTAGGAGCATCAGCAGAGGGGAGGCGCATGCTTAGGCTGATCTGTTCTAGGAGAGGGCACTTGTGGAAAATGGGGACTTGGAAGTTGATTCTGGTAAAAATTATGCATGCTCCCTAAAAGGTCTTCCTGTAGCCCCAAGGATGTGTGTGTTCCAGTTTGAAGTCTCCATTTGTCCTTGAAGAGCAACAACCACCAGTGAATGAGGCAGCCCTCTCTTAGCAGGGCCCAACATCCCAGGGAATAGCAGATGAAAAAAGGTCAAAGTATTTTTGGAATTTCTCCTCCCTAGAGAAGTGAAAATGCAGGCAAGTGCTGTGCTGATGTGGCATGGTCAAGTCCTACTCAAAAAGTGGTCTATGGGCCAGCATCACTAACATTGCCTCGAGCTTTCTAGAACAGGCCTCAGCCCATTGAATCAGAATCTGCTACAACCAGTGGTTCTCAACCCTGGCTGCAACTTAGAATAAGTAATCATGGGGAGCTTTTAAAAAATCCTGATGCCCAGGGCCACATCCCAGACCACTTAAACCAGAATCTCTGGTCATGTGGTCCAGGCAACACTAGTTTTTAAGTTTCCCTGGTGACTCTGATGTGCAGCCACAATGGAGAACCACTTTCATTTGTAGCAATGTTAATACAGAACTTTAAATGTGGGCTCCTTCCCTTCTAAATAATAGCCTTATCTGCAGTAGCTCTTCTGTGCATTCTGCCCACCCGTTCGCCGCTGCATGCTCATTCTCTCACCTGGGCTACTGTGGCAGCCTCCAGCCCTTCCCACCCAAAGGAAGACCTTCCACAACATTGCCTTGACTTTTCTTCCAGACTTTTCTCCAGACACTCCCCTCCATTCCAATCCAACCTGATGATTCTCTCTTCCCTAAACATGCCTCAAAGTTTCCCACATGCCCACCACAGTCTGGTGTCTTCTTCTCCATTTCTTGCCCAAATTTCTGCTCCTTTGGGGGATCATGTTAAGATACCTCCTCCGTTGGATCCCCTCTGCCTGGTTGTGAATTCCCTGTAGTGTTTTCTTCCCTTATACTTTCTACTTTAGATTCACATTTTATGCCTTCTTTCCCCACTTCACCCCATCCCATTAGCCTGTGGGCTACAAGAGCAGAGTAGGGGCCCACTTCTCTTTATTTATCCTGAAAGACCTGCCACTTGCCTGGGCACACAGAGCTGCACCCCCGCCCTGCTCCCTCCCCAGGCAGAGACAGGCTCAGGGAGGCTTGCAAACCATCGCCCCTACCGCTGGCGATTACTTGGCATACTAATTGTTCCATTAAATTAAAGCTCTTTAAAAATTACTACCCTAAGGGGAGCGGGCAAAACCCACATCAGGCAAGTTGCTTTAAACGTTGCCTAGAAATGAAAAGTTTTTTTTATCATTTATAGCAATGTTAATACAGAACTTCAAATGTGGGCTCCCTCCCTTCTAAATAATAGCCTTACTCTTCCTAGAACAAGATGGGTTCATCAGCACAGCCGGCAGCAGCTGACCACCAAACTTCAAAGGAAATATTCTCCAATCGCTCCTTCCAGATCCATCTGGCACCCTGAGCCTGGCCTCAGCTCAAGTCCATGATAAGTGTTCCTTTAATGCAGAGACTTGCATTTGGGCTTGGACTCCTCCTCTGTTTTCCCTTCATGCTATGGAAATCATTTAGTAATTTGCCCTCATAAAAATCAAGCAGAGAACCAGATATTTAATGTCTACAGACAGTGCACAGGGCAGAGACGTCACCTCACCATCATTGCCATTTATGTGCCTTTCAGCAGGGCTGACAAAATGTCTTCCTCTCCAAGGTTCTACAATCCAAGCTGCTGTTCTTTCTAGTTGCTGGTGACCTTCACTTTCATTTCTTGCCCTTGCCAGACACCTATTTCTAATATGGATCTGCCTTCCCATTTTGTAGACAGGATTCTGGTAAGTATCAGTGCAGATTGCATTCAAGACTCATTTCTTCTCTGAGATAAGAATCTGTACCGATGGGGTTGCAGGCATATGGCAGGATTTATTAAAGAGCCAGATAACTTCTTTCATTATTATCTTCTTAGTCCCAAACCACAGGTCTCAAGAGAAATGTTAGAAAGTGTTGCTTCCCTAGTACACATAAGAGAATAGATATTTAGCAGAGACAGAAATGAGTCAGCCTCTCTCCCTGTGTCTCACCTAGGCATGTGCTGTTAAGGCCAGTACCCCGCAGGGCCCCAGGTTAGAGCGGGGCAAATTTATATTACACATTTAAAAGGGCCTCTTGAGTGTTAGGCTTGGAACAGGCTGCAGAGGCTGCTGGGCGGCTTCCCAAGGAGAGCTTTAAGAACATACAGCCATCTATTACACTTGGCTGAGGACAAGCCCTGCAAAGAGGGAGGATGGGGAAAAAGATTTCTGAAGGCTGCTGCTACCTTGGGGTTTTTTTGGGGTCATTTTTGTTTTGTTTTTATTTGTTATGGATACAGAATAGTTGTGTGTATTTATGGGGTACATCTGATGTTTGGATACAGGGCATACAATGTGTAATGATCAAATTGGGATAATTGTAGTATCCGTTACCTCAAGTTTTCATCATTTCTTTGTGTTAGGAACATTTCAATTCCACTCATTTAGTTATTTAAACATACACAATAAATCATTGTTAACTACAGTCTCCCTGTCGTGCTACTGAACACTAGATCTTATTCATGCTATCTAACTGCATTTTTGTACCCAGTAACCATCCCCACTTTACCCCCCCATTCCTGCTGCTCTTCCTTACCTCTGGTAATCATCTGTATCTCCATGAGATCAATTTTTTAAAAATTTTAATTCTTACATATGAGTGAGAACATGTGAAAAATGTGTCCTTCTGTGCCTGGCTTATTCCACTTAACGAAACCAGACCCTTATCTCAAGACTTAAATCTAAACCTGAAACTATGAAACTACTAAAAGAAAACATTTGGGAAACTCTTCAGGACATTGGTATGGGCAAAGATTTCTTGAGTAAGACCTCGAAAGCACAGGAAACCTAATCAAAAATGGACAAATGGGATCATATCAAGCTAAAAAGCCTCTGCAGAGCAAAAGAAAAAATAACAAGCAAAAGGACAACCCACATAATGGGAAAAATATTTGCAAACTACCCACCTGACAAGGGATTAATAACTGGAATATATAAGAAGCTCAAACAACTCAATAGGAAAAAATCAAATAATCCAATTAAAACATGAGGAAAAGATCTGAATAGATATTTCTCAAAAGAAAACATACGAATGGCCAACAGGTTTGTGAAAAAAATGCTCAACATCACTAATCATTAGAGAGATGCAAATCAAAACTACAATGAGATATCATCTCACCCCAGTTAAAATGGCTTTCATCCAAAAGACAGGCAATAATAACAAGTGCTGGTCAGGATGTGGAGAAAGGAGAACCCTCATACACTGTTGGTGGAAATGTAAATGAGTACAACCGCTATATAGAACAATCCTCAGAAAACTAATAATAGAGCTACCATTCAATCCAGCAATCCCACTGCTGGAAATAATTCCAAAAGATAGGAAATCAGTATATTGAAGAGATATCTGCAATCTCATGTTTATTGAAGCACTACTCACAATAGCCAGGATATGGAATCAACCCAAATGTCCCTCAGTGGGTAAACGAATAAAGAAAATGTGGTACATATGCAGAGGAATATTATTCAGCCATAAAAAGAATGAGGTCCTGTCATATGCAACAACATGGTTGGAGCTAGAGGACATTACCCTGGGGTTTTGTGATGTGTACAGCTGGCCTCAGGTCAGAGCCAGTAGAAGTTGCAGCTCTTCTCTGATTTTTGCTTAAGTGCCTGTATCTCCACAAATGTTTCCAACTTCCACTCTACTATGAGGTCTCACTCTACACAGGAACTTCAGCTCAGAGGAGAAAAAAATAGAACCTTCTAGACCAAACACCAAGAAACTTTTGTTTGCTCATGTCTGTACATGCATCTCTTCATAGAATAAAACAGTTGTGGAATATCTAAATTCTGATCTGCCTCTTGTCTCAACAGATGTTTAAGAAAATGACACCTTAAAGTTAACTAAGAACTCAGAGATTCATATTTTGAGTACAAAATTTTTGATGAGATCTGCAGTTTTGCCGTTTATAGAGAAATGCATGAATTAGACACTTAGGGTAAGAGGAAGTGGCTTACTAAATATCAGCGTTAATTCTTGAGATTCCATTTAATTGCACAACATTCTACTTCCTCTTCCTCAAGTAACATGAACAAGCAATTGTCTGAAATATTAAACACATAAAACTACAGCAAATATTAACAAATTCTAAAATTGTATATGTGTGTTCTTCATATGCAAAAAAATATGGTATCATAGGAAGAAAATATCATATACCTGAGAGAGCCTTCCCCCTCTCCCCTATTCCTTAGAGATTCTAGGAAACCATTTTTCAAGTTCTTTTCTGATTTTCAAAACCACAGGCTGACAACAATAAGTAGTTAGCTTTTAAATCTTTTACTACAACCACCCAGATTAAATTGTTCCCTTATTAATCTAGGGAAAATAATTACCAGGCAAAAGATCCTCTTTTGTCCATTAGCCATGATTTATTTCAAATGCGTGCTTTCAGTCCACATTCAATTTTTTTCACATATGTGAACACTTAGATATTGAAATTCTTTTCCTGTCAGCTGTCAATGTGCATTGCTTTTTAATCCAAAAAAGACTTAAAAGATTATCAGATAAAAAGTATTTCAAAGCTTAAAACGAATCCTCCTATTGTATTCCCAACTACCTTATATCTCCTATCGTAAGGTTATATTAAGTGCTTTTGGCTGTTTTCCCAAACATCCAGACATGTTTTATGTGAAGTGTGAGTCATGGCAGCTTTGCTTTCATGGTTCAGGACAGTCTCCTTGAAGCGGGAACTAAATGGTGGAATCTTAAGTTGTTGGTGATGATGGATTGGGAACTGGACATTTATCCAAGTGCAGAAAATGAAATAGGAAAATGTTTCTTGCCAGTTTTAAATCAAAGGAGCTAATTGCCTTACTCGAGTTGTGTCTACTAAGTAGCATGGGATTGTGACAGAGCCTGGAAAGAACAGAAGTTAGAGAGAAGCTCCCTCATGAATGAAATAATTTAAACTCTAGACTAAAATGTGAATTTGTTAGAGTTTCAGGAAAAAAAAATTTATTCCTCTTCCTCCATTTGATGTTGTTTCTATATGGTAAAGAGTTATGATGGCAATTTCCACAGACTGTGAATCTAGTTATTTCCTAAAATGTCAATTTGAATCCAAATGCAAGTTAACATCTGTGTGATGGGACAAAAATGATGAATGCATTTGTTTCTAGGGTCTTTGCTCTTTGACATCCTATCTAAGAAGAGTTTCATTTCTGCCAGACCAGTAATAGGAGATTTTGTGTTTTTAAATCAAGATATCAGGGCAAAGAAGAACCACAGAGCAAGGAGAAAAACGTGAAGACTTCTAGGTAGTCTTAATTGATCTGATCCATGGCTGTCCAGTAGAAATACAACCTGAGCTACATATGTAATTTTATACTTTATAAATATAAAATCATATTTTATAAGTAGCCATATTACGAAAGTAAAAAGAAACAGGTACAAATTAATCTTAAAAATATTTCTATGGAAGCCAATATATTTAAAACATTATCATTTTAACATGTAATCAATATGAAAAACATTAGTCAGACATTTTATATTTCTTTTTTTCTCATCTCAAGTCTTCAAACTCCAGTGTGCATTTTACACTTATAGCACATCTCAAATCAAACTAGCCATATTTCAAGTGCTTAATTAGCCACATATGGCAGTGGCTACCATATTAGACAGCACAAATCTAGATAATTAATTCCTCGGAGGGAGGCATAGAAATAAAGAAGAAAAGCCATAAGAGCTGTGGATTTAGGAAGAGTTTTGGCAAGGGTAAGAACTTTGAAGAGAGCTGGCTGGAGCAGCTGTGGACTGTCTGGTGAATGTATGGAATTCCCATGGAGCATGTACTTAGATCCCTTATATAACTTTCTTTTCTTTTTTTTTTTTTTTTTTTTTTTTTTTTTTTGAGACAGAGTCTCTCTGTCTCCCAGTCTGGAGTGCAACAGAGAGATCTTGGCTCACTGCAACCTCCATCTCCCAGGTTCAAGAGATTCTTATGTCTCAGCCTTCCGAGTAGCTGAGGTTACAAGCACACGCCACCGTGCCCAGCTAATTTTTTTTTTTTTTGGAGATGGAGTCTCGCTCTGTCTCCCAGGCTGAAGTGCAGTGGCATGATCTCGGCTCACTGCAACCTCCGCCTCCTGGATTCAAGTGATTCTTCTGCTTCAGCCTCCCGAGTAGCTGGGACTACAGGTGCACGCCACCATGCCAGGCTAATTTTTGCATTTTTAGTAGAGATGGGGTTTCGCCATGTTGGCCAGGCTGGTCTCAAACTCCTGGCCTCAAGTAATCTGCCTGCCTCAGCCTCCCAAAGTGCTGGGATTACAGGCATGAGTCACCACACCCAGCCATATAATTTTCAAGGAGCAAAATACTTGAGTTATTTTGAAATTAATTAGGGTGGATGGACTGTGTTTCTTTGAATAGCACCTCCTTGAAACTGGACCACTTGGTGCTGGCTGTATAAGGGTTATATATCCAATCATGGATGAAGGAGAGGTAAATAAAAATGCAGGGTAGAAAGATGCTGATGGTCGTGGGCCATTCCCCATGTGGGAGCGGTGGGCAGAGGCCTGACCTCTATTATTATCTGGATCTGCACAAGGAACCTCTGTCCTTGATTTGGCATGAATGACAACCAGCCCAAGAAGACATGAAGCCAGCACATCAATCATATGCAAGAGAGGACATCAATTTGAAGGGCCCATTGGTGCTTTGAAGCAACGATCTGGAAACTCTTGGAGGAAACAGGCACAGCCCACATGGTATAGATCCTGACCTGTGGAGCAGTGTGGGAGGTTACCTGGCTGCAGCAGCAGGAAGCACACAGGATAAAGGACTCCGGCCACCACCTCCACCACCCTCTGGTGCCCCATAATCAGAACATGAATGAACAGGATTGACTGGCACTTGGGCCTTCACACTCAGTAGAAGCCCAAGGGCGAGTATAGCCTAGAGCTCTGAACTCAGATCAGATGGAAGTAAGAGGATTCCAAATCAGCTTGTCAGCACCATTCTTGAGGCCCAATCTCATGGGATCCTCTGAAAGAAATACACTGCCTCATGAGAGTGATCTATTCACCAAACCATCTTTCTGGAACTGGGGCCTGGCCCCAGGGTCCCTCGATAATCCCATGGATGTGATTCCTAAAATTCCTCAGAATATCTGGTTGACCCAGCATAGGTGAAAGAGAGTCAGATGTCCCACTGGGGAGACATGAGGACCAGGGCCCATATGAGTCCTGGTCTAGGTTTGGGGCACCCTGCCTCGCTGTCAATGATGGCTCCAGCTGGTCCCAGGCATCCAAGGGGCTTAGAAAATTTCAAGGAAGTTACCCCAAAGCACAGGGTCCCCAGAGGCATGGAGCCCAGGACAGAGATGCCACTTCCTGTGTCTAAAGATATTTGGGAGGAAGCCCTCCTAAAAGAGAATAACATCTACAGAAACAGAGAAGCAGAGTGGGAAAGACCAAGTGACAGAGACAATCCTGCCAACACTGAGCCCTCCATGCCAGTTGTGCCCTGGGAACGACCAGTTTTGATAGCCAACAAATTCTTTTTCTGACTTTAGCTAGTTTGTATTATGCCTCTGTCACTTGCAACTAAAAGAGCCCTGGCCAATGAAGAACAATTCAACGCTTTCAAGACCAAATTTGTGTCTTCTATCCTCATGGGAGCCACTCTGTTCCTCCCTGCCCCACAGCCAAGGAAGTACCTCTCCCCATGTGTCCAAACATGCACCAGATGGTGAAGCAGGCGAGGTTCCTCTGCCTCCTGGAAAACGACAAGAGTGGATGTATTAGGTACATCCTGTACATGAAGGATGGGACCCTGGTTTTACCAAAAGGTCTTTTCAAAATGCCTCCATGAACAGATTTGTCCCACCCTCCTCTGCCCAGCTCAAAGTACCTTAGTGGTTCCCCAATGCAGTCAGAGTAACCCGTGTGATCTGGCCCTAGCCTACACTTCAGCCCTCCACTCCCCAGTCCCCACTCTCCACTCCCACTCTGTGCTCTTCAGCCACTCTGGATTCCTGTTTCTTTAACAAGAAAGTTTAGTTCCACCTCTGGGCCTTTGCACTAGCTATCTCCTCCATCTGCAGTGCTCTCTCCCCTTTTCATTATTCAGATCTCACTTTAAAGCAGACAGAAAGGTCTTTCCTGATCCCGATCACTCTCTATTATCTTAAGTCTCTTAATGACTGCTACTATTTGATTTGTTTTGTTAGGTGTTTATTGTCTGTCTCCCCCTACATTTAAACTCTTGTGGGTAGGAATCTCACTGGTGTTGTTCACTGCTATATCCCCAGTATCTAGACGAATGCCTGACACAGTAAATGCTCAATAAATATTTATCAATTATGTAAACTGAATGCACACAGGCTACGTTTGTTGACTTGTCTTCTCAGGAATATCATCCTTTCAGCTCTTTAGCAAAGCCTTGGGCTGACTTATTTATTTGGTTCAACAAATCACTGCTGAGCATCCACTCTGCTTAGGTTCTGTCCAAGATGATAATGAGCCCTGGTTCTTAACCTTTGGAAGTTCAGACCCAGGGAAAGATAGACACTAGGCAAATGCCAGACAATGTGGAAAATGCTATGGTCAGGCTGTGCACTAGCACTGGTACTGGGGAAACAAAGAAGAATGTGATCTTTTTGTTGGGTACAAGAGTTCAGGCAGTGAAGTCCCAGAAAGCCACAGAGAAAGATCCTTTGGGACCTGTACACGTTCCCCTCTTGCAACACCTCACAGTTGGGAATTATGAAAGCAGTTCTCCCTGCCCTTCTTTCTCCCTAAAGTATTGGTATATGTGAGTGGGATAAGTGTGAGCAATTTGTCCTGAAAGGAGAGGGAGCTGGAACAACCAGTACTTGGGAGAACTTGTGATTATCCTGTTTGCGTGACAACAGCCAATTAAATTATTTACGCCTCTCAAGTGCATTTTGCATCAAGTAGAATATCTGGTCTTGGCGCTATTTTATAATCTGCTAAGTTAGCTAACTGCCCCTCCTGTCCTGGGTTGCGGCAAGGAGATGTCTTGGGACAGAGTAGAGGGTATCGGGGGGCTCCTGCCTTTAGAGAACTCGGGACGACAGGCAGCCAGCCGTGCCCATGTGTGGAGGGACAGAGTACAGGAGTCCCTGAGGTCCCAGGTCTTCCTTTTATTGCCCCAAGGGGGTTCACACCTAAGACCAGCCGTGCCAAACAGCAGGGTGCCACTCTGCTCTTTACCATGAGGCTGACTCACCTCTACATGTCAGACAGTAGAGAATGTGGAATTCTGAACAGAAGAGAAAAAAATCCACTTGGAGGCTCCAGACTAGGCCTCAAGGTCTCTGGAACTCAAGGAGTCTCTGCACACCCTGATGCATCAGGAGTTACTCACTTGTGCCTTAGATTCCTTGTCTAAACTTGGCCTAACAAAGGGATCATGGCTCATTGTCAGAATGAAGTAACGTCCAGCTCCTTATGGCTAAATTATGAATCAGTCATAAGAGGGATAATTGACTTCTTTTAAAAGGAAGCCTGAAATCCATTTTCTGCTATATTAGGTGCACACATACACAGAGGCAAGATGACTTGAGTAGATCAAATGTTTGTAAAGTGAAAAGTTATACAATGTATGGGCCAGCTCCTCTGAGGAAATCGAACAGAGACAAGCTGGAGAAGTGGGAATGGGGCATAAGAGACAGCAGCCCTCTGGGGGCACACGAGATTCTCCCTGGCACAAAGGCGGGACACTGGGAAGTATCTGCTGTTTCTGTTCCTTTGGCCCCTGGAGCTGACCATTCAGCTCAAGGTCAGCCAGTCCCTCATTTCTGCAGTGTTCCCACTGAATCACAGCAGCCGAGAAAGATGATGAATGTTGGAGCTGGAGGCACACTGGAAACTAGACCAATCCCCTCATTTGTAAACAAGGCAAGAGAGTTCCAGAAGGGAGCTCTGCCTCATCTGAGGTTACACAGCAAGTCCGTATTGGAGTCACGAAAGGGGAGCCGGTGTTCCTGATTCCCGGCCCACCACGCTCCCAGGGCACCCTCGTGATACACCGTCTGGTATTGTTAGTTATTTTCTATGATACGTGTGTCTGTCTTAGCGCCCTAATGAGACTACTCCCTCGGTTGCTTATAGCATTTTATTCTTTGTGATCCCCCGTGGCCCCTTAGTTAGAATTTTCCTCAAGACTTTAGTTTTTAAATGATTCTTGGTTAATAGCCTCCTACCAAGCTGCTCCCAACTTCTCCTGAAAATATCCAAGATGATGTTGAAAAAAGTAAAAACGTTATTCTGTGAGTTAAGATCAAGATTCAACCTAAGGCCAGGCAAGAAGCTGGATTGAAAATCTCATTTCAGGGCCACCCACACTGTGTGCCAGGGAACCTGCCCCTATAACCAGGAACACAGGGCTGTGCCATGCAAAACTCGGGTGCTTTCCCGGGGGGCCCCCTGGCTGCACGGGACCCCCTCCTCATGGCCTTGGAGATGCACAGGGAGGAACTATGGGTTCCACAGTAGCCAGGAGGAGAGTCCCATGGGCACGGCACTGCAGCCACAGCCCACGATGGCAACGTTGGAGGGAGGCATGCCAGGGCACTGCCCTTTCTACACATTCCATTTCTGTATCATGTCAAGGAGCTACATGGTGGGGTAGAAGAAGATGGATTTCAGTTTAACAGACGTTCAGTAAACAAAAACGTGTGGTCACTAAGAACAGCACTAGAAGCTGCACACCACAATCGGCTGCTCAACTGTTTATTTAACAAGGCTTTTGATAGACACCCAAGATGTCAAGGGCAGTGACAAGTACAAACCCCTAAAACTTCTCTTTTATAAATCAGTGGGTCTAGATAGACCTTTCACTATTTGAGGAGGGGTGGAGGGGTGGGGACTGGGGGGAGAAAATCATGAAACTTCTGAAAAAGTACTCAGGTTTGCAATTAAAAATGTTTTTAATGCAATATCTGAAAAAAAAAATTAAGTCAACAAGGAGCAGAGCTGACACCATAGAAAAGTGAATCAGTAATGTGGAGGGCAAGAATGAGATCAAAGGAGAAGAGCAAAATGATGAAAATGATGAGGAAGGACAGGATGATTCGGTCCTCCTTCTCTGTCCTGCTATATCCAAGAATTACAGAACTTCTGAAGAAAGAAACCCACTCAAGTGGGAAGAAAGCAATAATCAAAGATATCATTAGAGAAAACAGCCCTTAGTATGCAAATCGAAATGGCCCATAGCATTCTAAAAAAAATAAATTTAAAGGGGGCTGTCTAGAAAAGAGTTCACCGAGCAGGCCTGAAGACTGCAATACTTAGAAAGGCCTGCTACTAAACACCTGCTCTCTTGGAATTTTAGTTCATGCTAGACAGAAGGACCTACATGATCATGATCAGACCCCAGTAAAAAAAACTTGTGTAATGGGTCTCTGATGGGCTTCCCTAGACAGATACATCATGCATACGTTGTTTCATTTTTCTCACTGGTGAAGAGTAAGCTGTGCGTGACTCCTAATGGGTGAGAGAGAGCATGAGGAAACCTGCACATGAATTCCTCCAGACTGCCTGTGCCTTTTCCCTTCATGAGCCACTCATATATCCTTACAACACTGCTGTAATAAATCTTGGCTATGAGTACACTTTAAGCTGAGTACACTTTAAGCTGAGTTTTGTGAGTCATTTTAGTGGGTTTCCAAACAGCGATGGACCTGTGGCCTAGGGGATCCCTGACAGAGAGGCCTCACTGTGTCACAGGGGCTAAAACACATTCTAGCAACATATTTGAATTATAAGACTAATTTGTTTTCATGTCATGAGCATTGAGGGAAAAAAAATACCTCTTTCAAAGTTTACAAAATTGGTTGGCTTCAGACTTGTCCTTTGCCACCCTGTATAGAGCAGGCTTTAGAAAGTTTTGAAGGAAGAAAGTTAGGATCCAGTAATTTTGCAGCCTTATGAAGGCAACAGACAGACATTCTTAGACATTCAAGGACTTGAAATAGACTTATACTAGTGACTGAGGTAATAAACTTGAAGAACACAGGCCGGGCGCAGTGGCTCACGCCTGTAATCCCAGCACTTTGGGAGGCTGAGGCAGGTGGATCACCAGGTCACAAGATCGAGACCATCCTGGCTAACACCGTGAAACCCCATCTCTACTAAAAATACAAAAAAAAATTAGCCTGGCCTGGTGGCGGGCACCTGTAGTCCCAGCTACTTGGGACGCTGAGGCAGGAGAATGGCGTGAACCCGGGAGGCAGAGCTTGCAGTGAGCCGAGATCACGCCACTGTGCTCCAGCCTGGGCAACAGAGCGAGACTCTGTCTCAAAAAAACAAAAACGAAAACAAAAAACAACAACAACAAAAAGGGAATTCTGGATATGCAGCTCTTCTTTTATGGAGCATAGATCCCAAATTCAAAAGTCCAGTTGGACTGTGTTATCAGAGAATTCTGAGATTTTATGCTTAGCCCTTTGCTATTTCCCTAAGCTGTCCTTGGCTTCTGAAATTTTATAAGAAGACCAAGAAATTAATTTCTTATGCCATATCTTTCACCCTACAATTTAGGAAGTATCACCTGCAATGACGGATGGCCACCAAAGCTATTACGCAGTGTAGGTCTTTCTTAATGATTGTTAAACATAAAGGATGATGAGACCTATGGGTCTCAATTTGTAGGAGTACCTGTGTTGAGGATTGTGGCATTGAGGATTACTGTATTGAGCAAGATTCTGAGCCCCTTCTGAGCTCTGCGGGAGAGAATGCAGGGGTCAGTGAGTGACACCCAACCTGGGGAAAAAGGGAGCAGGGTGGTACATTCATTTCTTACCTGCTATTCTTGATGTATATATTCAGAAGATTGTGGTTTAAAAATTAATAAACAAAAATGACCAAAAATGAATATAAATACTTTCTGTAATTGTTGTGCTAGAAAATAAAATAACCGCAACTTCAATTTTAAACAATAGGACAATATCTGTATTTAATGCTAAGGTTTACTTAATATTTTAGGTAAGACAGAAAAAAAACTTTAAAAAATAAAATACTGTAGGAAGAAAGTACCAAGAAAAAGATTGATAGATTAGCTGCATAGCATTTTTGAACCTCTATTTCACAAAAATACAAAACATCATAAGCAAGATAAGAAGGCAGATAACAAACCGAGAGACATGTTTGCAACACAGGTGGCAAAGGATCAACATCCTTAATGTAAAAGGCTTTTGCAAATCAACGTAAAAATAAATTACCTAATAAATTACATTGTGTGAAGAGCATGAACATTGAGTTTACAGAAGGTTAAGTTAAAATTGACAATGAATGAAAAAGTTTCCTATTTGGATCACTAAAAAAAATGAAAGGTATAAAAAGGAATCATGCATTTAAAAAAATCTTCTTTGCTATTTTCGTAAATGAAAGATTATAATGCTTAGTGTTGCAAAGAGTAAAACTTTTCTTAAAGGCAATTTCCCTCATCTTTCAAAACTTCTTAAAGTATCATGCATGTCTATTAGCTCAAATTCCACTACTGGCAAATCAATGGATATAGCCTTAAGGGTATCTGTATTGAATGATCATCTCAGCATTATAATGACAACATTTGGAACAACCCAAAGTCAGGGGATTGGCTAAACAGGTTCAGCTAAATCTATGTAATGAGATATACGCAGCTGTTAAAATCATGCATACAGGACTATTGGTTGAATAGTCCCCATCTACTGCTTAGTGAAAAACAGGACACAAACTGCCTTGCATTTCATGTATAGTGTGTACGGTGGAGGTAGTTATGAGCTGTGAAATTTGGAGTTACCCAACCTGCAACTGAGTCCTGAGTCCTGGTCCCACCACACCTTCCTGGGTGATCTTGAGCGGAGCTCCTGCCCCTCTTAACTGCAGTGTCTTCATTTGTAAAAATGCTGTTAATGAAATTATTTACTCATAGGGTTGTACTATATGCAACCTGAAATTATCCCCTGCGAAGTACTTAGAATACTGCCTAACTCAGCAGCGTGCATTAGGTCCCGATATTTTTTTTTAATGATGCTAAAAAATAATCAAGAAAAATAGACCACTGACAGAACACATCAAAAAAAAATCTTGATAATGGGGCTGTTACTTTTTGCTTCTTTTCATTCTTCTAGGTTTTCTGCATTAAACGTAGAATACATTTACACTGTTCATAACACACACACAGGCAGACACACACAGACACACACACAGTAAATATCGACTTTACTAGGAGGTTACTATGAGTCTTGGGAAAACAGCTGAAATCCATCTTTCTAGAAAGAAAAGGAAGAAGAAACGGCCAAATGAGGGGGAAACCACCCCCACACTCTAGGAAACACAAGCTCCCCAGCCTCTTGGCCTTCAAGGCAGAGGAGGGCCACTCCCCAGCCTGCCAGCCAGCAGGCCATGGGGTCACCCTGTGGGGCCACACCCCATGCAGGCTGCATACTGCCCCATTGTCTAAGCATGGCCCCACTGAAGTCAACGAGAAACAGATGGTGAGAAACATTTCTGCTCTTCCACACCTAGGATGCGGTTCTGCTCTGAGCATCCAGCACCAGTGAGGCAATCTGCTTTTCATTTATGGGCAGAGAAAAGCCACAGAGGAAGGAATGAGGGAGGCCATAGTTCTCAGAGTGTCGGAGGAGTTGATGCAATAATAATTCAATTCCCCCTACTCTGAAAAGCAAGGCAGTCCAACCCGGCAGGATGCCTGCAGCCAGGGCTGTAAACTCCAGCTCACCTCAGGCTACCTCCAGCTGAGCAAGCCCACACCAGAACCTGTGGGCCTGAACTCTTGCAGGGGAAGAGTTCAAACAGGGCCTTTTCCAGTTTGCATCATGTGGCAGAGCCCTGTAGCCAATCAGCTGGAAGCGAGTTCCAGGTAGGTGGGATGGGAAGGATCTGGACTGGGGGGCCTCCTCACAAGGGAATCATCATGGACACTGGCAACTAGGGGGTAGCTCCTCTGGCCAGTGTAGTTCTTTCTTCCCTTTGCCTGGGTAGAAGCATGGACTTTGAAGCCAGCTGTCTGGGACCCTATCCCAGTTCTCTGCTTACTTGCTGTGTACCTTAGGTGAACTGCTTTAACTTTCTGAGCCCCTGCTTCCTCATCCGAATTGTGGGCATGAGACTAGTGTTACCCAACAGGAAATATGAAGACTGCAGGAGATAATCCATAGGAAGTGTCTACGCTGTGCTTGGGTCATGGAAAGTGCTCATTAACTGTTAGTTATTATTATTATTATAATTGCCAGATTCTCTCTGTGTCTTATTTCCTCTTTAAACCATGGCATAATTTACACTATGACACGCTCTTGTGCATAATTTCTTCTCATAGTCCTAACCAGTTGTAGTCTCTGCTTGAGGGTGATCTATGCCTGTGTACCCTCTATCGGTCCCCCTGGCAGTCACCATCCCTCTGGACAAAAATTTGCGTGGTCTTTGGAATGAGTCTGGGTAATTGAGTGGCAGCCAACCTCTGCCAGCATCCTCCCTCATCGGGAGACTGTGGAGCAGGGGCAATGGTCTCCTGAGCCAAAGAACAGCTTGCAGATGGCCCCAGTGAGAAGTGCCACTCTGAAGCCCTAAAAGATGATAAGGGAGAGTAGGAGAAGCAAGCCCAGAGAAGAAAGAAAGTGGAGAATGGTCCCCAGAGGAAGGGAGGCAAACAGGGAGCAACAGTTACACAGGTGACTGCAATGTGAGAAGCATCCAAGAACGGACAGAGTTTCAAAATGCTCAGGAAAAAGCAAGGTGCAGTCTTCTGGATGTGGTGGCAGAAAAGACCCCAAGAGAAAGACATCATCAACATAAAAGCCTGGAAAAAATAGGGATCATAAAGATGCCTGTGTGACTGACAAACAAATTAGAGGTGTAGGAAAAGAAAAGAGCGGGAATGGCAGGTTGCAGGTAATTGAGATTTTTCAGAACAAGATGACAAGTAAACTACATCAAAGCATGTCCAAGTCAGGTTTGACTGGCAGTTTTCCCTGAATGTGCTAATTACTCTTATTTGTTCTCAAACAAAAATTATTTATTTATCATGAGGGCTGAGGGCCCAGGGTGTGGGAGAGCATCTTCTCTCAGCAAGCAGGTGAGTAGCTCAGTTTGAATGACGGAAGATACATGACTATAGAGCAACACAGTCACTTTTCATCAAGATTGAACCCTATGGCTATATCTTTGAGAAGCCACTGCATCAAAGACCTGGCTCAGATAAGAGTTTCCGGAGAAAAAGAGAAGGTGGCAGCCAGAATAACTGTGATACTGTCCTTTTTGTACCAGCCAGGATAGGCTAGGTGATGCTGCAGTAACAAACAATCCTAAATCTTAGGGGCTTTAAACAACAAAGATTTATTTCTGTCATCTGTGCCACAAGTCCATTTCGGGTTGGCTGGAGTTCTGTTCTGCATCCCTTCAGGGACCCAGGATAATGAAGCAGCCACCGTCTCAAACTGCTAGTCACTATAGCAGAGGACAAGGGAGTTGAGACAACACACACACTCACACACACACACACACACACACACACACACGGGCTCTTAAAACTTCAGCTCAGAATGATAGACATCATCCCTGCTCAGATTTCACCAGCCACAGTCAGGCACATGCCTATACTGAATTGCAAAGGGGATGGGGAAGTAAAATCCCACTTCCGCTGCTCAGAAGAAGAAACAGAATGTATGTGAACAGCCCTAATGACTCACCAAACATCCATTCCAGGAGCAGGCCTCCCTGCCCGTTACTCAGCTGCCCCTCCCTTGGCCTGCGACCCCTTCAGTGGTTCTCAGTCATCTCTGCCCCTGTCCCCATCACTATCTTCAAGGCACATTTTGGATGAGATGATTGGGCATAGTGCTTCCAAATGGACTCTAATCATAAAATGAAGGAGAACACAGACTCAGAGTATTGGTGCAGAGCAGAATCTCTGAGAGGACCTAGCCCACAGCCCCTGCCTTTCTAGATGGAGAAATAGGAAGTCAAAGGAAAAACCATGTGCAATGCGCAGAATTCTAAGATGGGTCCTAAGATTCCTGGTCCCTGCTGTGCAGGCATCATCTCCTCCCTTTGAGTGTAAGTGGGACCCGTAAATAAGACTGGCTGTCACTCCAGTGACATGTTACTTTGTATGGCAAAAGGGACTTTGCAGATGTAATTCAGGCACTCTCCTGCTGGCCTGAAGGAAAGTAAACAGCCATGCTGTGAACTTCCCGTGGAGGGGACCTGCACGGCCCTCTAGGACCTGAGCGCAGCCCCTAGATTGGCTAGAAAATGGGACCTCAGCCCTACAACTGCAGGAACTGAATTCTGATTACCGGGAACCCTGAGCTCCAAATGAAAACATAGCCCTGGTTAACACTTTGATTTCAGCCTGATGAGATTGTGAGCTGAGAACCCATCTCCTCTATGTCCAGACTCCTGACCCATGGAAACTGTGAGATTAAACAAAAAAAGCCACTGTATTGTTTTAAGCCACTAAGTTGAAGGTAATTTGTTACCCAGCAATAAAAACAAGTATGTGAAAATGGGAGACTGTGTAGCAGGGCCATGGTCTCCTGAGCCGAAGAACAGCTTGCAGATGGCCCCAGTGAGAAGTGCCACTCTGAAGCCCTAAAAGATGATAAGGGAGAGTACGAGAGACAAACACCTCTAATTTGTTTGTCAGTCACACTGGCATCTTTATGATCCCTATTTTTTCCAGGCTTTTATGTTGATGATGTCTTTCTCTTGGGGTTTTTCTGCCGCCACATCCAGAAGACCGCACCTTGCTTTTTCCTGAGCATTTTGAAACACTGTCTATTCTTGGATGGCTTCTTACATTGCAGTCACCTGCGTAGCTGTTGCTCCCTGTTTGCCTCCCTTCCTCTGGGGACCATTCTCCACTTTCTTTCTCCTCTGGGCTTGCTTCTCCTACTCTCCCTTGTCATCTTTTAGGGCTTCAGAGTGGCACTCATCATGGCAGTGGCAGGTCCTGCAATTTGAGCAGTATTCAAGGCCTTTTCGTGATTTCTGTCCCACTTGCTGAACACAAACTCTCTATTCCAGGTCTGGCGGCATCTTTGCAGCCTCTCACCTGCCAGGATTGCTCCCCCTGTGGTCTTCCTCTGCCTGCTTCCCAGGGCAGGGCTCCATCCAGCGTCATTTGATGGAGCTTTCACATGCCATTCCCCAATAAAATAAAATGCCCTGAAGTGACCCCGGCCCCCTGTACTCTTCCATTCTCTGCCGGTTCCATAGCATCCAGCACAACTACAAGCCTCCCTGCAGTTGATTATATCCCAATCATATCCAATAATAAAATTCCACGAGGATTAAATCATTTAAATTGTCTCTTTTTGCCAAGACTTTAAGCTCTCTAAGGGCAACAGACGTGTTTACTCCAGGTGCTACATCAGGAATCAGAAAAGGCATTTGTACTTGTAATACACCAAACTGGAAACAGCCCAAATGTCTATCACTGAGTGAAGAGAGAAACAAATTATCTTATTTCCATACAATGAGATACTGCTCAGCTAAAAAAAAGAACAAATTATCCATAACATGCTATAACATGGGTGAATCTCAAAATCGTAGGCTGAGTGTAAGATATAAATGATATCTACTGTATGATAATTTACATAAAAATCTAGACAAAGCAAAACTCATCTATATTGACAGGAAGCAGGTGGGTGTTTGCTCATGGCTGGGGTTGGGGGGATAATGGCAAACGTTGCATTCTGGGGTGATGGAGATGTTCTGTGTCTTGATTGTCGTGGCGGCTATGTGGATGTACACGTTTGTCACAACTCATCAGATTGTATACTTAAAATATATACATTTTATTACACATAAATTATGCCTCAATAAAGTTGACTTGGAAAAAAATCTTTGTATATTCTGAGTCAGCTAAAGCTTTGTTGGAAATGCTTTGAGACATGATTTCTCATGTCTCATGATTTCTCAACATGATTTGAGAAGGGTGAGCCCAAGAAAACATCTACAGACTTCTGTTTAGGTAGAGCCATCTCCCAGAGACAGATGAGCTCCCAGGCTGAGAGCAAAGATATGCCTCAAAAGGTAAGTTAACCGACTTAAAGAGAGATTGCTTGGCCAGAAAAACCCAGAAAAAGAACAGAGAGGATGGCAAAAAGGACCCATGTATTCAGGCGGAAAGGCCTAGATTGGGGGGTTCAAGGATAGTCTGGCTGTGAGCTCTCCCCATGCTGTGTGGTGGGGTGGAGCTCTTTCAGCGGTCTCACCATGGCCCAGAGAAAGAGCTTTTGGGACCAGCCACACTGCTTTGCTCTGAATCCACAGCCACTCCACTGGCCACCAGCCTGATTAACTTCTAGGGAAGCCGGGTCCTGGGAAGAAGGCATGAAGTTTCTAACAAATATGAAGGCATCATCATCTGGATGAAGTGTCAGAGGACCATAGTCCAGGCAATGCTGCCTGCTGTGGCTTTTGATTAGTCAGGCATGACCCATTCCTCCCACTGTCACTCAAGACACTGCCCGGAGAGACAGGCACAGCCAGGGCAGCAGCCAGAATGCTGAGGATTTTGTGGGTTACCTAAAGCTGTGGAGAAGCCAGCAGGGCTCCAGACCTGGAGAGAGCCCCATAAAAAGAAAACATTCCCTTCTTTGGTAGAAAAGAAATGATACCCGAGCAGCTAGCAACCCTGACTGTGCAGAGGCAAAAACCAAGTTCTGAGGTAGGAAAAGAAAGTGTTTGTGTGAAAAGCCCGGGGGCTTGGAAGAGCCTCGGAAATGAAACAGGAAAGGAGGGAAGAGAACAGGAAAGCTCAGCTGGCTGCTGTGGGGCTCAGTGGCGAGGCATGAGCAGCAGCAGAGGCTGAAAGGGGCAGAGAGGGTGCTCACAAGGAAAGGCAAGGGGAGGAGAGCTCTGCAGTCTTAATGGGGGCATGGGGGTTGTGTGTACAATGGCTGCAGGGTGGACCCTCCTCTTGACCAAACCCCAAGTGCCCTCCGTCCCCCTGAATTCCAAGCATGATTATCAGCACTACTTTCCACTGGAGTCACCCAGCCCAACACTTGTGCGCACTGCCCTGACTCCAGCACTCCATAACCCAGCCGTCTAGACTCTGCAGTCTTCTGGCCCTAAGTCAGGGGTTGTCCACTCCTCTCTGGGGAGATGACTAGAACCTCTTAATTAGCTTCTCTCCCTCCCCACTTGTTAAACCTTATCAGCAGGTACTCCATCATGGAGAAGGAAACCAGTGCATGTTAAGCATTTATTATCCTAGGCATTTTAATTATAATTCTCATAACAGCCAGATGAAGAAGGCAGCACTATCTCCATCTTATGAAGAACCCGAGGCTCACAAGGGTTTAGTGATTTCCCCAAATTCAAACAGCTAGGAAGGGGCCAGCCGAACCAGGATCTCAACTTTCTTTCATCCACTGCTCCCACGTGGATCTTAAATACAAATCCATTCAATTCATTTCCCTGGTTAAAATCCTTCAGTGTCTTCCCACCGCTTACAGACATGTTTCTTTCAATATTTTTTGTCCTTATAGAACTACTTTCTAAAAAAAAAACACTTGTTTTACTTTATTTGTGCTAATATAACAAAACACCACAAGCTAGGTAATTTATAAACAATAGAAATGTATTTCTCACAGCTCTGGAGGCTGGGAAGTCCAAGATCAAGGTGCTGGTAGGTTTGGTATCTGGTGAGGGCTGTTCCCCACTCCCAAGATGGTGCCTTGAGCACTGCATCTTCCAGAGGCGAGGTATGCTATCTTTGCATGGCAGAAGGCGGAAGGGCAAAAGGGGCAAACTCCTTCTGCCAAGCCCTTTTATAAGGGTATCTAATCTTATTCATGAAGGCAGAGCCCTCGTGACTTAATCACCTCCCAAAGGCATACCTCCCAATACTGTTGCATTGGGGATTATGTTTCAACATAGATTTTGGAAGGAACAAAAACATTCAAACCACAGCAAATCTTTACATGAAATGCTACCCTATCACACAGAAAACAGCAGAGCTGACCCAGTGTGAGTGGGGGTAAGGCACAGCATCCTGTCTCTACTTTCATAGTTGACATGTCCACTTGAAGTTTCAGCACCATGTCAGTTTGTTTAAGGTTGAACTCTTGATCTAACTCCCAGTATCTCCCAGAGTTTTCTATCTTAAAGAATGGTTGGACCATCCATTCCAGAGCCTGTGAGCCACCTCTCTCACCATCTTCACCCTCATCCTCCTTAAGTACATTCAATTTTGCCTTCTACATCTCCCTTGAAGAAGACTTTGTCCTTCATTTGCACTTTCATCACCCAAGCATCCAAATCCAAGCTCTTACAGCCTCTTACCTAGAATAGGGGCACAGCCTCCTTACTTGCACCACAGAGCCCTGGCAGTCCACCCCCAACACAGTACTCAGACTGTGCTGACAGAAAATTCCCAGCAAAAGGAGAGGGCCACTCTGACATGGAATGTCCTGACATCCAAGTGTCATTATCATTTAGCAACCTCCCCCATCAAATACGACAGTATTTCCTCTTACTTATTATTTTATTAAAAAATGTTATAACTTTGAGATGAAACTATGCACTAAAAAGTAAGCTAAGGGTCAAAAGAATTGAGGGCTGGTTGTTTGAGTTGCTGTGGGGCCACTGAGTTTCCCCAGCTATAGAGCAGAGTTAGTTACTAGAATCTGCTTCTTCTCTCTTGCCCACAGTTGTTATGGAAATAACTTATGTAAAATGTTCAGAATTAATTACAATGAACATATACAACTAAAGCACTCTTATGTCTCACTGACATGAAATAATAAATTTGGATATATGGACATCTGGTTGACAATGTGACATTCCAAGATCTAAAACAAATTTGATGATGTAATTAAATACCAATCTTTCTACTTTTACTTGTATATAGGACAAGATCCCTCGCAGAACCTATTTATATGTATACTTGGAGCTGGCCTCATGGTCACATAAATCATAGGAAAATTTGGAGCAGATGTTGCAGGGTAGCTGGAATTCTCCTGTTAGGACTGCGTTTTAATGGAAAAATGACACAGAGCAGACTTCCCACATGCTTCACAGATAGAGTAATAGAGCTACTTGAAAGGAACATTTATATTCTAGATAGGCTGATTTTTAATCAACAAACGTGATTGCTTTATTATTGTCTGGTCTCGGATGAGTCATTCAGCAGAGTGCACAGGCATTTCCGGACAGGAGGGGAATGGGCCACAAGGGAGAAAGCTTTACAGTACCTTGTATGTCTGTCTGTCTGTCAGTGTGGCCTTGAGCTCTTTCTCCTCTTGCTGGTAGTAGAGATCTTCCCTGGGGCCTTTGACAGTGGCCTCCCATGGGCTTGCAGCCTCAGAAACTTTTATTTGCGAGGAAAGGGGTAAATGTGAGCTAAACCTGAAATCCCACGAATTACAGAAAAGAACTTGTTGGCAGCACACACGCAAAGATTTTCGAAATCCTCTGTTTCGCTGGTGTTTATGCATTTGAGCCTGTTTCATCTGAAGTCATTGTTTTGAGCCTTGTTTGGAAGAATTTTCCAGACATGATTTTCTAGGGAGGAAGAATGTCATTCAGAAGACAAAGGCCTGTGCTTCTGAGATAAAGTAGGTGATGTTCTGCTTCAGATGGCCTCTGGCTCCCTGGCTTTTATCCTCCCTTTCATGTTACCAAGTAGAGCTTCAAGAGCCGTAGTCCAGATTTTCTTCTGCTTCTTCTTTTGTAACTTGGAAAATGAAGACGTAGAACTAGAGTGTTCATTGTGGGAGGTCTAGTGGATAAATGGATGAGAAATGACTTAAGCCAAACAATGACTCAATTAGATTTTCTGACATAGTATCAGTTTGTTTAACCCTGCTGATCCAATGAGGTTAGGTGTTCTGAATAACTGAGAAGGGTGTTCTGACATAGAATCAGGTTGTTTAACCCTGCTGGTCTCAGTGAGGTTAGGTGTTCTGAATAACTGAAAACACCTCCTTAGTCGGGCAGCCATCTTTGATTTCAGGGGAGGTTTGGGGTGGGTGCTCCGAAGAACAGGGACTGTACCAAGTGCCCCCTGAGTGTGTGTGGGGCTTGAGGAAGGGGGAGACACAGAAGACACGCTTCTCTTCCTGCTCTGAGCCCAAGGGTGCAGAAGGCCCCGCCATTGGTGTTCATCAGGAGAAAGGCAGCGGCAGCCCCAACTCCTGGCTTACACTGCCTCAGAGTAGCAGGGGTTCAGTGTGGCGGAGTGAATGATAAGATGAAGAAGAATGACAAGCATGCCTTGAATCGGACAATCACTTTTCTCGTTGAGGTAATTACAAGAATCATGAAAAGCAGGTTAGATATTATCAACTAGTTTTATACAGAGAGACTTGTGCATGATTCAAAAGAGTCAGTGCCAAAGCTAGACCATGTTGCCTTTGTCATTTAGATGGATCGCTTACTGCATTTACCATTGGAAGCTGGTTGGCCTACATGCTTCTGCATCCTAGGAAGCTCCCACACTTAGATCCTCTGAGGTATCTTCATAGCTTTGCAGTACATGATTCCTAGATAGACAAGTTTGGAGCAACCGATAACCCCTATGTCAAAGCTGAATTTGTTTAGATATATTTTATGTACATCAAAATGGAATTTACAATACATGTCAAAACCAGAGGGAAAACCAGTGGCTGTGATCTGAATTTGTTTCCCCAATGTGATAGTACTAGTAGATGGGGCCTTTGGGAGGTGATTAGGTCATGAAGGTGGAGCCCTTGTGAATGAGAAAAGAGGCCCAAGGAAACTTGCTTGCCCCTTCCACCACATGAGGACACAGCAAGAAGGCTCCATTCTATGAACAAGGAGGTGAGCCCTCACCAGACAGTGAATCTGCCAGCACCTGGATCTTGAACTCCCTAGCCTCCAGAACTGTGAGAAATAAAATTTCTGTTATTTGAAAGTCACCAGTTTATGGCTTATGGCATTTTGTTATAGCAGCACAAACAGACTAAGATACCAGTCCTTCTGTTTTCTGCCAGAAAATTGCACCACACTATTGCTTTTAATCTTTTTTCTTGGGCCAAGTTTAGACAAGAGGCATCAACTCTAGGTAATTCTGAATGCAGCAAGACATACAGAGACACCTGCTGCTGGAAACACTGGGAACTTCACTGAAGAGCAGGAGGGCCAAGGACTCAACTCTTTATAAATACTAATTGCATTAAGTAAGCATTTTTGGATTTCACATGTTTATAGCTTAAAATACTTGCAGAACTTGCAAGAAAAACAACAATAAAAATGAAATATTTGATGAACTAGATATTACCAAGGGGCACCTTACTGCAGGGAAACGGTGTGTAGACTTGTTCTAAATGAAATTTGACGTTGTCATGAGTTATGGATACACCTCAAAATCATGTGAGAGTGTGATAATTATCCCGGTCTGAGAAAGCCTGCTTCACTATTGCCATAAAGTTCAAGGCACAAAGTGCATGAGTATTATTTTTGCCTTGCAGTCAACCAGCGGAAAATACTGGTTTTGAACTTGGAGCTACCAAAGTGTACCTCTAAGTTACTTTTTGATTATCTCAGCATAAATTTTCTTCACATGTTTGCTAAACAGGGCAATATTGCCATGGATACCTTCCACCATCCCATAGCTTCCCTGACACATTCTGGCACTTACTCTCAAAGCTACCACGTATGACACTGATTGAACACATCAGCATGTCATTTGTTCTCAGCGCGGATGGGAAATCCGGAGAAAAGGCTGCCTAAAAACATAATGCAGAGAGAGGAAACATAAAGTGGAGAAGCCTGGGAGGGGTGGAGACACAATCGGCCTTAGAAAACAGCTGGGGGGTACTGAACTCTTTCCTAGCTCCGGGAGCCTCCATATTCAGGCTAGAAAAGGTGAGGTGATACAACGTGGGGCAGAGGGCAGAGAGGGAGGAGACTGTGGCACACACAGAAGGTGGGGGCAGCTCTCCTTGCACCTGGACTGGCACTAAGAGCCAGCAGCCTCGTCACCCCAAGGCGCCACTTTCAGGGGGCTGCTGAGCAGCCTTTGGTGTCTTCACACACCGGTGTTGTGCTGAATGACAATATCTTCTCTGCGCTCACTTTGGAGGCCTCTTTGGGAACTGACAATTCTGAATTGTGCGTTTGGCTGCTGAGAGAGGCTGTCAGGACTCCAGATATCTGTCTGATGCTCCCTGCCCGACTGTGACGGAGAGACTACAAGGGAGTGCAGCACAGGGGCGACAAGTGCTCCTGGGGATTTGCTGCCTGCATGGCCTCCCTAAAGCCCCTGCCATCTGCCCACTGCTCTCCACTTCCGCTGCCAGGCTGAGCCCAGCCGCGGATTCCCAAACGCCCCTCATGGCCCTTCCTTGGCCCTGATTCACCAGTCTCCCTTCTCTTCTCCTCACTGCGGCTGCAGTGGCTTCACTCCGCCCATACGCCTTCAGTGGGTTCCCCTTTTATTCTAAGACAGAATTCAGCATTTTTCCTACGCTGTGTGCAGTCCTACGGGGTGGGCTTCTCTGCTCTTCCCCACCCCTGGCCCCACCTCCGGCTCCTCTGACGCCACATTTTCTGCTCTGTCTCAGTCCCTCGGGGCACACTGGCTGTCTTCTTGCAGGGCCGTGGTGCCTGCTGCGCCCTGTGCCTGGACTGCCTGGCTCTCCTTTCCCCTGGCGCTGCTCCAGCACCCTCAGCACCTCCAGCACCCCCAGCACCTCCAGCACCTCCAGCACCCTCAGCACCTCCAGCGCCCCAGCCCGTCTTTCAGATCTTGGCTCAGGCATCACTTCTTCAGAGAAGCCTTCCCTGACCCTTGGCCTAGGCCAGGTCCCCTCATTATGCGCTAAGATAGAACCACCTTCTTTTTCTTTATGGTACTTCCCCAAGTTCCTAACGGAGACATTAAGCACATAATCACACTGCTGAGTCCAGGGCTCTTGGCCTGGAACCTAAGCTCCACAAGGGAAGGGCAGGTGCTGCTGTTGAGTAACCACTTAATCCTCAGCTCCTAGCACAGGGCCTGGCACAGAGCAGGGGCTTAATAAATATTCGCATTTTCTCAACTATGCCCTCTAACTTAGTTAGATACCAACTTCTCAACCTCCACAACCAGCTGTGATGAGCAGTTCACTTTTACTTGCATTATCCTTTTCTTTCTTCTTTTATATTTAACCTCCAAAAAGCTGACTTCATCAAAACCTAAATAAATGCTTTCTTTTATAAACGACTCTCCTTAATGATAAATCATGCATAGAGCAAGGAATAGGAAAATGTAACGTGCTTTTATTTCTTTATCTCTATTTGCCACCGTGAATTGACAACAATTTCTGGGCAACTCTCAACCACTTGGTGACGCCAGATCATAGAGAATTCAAAAGGGGCCAAGGTCAGAAACCAGAACCTCATCAGTTAAGCTCCTTGTCATAATTAGAGCTTCCCAGAGCTGACTGTCCTCTGTGCCTGGACAGCCAGAGATGTGTACACGATTCCAAACAAATATAAGCGAATGGGTCGCAAGTGCTACTCCTCAGCACTCCACATTCTCAGGAGCTGTGACACTGGGACAGTGCAGGTCCTGAATGGTGAGAGACCTTAAGGCTTAAAACCACACATGGCATTACCTGACTTCAAATTATACTACAGAGCTACAGTAACTAAAACAGCATGATACTGGCATAAAAACAGACACATAGACCAATCAAACAGAACAGAGAATTTAGAAACAAATCCATATATCTACAGTAAACTCATTATTGACAAAGGTGCCAAGAACATATATTGGGAAAAGAACCTTCAGTTCAATAAATGGTGCTGGGAAAACTGGACATCTATATGCAGAAAAATGAAAGTAGACTCCTACCTCTTGCCATATTCAAAATTAAAATCAAAATGAATTAAAGACTTAAATCCAATACTTTAAATGATGAAACTACTACAAGAAAACATTGGAGAAACTCTCCAGGACATTGGTCTGGGCACAGATTTCTTGAGTAATACCCCACAGCCACAGGTGACCAAAGCAAAAATGAACAAATGGAATCACATCAAGTTAAAAAGCTTCTGCACATCAAAGGAAACAGTCAACAAAGTGAAGAGACAACCCACAGTATGGGAGGAAATATCTGCAAACTACCCATCTGACAAGAGATTAATCCCCAGGATATATAAGGAGCTCAACAACTCTATAGGAAAAAAAACTAATAACCAATTAAAAATGGGCAAAAGATCTGAATAGACATTTCTCAAAATAAGACATACAAATGGCAAACAGATATATCAAAAGGTGTTCAACATGACTGATTATCAGAGAAACACAAATCTAAACTACAATGAGATACCATCTCACTCCAGTTAAAATTGTTTATATCAAAAAGACAGGCAATAACAAATGCTAACGAGGATGTGGGGAAAAGAGAACCCTTGTACACTGTTGGCGGAAATGTAAATTAGTACAACCACTATGTAGAACAGCTTGGAGGTTTTCCAAAAACTAAAAATAAAACTGCCATATGATCCAGCAATCAATCTCACTGATAGGCATATACCCAAAATAAAGGAAGTCAGTATATTGAAGAGATGTCTGCACTTGTATGTTTATTGCAGCACTATTCACAATAGTGAAGATTTGGAAGCAACGTAAGTGTCCCTCAACAGATGAATGGATAGTGAAAGTGTGGTTCATATACACAATGGAATACTATCAGCTCTAAAAGGAATGAGATCCTGTCATTTGCAGCAACATGGATGGAATTGGAGGTTCCATGTTAAGCAAAATAAGCCAGACACAGAAAAACAAACTTTGTATGTTCTCACTTACGTGTGGGAGTTAAAATTTAAATCAACTGAAACCACCGAGTTACAGAGTAGAAGGATGGTTACTAGATGCTGAGAAGGGTAGTGGGGGGTGCGGTGATGGGAGGGTTAATGGGTACAAAATATAATGGAAAGAATGAATAAAACCTAGTATTTGCTAGCACAACAGGGTGACTATAGTCAATAATAATTTAATTGTACATTTAAAAAGTAACTAAAAGAGTATAATTGGGTTTTTTGTAATACAAGGGACAGGTACTTGAGGGGATAGATGCCTTATTTGCCCTGAGGTGATTATTATGCATTGTATACCTGTATCAAAATAGCTAATGTATCCCATAAATATATACAGCTACTATGTACCCACAAAAGTTAAAAATTAAGAAAACACACACTTGGCCACAAAGAATATTATTGTGAATAAACCTAATTGACATTCACGCATAAGAAAAATATCAGAGCATCTCAGCTTAGAACTTGCCAGCAGACAAGCACACTGAAAGAGCAAATCTTTCTGTTTGAGGGCTGGCTATAGTGAGGGTTGTTGACTTCTTACATTCATTCACAGAACATTTGGGAAAGTGGTGGTGAGTCGGCGAAAGAGACTCAGAGACACACGGTGAATTGCCCAGCTTCTCAGATCGAGCTGATGGAAGAACCAAGATGAAAACTTGCTCCAATTACAGCTAGTTTAGGGTTCTTGTGTTCAGTACACAATTATAAAAGGACTTGATAAGATGCGGACTAGGGACCACTTGCATCAAAACCACTCCAGGGAGTTTGCGGGAACACCCTGACTCCAAAATTTCTGGGGATGGGACCCAGACATATGTATGTTCAACACCCTTACAAGGATTCTGATGTCTACTACCAGGCGAGAATCACATAGCTGGACTTAGCTTTCTGTCTTAAAAGCTCACGTGTGTAGAGTAAAGCCTATGATCTTCTTGAATCTCTTGGTTGAAGTCACTGGTCCTCGGGCTGAGTAAAGGGACTTCCACATTATGAGAACTTGGGGAGAGAAGGAGTATATTGCTAAAATTAGATGAATTATTTTGGATAAGAGATGAGCATTCTTCTCAGTAGTTTCTAGTGGAATTGATCCAACCCACAGCTTAGACTTAAAGTCTTAACATAGTTCTTGTAGCTTAGGGCTCAGCTAGTAGAATCCAGGGCCTGCCAGTTGGAAGAGGATAGAGGCACTGAAGGGCTACACCCCAGCAGTAGGGGGAAACAGAACTAGGTAAGCCTTTGCAGGGACCATAGCCCAGCTTTCAGTCATCTCCATCTCTGAAGTTCTTTTGAGCTCATCCTGGCTTGTTGCAAGGCTTAGGAGTCTGGCAAAAGGAAACACAATCCACAATCCTCTCTGGAATTATAACCTCCTATGAGTCTTCTATTTCTACAGACATTTTGTAAATACAACGTCCCCACAAGATTAAAAATAACCAGGGCCACTGAAAGACAAGGCAACCCGAGAAAAAAATAAGACAAACTAGAGAAACGAAACAGACCCATAAGAATTTCAGAAGCTAGAGTCACCACACTGACTTTAAAATAACTATGTTATTAAAAGGGAAGCTTAAGAGTTTTATCAGAGATCTAAAAATTATAAAAATGAATCAGAAAGGCATGGTGGCTCATGCCTGTAATCCCAGCACTTTGAAAGGCCAAGACTGGAGGACTGCTTGAGGCCAGAAGTTTGAGAACAGCCTGGCTCGGCAAGACAGTGAGACCCTGTCTCTACAATTTTTTTTTCTTTTTTAAATTAGATAGGTATAGTGGCGTGCACTTGTCATCACAGCTACTTGGGAGGCTGTGGTAGGAGGATTGCTTGAGCCCAGGAGTTGGAAACCAGCCAGGACAACATAGCAAAACCCTGTCTCTTCAAAAAATACAAAAATTAGCTGGACACGGTGGCTTGTGCCTGTAGTCCCAGCCACTTGGGGGGCTGAAGTGGGAGGATTGTTTGAGCCTAGGAATTGGAGGCTGCAGTGAGCTATGATCATGCCACTGCACTCCAGCCTGGGTGACAGAGCAAGACCCTGTCCCCTGCTCCCCCCAAAAAAGAATCAAATGGAAATTTTGGAAATTAAAAATACAATAACTGAAATTAAGAACTCAGTGAAGAGAGAACTAGTCAGTCTTCTCAAGGTTCAAAATGACTTGAGAGAGCAGAAAAGGAGACTGTGGCTGAGGGACTGATCTGGGGTGAGGAGTCCCATGCAGGAAGGGACTTGTGTCATTTGAATCTCCTATTGGTGCCAAAGCAGGAAAGACCCTGGTTTCTTATCAGCTTTCCCAGATGTGGAGAAGAAAGGGAAGAGGGAAGGGTGAGGCTCAAAAACTGCCAGCAAACATCAGAAAGTGGAGTCAGACTCCTTATTACACAGAACAAATTACTTAATGTAAAGAATGATATATTTTCTTCTAAATTTACCGTCTTATTAGGTGCTATTTTCCTGCCTATTTTACATTTCCTTGTCCCTCCTTTCTTGCCCTCTTTTTGATTATTTCTATATTACACTTGCCCCTCTATTAATTGGGAGTTTTATATGATTTTTAAGTCATTCCTTTAATATTCATCCTAGAGATTATGGCATGCATTACAACCTATCAAAAATTTAATATTAATTGGTGTTTTTGTTTCATGTGGGATAATGCAATGATTTTATAAAACACTTATATAACTCTCTGCTATTATTTGTATTTTAATTGTTATATCTTTTAAACACCACAATACATTATTTTTATTTTATGCAGTTGCAAATCATTTAGATTCACTCAGACATATTCAATTTTTATCATTCTTTGTTTCTTTCTGCATCTCCAGACACCCATCTTCAAACCATTCCTCTTCAGAAGGAATCTTTCCTTCTCCTAGAAAGATGCTTTTCAACATTTCCTTTAGTGAAAGACTTCTGGAGACAAATTCTCTCATTTTTTGTTTCTCTGAAATTTATCATGTCACCACTTCTTAAAAACATTTATTGGTAGCTATAGGATTCCAGATTAGCGGTTATATTTTTTCAGCACTCTGAAGATATAATTCCAATACATTTTGGCTCCCATTATTTCTATTTTGAAGACAGCTGTCAGTCTAATAGTGGCTACTTTTAGTCTGTTTTTACTTAATTTTGGCTGCACTTACAAGTTTTGTTTGCTTGCTTTTGTCTCTGGTTTTTAATAGATTTTCTTATGTGCCTAAGTGTGGATTTCCTCTTATTTCTCTTTAGGGTTCCTAGAGCTTTAGAATCTGTGCTTTGATATCTCTTATTAGTTTTGCAAAGTTCTCTGCCAGTGTCCCTTAAAGTATTGCTACCGATTCACAGCCGAATTCTACCAGAGGTACAAGGAGGAACTGGTACCATTCCTTCTGAAACTATTCCAATCAATAGAAAAAGAGGGAATCCTCCCTAACTCATTTTATGAGGCCAGCATCATTCTGATACCAAAGCCAGGCAGAGTCACAACAAAAAAAGAGAATTTTAGACCAATATCCTTGATGAACATTGATGCAAAAATTCTCAATAAATTACTGGCAAAACGAATCCAGCAGCACATCAAAAAGCTTATCCACCATGATCAAGTGGGCTTCATCCCTGGGATGCAAGGCTGGTTCAATATATGCAAATCAGTAAATGTAACCCAGCATATAAAGAGAGCCAAAGACAAAAACCACATGATTATCTCAAAAGATGCAGAAAAGGCCTTTGACAAAATTCAACAACCCTTCATGCTAAAAACTCTCAATAAATTAGGTATTGATGGGACGTATTTCAAAATAATAAGAGCTATCTATGACAAACCCACAGCCAATATCATACTGAATGGGCAAAAACTGGAAGCATTCCCTTTGAAAACTGGCGCAAGACAGGGATGCCCTCTCTCACCACTCCTATTCAACGTAGTGTTGGAAGTTCTGGCCAGGGCAATCAGGCAGGAGAAGGAAATAAAGGGTATTCAATTAAGAAAAGAGGAAGTCAAATTGTCCCTGTTTGCAGATGACATGATTGTATATCTAGAAAACCCCATTGTCTCAGCCCAAAATCTTCTTAAGCTGACAAGCAACTTCAGCAAAGTCTCAGGATACAAAATCAATGTACAAAAATCACAAGCATTCTTATACACCAACAACAGACAGAGTGCCAAATCATGAGTGAACTCCCATTCACAATTGCTTCAAAGAGAATAAAATACTTAGGAATCCAACTTACAAGGGATATGAAGGACCTCTTTAAGGAGAACTACAAACCACTGCTCAAGGAAATAAAAGAGGATACAAACAAATGGAAGAACATTCCATGCTCATGGGTAAGAAGAATCAATATTGTGAAAATGGCCATACTGCCCAAGGTAATTTACAGATTCAATGCCATCCCCATCAAGCTATCAATGACTTTCTTCACAGAATTGGAAAAAGCTACTTTAAAGTTCATATGGAACCAAAAAAGAGCCCGCATCGCCAAGTCAATCCTAAGCCAAAAGAACAAAGCTGGAGGCATCACACTACCTGACTTCAAACTATACTACAAGGCTACAGTAACCAAAACAGTATGGTACTGGTACCAAAACAGAGATATAGATCAATGCAACAGAACAGAGCCCTCAGAAATAACGCCGCATATCTACAACTATCTGATCTTTGACAAACCTGAGAAAAACAATCAATGGGGAAAGGATTCCCTATTTAATAAATGGTGCTGGGAAAACTGGCTAGCCACATGTAGAAAGCTGAAACTGGATCCCTTCCTTACACCTTATACAAAAATTAATTCAAGATGGATTAAAGACTTAAACGTTAGACCTAAAACCATAAAAACCCTAGAAGAAAACCTAGGCATTACCATTCAGGACATAGGCATGGGCAAGGACTTCATGTCTAAAACACCAAAAGCAATGGCAACAAAAGACAAAATTGACAAATGGGATCTAATTAAACTAAAGAGCTTCTGCACAGCAAAAGAAACTACCATCAGAGTGAACAGGCAACCTACAAAATGGGAGAAAATTTTCGCAACCTACTCATCTGGCAAAGGGCTAATATCCAGAATCTACAATGAACTCAAACAAATTTACAAGAAAAAAACAAACAACCCCATCAAAAAGTGGGCGAAGGACACGAACAGACACTTCTCAAAAGAAGACATTTATGCAGCCAAAAAACACATGAAAAAATGCTCATCATCACTGGCCATCAGAGAAATGCAAATCAAAACCACAATGAGATACCATCTCACACCAGTTAGAATGGCAATCATTAAAAAGTCAGGAAACAACAGGTGCTGGAGAGGATGTGGAGAAATAGGAACACTTTTACACTGTTGGTGGGACTGTAAACTAGTTCAACCATTATGGAAGTCAGTGTGGCGATTCCTCAGGGATCTAGAACTGGAAACACCATCTGACCCAGCCATCCCATTACTGGGTATATACCCAAAGGACTATAAATCATGCTGCTATAAAGACACATGCACACGTATGTTTATTGCGGCATTATTCACAATAGCAAAGACTTGGAACCAACCCAAATGTCCAACAATGATAGACTGGATTAAGAAAATGTGGCACATATACACCATGGAATACTATGCAGCCATAAAAAATGATGAGTTCATGTCCTTTGTAGGGACATGGATGAAATTGGAAATCATCATTCTCAGTAAACTATCGCAAAAACAAAAAACCAAACACCGCATATTCTCACTCATAGGTGGGAATTGAACAATGAGATCACATGGACACAGGAAGGGGAATATCACACTCTGGGGACTGTTGTGGGGTCGGGGGAGGGGGGAGGGATAGCATCGGGAGATATACCTAATGCTAGATGACGAGTTAGTGGGTGCAGCGCACCAGCATGGCACATGTATACATATGTAACTAACCTGCACAATGTGCACATGTACCCTAAAACTTAAAGTATAATAAAAAAATAATAAAATAAATAAATAAATAAAAGGAGAGTAAATTGAAAAAAAAAAAAAGTATTGCTACCAATCTATTTTCTCTCTAATCCGCTTTGGGGACTCCAACTACACTCATGTAAGACATGAGTCTCATTGCTTTCACTTTGCTTCTTTACGTTTTCTTCCATATTTTTTATTCTTTTTTTCTCTCTATGCTTCCTTCCGAAAATTTTTCTTTTGTTAACCAACACTTCTCAAACTTTAATGTCTTTAAAATCATTTGAGGATCTTATTAAAATACAATTCAGATTCACTAAGTCTGTGGTGGGGCCTAAGATTTTGCATTTCTGAAAAGCTGCCCTACAGAAAGAGGACACTAGGTAAAAACTAAGGAAATACGAGTAAAGTATGGACTTCAGTTAATAAAAATGTATCTGAGCTATGTTTGCAACTTTTCTGTAAATCTAAAGCTAGTCTATTCTAAAATTAAAGTTTTATTTTAAAAAATGTTTTGAGATTATGTCAATGAGGCTGGTCTACATATCACAGGTTAAGTGATTGGTTGAGATTCTAACCGATCTTCCAAGATTGACCTCTTCTTCCAGACAACCTTAATTATATAAGTAGTAAACCTTTAACCTTCTTGGTGTGTATGTATGGTGTCATCAGTTTCAACATTCAAACCAAATTTTGGATAGGGATGCATTCTGCTTCTGCAGGCTGGCTGAAACAGACTACATGTGTCTTAGCCAATTTTGTGCTGCTATTATAGAATAGCAAAGGTGAAGTAATTTATAAAGAACAGAAATTTATTTCTCACAGCTCTGGAGGCTGGGAAGTCCAAGATTAAGGTGCCAGCAGGTTCAGTTGTTTGATGAGGGCCCAGTCTTTGCTCCCAAGATGGCAACTTGAACAAGTGCAAGTCCTCACATAGCAGAAGAGTCCAAACCCACTTCTGCAAGCCCTTTTTGTAGCGGAATTAATCCACTCATGAGGACTCTGCCTCCTATTAGGCCCCATATCCCAACACTGTTGTATTAGGGATTAAGTTTCCAATACATGAATTTTGAGGGACACATTCAAACCATAGCAATGTTCTATTTAGGAGACCAAGATTATGTGACTTGATAAAAAAATACAAAACTCTAGGCCAGGCACAGTAGCTCACACCTGTAATCCCAACACTTTGGGAGGCCAAGGCAGGCAGATCGCTTAAACTCAGGAGTTCGAGACTAGCCTGGGGAACACAGTGAGACCCCATCTCAACAAAACATACAAAAATTAGCCAGGCATAGTGGTGCACGCCTTTAGTTCCAGCACTCAGGAGGCTGAGGTGGGAGGATCACTTGAGCCCAGATGGTCAGCTGAGATCACGCCACTGCTCTCCAGCCTAGGTGACAGACTGACACCCTCTCTCAAAAATAAATAAATAAATAAATAATGCAAAACTAAAATATATACCGTTTACAAGAGCTGTGTCTAAAACACAGAGACACAGAAAGATTGTAAATAAAGGGTTGAAAAAGATAACAGGGAAACCACTAGGTTAATATTCAAAGATAAAGGACTTTAAGGTAGACTGCATTATCAGAGATAAATAGTGACATTACAAAAAGCTAAATTATTCAACTCAGAGGATGATGTCACTATTCTAAAATTGCATGCATCTAATAAAAGAGCCTCAAAATATAAATGCATGAATCAAGTTTCCAACACTAACAGAAACAGAAATGTGCAATCATAGTGGGAAATTGTTACACAACTATTTCAACAACTGACAGAACAAATAAACAAAAATCCAGTAGAGATATAGAAAATATAAACAACGTGATTAGCAAACTGACAGAATGGACACATTTTCTACATTGCATACCAAAAATGTAAAAGATGCACATGGAATATTTACAAAACACTGACCAAGTGGTAGTTACATAGAGCTTTCCTTTTTGATAAATCATCGAACTGTACATTTTCATTTTATGCACATTACTGTTTGTGTACTGTTTCTCATAATAGTCTGGAAGTTCCCTGTCTAGAACTATTAAGACCCTCCATGGTGTCAAAGACACAGGCTCTTTCTACCTTGTTATTCCACTATATATATCTTCCATTTTTAAGGCGATCTCCTGTCCAAATGCCTGCTCAAATTTCTAGCCATTGAAACACATCCCAATCACAGGAAGGAGAAAAAAGGAAGCGAGGGGATTCACAACCTCCCTTTAAAAAACCCTTTGTAGAATCTGCAGGTACTATTTCTGCTTATATCTCAGTAGCCAGAACTTAGTTACTTTCACACCTAGCTCAACAAAAATTTGAGAATGGAGTCTTTATTTCAGTTGCCATGTGCCCAGAAAAAAATAAAATAAAATAAAGGGAGGACGAAGATTCTATTGCTACACAAGAGAGATAAAAATGTTACCTAGATATTAAAATAAAGGGGGATTTTGATCTTGTTTAATGGATTTTTCCCTCAGACCCAGACAATCGTCAACATAGAAAAAGACAGATTTTACTCCCAAGGACTCCTCTTTGCCTATATTCCTTTTGTGTAGTATGAGGGGGGATTGAATGGGTCAGGGAGAAACAGGCAAGTTTATTTACTTGACTTGGCTTTATAATTGCACCCATACCCTAAACATACTACTTTTAATGAATAGGCTGCAGAGGTCTTGCTTTTTTGAGTTAAGATGAGTGAGTTGCATGGAAACTGAGGTCATTAATAAATACAGCATCTATTCCAAGTATGATGTCCAAGTCTAAATCAAACACAACTGTTGAAAGGCCAGATGTTATTCCCATTGCTATATTTCAGTGTTTTCCTGGAAGTGATCTCACCCTGATGGTAATGCCGTTGTCCAACTGTGTATGCTATTTATATCTAGAACCCCAGCTTTCAGGTTTAAAATGCACCAAACTGCAAATAGCTATTGCTTTGAGTGCTGAGCCTGTCATGGGGAATTTAAGAAGAATCCTTGAGTTGTGATGTGCTAACTTGGATGGCTATCAGGAAGGAAAGAATTTATGTAACTTGTAAACATGTAGATATATTGTGATAGAGTTCTAATGCATGGCTCTGAGAAGCACCTTCATTCATATTCACCAATGCAGGGAATCAAAGACTTCACTGTCCCCTCTGTGAAGAAGAAATTTAACTGCAATTAATTATCTCCTACAGACTAAAAAGTGTATAATCCCAAAGACCAAAGGAACATTTAGTCAGAGCCATAAACAATGCCAATACTTAAAAAGAAAACACTCTCAGAAAAAAGTGTGATGATGCCTTTTATCTGGTGTATTAAAACAAGAAAATACACCAGATAAAAAGCATCATAACACTTTATTTATTTATTTATTTACTTATTTATTTATTTATTGCTGAGATGGAGTCTTGCTCTATCGTCCAGGCTGGAGTACAGTGGTGTGATCTCTGCTCACTGCAACCTCCACTCCCTGGGTTCAAACAATTCTCCTGCCTCAGCCTCCAGAGTAGCTGGGATTACAGGTACCCGCCACCACACCCAGATAATTTTTGTATTTTTAATAGAGATGAGGTTTCACCATGTTGGCCAGGCTGGTCTCGAACTCCTGGCCTCAAGTGATCCACCCACCTCAGCGTCCCAAAATGCTGGGATTACAGGTGTGAGCCACTGCGCCTGGCCCACACTTTAAAATTTGGAGGCAAAGAGAGTCATCACGAGAAAATAATCTGTTTTTGAAGAATATCATAGACTTTTTTTTTTACAAATAATTTGTAAAATATTTTGGTTTATGCATTCATCTCACAAAAACATTATTTGTATAGAGGTGATTACGATGCAGTTACTAACACATCTATAGCTGCATACACTTTTAATAGTACATTTACATAATAGATGTGAAATAGAACATTTAGCTGGCTCCTATGAATATCAACATGAAGACAACTAGTGCGTAAGACTGATAAAAAAAACAAAAGCTAACATTCCTGAGGTACTTCCTATCAGGCAGGTTCTGTGCTAAGTGGTTTATATGCTTTATCTCACCCAATGGGAGATTCTACTATGGTCTCCAATTTCAGCAGAGGAAAGGGAGGTGTGGGAAGGGGATGTTACTTGCCCAAATCCTTGTGGCTCTTGAGAAGTGGAGCTGGGACTTGAGTCCAGGTCTGCTGGCTCCAGATCCTGTCTCTGTAGCACCAGATGGCACGGCCTCGGATTAAGTGAGACATACATGCTATGAGAGCTTCGTCCACTGCTTGACCCATACTGAGCAGCCAATAAAGGCTTACACAAAAGCAGACTAAGGCAGGCTGCAATCCACACCCCATCCACAGCACTGAAGGCTCCCAGAGCACAGTTAAGGTAATGAAAGGTGCTGGGAACCTCTGGTTGAGGGTCCCTTTTTGGTGCTACCTCTGCCTGTCAGTTATCTACGAGTTTCAACCCTGCCTAAGTCACTGAGGGGCTGGATGGCTACGGGACCAATCCCTTCTTTCTGGACTGGACTTTCTTCTGTAAAAGAAGAGGATTTGACTAGAACGATTCCTAAGCTTTCTCCCCGCTCTGAACTTCTACCACCCAAGTCATCTCTAAGCTTTTGCGTGTGAAAATTAGTCCAGAAGCCCAGGGAGGCCCGTACCCGCCCTGAACATGTAGGAAGGGATTAACCATCCTAATAAAAAAGACAGCAGTGCTCTATGAAGATCAGCATTTTCCACCAAGGATGAACTTTGTTTCAATGGCAACAGGCCATGGTGGCAAAACTGCAAACTTCTAGTGTGGGCATGACTCAAAACCAGAGGGCCAGGGCAGACCTTTAGAATAGCTGATGGAATCGAATTATTCCACCGACTTTCACAATCCTGGCCATTTCAGCCCCACATGCGTCAGTCAGGATTGGAAATTGACGCAGGCTGTGGGGCTCTGGAGTGCTGAGGCAGAAGCGCCGAAGTCCGCTCAGCGGCGCCCACTAGCGGAAGGCCACAGAGCGGCGGTGCAACGGGACGGCTCAGGGCTCCAACTGCTCTGCACTGTGAAGCTGCAAGTCCTCCCTTGCATCATCGCACAGGGAAACGGAGGGAGAAAGGCCACCAGCTCCTTAGAGGCAGAGTTGACCTCTTGGCGGCCATTATGGTCCATGAAGAAATTCCCTCTGTACAATACACTAATTTTTCTTCATCATAACCTAACACATAGTATTTATTTATTGCAAGATGCTGGTCACCGTATTAAAAGATAATACAAATTTATTCAATTTTTTAATCCAAGAAAATGTAAAACATCTGAAGAAAATCTTGGTTCTTTTGATTCTGTCATAGTTTAATAACTGTGCAAATGAATGCTTGGGATCCCTGCTCCCATGAATATTTTATTAGGGGCAAATGGTTTATAGAGATAATATTGGAAATAAGAATTATTTGACAGATATTTTAAACATTTCATGGGTGACTGGGACGCATATTGCAAATTCTCAAACATCAAAAATCTGACAAAGTTCACCAAATAGTCTCAAAATAAGTTTATGGTAGTAATGTCATTTATTTACTGGATAACTAACCAACACTTAAAAAAGTTAAGCATGTTTGGGTTAAAGTAGCGTTTGACCATGTTAGGGAAGCCCAGTTCTTATCCTTAGAGAGGTTGCATTCTCACAGGTAAATGAGATCTATACAAAGGATACAACATAAGACTATAATTCTGAAATAATTTAAGTGTCCTAGAAAAATGTTCTGAAGGAGTTCAGAGAAGGAGTGCAGAAAATCTAAAAACAAGTAGGAGAACCTCATGGAGTGAGTAGGACTTGAGTTGAAACTTAAAGGATGGGAAGGGCATTTAAGTAGAAGGGAAGGAAGAGAAGAGCGTGTTCGGGGTAGTCAAAACTCATAAGGACGTATGGTGATGATTGGTACAGGAAGGTGTTTCAGGAAAGAAAGTGGGTATTCAGAGCCCTCCTGCCATGGCTTACCTCATTTATGGCTTTAGCCTCTAAAACTTCTCCCTTGTTGTCAGTTGGCTTCTTTCTTGCCTTTTATTTATTTATTTGCCTCTTTTCTAGTCTAGAACTCATGGTCAAGCTTGCTGAACATGTGCTTTAGCGACCTTGCTACCTCCTTGTGCTGTGGCTCCTGGGCAGCCAAACACTAGAGGAGAGGGCGCTGGGAAGCCAGGCTGTGTGGCAATTCTTTTGACCAGTTGCCATACATCAGCTGCAGTGACCAGCCCAAACGTGTTTAACTCAAACTCACATTCATTTCCTCGCCATCCTCACACCTTCTACTTACCTCATCTCGGGAGACTGGGGCTATTCTACATGAGCTCCCCAACGTACCTCGTCTCCACTTTAAATTGTTTCTTGATTTTCATTCTTTCTTCACCTGTGTCCCAAACCACTCCCTCGCATTTACACATCACCTCCTCAGGTGAGGCTCAATCGTTAGGTCCTCTGACTCTCCCATTTGAAGTGTCTCACAAAGGAGAGCACTGTCTTTGCTTTCAGGCATTCTGTGCTTTAGGTGAATGTGAAACATACAATGGAAAAATCTCTGTTACACGTATTCAGCCCCGGAGCTCCCGTGATTCCCAGAGAGTGGGTATTAGAAGTGATCCCAAAGAGACCGCCCCTGGGAAGGGAGAATGGATATAGATGACAGCCTCCTGGAGTCAAGGTCAAACAGTCATCACTTAACTTGTCTGAGCTTCAGTTTTAGCACAAGCAAAGAGCAAGAACAAATGAAGCAGTAAGTGCAGAAGCGAAAAGGTGCTTTGTTCTCTTTAAAAGAAGCACACTGAGGAATGAAGTCCCCTGAACTGCTAAATGGAAGATTTACATGCAATCCTTCTGCCTTTGGCGAGGCAAAGTTTTTTATTTTTTTAAACAACAAACTTTTGGGAAGAAAGGAACAAACTGCAACTTTTGACAATGAAAAAATATTCCAAAATATTTGATATTGAGCAACAAAAGCACTCAGCCATTTAATAGGTGATTGGTGTTTCAAAAACCATGGGTAAAAAAATCTCTTTCAGCTAACATGGCTCTTAAATGATCCATTGGAACAGGCTTTGTTATTCGTTATTGAAAATGTGGAGATCTCGCTAACCTGAGTTTCTCTCCCTTGGTGGGAGTCTCTCTGCTTGCTCCAGCATACCACCCACTCTTCGCTTTTCTCTGGTAGCCCTTCTGTTTCTGTATGGTTTGGCCCTGGGAAAATAAAGACACATGCAGAGTGCTCACAAAATGCAAAACATGCTAATGAATGTGGGAATTAGGGATGTTTCCCTGGCTCAATCCTTTCATTACGTCTTATTTTTCCTGTAACTCCTCATCAAAACTTTAAATTAAACAGGCCATATGGAAAAAGCTTTCAATGAGATTGTAATTAGGTATATAAAGCTTTCATAAATTAAACCAAGAACAGGAAATTTTTTTTGAAATCCCATGAAGGCACTCACAGCGGCAGGCTCCTATGGCACGCCAAGCTCTGCTCCTGTTCTAGTTCAACTCCTGAAGTCAAAGGACATAGTCAAAGTCTTGCTCCTGAACCAAAGGCACTACAATGGTTTGTTTGACGGTTAGCTCTCTGTGTCAACTTCGCTCCGCCATGGTACCTAGATATTTGGTCAAATGACAGTCTAAATGTCACTGTGAAGGCATTTGTAAGATGAGATTAACATTTAAATCAGTAGGCTTTGAATGAAGCCGATTACCCTTCATGATGTGAGTGGGCCTCATCCCATCAGTTGTAGGCAATAAGAGAAAAAAGATGGAAGGCCCCCAGGAAAGAGGGAATTCTTCCTCTAGACTGCCTTTAGATTCCAAGATGCAACATCACCTCCTCCCTGGGTCTCCTAGCCTGACACCTGCCCTGCAGAGTTTGGGCTTGCCACCTCCCACAACTGCATGAGCCAATTCCTTAACATAACTGTATTTATCTATCTACCTATCTATAAATATGTATAGCTCCTATTGGTTTTGTTTCTCTAGAGAACCCTAATACAGATGGGTGCTCTTTTGTTAATTGCAAGAGAAAACATCATCTCCAACAGAAAGAAACTGTCTGAACTTGAAATCACAGAAGATGTTTCCAGGCTAGGACTGTTACATTTTCCCTGAAAATTTCTGTTTACCCTGTTGCCTGGCTAAAGTTCAATTTAGGTAGGGTGATGCACTCTGAAGGTCACATTTTCTCTCTTTTATGTCCAGCAGATCCAACCAAGTTTCTTTCCTTGACAGTTCTTATTTAGCAATAACAGAAGGGATTGTTTTATATCTGATATATGTGCTCATAAAAAATTTTAAAGTAAACTTTGAAAACAGATAAAAACATGAATGTATTTAGTTCTTGCCCAAATGCTTTTAAACCTCCAATAATTAGTTCCCTATTCTCTCTCATAGCAGCCAGCAGAAATATTCCTGGAACAATTCCAGATCTCCCTAGAGTCAAATGAAATTCAGAAACTCCAACTTTATTGTTGGAAACAGGGAAGTAGGGGGCTTAGGCTTGGCTCCCAATGCCCTCTACAATGCTTCACAGGCTCAGTGAGCTACAGGACACCCAGCACTTCCTCCACTTGTCTCCCTTTTCCTGGGTCCATGCTCACCCTCATTCTCACCTCAGGGCTTGACCCCTCCCAGGTTCTCAGTCTTTACTGGCTTGCTTTCCTCCTTACCCACCTTCATGTTCTTTCTGTGCAGAGTTCAGTGGCATGCGCACTGCACACTGGGTGTGGGAATGACTGAGTTGTTGAAAGGTGAAGTAGTATTGTAACCAACTGTGACAGTCCTTCTTGCCAGTTTCTTCTTTCAGGAGGTATCAGTAGCAGGAGAGGGATTTTCATGCCTGAACTGGCTACCTTCATTTCTTCCATTATCATTGTTGAGTTACCACTAGCTTAAGATGTTCCACTGGCCTGAGTCAATCAGAACAATGGTGCCAAGAATGTGTGTGTTGTAACCTCTGGCAACTCTCTGACTATGTCTGTGTGTGGTGTAATTTCAGGGTTCAAAGCTCAGTGGACCAAACACATCTGTTTACCATGGTCTGGAGTAATGTAAGTCTGTTTCCCTAGGTGGCCCCGGGCTGTTTGCTTTCTGCTGGTCAAAGTACTAGCACATGGTGAAGCTAAGTGAGGAACTATGCCCACTACAGTTCTGTAAGTATTTGATAGAATGAAGATTTTCTATTGACTGGGGCTTAGTACATTCTGAAATCTTAGAACCACATGGTCAGTTTCCACACAAAATTCTCAGACAGAATTTTAAAACTAAGAAACTCTCATTTGAATACAACAGTTTTAAATAACGAGTAATTGTAGAGTCTCTTGATTGCCTATTTGCACCCAATGGGATGTAAAAAGCCATTTTTGGTAAAAGTTTGTGTCTAATTTAAACATCATAGGCTAGAGTAATATTATTTTATTTCATGTAAATGATCATCAGTCAGTTTTTTTGGGCCAAAAGATATGACAGAGACAGAGAGTTAATCAGTTCACAAGAATTCTTGAGAGCAACTTTAGGTAAATATGAATAGTTGTAAGCTGTAAAGGTAGACGATGTAATTTACCAAGTTATAAGAGATAATCTCCTTTTGGTTCTCTTCCTTTAGCACTCGGTAGGTAGAAAGAGGGAGGACACTTACATTCTACATATGTTCTACATATGAACATTTGTACATTTTACATGCATACTTTCCGTAGGGTTGTGGATCTGGTTGTGAGATACAGTCACACAACTTCATGTAAGTACTGAATACAGAGTGGAGATGTCTACTGCTAGTAGAGTTCAATGTCTTTGAAGTTTTATATTACATCCTTACTAAGTTATGTAGATTTTTGCATCCTATTCCATAAAATGTCCAAATTAGTTTTAATATAAAAATAATGGTCATGGATACCAGCAAAAATGGTAGAGTAAGAACCTCTAAAAATTCCATCTTTCATAAAAATAATAAGAAACAGGCAAAAATTGTCAGCATCAACTTTTTCAGAGCTCTGGAAATGAACTAATCCTGGGAGCACTTACTGAACAAAAATGGCTGAATCTTGCTAAGAACAGTAAGTTTTGTGGTATTTTGACTCGGTAAAAACCTACCCACTGCTTACCAGCCTACCTTTGAAACCAGTAGCCTGGCAGCAACTGGCAGAAGCAGAATAGAGCTTGAGCTCTTTTAAAGCTCATTTCCAAGAATTGTCATTATTTGACTGTCAGTATGTCTTTCAAGGACCCCACTTGAAGGCTGTCTGTTTTTGAACTGACTTGGAGCTTGCCCTGTCCAAATAGCCTTTCCCTCAGAGTGGTTGTTGAAAAACAATTACAAACAACTGCTTAAATCCACAGCTGCTTGAGATGGTGAATAAAAGTTGGGGTAAACAATAGACTAACTAAAAAGCATAAAAATAAAAAATAAGCTGTCCATAGGGACTTTGAAAAACTCCTACATATTCCTGGGAATTAAAAGAACAAAGTCATGTGTCCATGCCTAGAGCTGTGCAGGTGCTCAGGAAAGACATGAGAAGGCCCTAAGGCATTAACTTGGGCTGACTTTGATGCTTTGCACAAGCAGGGAGTGAAGGCTTAGACAGAGCTGTAAACTGCCTGGCTGAATGTTGAAGGCATCCCCTAGCACACACAATAAACCCCTAAGCAAAGACAGGGATACTTATTGATTCCAGGTGTTTAGGAAAAGTTCTGCCTAAATATTAACTGGCCAAACATAAGCAGACACTTTAGTGGCCACACATGACAAAGATTATGGACGTTATAGAATTGGTTCAGAAAGGTCAGTAAACAAACTAAATCAACAACTACAATAAAACAGAAACAACAACAAACCTTGGAGACTTGGGAAGGGTGGGGGAGGGAATATGATTTCCAGAATTGCCACATGATATTATTTTAAATATTGAGTTTTCAACAAAGATGTATGAGACACACAAAGAGGCAAGAAATTATGGCACATACAGGAACAAAAGCAGCCAATAGACATTGTCCCTTTGGAAACCAGATGTTGCACATACTAGACAAAATACTGTCAGTTACTTAAAATATATTCAAAGAACTAAAGGAAACCATGTATAGAGAACTAAAGGAGAGTGTGAGAAAAATGTCTCACAAAATAGATAATACCAATAAATAGAAATTACATATAAAAAAGAATGAAATAAAAATTCTAAAGTTTGAAAGCACAATAACTGAAAAACCTTCCCGAGAGAAGCTCAATAGAAGATTTGAGCAAATAAAAGAAAGAATCAACAAACTTGAAGATGTGTTAATTGAGATTATCCAGGATGAGGAACAGAAAGAAAAAACAATGAAGAAAAATAAAGAGAGCCTCAGAGACCTGTGCGACACTCTGTAGCACAAGAATATATGCATAATGGGAGGTGTCTAGAAAGATAGGAGAGAGAGAAAGCAGTAGAAAGAGTATTTAAAGAAATAATGGTTCAAAGTTTTCCAAATTTGATAAAAACCATTAATCTTCATATCCAAGAAGCTCGAGAAAATTGAAGTAGGGTAAATTCAAAAACTCAAAGATGACACATTATAATCACATCATTGAAAGACAAATCTTGAAAACAAGAGAGAGAGACTCATCTCATATGAGAGATTTTCAGTGAAGTTAACAGTTGATTTATCATCAGAATCCATAGACGCCAGCAGTGAGATGACATAGTACTGAAAATACTGAAAGGAGGAAAAAATCTTTCAGCCAAGAATTCTATATCTAGCAAAATTATCTTTCAGAAATTAAAGATAAACAAAAACAGATAATTTCGTGCAAGCAGATCTTGCCTGCAAGAAATGCTAAGGAACTCCTTTAGGCATAAATGAAACAACACTAGATAGTAACTTGAATCTACATGAATAAAGAACACCGGTAAAAGTAAGTACATACGTAAATAAAGCAATAATTATAAATTCATGTGTTGATGGGTATACAACATAGAAAGATGTGATTTTTATGACAAAGCACAAAGGAAGGGAGAAGGAATGAAGCTATGTAGGGACAAAGTTTTTATGTATGATTACAATTAAGTTGGTATTAATCTGAATTATATTATCATAAACTAAGTAATAATCACCAGTGCAACCACTAAGGAAATAACTCAAAAACATATAGTAAAACAATGACAAGGAAGTGAAAAGATACAAAAAGTGTGTATTGAACATAAAAAAGTCAGTTATGGAGGAATGGAGGAACAAAAAGTCATGACCTTGAATACAGAAAATTTGAAAGAATCCACCAAGAAATAAAAAGTGTTAGTGCTAATGGTTACCTAGCTTGAAAAGGTTATAGGATATAAGACATACAGTTGACCTTTGAAAAATATGGGTTTAAACTATGTGGGCCCACCTAAAGGCAGATTTTTTTCAATAAATACAATCAGCCTTTGATATCCATAGGTTCTACCTCTGCAACCAAATGCAGATAAAATATACAGAATTCATGGGATGTGAAACCTGTGGATAGAGGCCAGATGTTTTGTATAAATGGGTTCCAAAGAGCCAAGTGCAGGACTTGAGTATGTTAAAATTTTGATATTTCTGGGGATCTGAGAACCAATCCCCCACAGATACCAATGCACAATTGTATATACAAAAAGCAATTGTATTTTTATTCCCTAGAAATGAACATTCTGGAAATGAAATTAAGAAAACAATTTCATTTACAACAGCATCAAAAAGAATAAAATATTAGTAATAATGCCAACAAATGAAGCACAAAGTATATTCTAAAAGCAATAAGATTATTGAAGAAATTTAAGAGAACCTAAACAGATGGAAGTACACCTCATGTTCTTTGAGATGGGAAGAACTTAGTATTGTTAAAATGGCAATACTTAATACTGATTGAAAAACTTAATATTGTCAAGACAGCAGTATTCCCTAAATTGATCTACAGATTCAATTCAATCCCTATCAAAATTCAAGTTGCTTTTGTTCCCAGAAACCCACAAGATGGCTCTAAAATTCATACGGGAATGCAAAAGATCCAGAATAACCAAAGCCATTTTGTAAAAGAAGAGCAAAGTGGGAGGACTCCCACTTCTAGATTTCAAATTTTCCTACAAAGCTACATTAATCAAGACTCTGTGGCACTGGCATGGAATAGAAATATAGATCAATGGAACAGAATTGAGAATCCAGAATGGTCGATTGATTTTTGACAAGGGTGCTAAGATAATTTAATGAGAGAAAGAGTAATCTTTTTTAACAAACGGTGCTGGGAAAACTGGATATCTACATTAAAAAAGTTAATTTGGACCCTTACTTTATACTATATACAAAAATTAACTGAAAATGGATCAAAGACCTAAACACAAGAGATAAAACTATAAAACTCCTAGAAGAAAACATAGGCATAAATCTTAATAACCTTTCTTGACATTTGCTAAGAGAGTAGATCTTAAGTATTCTTACCATAAAAAAGGTAATTGTGTGAAGAGGTGAATACATTAATTGGCTTGCCTGTAGCATTCAGTTTACTGTGTATATGTATATCAAAACATCACATCACACACCTTAATTCTATGCAATTTTAATAAAACATAAAAAATTTTAAATAGAAATATAAAATGAAGATTTCTGATGGTAAACGTAGTGCCCGCTGATTATAAATATTCAAATAGACATTTTTCCAAAGAAGACATACAAATGGCCAATGGGTATATGAAAGGTTGCTCAATATCACTAATCATCAGGAAAATGCAGATCAAAATCACAATGAGATATCACCTGTTAGGATGGTTATTATCAAGAAAAAAGCCAAATGATAACAAGTTGTATTAGTCAATTTTCATGCTGCTGATAAAGATATACCTGAGACTGGGTAATTTACAAAAGAAAGAGGTTTAATGGACTTTACAGTTCCACATTGCTGGGGAGGCCTCACAATCATGGCAGAAGGTGAAAGGCACATCTTACATGGTGGCAGATAAGAGAAGAGAGAGCCTGTGCAGGGAAACTCCTGTTTTTAAAACCATCAGATCTCATGAGACTTATTCACTATCATAAGAACAGCATGGGAAAGACCTACCCCCATGATTCAATTCTCTCTCACTGGGTCCCTCCCACAACACATGGGAATTATGGGAGCTACAAGATGAGATTCAGGTGGAGATACAGAGCCAAACCGTATCACAAGTGTTCATGAGAATGTTGAGAAATTGAAACCCTTTTTACTGTGTTGGTGGGAATGTAGAGAATGGTGCAGCCACTATGGAAAACAGTATAAAGGCTCCTCAAAAAATTAAAAATAGAATGATCATGTGATCTAGCCATCCCACTTCTGGGTATACATCCAAGAGAATTGAAATCAGGATCTTGAAGATATATCTGCACTACCATGTTCACTGTAGCATTATTCACAACAGCCGAGATATGGAAACAACCTAAATGTCTGTCAACAGATGAATGGATAAAAAAAGTGGGGGCATATACATGCAATGGAATATTATTCCACCCTAAAAAAAGGAAGGAAATCCTTCCATTTGCAGTAACATTAATGAACCTAGAGGACATTATGCTAAGTGAAATAAGCCAGTCACAGAAGGACAAACACTATGTGATTCCACTTATATGAGATATTTAAAATAGCCAAACACCCAGAAGAAGAAAATAGAATTGTGGTTACCAGGGGCTGGGATGAGGTGAAAATGGGCAATTGTTGCTCAATGGATATGAAGCTTCAGTCATGCAAGATGAAAAAGTTCTAGAGGTCTGCTGTACAACATAGTACCTATAGTTAAAATACAGCATTGTGCACTTAAAAACATGTTAGGAATGTAGATCTCATGTTGTGTTCTTACCATACACAAATATAATAATAAACAGAGACCACACACATAAAATAATACAAGAAAGTTTTTGAAAATTGTGAATATGTTTAGTACCTTCATTGTACTAAATGGTATCGCATGTATACATACGTTCAAATTTATCAAAATACATAGATTAAGCATGTGCAGTTTTTTGTTTATAAATTATACCTCAATAAACCTAAAAAAATCCTATGACCTTGGATTAGACAATGGTTTCTTAGATATGACAGCTAAAGCACAAGCAGCCAAAGGAAAAAAATACATAATAAAACTTCATTAAAATTATAAAACTTGTGTGCTTCAAAGAACATTATTGAGAAAGTGAAAATAAAACCCACATAATGGAATAAGATATTTGCTAATTATATATCTCACAAAGGTCTAGTATCCAGTATATATAAAGAATTCTTACAGCTCAACAATAAAAAGATAAGTAGCCCGATTAAAAACCGGGCAAAGGATTTAAATAGACATTTCTCCTAAGAAGATAAATAAATGGTTAACAAGCATGAGAAAAGATGCTCAATATCCATAGTCATTGGAGAAATTCAAATAAAAACAATAAGATACCACTTACACCCACTAGGATCCCTGTAATTGAAAATACAGATAACAAATACTGGTGAGAATGTGGAGGAATTGGAACTCTCATACATTGCTAGTGCAAATGTAAATTGATTTGGAAAAGAACTTGACAGTTCCTTGGAAAGTTCAACATAGAGTTACCATATGACTCAGCAATTTCACTCCTAGGTATATACCCAAGAGAAATAAAAACGTATATCCACACAAAAACTTGTACACAAACGTTCGTAGCAGTATTATTAATAATGGCCCCAAAGTAAAGACAACCCAAATGTCCATCAACTGATGAATGAATAAACATGTTAGTATATCCATTCAATGGTATTGTCCAGTCATAAAAAAAAAGAATGAGTACTGATACACAGATGAACCTTGTAAACATACTAAGCGAAAGAAGCTGGACACAAAAGGCCACATACTATATGATTCCATTTATATGAAATGTCTAGAATAGGCAAATTGATGGACAGAAAAGTAGATTACTAGTTGCCAGGGGCCAGGAAAGTGGAGAATGGGGAATGGCTACTAATGTGCATGGTTTTTCATTTGGGGTGACAAAAGTGTTCTGCAATTAGATAGTGATAATGGTTGCATGACTTCGTGAATATACTTAAAAACCAGTGAATTGTACTTTAAGGGGTGGATGTTATGGTTTGTGAATTAAATCTCAACTTAAAACAGATTAAATACTAATTAGCAGATATAAAAGGCATATGAGATATATAATAGTTCTTCCTTTTCCTCTTGTCCTATTCCCAGATCCTAAGGAAACACTGACACCCTGCGTCACCATGTTTATCCTGTGGCTTCTTGTATTGCCCGGCCCACCTCCAGGCACTCGCAGTTGAAAAACATGAGCCTAGGAAGCCAAAAAGGAAATCAAAGAGTCAGAGGTTCTCAGGTCCCTTAGGTGATGCCCGGGAGAAACACTTTCTACTCCATTTTTTTCATGGGAAAGTAAATATATTTCAGATTAGACCACACAGTTAGTTGGAAAAGCCCTTAAAATTCTTCACCTTTTTTTTTTTGCCGTCATTTCATATTCATAATCCCAAGGATTATAACAACAGGAAGAGAGCATTTCCCCCCATTATAGAAGAGCTATTGCCACTGAAAATCATATCCATCTTCTATCTTGTCTATCTATCATCTATCTATCTATCTATCTATCTATCTATCTATCTATCTATCATCTATTCATTTATCACTGTATTCATTTATTTGGTCCCCAGTAACTTGATGAACTTGAACTACTCTCCCTAAGTCTGAGTCTGGGACACTGAAAAAAACCAAGGGTCAAGACTCTGGATTAAGGTAAATTAACCTCCATCAGGGATGCCAAGTAGATTTTAATCTATATGCTAACTTCAATACATTAACAGTTGAGAAAGTTTCTGTGCTGAGCAAGATCCTAGGGACATGTCTGCATCTAGTTTGACAGAATGGTGTGCTTGATTAGTAATGTCTGCTTGAATTCATGTAGGAAAATCAGGGCCTGTGTACAGCAGATACGCCACCCTGACTTAGCGCATGCTCCCTCAGGGGCCTCTAGCCAGAAAACCTCCTGGTCATATCACTCAAACCTTGAAATATTGCATTCGGCCCAATATGAAATTGTATTGTATGTGTACATTTCACCTTCAGCAGCCTGCAGCTTAATTTAAAGCAAATCAAACCAAATGCCCACTCTGTTGTAATGATTACAACCTGTCCTATCCATTATTCCATCAATGACAAAGGAAATGACTTATTGGAGAATGCTTCTTTAGGTTCCTGTCTTCTAGGATAAGTCAACCACCCTTTACATTAGACCCCATACATTAGATAATGCATGTTCAGGGTGGTATGGCTGTAGACACACCCCATTCATTAGAAAATTTAGAAATGATTTCCTATCTTAAAATTATTGTTGCCATCAAATCCCCCTTGCTTTTTCACTTCCCAAATTGGTGATGACTAATCTCTCATACTTGTAATTATTTCCATTCTTTCTCACTCAGCACAGAGGATTTGTGTGTGTGTGTGTGTGTATGTGCATGTGTGAAGGCAGAAGGATGGGGACAGGTAGAATGGAATGATTTAAATGTTTACTTTGCATTTTCAAGTCAGAGATGGAAGATACCAAGTGGGGACTCATTATTAAGCTAAGGCTCCCACTGGCCAAAACATGTGGATTTAATGCCTTCTCTACTGGGATCATGAGTATGCAGACTTTATTAATAGAGCAGTTCTGGACTTTCTTCAGGTTTCTGAATGCATTTGGTTAATAAGGCAGTGGTCTAGCACAGCCTGCTGTTTCTGGGTAGGTTCTTTCCACTGAAACACAGGAGGAGGAGAGAGGGAGGGATCCCTGCGTATTTAGTCAGGACACCCAGCCAACAACCCTTTACAAAGCACATGTTCTCCATCCTTTTCTCAAAGGCTTCCAAACTGCAGATCAAATAAACAATCAAAGATACTGAAGAGATTTCTGATTTCCATACCCTCTCACCCATTATTCCCACAGCTAAGTAAAACCAAATGGTGTTATGTAAATTTTATTCAAATAAAAGCACCCAGACAAGTCCAATACTTTAACTGTTCTGTTATTTAACATTCTATACAAATCTTTACTCTTTTCTTGCATTTTACTTCTAGTGCTGTGCTCAGTTGAAGACAGTGCACATCTAATAAAACACTGATATTTTCCTGATAATAGACACAAGTTAAAAAGAAAAAGAAAAATACATACACCAAAAACATTAGTGGGGATTTGTTTTATACTTTTTTGCATGTTGGGGTAATTTTTGCAATAAGAATGTATTGCTGGTATTATTAAAACAATCAATATAGCTATGTCTTACATATCAATAGGCAGGTTATCAACAAAAGACACAATTAGCTTTAACAGAAGAAAAGGAAATGATTTTTTGGCCAACGGCTTACCAGAAAGAAATAACAGAATAGGAAAAACTAATGACAGGGGAAAATGTCTGCCTACCCACAGCAGAGGTGTAAACATCTTTGACCTTTATTAACGACACAGCAAGGGCCTTACAATCAGAACATGGACCTGAGTCTTTTTGAGGTACACATCCCGTTTAGCATATGGGGGGGGGCCTCCAGAATTTGCCCTATAAACAAGGTCACCTTATTATGAAATCTTCTGGTTTCTGTAACCTATTCCAGCCACAGGACATTGGAAACAGTTTGGGATCATAATCCTGAAAGACACAATCCAAATGCCATAATCCTAAAGGTTGAAATTCCAAAAGATCAAAATCTGTAAAGTCCAAATCCTTCAAGTCTAAAATCCCTCACATCTTAAAATCCTGAAGATCACAATAACAGAATAGTTGTGTCATATTAGGCGGAACTATTACCTCGTTAGTGTCTCTATTTGGGAATTAAGTATGGTTTAAAGAGAAGAAATTGGTGGAAAATTCAGATGATTGGTCATGCTATATGGCAACAATGAAAACTTCAGTTTAAAAAGCCATCGGTTGCCTGCATTAGCATTCCTTCCATCTCATTACATTCCGGGGGCTTTTAATGAATTAAAGCCACGTTTGCCTGAAGAAGCCAGTGAAGTTTCTGCCTGGTTAGAAAATAATTATGTGCATGATAGGATAAGAAGACCCGCAATAGTTTTGCACCAGTATTATTTCGAGAATGGACTTCTATGTACCCAAAACAACATGGAACCAAGGCACCAAAGATGGGAAAACTTAATAGGGAAGGCTATTATGTTGTTGTATACAGAATCATAGAAGAATTTTTAAAAGAGCAGTGCCACATAGAAAATGAAGGTGAACATATTCTCTGAGGAAAGCCATGTCCTAAAAGGAAAAAAGCAGCTATTCACTGAAATGCAAGATTTCAAAATACAGTTAATGCCTGTGAAAGTCAGTCATTTTTTACAGACTACCTTTGCACAATGCCTATAATCTATTCCTGTAACATAGTTCTTCATATGCGAAACTTCCTTTTTAGTTTTTTCTTTTTTAAGTTTTATTTTATTATTTTAAATTTTCAGCATTATTTTTTTTTACAATTCACTATGCACATTTCATCTTTGCATCATTTCCAATACTGGAGGTATAAATTGTGTAGAGACTTTCAGAAAGTTCTAATTCATTGCATACATTTTTGCAAATTTGACTTCGCAAAAGTATATTATCACAACAATGACTTTGTGTGTAAACATCGTGCCTGTACGTAAAACGTTGAAACATCTTCAGTAAATAAGGAGATGTTCCTTTTGTGCATCTGCATTTGTGAAAGATAAAATTTCTCAAGATCTCAGATCTTTGGACAACTGTATGTTATGATGGTGATTCACTGTGGTTTTTGATTGATCCCATCAAAAGACTTGGGTTGTGCATCACAGTATTTCAGATAACTGCAATGTTAAATCTGGCTGCACACAATTTCCAACAATAGTAATATGTACTTATACATTTCCCTTTTTGACCTATTTCTTTATGCATATGATTCATTTTCTCATCACTATTATATTCATATGACCGTTGTTAGTATACCCAAGTGCTTATGCTTGCAAAAATGTGTATTTTTGCCTATTTTATTGTGTAAAGTAGCCTATAGTGCTCTGTCACGTTTTCATGTGTCTCAAGTAAATCTCCTTTTGAAAATGTAAATCATAGCTTTAAAAAAATTTTAATTTTTTTTCCAGAATTATAGTTTCAGGATTTTGATCTTTTGGAATTTCAACATTTCGAATTATGGCATTTGGGGTTGTATCTTGGTGATTATATTTGGCTCCCATAGGAAAATAACTGAGTTTACATCTAATTCCATTTTAGAGTAGATAAGAAAGCAGGTGAGGGTGAATTTTATTAAGTGTTTTATTTTTATTTTTAATTAATTATTATTTTTATTTTTATTTTTTGAGACAGAGTCTTGCTCTGTTACCAGCCTGGAGTGTAGTGGCATGCTCTCAGCTCACTGCAACCTCCACCTGTGGGGTTCAAACAATTCTCCTGCCTTAGCCTCCCAAGTAGCTGGGACTACAGGCATGCGCCACCATGCCCAGCTAATTTTTGCATTTTTAGTAGAGACAGGGTTTCACCATGTTGGCCAGGATGGTCTCAATCTCTTGACCTTGTGATTCACCTGCCTTGGCCTCCCAAAGTGCTTGGATTACAGACGTGAGCCACTGCACCCAGCCTTAGTGTTTTGTATGTGCTTGGCCTAATGTAATTATTTTAGGAATACTACTTCATTTAATTCTTACAAGAATCCTATGAAGGTTGATATCATCATCTTCATTTTAGAGGTAGTAAAATGAAACTGATGTATTGATTGTCAAGCTTCAAATTCTGAAATATGAGAAAGGCTGTGTATGAATGATGAGTCATTCATTGAACCATATAACAAAATATGTAAAAGTATGAATTCTAGAGTCTAGTAGAGTTTGAGACTTGGCTTTGGCACATCCAGCTGTGGAACACTGAACATGTCACTTCAGTTCTCTGAGCCTCAAGCTTCCTCAGCTTTATTGCTCAGCTTTTTGCGAGGATTAAATTATACAGGGAATGCACTTGTTACAATACACTCTGTACAGTAAGCTTGCCTCCACTGACTTCTGCAAAAAATCTTTAAACAATTTTTATTGCATAATATTTTTTATTATTTAAAAAATGATTTACATATATTGAGCTAGTCTTGTATCCCAGGAATGAAGCCAACTTGATTGTGGTAGATAAGCTGTTTGATGTGCTGCTGGATTCAGCTTGCCAGTATTTTATTGAGAATTTTTGTTCTCAATAAAATTTTTGTTCTTTCTGATGAATCAATGTTCATCAGAGATATTGGCCTGACTTTTTTTGTTGTTGTATCTCTGATAACTTTTGGTATCAGGATGATGCTGGCCTCATAGAATGAGTTAGGCAAGAGTCCCTCCTTTTCAATTGTTTGGAATAATTTCAGAAGAAATGGTACCAGCTCCTCTTTGTGCCTCTTGTAGAATTCAGCTGTAAGTCCATCTGATCCTGGGCTTTTTTGGTTGGTAGGTTATTACTGCCTCAATTTCACAAATTGTTCTGATCTATTCAGGAACTCAACTTCTTCCTGGTTCAGTCTTGGGAGGGTGTATGTGTCTGGGAATTTATCCATTTCTCGTAGATTTTCTAGTTTATTGCTATAGAGCTGTTTATAGTATTCTCTGATGGTTGTTTGTATTTCTGTGGGGTCAGTAGTGATATCCGTTTATTATTTTTAATTGTGTCCATTTGATTCTTCTCTCTTTTCTTCTTTATTAGTCTAGCTAATAATTTATCTATTTTATTATTTTAAAAAAAACAGCTCCTGGATTCACTGATTTTTTGAAGACTTTTTCATGTCTCTATCTCCTTCAGTTCCACTCTGATCTTGTTTTTTATTGTAATTTTTTTGTCACTTAAAATTGTGTGTGAATGTTGAAATACTGGAAGATAAAAATCTGGAAAATATAAAATGTATAAAACATATATGTACAGTTTAAAGGGTAATAACCAGATGAACACCTGTGCCCAGCAACAGGTTTATAGGAGCATTATCAGCCCCCATGAAGCCCAGGTGCCTGCCCCTGATCACATCCCCTTCCTCTCTCCTGAAGGTAACCAGCATACAAATTGTGTCAACTCTTCTCTTGCTTTTCTTTATATTAATAGTTTTACCATCTATGTATGTGTTCCTAAACAATATATGCTTTAGATTTGCATGTATCTGAATGTTTTAGAAACAGCTTCATCTTGAGATATAATTTATAAAGCTTACTGTTTCAAGCATGCATTTGAACTTTTAATAAGCATATACTGCATATTGTTCTGTGATTTCCTCTTGTGTGTGTGTGTGTGTGTGAGATGGAGTCTTGCTCTGTCACCCAGGCTGGAGTGCAGTGGCGCAATCTCGGCTCACTGCAACCTCCGCCTCCTGGGTTCAAGCGATTCTCCTGCCTCAGCCTCTCTAGTAGCTGGGACTATAGGCGTGCACCAGCATGCCCAGCTAATTTTTGTATTTTTAGTAGAGACAGGGTTTCACCATGTTAGCCAGGTTGGTCTCGATCTCTTGACCTTGTGATCCGCCCACCTCGGCCTCTCAAAGTGCTGGGATTACAGGCGTGAGCCACCACGCCCAGCCGATTTCCTTTCTTCTAATCACCATTATGTTTTTGAGAGTCATCTAAGTTGATGTATTTGGTTGTATTTTATTCATTCCCATTCTTGTAGGGTATTTCATTAAACAAAAATACCAGAATTTGTTCCCATTCTACTGTTGATGCACATATAGGTTGTTTCCTGTTTTACACTACTACAAATGATACTACTATGAACATTTTGAACGTGTACACATGCAAGAGTATAACTAAGAGTGAAGCTGTTCTGTCGCAGGGTATGGACAGGATCAACTATGTTTCTTAGGAGGACGAGACCATCACTCAACCCACTATCTGAAATAAAAAGACAAAGCTGAATGAGTGACAATAGTTAGGAAGAGCTGTGTCGGTCAGGCACAATCTTTCCAAGCAGAGCAGCCTGTTCATCTTATTTATGTATGGATTTGGGAAGCTGGGAGTTCGGGGGTTTGTGAACTTTCGGAATGTTAGAGGTTTGACGGATTAAAAGACATGGTGCTCAGGTAAGACTGTTGTTGATTGGCTGGGAATCACTTACTAGAGTGAGTCTGTCCCTAATTGGCTGAAAGTCAGAAGCAAGGGGCTGTTATTGATTGGTTGTTTTGAAGAGCATGTTTACCAGACGTGGGTTGTCATTGACTGATTAAAGGGTTTAAAATATAGGTGGCTAAATATTACCAAGGTTACAGAAAAATCAGTTTTTCCTTGCTGTATGGGAACTTTTTTATGTTCAAAAGATATTGCCAACAAATTAATTGTCCAACAAATGTCTTTATTTAACTTGTTGCTATGGGAAAACTTTCAAATATAAACAAACTGGAGAGGATAGTATAGTAAACTTCTGCGTACTCATTACCCAGCTTCAGTAATTAGCAGTTCATAGCCAATTGTGTTTAATCTATATGCTACCTACTCTCCTAACTCCTGGATTATTTTGAAGCAAATCTGAAACATCCTATGATTTCATACCCATAAATGTTTCAGTATGTATTTCTAAAAGATAGGAACTTTTTACAAACACCTAATGTATTATGCTTAAAATTACACAGAATAATTTCTAATATCATCAAGTAGTGTTAAAATTGTCCCTATTCTCTGTTTCTCTCTGTCTATCATTTCCTCATTTGATTCAGACTCCAAGTAAAGTCCATACACGGCATTTTGTTGATAAATCTTGTAAATCTCTTCTAATCCACAGATTGCCCCTCTCTCTATTTTCCTTTCCTCAGAATTTATTTGTTGAAGAAACCAGGTTCTTTATCTGGTAGAACTTCCTACAGCCTGCATTTGTCTGACTGCATTCTTGTGGTACATTTAACATGCATCCCTGTGCTGCATAGTTCCTGTAAACTGAAAGTTAGAGCTAATGGCCTTATAAGACTTTAGCCTGATTTTTTGACAAGAATACTTTATAGGTTGTGTTGTGCATTTCCAACAGGAGGTATAAAATGTCTGATATACTCTCTCCTTCTCTCTCTTCTTAACAATACGATTGATTAGGTATCATCAGCCTGATCCATCCATTACAAAGTTTCTCATCAGCTTTTCAGCATTGATGACATTGCTCAGATCCTATCCCATTACGGGTTTCAAAAGAGTCTCCTACCATCTCTTCTGCAGTTTAGAGGACGGCACTGGCTTCAGAGGGGAAGATACATTGGAAACAGTTAATGCAGAAGGCAGGGAAAATAGGAGGAAAGCAGGCCACAGGTAGGAAAACAATAGCATTGCTGGAGCAAAGGTTTTGTGCATTTAAAAATGTGAGGGGTATTGCAAAATTGTACTCTAAAGAGGTTAAACCAACTTACACTTTTCAATAAATGTTTCTACATACCTTTGTCAATTTGATGGGTGAAAAACTACACCTCATTCTGGTTTACAATTGTTAATTTTAAGTGAAGTGGATCATATTTTCAAATACATATTGGTAATCTGTATTTTTTCTTTTAGGAAAGTCTGCTGCTATCTTTTGCCCATTTTTCTTTTTTTTTTCTTTTGAGACGGAGTCTTGCTCTTGTTGCCCAGGCTGGAATGCAATGGCACAATCTCGGCTCACTGCAAACTCCGCCTCCCAGGTTCAAGCGATTCTCCTGCCTCAGCCTCCCAAGAAGCTGAGATTACAGGTGTCTGTCACCACATCTGGCTAATTTTTGTATTTCTAGTAGAGATGGGGTTTCGCCATGTTGGCCAGGCTGGTCTCGAACTCCTGACCTCGTGATCCGCCTGCCTCGGCCTCCCAAAGTGCTGGGATTACAGGTGTGAGCCACCGCGCCTGGCCTTTGCCCATTTTTCTATCAATTTGTTTACACCTTTTATTTTTTTAAAGAATTCTTTATATATTAGGGAGATGAGTTCCTTATCTGTCATATTATATGGGTTATAGATATTTTTTTCAGATTATTATCTTTTGACTCTGATCAGGATACTGTTGGCTTTGTAGAAAGTTTTTTTTATTATTGTTATAACGCATTTATCAAATATTTCCTTCAGCACTTCTGGGTTTTTTAACATTCTTTGAAAAGTCCAACCCATACCAAGACCATTAAAAATCATTCATAATTTCTCCTAGTATTTCTATGGTTTCAGTTCATTTCTTTTCTTTCTTTCCTCCTCCTCCCTCTTTCTCTCCTTTTGCATACAAATGTTTGGTTCACTTTGATATGGATTGAACTTTTATTTATTTATTTATTTTGAGACAGGGTCTCACTATCTTACCCAGGGTGGAGTGCAGTGGCATGATCGTAGCTCACTGTAACTTCAAACTCCTGGATTCAAATATTCCTTCTGCCTCAGCCTCCCAAGTAGCTAGGACTGCGTACACACACACCATGCCTGACTAAGTTTTAAAAATGTTTTGTAGGAATGGGGTTTTGCTATGTTGCCTAGGCTCGTCTCGATCTCCTGGCCTCAAGTGATCCTCCCGCACAGGCCTCACAAAGTGCTAGGATTACATGCATGAGCCACCACGCCTAGACTGCACTTTTATTTCTTGCCAGTTGTTGTCTCAATACAGTTAATAGAATGACTTATATTTCCTCTAATCATTTAAAGTATGACTTCTATTGTATACTACATGCTGTATATATTTGTGCCTATTTCTGAATCATCTGTTTTGTTTCACTAACCTATTCTTTCAGTACATTGACTCAGATCCTTGATGTATTCAATGCGTTGGCATTCTATATTGTATACATTAGATGCCTCCTTGAAAGGTTGTGTGTGAAGCAAAAACAATTAGGTGCATAATCTCATTGGCATCGTTTAGTTATTGTTGTGTGACATACCACACCAAAACTCAGTGGCTTCCAATGACAGCCAGTTAAGCCCATACATTCATAGGGTATACTAAGCTGGATTTTGTAGGGGCAACTGTGCTCTGCATGGCATCCATTCCCTTCCCAGGGCAGCAGGATCATCTGCCTCACGGCGATGTAGAAACACAGGAAGGAGTGTGCAAAGACTAAGGCCCCAGAAGACCCAGGCTTTCCCGACCCACTGCCACTTCTGCCTCATCTTAGTGGTCAAAGCTACACAGCTAAACCCAAAATCAAGGGTGAGGAAAGTTCCCTTTGCCCCCATGAAACATGGCAAAGGTGTGGATGCAGAGAGGGTGAAGAACTGGGGCTACAATCCCAATCTCCCACAGCTACTGGCACATAATTTAAATGGGGAAGCTTCCATAGAAAATTCCAGGTGCTCATCTAATATTAAGCTAAAAAGGAGCTGCTAACATATATTTGAAACACACTGAAAATTTAATTCCCCAGAAAAGTACAGGGTAACATAACATCCATGTGTCTATCTCCAATAATTAACAAATTAATATTTTAACATATTTGCTTCTGATTTTTTTCTTTTTTTAGAAATAAAATATTTTAGAGTTTATGTACTCTGTATATCCTTCCACGGTTTTATTTCTCTCACTATCCAGAAGTAATTAGTACCTTAAAGGTAGTCTGTGCATATTTTTATTATACATACAGCATTCATTAAGATTAATATACTTGTTTTCAGATTTTACATATTATAAATAGTATGATACTATATATATAATTCTAAAAATAGCTTTTTAATTCAACAGTATATCTAGAGATCTAGCTGTGTTAATACATGTAGATTGTCTTCATTTAAATTGTTATATTTTACTCTGTTGTATGACTGTATTATTCTGTTCTTGCATTGCTATAAAGAAATACCTGAGATTGGGTAATTTATAAAGAAAAGAGGTACAGAAAGCATGGTAGCTTCTTGGGACGTCTCAGGAAACTGAAAATCATGGCGGAAGGCAAAGGGCAAGCAGGCATGTCTTACACGGCTGAAGCAGGAGGAAGTGAGAACAGGGGAGGTGCTACACACTTTTAAACAACCGGATCTCACCATAACTCACTCACTCACTATCAGGACAACAGCACTAAGGGGATGATGCCAACCCATTCATGAGCACTCTAGCCCCATAATTCAATCACCTCTCACCAGGCCCCACCTCCAACACTGGGGATTACAATTGAACATGAGATTTGGGTGGGGACACAGATCCAAACCATATCAATGACTATATTATAATTAATCTTTTTTCCTTTATTGATGGATGCTTTTAATGGTGTTAACTTACCATTATCATAAACAAGAAAACATTTAAAAATCACATATTTAAGGTGAATACATGCAATTTTATTAAAATATTAAAGTTATTTGCAAATATTACACAGGTGAAATATAATTAAACTGAGAATTCAAAAACACCTAAGGGATATATTAAGGAATATGTTATGAAGGGCTACACATTATTAATGACCAATTTTCTTCTGAAATATGTGCTATCAAGGAAATAAAAGAAAGATCTACCAGCAGGCAGCACTAAATATTCCATCATTCGCACGAACATTCTCCTACAAGCCACAGCCCAGAAGACTGTCGATATGCACCTAGCCTTATCATTTTCTGTTAATATTTAGTCAGTATTTCCAATATAATTGGCTTCTTCTTCAGATCAAAGGCTTTTACATAGGCCCTACCTGCAAATCAAATAGCTATCCATGGAATATTAGAACTTGACTTGCTCCATCCTCTTAAACTTTTTGTGTCTCACACTAAAGAAATGAGAGATGCAGAATTCTAAGGCTAAATAGCTAGGAAGTATTCATTCAAACTTGAATATTCTTCAAAGAGAGTGTGGGGGCAACTCTAATCAGAGGAAGAAACTAAAGGAAGTAAAACCAGATGTTTTCCACCAAAGCCCTCCTTTTGGCTGGTCTGATTTCTACCGGTAAGTCGAAAGTGCAATTTTAGAATATTGATTAACTTTTAAAAACTGATTTCAGGGGAAGACTAAAAAGATTAAAAAGTCATTAATAGCATGATCACAACAAAGACTTGTGTATTTGGCTATTAAAAATGAAATAGGAATGACACATGGTCCTGAGGATGTTTTAAGTAATTTAAATGGAATGTTCCGGTTCTTTAATGAGGGAAACATAATAGTGGGTTGAGAAGACATTACAAAGCCTTTCAGTCTGAGTCTGGGTCTGGGACTTAACTAGAACAAAACTAGATAATAAAAAGTTGATATAAATATTTGATTCTGATTTTGATCAAAATCAAATTCTGATACAGATACTAATACAGAGACTGGTATGGATTAAGACAAAGGGATGGCTCCCTTAATACTCACCGAAGGAGGAAAAAGTGAATAAATTACTACACTGTCTGATATTTGCCTCAATTCCCAAGGATAAATATTAGTTGCCAAAGTGATGGGATTATATCTTGATCAAGGTGTTGATTTGGAGCTTGGCTCCAAGGCATAAAACTTTTGAAACCCACCTTTTAAAAGTATTTTAAAGAAGAGGCTTAATGGCCATATTCTGTAGGTTCTCTTCACAGGATAGGTATTAATGAAGAGTAAAATGTCTTTAAATAAAATCAATAGTCAAATTACCAGGCTCTCGCTTTTGCTTGTTTGTTTCAAAGTGCAAGGTTGAGTGTGCTCACTGTATCTCTCTGTGAATGTTAACACTGGAAATCCAGGACATTTAATTCCATTGAACATTTATTAAGTGCTTACTATAGTAAAGAAACAAATTGTGCCTGAAACAAAGTTTGCACCAAGTCTGCTGAGAAAGCAGCCCCTCCTCCACGTTTCATAATTTTTCATATAATTGGTTCTACTCCTTCTCCTACCTTCACCCCTAATCTCAGTCTAGGCTAAATTGGTTTGACATTTCAGATTATTTTTAAGAATCTCCCTCTTCCATGTTGGCAACTATGAGAGATTTATCTAGTGTTAAACAAACTTGGCTAGTACAGAGTTCGTTTCTCCTTTAATTCAAACATTTGCTTGGATTTGATTAGTGGAACTAACCATTTCAAAATTACAATTTCTAAAATTATTTTCTGAGCCATGCTATTTTATTATTTTTGCTTAATCTAAAAATAATGATCCCCATGGCAGATAATGAGCAAAGAAAAATAGAAAAGCACAACTTATACCATTTACTAATGGATCTGAAGCAAAGTATAATGATGGAGGCCAATGCTTATAAAGAAACACATTCAGCTGGGCGCAGTGGCTCACGCCTGTAATCCCTGCACTTTGGGAGGCTGAGGCAGGCAGATCACGAGGTCAAGAGATCAAGACCGTCCTGACCAACATGGTGAAACTCCGTCTCTACTAAAAATACAAAAATTAGCTGGGTGTGGTGGTGCGCACCTGTAGTCCCAGCTACTCAGGCGGCTGGGGAAGGAGAATCACTTGAACCCAGGAGATGGAGGTTGAAGTCAGCTGAGATCACGCCACTGTGCTCCAGCTTGGCAACAGAGTGAGACTCCGATCCAAAAAAAAAAAAAATTGTATTCACTGATACTCTAACGTCACAAAGCAGAATTCTGTGGCCAGGGAAAAAGCCAATTTTACATCTGAATCAGGAAATAAAATTCTGGAAGGACGATCTTCCCATAAATACATAAAGTCCAGGGAAAACTACAGTGAAAACAGAATTGTCAGGATCAACTGTGTGACTGATAAGGCAAATGGGGATAGGAAATGTCTGAGGCCAGGAGCTCTGCTCTCACTTTTCTCCTTTTTAGCACTGGCAGGGCCATGGGCTAATATATGTGCTGGCAAGTCTTCCAATGAGATCCGGACGTGTGACCGCCATGGCTGTGGACAGTACTCTGCTCAAAGGTATGAAGTTGCACAACCACCCACCCAACCCTTTGGTCCCTAACCTCTTTTCTTAGTGTCCTTGCCCAACGTTGGTTGCCTCAAGGGCTCACAGTTCTGACAGCATGAAAAACCAGAGATGTAACCAGTTACATCACTGTCTTTGGAGCAGCTTCCAAGAACTCTGCTTCAAGTATGAGCTATAAATTGGGATCAGAATGTGGAAGAAGGAAAAGATCAGGGAGCAAACACAATGTTTTCCTTCTGAATGTCTTCACACATTCACTTATCTCAACTGTTTTTTTCCAAAGGGTTATTAAACACAACTATCCCATTTTATAGAAGAGAAACTTTAACTGAGGTACCAAAGGGTTAAGGGACCTGCCAAGCACAGTTGGAGATGGTGAAGCCTGGACCTGAATTCAGGCTTTTGGTTCCTCTTCCCACCAAACCACGCGGTTACTGGCTCAGGCTCTGGATGTTGAATATTAGAGGCTGGCCCTAAGCAGGAGAGAAAGCACCACTATCTCTTCCAGAAAATGAGGGTCACACTTGTGAATTTTCAGTTATACCCAACATCACCTTGGGGTGCCACTTTCTAATGAAATAGCCATGTGTCCAGTCATATCACTGATCTCCATCCTAACTAGAGGGGAACTCTCACATATACAGATACTACTTACAAAGCAACCTCAAATACTGAAACAGGACTAAGAGAAGGGAAATATGGGAAACGTCCCTTGAATTGCCAAAATTCAGACTCAGCTTATACTGCAAAGTTTATGCACTTGATTGATACAGTAAATTCTTGGCTCTTGAGCTTGCTCAGTGTTGCTTTGTACATAATTGCAGCAATCCTGGTGAACCTGATCGTTCAGGTGACAGCCTATTAGAAGGTAGGGGAGGCTGGTGAGAGCAGGCATAGTGACAGCAGCGGGAAGCAAGAGCTGAGGGGTTGCTAAGACGAACTCAAGGCACGTCACAATCTAGAATAGTTTGATTTGGGCTCCATGCACTTTAATAAACCCAGGAGGTATCACTCATTGTATTAAAATACCATATACAGTAAGTGACGTTTACAATCACTTTTCTAGATCACTGCAAGAAAAATAAGACTAGGGTAACATGTGATACTTTTATGATAGGTTCCCATAAAAAGACAGCTGTTTTCAAAGTGGGCTTGAAGATGTCAAGATCTAGGTATCTAGAAAATGCACTTACATGGACTGCCTCATTCCCCCAACATGCCATAAAATAATAGTAGCTAATATTTGCTTAAGGCTTATTATGTACCAAGTACCATTTTAAATGCTTTCATCTTTATGATATGGTTATTAGCACCTGCGGGGAGGGAGGTTAAAATTGGGCTAAACAGAGTGAGGCATCCTGGGACATCCCAACATGTTCTGGCAGCTTCAAGCTTTGGTACCTCGTCTGCAAACAGTGGGCTAACACCATGTTCCCAGGCAGTAAAGCTCCCCTAAGGCAGTTCCTCAGTCTGTTCGTTCTTATTTACATCCTAGAAGTCAGAGGCCTCACCAGGGTGTGGACATCTTGTGCTCTGCTGGATCTACTGTGTACGCACCATTCACTGGAATGATTGTGGGCCAGGAGAAACCTTATCAAAACAAGAATGCTATCAATAATGGTGTTCGAATATCTGGAAGAGGTAAGAGAGGTGGAGTCTACACCTGGGGTGCCTCCTGGAGATGTTGATGCTCATTTATTTAATGCAGGTTCCATACGTAGAGATTTTGTACTTCTTTCAAAATGATAAAACCTGGAACAGAAAGAATATAGAGTGTACCCAAACTAGCTGATGCATTTTTTAAAAAACTTTTATTTTAGGTTCAGGGGTACATGTGCACATTTGTTATATAGGTAAACCACATGTCACAGACATTTGGTGTACAGATTATTTTGTCACCCAGGTAATAAGCATAGTACCCGATAGATATTTTTTTCTGATCCTCTCCCAGCTGAGGCACTTTCAAGGACGTTTCACCATTTTCTCTGAAAACTTCTGCTTCATGCACACACTTCACGAAACCCCACAGCTGATTGGAGGCATTCCTTCCTGTGGCCCATGTGGTTTTGCTTAACAATCTATAAACAAAGCCACTTTCAGCAATGCTAACCATAATGGATAGATACTTGCATTTACTCAAATCCCACAAATCATAAATGCTGGCACTTCTGCAAGAGTTGAATGTGAAATATTTTTGAAAGCTTCTAAGTTTTAGGTAAAGCTAGATCTCCTGGTACTCCAGGTATTGGTTTTGTTGTTTGGTTACTCCATCAAGGTATAAATACACACATAAAAGTGCACAACACATCCATGTATAGCTCCGTGAATTTCAAAAAGTGAACACACCTGTGTAATCAGCACCCAAATCAAGAAAAAGAACATCACCCACATCCCAGAGATCCCTTGTGCTACCACTTAGTCATTATTCCCAGCAAGATAATCACTATCTCAAGTTCTAACACCATGTATTAGTTCTTCCTGTTTCTAAAAATGGTATAAATAGAATTAAACAGCATGCACTCTTTGGGTCTTCTTTCATTCCACATCGTGATTATGCAGTTTATGTTTTTGTATCCACGTTCTTTCTGATGCATGATATTCCATTATATGCGTATACTTTCATCTATTTATCTATTCTTCCTCAGATGGACTTTTGGGCAGTTTCCAGTTTAAGATGATTATAAAATTGCTGCTACGAACTTCCTTATACCTTTTAATGAACATATATATGCATTCCTATTGGGAGTGAGTCCAGAGGAGACCCTCCTCACCAAGCCTGTGAGAGGCATCTTTTGAGCGAACCCACATCCTTGAGGAGCTACATAGTGGTTGTCCTCTGTAGGCCAATGTCACAAGGGAAACTTCTGCCATTGAACTGTGTCCTCTGTAGTGGCACTTAACAGTTAATGCCAAGGTCAGTGAGAGCAGAAGCAGTAATCAGATTCGTCTAAATCTCAGAGATTTGTGACACTGGCTAGTAATCATGGTGACTCAGGAACTGAATAGATGAGCAGCCAACTAAAGCCTTATTGGACTTGTATGAATGGAAATGCTCCAGGTCTGATGAACAAAATGCTGACTTCAGTCATCACAATAATGGGTCCCAATTCCCAATAAATTCCCAGGCTTGAATTGGTTCACAGTCCCAGAGCCTCTTGAACAAAAGGGAGGCTCAGTCCTTTTGCGTAAGGGTCCTGCTACGCAGCCAAACATTTATACTGTAAACCTTACTTCTAGCTGTCCCCAAAGGGACCTGCAACGGTTTAGCAGGATGACAGCACATTAGGGAAGAAATAATTAGGCTCTTCAGAGATTACTGGACACTTGCTCAAAACTGACACTAATTCCTGGAGATCTAAAAGGCCACTGTGGTTCACCAGTCAGACTAGGGGCTTAGAGTCAGGTGGTAAATATAGCTTTTCACTAGGGTCCATCTTACAGTGAGCCCAGTGCATCCTCCAATCTACCAAGAGGTTATTTCCCCAGTTCCAGAATGCATAATTGGAATTGACTTTCTTCTTCTTTCAGACTGCCTTGGCAATTCTTGGTTATTTGCATTTCCAAATAAATTACAGAATCTGTTTGCTAATTTCCACCAAAAATCCTGCTGGGGCTTTGACTGAATCTGCAGTAAATATACAGATCAAATTGAGAACTAATATTTTTAAAGTAGTGAGTCCTCCAATCAATGAACATATTATGTCCTCCACTTACTTAGGTCTTCCTTCACTGTTATATTAATGGTTGTTGTAGTTTTCAGTGTAGAGGTCTTGCACATCTTTTGTTTAATATTTATTCGTAAAACCTACCTGATGGAGTTTTAGCTCTTCTACAGCAGAACTATCCAATAGAAATATAACAGAAGTCATATATATAATTTTAAATTTTCGGCTGGGCACGGTGGCTCGTGCCTGTAATCCCAGCACTTTGGGAGGCCGAGGTGGATGGATCACGAGGTCAGGAGATCGAGACCATCCTGGCTAACACGGTGAAACCCCGTCTCTACTAAAAAATACAAAAAATTAGCCAGATGTGGTGGCGGGCGCCTGTAGTCCCTGCTACTCAGGAGGCTGAGGCAGGAGAATGGCGTGAACCCGGGAGGCGGAGCCTGCAGTGAGCCGAGATCGCGCCACTGCACTCCAGCCTGGGTGACACAGCAAGACTCCGTCTCAAAAAAATAATAATAATAATTATTATTATTATTATTTTAAATTTTCTAGTAGCCATGTTGAAGTAAAAAAACATGGTATTTTAGTATTTTATTTAACTCAATATTTTCAAAGTATTATATCAATATGTAATACAAAAATTATTGAGATATTTTACATTTTTAAATACTAAGTCTTCAAAATCCACTGTGTATTTTACCATTAAAGCACATCTCAATTCATATTAACTACCTTTCAAGTGCTGCATAACCACATGTGGCTAGTGGCTACCATATTGGACAGCATAATTTTACAGCCTTATTTTTATGCTCACTTGACCGGTTTGCAGTGCCACTAGTGTATCAAAGTCTCCTATTATTGGTGGGTTTCTATCTATGTTTCCTGGCATCTCTTGTAGTGTCTGCTTTATATAGATGACTTGTGCTATTTAGTGCATGGATAGTTGTAACTGTTATATCTTCATTGTGACTTGTGGCATTTACCCTCTTACATTATCTTCGTCTTGTTTCAATGCCTTTTGGCCTGATTTCCACTCTTCTGGTAACAGGACAATAGCCCTTGCTTTCTTATTGCTTGGCAAATCTTTGTCCATGTGCTTGGCAAATCTTTGTCCAGCTCTTCACTTTCAGCCTTTTCAATCGCTGTGTTTTATTCCATACAGCATTCAATTGGGGTTTGCTTTTCAACCCAATGGGACATCTTTTAATAGGCAAGATAAGGCCATTCACATTTATAGACATGACTCCTGTATTTGTACCCAACACCATTTTATTGTATAATTATTATATTGTACTCTATTTCTCTACTTGGGTCTTTGCCTTTTTAATTCTTTTGATATTTAGCAAAGTTTGTATTTTTGTTCCAGTTATTTCTATTTTTCTTTATCTCTAAAGTCCAATCATTCTATCAGAATATGTTTTGGAGTTGACATTGTTCAGGGCTCACCTTTTCTAACTAGCTAGTATTTTCCTGCTATTATTCTTCAATGCCTTTATTAGCGTTTCATTTGAATCTATTCTTCCTTTGGCATCTTGTAATTTAGTCTTCCTTTTTAATATCATTTTGTCATTTTCATCTATTCCTCTCCTGAGTTCATTCAACATTCTTTTTTTTATTTTTTGTCCATTTGTTATTTTTTTAATTTCAGATTCAAGATTACTGAAGCCCAGATAAATAATTATACTTATTTTCTTTTAGGTTTTTGTGTCAAAATGTTCTACATTAAGCCAATTAAGTATAAAGGTCCTATTAAGAAGGGAGAAAAACTTGGAACTCTATTGCCCTTGCAGAAAGTTTATCCTGGCATACAATCGCATGTGCACATTGAAAACTGTGACTCGAGTGACCCTACTGCATACCTGTAAATCGAAGGCCAATGGTCAGATCTTCAAAATAAAAAGTCATCTTAAAAACCTGGATGCATACCCTTCTCTTCAAGAAATTTGTGTTCACAAAGGAAAAATGCATGAAGGGATGGATACCCCATTTTCCATGACATGATTATTACACATTGCATGCCTGTATCAAAACATCTCACGTACCTCATAAACAAATACACCTATGTACCCACAAAAATTTTTTAATTAAAAAAAGGAAATTTGAGTTTAAATAGAAACATGATAAATGCAAGAAAGAAAACATTTTGATTTTAACTCATTGTCACTCTGATGTTCATGTGAACTGGTTGCTTCGGGCTCTTTGATCTGTCACCTATGGAATCTGAGTGGTTTTATTTTTTAGATTTCTCAGTCCCGAAGATCTAAGATAAATAAACAAGAGAACTTACGCTGGGCCAGGCTGCATTTTTGACACCTCTAAAACTAGCAACCTTTCTGCTTGAAAATAAGAAAAAGCCTGAAAGTGTTTCTATGGTACAAGAACAGTGAGTGGTTTATAATGCTAGATTTAGTATACATTTAATACATATTCAATGAATAAGTTGAGTTTAGGTAGTAGACTCTCAGCAATATCCTTAGGTTTATCATATTGGTTGGAGAGAGAGCTGCTTTCATGGATAATAAAGGATTTGCTGGTATTTCCATCCACTCACCCACATGATTATGAATGATGGCAGTCCAAGAAAACATATCCCAAGAAAACAGTGAGGCTGCACTACAGGAAGGACTAGAGTGAGAATGAGGCCTACCTTTATCTGAAGTGTCTCATGGAATTGGGCCTGTCAACTTCATCTAGCCATATGCATATTACAGCTACTTATTTCTACACATCATTGTATTATATCTATGTTATTCTGTCTTAGTTATATTGACAACAGGTACTATGAGGAAACAAGACCATACAAATGTCCAAAGGACCAGAAATAATTCTGGCTCCTTAGAGTTTAGCCAGTTGGTAAGAAATGAATACATTGAACTAATCATTCTGGAAACTTCATGAATTTCTGCTTAAATTTGTTCGGAATGCAGAAAATGCCAGCAGAATGATTATATTCTTATGTGTAGATTGTTAGAGGAAAACATAATTAACTGAAGTTTATTGTTAGAGAAATGGCTGCATTTGTGTATCAGGGCATATGTATGAGAATGTTCATGATATCACTATTTTTCATAGCAAAACCTTCAGTGACCTAAATGCCCATCAACAGTGAAATCCAATAAATAATCTCAAAGTTATAGAATGTAATAGTCAACAGCAGTCACAATAAATGAACTTCAGCTAAACATAATGACCTGAATGAATCATGGCAATATAATTTTAAGTTTTAAAAAGTCCAGAAGATTACATAATGGATGATAATTCTTTTTATAACATTAAAACAGTTAAAATACAATTTCCTTTTTATATAACAAAATCATATACGAAGGCGAGCAAGAAAATAATGAACTCTAGTTAACTCATAACTAGATAGAGAGAACCACACAGAAAGATATAAGTTACTATCAGTGCTGTAGTTTTGCAGTTGGGAGGTGATTTCATGGGTATTTATTATTATGAATAACATGTCACAGAAGCAACAGGACTTGCAGTGGGTGGCCAGGAAGAAAGAGTTATCATGATGACTCTCAGGTAATTGAGAATCTATGTCACACATTTAGCACCTTCTTATATCTATTAGGTTGGTGCAAAAGTAATCACGGTTTTTGCTATTACTTTCAATGGCAAACTATATCTAGCACTGTCTGATTTGAATATGCATCTCCTTGGTACCAAATAACTTTAGGTTGTTTCCAGAAATTTGGCTTTCAAAAAATAAATGCTGTACACCACTGAGGACACACAAAAAGGAAATAGCACATCAGCTCTTAAAGGCAATTTTAAAAGAAACTCTGAAATATTTGCACAATAAAATATAAGCTTAGTTTTCCAAATAATCATCCTTCTGATTATTTAGGAGGCAAAACACAGGTGGATATGGATATTGTTTTAAAAACCAGACTCATGACCTGGAATGGAGAAATTCCTCAAGGTAGAGCAGGGACATTGCCTTCCCCTCAGCCTTCTCACATCTGCTCAATGGAAATGCAAACTTTGGACCAAAGGACTTATTTCTCAGGAAGAACTGGAATACAGCGCCCTCTAGTGCAACAACAAATCCGTGTTATTTTCCCCCTTGTCTTTTAGGTTTGGATGTCAAAACGTTTGACTTAAGCATAAAAATGTTACAAAGGTTTGAATGGCAAAGGGGTAACAGTATGGAGAAACTTACTTTTCATTAGTAACCATGATGATAATATACACTTCAAAAATTGTGATATTATTCTGTCAGGTTTGATAGCTACACATTAATAATGTGAATAAAACCAATATTTACTTTGAAAATGTTTTGAATTATCTGCAAGAGATAAATTTAATAGAAGAAAAAGAAGGAGGTAAGTGGCCAATTTAAGAGGCCAGGCTACAAAAGGAAGAATCCTTGCATCCATTTGACATTTATCACACTCAGTGGCATATTACAGTAATCACATACCTGTTGCCTCTGTGACATGTTATTAATAATAATACCCATGAAAAATAGGCTTGCTTCCTGACTCACCTCTCCCATATTTGGTACAATACAAATGAGGCCAGCAAGGATCACAAGGAAGGAAAAACAAAAAATATGAGCATCCTATTTTTGTGTTTCTTCAGCACAACCTACAGTAAGACCTTTCCCCCATTCTCTCCATTTACCAAATTTTTGCCCACAAAATTATCCAAACTTCTCCAGAATCATCTAACAAATGTAAACACTTTTAACATGAAAAAGTTTGCTTACAGAACTAAAATATTCTCCAAAGACTAAAGTTTGAAACCCACTTAATGTCAAATCCTTTATCTAGAATCCACTAGTTTTAAGTAAACAGTACTTTTCATAGACTTCCAAAGTAGAGACATTTTCATTAGATAAAACATTTAAAATACTCTATAAGTTCTTGTCTTATTTTTGGCTGTTGTAGGAATGTTTTACTCTTCCATTTACTTACCCAGTAAGTCAGGCCAATCAAGGTAATTTACATGAGTTCATGAACTTAGATTTACTCTGAGTTTTGCTCTAAGATTCATTATAGTGCTTAGTTCACTAGGTTCAACTACTGGGCCACTAAAAAGCACAATTTAGAGCAGCACCTTCTTATTCTATGTAGAAGAGGCCAATGGTACTCATCATCTCTCCATACTAGTCGACAATGGGGAGAAACTCACCCCCAACCTCCCTTCTCTAGTCCCTCTGTTTTGCTTCATTATCCTCAGTGCAAACTCCACTGGCATTCTATCACCTAACCATTCGGGTATGTATACTCCCAACTCCTCCTAGAATATATCATGGTAGAGTGATCCCAGGTGAGACCAGAGGCTTATCCCTTCAGAATGTCCACCACTGCTCTGATCCCCAACTCCATCTCTGTTAAGCTATTTCTTTTGTTTGTCCTGTTATCCTAATCAGGTTTTGTTTCATTTTGTTTTGTTTTGTTTTGTTATGAGATGGAGTCTTGCTCTGTTGCCCAGGCTGGAATGCAGTGGCATGATCCCGGCTCACTGCAACCTCCGTCTCCTGGGTTCAAGCAATTCTCCTGCCTCAGCCTCCCAAGTAGCTGGAACTACAGGCGACCACCACCAACCCACGCTAATTTTTGTATTTTTAGTAGAACGGGGTTTCACCATATTGGCCAGGCTGGTCTCAAACTCCTGACCTTGTGATCCACCTGCCTCGGCCTCCCAAAGTGCTGGAATTACAGGCGTGAGCCACCACACCTGGCCCCTAATCAGGTTTTAAGTCCTGTATTATATGATGCTTCTGTATCCTCCTGAAATCTTAAAGTATAAATTGTATTATCTGTAATTGTAGTACCATCCCCGTCCTCAAGAAATTGGTTTTATTTTTTTTAACCAGTAAAATCAGCTCCACTAGCATTTATGGAGTAATTACTAATGTAGCAATACTGCTCTGAGAGGGAGGAACACATAGGTAGATATGAGAAGCCTTACAGAGCTTATAGTGAGAAATAACATGGCACAGTGGTGAGAATGTACACACAAACATAGTCTCTAAATACAGGGATATGAAAGTGCTATTTTTTAAACTGCCATTTACACATCACAATGTATTCTAATTGCTTAATAGGTAAAAATACTTATAATTTTTTCCTAATATTCCAAACTGGAAAGTGATGAACATATTTAATTCTCTCTTTTTATTTTAATTGATTTATTCAAAATTTAAGATACTGTGGGGCAAACTGAGTGGAACAAGCTTGAAAACCAAAGTACTTACGTAAAATTTATTGAGTGCTTACTACGTGCTAACCACTAGCATGGCAGATTCTGGGGATAAAACAGTGAGCAAAAAACAGCAAGGATATTGCACTGATGGAGTTTACAGTGCAATGGAACAAACAGGTAATAATCAGACCAGTAAGTAATGAATTATAACAGGGATAAGTGCCGCACAGTAAAGCCAGGGTGCTGAGTGCCCTGCACAGAGTGCACATCGTGGACCTGACCTAAGAGCAGGGAATGGGCTGGGTGTCCAGGAAGGCTTCCATGATCAAGGACATACAGCTAGAGGAAAGATCTGAGGAGCACAGAGAGTAAGCCAGGCAAAGAGAGATACGAGTGAATTCCTTGTGACTAGAGGGTGCAGGACAGTTCTAAGGAACTGAGAGGAAATGGGAACTGAAGGGCAAGGGGCAGCTTGATGGGAAATGAGGCAAAAGAAGCAGGGAGGGACCAGACCTTGCAGGACCTTGTGGGTTATTTTAAGGCTAGATCTTCACCCTCAAGACAATAAGCAGCCACTAAGGAGTTCTAACTGTGTTGCTAATTAAATTCTAAGATCACTTATACAAAGGATCTGGCACAGTTCCAGATCCATAGCAGGAGGCAGCAAATGCTGATTCCCTCCCAAACACATCCTGCAACATTTACTGCTTTATTCAAATAGTCTACCAACTAACAATCAGAATGACTATCTCTTGTCTTTTCACCTCAGTATCATTATGAAATGAATTAGTATTTTTAAATTTTAATCGAATGTCCATTATCTCTCAATATAATAAAGTAGAATCTGAAGTACTTTGGAAATTAGAAGTTTTTTACTGAATCACAAGATGATCTCATAGGGTGCTAAAAATGTTATAGTTAAATAAGCTTTAAAATATTTTATATTTTATAAAATATATTAATACCAAGATAAAATAGAATCAAATAAAACAATGTAATAAAGCAAATGACATAACTTTACAGAATCCAAGTTCAATATTACACACTTACTTAGCAAGCTACAATATGCCTCCAAGGAAAGGTGAGAAATCTACTTAGAAACCATCTGTAGTTTTTGGCATATCGACCATCTAATCCATATACAGGGCTTGTGCCCTATTTACAGCAATTTCTTGCTTTTCAAATTTCTTATTTTTTTCCAAATGTTTCTGCAGCAATCCATCACGACAGTTTGCAAACAATCAAATATTTGACCTAAAATACAGCAGCAACACATTTTAAAATTTACATTTGCTTAGATAGAAAGCAGCTAATCATACTGATTAAAAAAACAACAACAACAATTTCAGAATCTTTGGCAGCCCATTACCAGAGAGGCATCACATCAGGGAACCATACTCTTCCCAGGTATTTGGAGACTTCAGTGTGAATTTCATCTAGGCTATAATCCTCATCAGGGATCAAAACTTCCTCCATTACAGAGAGCTGTGTTAACCTTCTCTCACACAGTCTTACAAACCTGATGAAGGCACTGCAGCTAACTTCACATTTGCTGAGGCCCAAGGCTGTTAGGTTTGTACAGTGTTCAGCAATACAAATAAGTTCATTATCAAGAGGCTGAAGATCATTAGCACACACCACTAACTCAATCAGTCGAGGACAGTTGAGACCTACCCGTCCTAAAACCACTTTGCTGACTGAACGACCAAAATAAAGGTGAGTAACAGGGGTTTCTTCTTTGAAGAACGTCTCGAATTCCTCTTCATATAGAAAGAAGTGCATAACAACATTAACTCTAGGGGAATGTTTAATAAGTGCATCCCAACTGTGTTTTTTAACAGCATGAAATTTAATCTGTCCAGGATTTTCACTCACAACATCAATTCGAAGATGTTCAAGGTTAACATGAGTCTCGCTTGAGAGTGCAAGGAAAAGTTCATCAGTTAGGATGTAATAATTCAACGCCAGTTCTCTAAGGCCTTGACAACGGTCAGCTACACAAAGAATTCCTGTGGGAAGTTGGGAAAAATTCTCAAGAACAAAGAATCATACTGATCCTAATATAATATTTTGTAAATTTAAATTTAATATTAATTATTCATTATTTGTGAAAATAGCTATCTAATAACAACTTCTGAGAGCATGGCTGCCAGGAGGTATTATGTATATAATGAAAAGCATATGTATATATGTAAAATTAAAATATCTCAGGAGAAACTTACTATAACTATACCTACCTTGCAGATTAAGAAATCTTTTGAAAAAACTTAAATAATTTATGCTTCATAGGTATATAATTTTCAAAAGGAAATTGCATCTTTATAGTTATTGTAATAAAAATATCATATCATTCTAGCTTTAAAAAATGTAACCCATCATCAGATGAAACATGAGGACAGCTACTCATCTTTGGGAGTCTTAGAGTGTCACTATTATTGGCCACAAGAATCTTCAATGAAGGATCATCCACTGGTGTATCTTCAATTTTGATTGATGATAATGATTTTGAGTTGATAAAAACAACTGTAAGTGCTGACACAAAATGAGACTTGCATGGCAATAAGAAAAAATTATGAAAACATTATTTTAAAATGTACAGCTTTAAGTAATTCATTAAAACTATATCAATACATGCTAATGATAACATAGTAAGAACCATGAACATACGGCTGTTTCCACAGAATCATTTTCTAGTAGAAGATATTTTTATAATGAAGTATAGTTTTATACTTTTTATAATTGATAAATGAAATAGTGAGAAAAAAAAGCTTCAAAGATTTCATAAAACATGTCTTCCAATTACTTCAATTAAGGATTTGGTTTTCAATATTAGAAGGACATGATTATTGTATATTTATTTCCTAGAACAGGGGTTGGTAGATTACAGACAACTTGCCAAATCCAGCCCATGGTCTGCTTCTGTATGGCTCACTAAGAATGCCTTTTGTATTTTTAAATGGTTGGAAAAATTTTTTAAAGAATAATATTTTATGACATGAAATAAACTTGAATTTCAGTGTCCCTAAATACAGTCTGATGGGAACACAGCCATGCCCTTTATTTAAATATTGTCTGTGTCTGCTTTCAGACTCCAGTGTTAGAGTTGAGTAGTCACAGCGTAACTACTTGGCCCCCAAAGCCTGAAATATTTGCTATCTGAGTATTTTTGACCCCTGCCCTAGAAGAAACAGAATTTTTATCTGATTTATCCACTCCCGTATCTCTAGCACCTAAAATAGTATCTGGCACATAGCACGGCAAATGGATGATAAAAATTTGTTGAATGAATAAATGAGGTTTTAATTCATTTTATAAGATTTCACAATCTTCAGTGACATGCTTTTCCTAGCCAATTATCCAAAGTAAATCCAAGTCGTATATGCTTTGAAGACTGACAGACTAAAGCTTACTTCTAGTTTGATCTGAAAATGAGTAGAATTTCAGAAATTTTCAGATTCAGTATTTTTTGGCAAAGATAGAAAGTCTGGAAACCAAATCTGTACATGATCACTTTTCCCTTTTTAAAATCAATCAATTTGGATTCTACCAAAGGTTCTATTATGCCTAACAGAATGACCAAATTGGTTATAAATGTTCATTAATTTATAAGAAAACATATTGATTTATACTAATTGTAAACCGGTTTGCACATATTTTCAAATGGTACAAGGCTAAACTTCTTCTGTAAATTTTATGGTGCCAAAATTATTAGGGGAATATAAATACAAGGTTTAGTTTCCCTTTAATCAATTGTCAACTGACTGCTTTAGTCCTGAAGGACGACTTTAAAAAACATTAGAGTACATATTTCATTATAATAGCAACATATTAGTTTAGTACTATTTATGCTTAGCAAAATGCTATACTTTTATTTTTCCTTAGTTAACAGATTAAAAAAACTGAGTCTCAGAGAGATCTGTGGTCTTGCCAGAAGCCACAGAGATTACTTTAAACAGTAGAGGCAGAGCTTGAAATGAAGCTTGCTAATTAATTCCTGGTATCTAGCTCTGGTGACTGCATCAGCTAACCTAGAAGCTGGCCCTGGAAGCTGATGTGCAACATTAGAGACAGCTTTTAGAATATAAGAAGAATTTCAGGGTAATCGGATTCTGTAGTTCATAAACAAGGAAATAACTAGAAGTGGTAAATTTCATCAGATTACTTACATTACTCTAATCCCTAAATGACCCATTTTTTTTCAGCACATCCCTTTAGAAGATAAACAGGCCAGCAAAAATACTTGCTAGAAGAGTGCCATGACTCAGTTTATAAGAGAGAGGCTGCTATTCCTCTATCCTCCTCCATAGGAAAATTTCCATTAGCCAGCTTTACCAACTACCATAATTTAATGCCTATCATATATCAGGTACTATTCTGACTCTGGGTTTATAATGGTAAACAAAATAGAATCTCTGCCTTCAATGAGTTTATGTTTGGTATAAGGAGAAGAGAATAAACACATTAAATAAATAAGGTGGTTTCAAGTACTGATGAATGACATGAAGAAGATAAAAATAATGTAATGGTAGAGTACATTATTACTGGAGCAGGAGGTGCCATTTTCACAATGGTTAAGGGGGGGCTCTCCAAGGAGATGGCATTCAGGTTGAAGCCTGAATGAGGAGAATACGGTATGAGTTTCTATGGCAGAGCGTGGCTGGCTGCTTGCTGGCAACCATTTTTCCTTTGTTTGTTAATCCAGTCCCAATTTTTAGCTGGGCACACTGCCACCCAGCTCAAAGATTCCCCAGACTCCCTGGAATCTGGTGTGGCCAGACTTAGAGGTAAACAGAAACACTGTGTGGTACTTACGGGTAGTCTCCTTGATAAGGAGAAGGCACACCCTTCTTCCCCCATTTCTAACATCCTAGCCCCCAGAGCAAGGATGTGATGGTCAGAGCTCAGATGGTCATCTTGAAGAAACACCCTGGAGAGAGTGGAGTGGCTGGAAGAAACCTAGGTTCCTACCACCTTCATACCAGCTATGGACTGTCTCACCTATCAATTTCTTTAATGTGAGAGAAATATACTTTGATCATGTTTTTAAACCACTTTTGTTTTGGAGTTTCTACTGCATGAATGTAAACATCATGCTAACAAGCGTAGTTCATTTAGTTAAATATTATATTGTTCCACCTCCAAAAGACAGGCCACAGAATCACAGGAAAAACACCCACTATTGCCTCTACATGCTCTATGTTCAAAGTAACTACATAAATTGTTATTTAAGTAGAATAAGCACAATATCCAAATTTTATATTAATGACACTGTGGTAACCATGACTACAGTTACAAAATATATCTAAAGAATGAAAACATGCATAAACTATTTTTGCAAAAATAAGTGCTAGTCAACAGAAAACAGCTTTAAATAATACTTTGAATACAAATAGGAGATGGTCTGTCTTTAGGAAAAAAATGGCTTTTGCCTAGTTTGGCAGTCTTTAGGGATTTTAGTATAGCTCACCAAAAACGCATAATATCCTTACCTCCGACACATTCATGAAACTTGGCTTGGCTGTTGAAATCAAGCCCAAGGTCTGGATGGAACAATTTACCAGCTGAGAGAGTATATCACAGGCAGCTTCTGCTGACTCAGCGCTACTGTCAACCTAGACAGACAATTTTTAATCTCGAATAATTTCCTGAAGATAATTTATCAGAAATACTGGCAATGTAATTATTTAGTAGAATTCAGTTGCAAAATTTTATTCATTCCTTTGAGCTATCATATAAATGAGTATTTTTTCTTCATACAAAATGTCTGAGATGATAAAACGAAAAACAGAGATGATGACAAATTAGCTTTCCAAGCAGTTCATATTTTCAAATCTTTTACAATTACCTGAATTTTAATAACAGCATACAAATGATGGAAACTGCATTTTAAGTTTTTCAATTACGGTTCAAGTTCTACACTTCAATCGATGCAAATAACTGCAGAAAAACAGGAAACCTCTTTGGATAAAATGATTTGCAAAATTCACTGACTGCCTCAAAATAAGGCTCTAGATATACAAAAGCATTGTTAACGAAATGTAAGTCATGGTTTCCATTTAATGCTTATTTTTCTTACCTTAAAGCTGACATACTGAAGATGAGCAAAATGCTTTTTAATGATCTGCTGAATGAGATCAGGATGAGTGGACTTAAAAGATGAAGTAGCTGACTGGTTCAGTTCAAATTCAAACTTTCTCCAAAGGTCAGAAATATGAAAAACTTCATTCCACCTCCTACATACAGAAGATGCACAGGCCCGATCTAGTAAAGGAAGTTACTGAAAAATTTGTAATACTACATGGTGAGGCAAACTCCCCCAGTCTAGAAGAACCGTGTGTGTATGAGTCTGGTTGAGAGAAGAGTAGAACCCAACTTTTGGCTGTTTCGCTGCTCCTGACAACTGGACAATTTTATTCTCAACAGATAAACTGTTCCTCTTCATTCTGTAAACATTAGAAAATGTTCAGTTTCTGATAGTTTTTTCACATTTCCACCAAATATTGGCACTCTAACTGTACAGAATAACATTAGAAAATGAAAAATTGTTTAATACAATTTTAGTAGGTATCTTCCACTTTCATGCATGGATAGGTGCTACCTCATGCTGGGGATACAGAGATAAATAAGTACAAACCTGTTCTCAAAGAGCTATGGTAAAATGGTGAAATACAGTGATAAATGCTATGACCAAAGTTGGGACAAGTTTCAACAGAAGGAAAAGAGGATGCATGTGATTGAGTTTGTGTGTGGAAGAGGTGGCTTGGGAGGCTTCCAGGAGGAAATGTCCAAGGAAGCAGTGTATGTCCCAAGTTTTTTTTTTCCTAGTCAATTATTGTATTTTATCTCTTTCAAAGAAGGAAGTATCACATTGCGATTGTCCTTAAAAAAAAAAAAAAACATGGGAGGTCTGGGAGATAGTAAAACACAATTAAAAGCATAGGTCTAGATAAGTCCCTACTCTGCTACTTACTAACCATATGATCTTGTCAGAACAAATTACTCTAAGCCTCAGTTTCCTCATCTCCAACAAGAAAAGTACCTATATGATCATTGTGAGTATTAAAGTGCCAGCAGATAGTTTAGTTGCAGTCTGTGTTGCTATATTAAATTGTCCAGTGCAGTTTTCTGAACTGTTTTCATTACTTAAGTCAAAGCACAATTCTAACAAAAACTCAAATGATCTGCAACAATTTTCAGACGACAGCCAGGACACAGGAGCTCAGAGAAGTTAGATATGGCAGGGACAAAGTCTTAGTTCAAGCAACACACCTGATCCTCTCCAGTAAAGCAGACAGGGAATGAGCATTCTTACCCTCCAAACAGAAATGATGAATCTCTAGGTATTAGCCAGCTTGGGACGCAATTAAGTTCCAGCAAATTTGAAGTCCAGATACGTCCAAGTATATATGGTCATCTTGTACGTATATTTTATGTAAGAATACAAAGTATTTTAAGTATACAATTATTTGAAAGGCAAAATAATGGTAAGAGTGGTTCTGAACTTTATTGAACTTTGGTTAACTATATAACCCTCCTTTAACCCCTGCAATGTTAGGAATGTACACATGAAAGATTCAGTGTCATAATTGAAACATACCTTGAAATCTAATAAAATATTTATGTGATAGGTAAATATCTCTGTCTTGTGATTCACTCTGTCTGATGTGACACATTTCTTAAGCACAACATAGAGTTGGATCCCAGAAGCAGGAATGACCTATAAAGTCATTGAACAAAATGAAAAATCATCTTTAGGGTTTGGAAAATTGAAATGAAAAGCAAAAATAGTTACAAAGCTGCATCTCAAGCATCAGGCAAAAGAGCTACTACACACATTTCAGTCTGACTAAACCAGTTACATGCATGACTTAGGCCCTGTCCAGCAGTACTACGTAGACTATGTGAAACTGCTGACTACCAAGAATTCAAAGCATGTGCTATTTTAAAAGGCCCGATCTACTACTCTTCAATGCTAACTCCTTAATGCTGTAAGGTACAAGAACAGATGCTGGATTCTAAACTCTGATGTGGAGCACAGTCATTGACATTTTGCTTGCAACCGTTTCATTTGGAAATCAACAAAATGGATAAATTTTCACTAAGTTTTTATAAAGAAGTTACCCTTAATAGAATCCTTTACTTGAAAACCAGTGATGCTAACATAAAACAAAGACATCACTCAAATGCCAGGTTAGAAAACTACCTTGCAGTCCTTAACAGAGGGACTGTGCTATATATTAAATCTCATTGTATGTGGCATGGATTGTTAAAATTATTTAATGATATCATTAAATTGCCAATTCACTGATAGTAGAATTGCAATAAGTAATTTAAGGTATTATATTAATACCAGTAACTTGTTAAAAATAATATTTTAATTTTTTTTAAGTTGTGTAATCTTCCGAGCATAAAGATTATGCTCATCCACAAATCAAACACTTCATATGATTTTATAGCTATGTACATTGTAAAATATATTTTAGACAAATTGATCTTTATTAGCTTGAAAACGTTAATCTAAACATTCTAGCTTAAAGATATGTGACCATTTAAAAAGTCGATCATTTCTTTTTCAAGCTTTTCTTACCTAAGGAAGGCTTCCAGATTAGAGTTCACTCTGAACCATGAAACGAAGCAATGGTTGCCGTGGGGTACTCACCAACCTCCATTTGATTTCACTTCCTATCTTGGTGAAATACCACAAAAACACATTCATCAGAATACATAAATAAACATTCAATAATTTCTATGCTTAGGCTCTTTATATATCACTCTATATATTGAAGGATTTTGTTAGAAATTATTGATTCTGAAACTATTTTTTGTTGTTGTTCATTGATGAAACCTTGTCTCTACTAAAAATACAAAAATTAGCCAGGCATAGCGGCGGGTGCCTGTAGTCCCAGCTACTTGGGAGGCTGAGGCAGGAGAATGGAGTGAACCCGGGAGGCGGAGCTTGCAGTGAGCAGAGATTGCACCACTGCACGCCAGCCTGGGTGACAGAGCGAGACTCCGTATCAAAGAAAAAAAAAAAAAAACCACGCAAAAAAACCTAGCCCTGCCGGGCGTGGTGGCTCACATCTGTAATCCCAACACTTTGCGAGGCCGAGGCAGGTGCACCATTTGAGGTCAGGAGTTCAAGACCAGCCTGGCCAACATGGTGAAACCCCATTTCTAAAATTAAAAAAACTTTTTAAAATTTTTTAAAATACAAAAATACAAAAATTAGCTGAGTGTTAGTGGCGCATGCCTGTAATCCCAGCTACTTGGGAGGCTGAGGCAGGAAGGCAGCGGTTGCGGTGAGCTGAGATCACACCACTGCACTCCAGTCTGGGCAACAGAGTGAGACCCTGTCTTAAAAACAAAAACAAAACAAAGTAAAACAAAACAAAAACAAAACAAATTCCAAAAAATTAGCATGGTTAGTGGAAATCTTGTTATGATTCCCAGGAATTATTCTTGAGGCTTTACCAAGGCTATGGATCAAAGAGTGAATGGACTCTGAGAATCTGTATTTTAATTAATGTCTATAGAGAGATACTACAAAAAATGTGAGGGAATTCATGACTACAATTATCTGTTTACAGGCTGTGTAAATCTTCCAGTTCCAGATTTTAGTAGCACATAATACCACCACAGTTATAGTAAAGAGGCAGACATGAGTGATTTTTATTATTTTATCATTCCCATATGAATATAGTTGGACTAGTCTGCTGTTAATAGAATATATGCTTCATATTTAAAAATCATTTCATATATATTGATAGAGATGGCATTGATTCAGTCATACTCTTTGAGGTTTGCCAAATTTCAGGAAAATGACTTGTCAGAGCTAGCAGGAAAGTCTATGGAAACTGAAGAAAATAGTAATATAGGTCTACAGCAGGATAAAACTCACACCCTTGGCATCATGAATAAATGTCGTAAGGTAAACATAAATAAATACATTCTACTACTTTTGTAAACCAAACTCAACTACACAGAGGAGTTAAACATGGCAACCTATTAATTTACTAAACAGTTCCCTTAAACCTCTACTGTCTACCCCCTGTTAATTTTCCATTTCTCTCTGAATCCAACTCCTAAAGCAGAACTGGGGAGGACAGGCTAGGGGAATGTATTTGAGCTCACGATCTACCATTTGATTTCCTCACTGCCACCAGCTGTTACACTGTTTTCCAGATAATGTCACGGTTGGCTGTCCTTCCTTTATTCCAGATGTAGAGGGAAAGGAACTCCAGGGCACACTTTCAGTGAAACACCAAAAATAAAAGACAAGTCGAGTTACTAGTTAACTCAAATCAGATGACACACAATTTTATTTACTGCAGAAACTTTTCTCCTGAGTTACACTTATGGCTAATTTCTGTGCCAATAGGCCATTCTTCATGTGAGAATACTGACATAATACTGACATATCAATAGGGAGTTGCTACCCAAGACCAGTAAGAAGATGGTGCACCACTACCTATCTCAGATCAGTTCACTGAAGTCTTCCGAATCAGATGAATTACTTCCCTGGTTGCTGAAGGAACATGATGGCTCTCATAGTCACGAGAATTTTGAGGACAGGTAGGGAACAAAACCAGAATACAGGACTCCATCAAGTGATAAGCCATTCTTCCAAAAAGGGAGAAAAGAGCAAGCTGGACACGGATCTTCAGCACAATTCCAGAGTATGAAACAAGTTTATTAGCATTGAGGAGCTCCACTAACCACCTTAACTCAAATGCCTTTTTTGATGTGTTTTCTAATTTGGTAGATCAGGTGACTACGTGAATGGGATCCTCTAGAAGTATCTAAGAGATTGCCACAGTATTCTTGAGGGCAAGATTATCAAAGAAGATGAGATGAAGACTGTCTGAACATCCACAGCCAACTCACTAAAGGCCATGGAAGCAGCTCTCTTCTGCACCATCACTAGGTTCTTCCAGATTGGTGAAATGAATACCCAGAAGTGACTTTCAACAGTTTCAAGTTTTCAGTGATCACAACAATAGAAATAATAGGTGAATACCACAGATAACAGAACATAGATGCAAAATTATCTGAAAAGGGTGGACAAATTTGTTGGGAGCAGCAAAAGTAAAGGGAAATAATTATTAAATGTCCTTTATTTAATCTCCTTCCTAAAGTTTCATGATAAGCAATCAGATTGTTGCCCCAGGCAGACGGTCCGTGTTAAGGAGCCTGGAATCCTACTCACCAGTGCAAGGGCAGGGGAAGCATGGCCTGGACAGGAGGGCTGAAGCCTCGCGCTCCAAAACACGTAAAAACACACAGTTTTCCAACAAAAGAATGGAGCAACACCTCTTTCTACTAAATATAATCCAAGCAAAGGACAAAACATAATTTGTTGGAGACGTTGTCAAACAGATTTATGTACTTTGCAGCCCATAAGACTCTAAGTTCCCTTCTAAGTCTAAAAGTTACAATTCTTTTTAAAATATCAAATCAAATAAAAATATCACCGAGATATTAAGGAGACAAAACATGAAAAATATTTATGTCAAATATTTCCTAAAGCAGTGGTTGCCATCTTTGCAGTGTTCTGGCATTTTGTCACTGGTTTAGCAATTTTCTACACTCAAGTCTCTCTGTGGTACTAGGACATATCTACTTAAAAAGAAAATTTTTACTTCCTAATAAACATAATATGTATGCTTATTTTTAAATAAATCATATGAAAACTGAAGTTTTCCAAATATATGTAGATTGAAAACACCTTTGGAGACGCAAGGGACAAAGCTGAACTGGGCAGTTTGTGAAAATCCCTGAATGGGGGGCGCCTAGGGCATCTGTTTCTCTCTCCACATCGACCCCAAAGTCGCGTCTCTCCGACTCTGGAAGCGAAAAGCGAGCGGACAGCAAGCCAGGCCCTCCGCGGGGAGGCCTTCCGAGCCAGGGAGAGCCCGCCTCCGGATGGGCATTCTAAGGGGGCTAACAACGAACACAGGTGTTTCCAGAAATCATTTCTGCAAGATTTTTCTGGGAGAAAACAATCATCATTTCTTATTCAATTTATCTTGGAAGCGTCTTAAAAGGCACACTCGCCAAAGACAAAGACGGTACACCTTAAAGCGCACAGGTGAGCGCTTTCAGCTCGCCAGAAGGCTACTTTTTGACATTTGTGGCAACTATAAACTCCGGTGAACTTAACTGCAAGCAGTCATGCAAAAAGCAACCTCGGGTAGCACTGATCACTGGACGAACGCCGCCCTTTCTAGGCTCACTCCACCGAAGAGCCAGACGCGCGGCTCATGGGGTGGCCGGGTGGGCGCCCGGCACTGCAGAAACCCAGCCCAGCGAGAAAGCGGACGCCCGGGGGCTGCGAGTCCTCACTGGCGGCCCGAGCCAGGCCCCGCTCACCCCGGCTTCGGGGGCGGCCGGGCCCGGGCCGCGGGAGGGGTCGCTCCAGGGGGCGCTCAGCCGCCCGAGACCGCCCCGACGTGGCCCAGGGCGCGAGCGCACGCCTCCCGGGCCCAAAGAGCGAGCCCATTCCGCCCCACGTCGCCACCGCCGGCGGTGCCCCCGCGACACCCGAAAAATGTGCTACCTTTAAAGGGTTTCCGCGCGTGCTCAGCGTTCGCGGGCCGGGCCAAGGTGCTGGAGTCCGGCCGTCCGGTCGGCGCAGGAACACGCCCGAGCGAGGCCGGCTCCGCGCACTGGAGGCACAGGAGCGCCTAGGCACGGGGGTCCGCGCAGACCGCAGCCGCCCAAGGCCCCGCCCCGCCTGGCCCCGCCTCGCGCCCGCTCCTCAAAGGCCGCCTCCCCCAGCAGGCCGCGGCGATGGCGCCCACCTGGCGCAGCACCAAGTCACGCACGGCGATCTGAGACCCCAGCCGCTCCTCCCGCAGGGGCGGCGGTTCCGGGAGCGCCCCTTAGGTGGCATGTGGGAGGCTTCCTGCCTGCTGGTCTTCAGCTAATTCCCCGTGGCCACCTGCCTGTGACTCCACACAGGCATGAGCCAACGCTTGTGGTTTCTGGGACTTACTCCCGATGAAGGGCGCCCCTTTATCAATGCACAAATGCAATGGGGTTTCGTTCTTGTTGCCCAGGCTGGAGTGCAATGGCGCAATATTGGCTCACTGCAACCTCTGCCTCCTGGGCTCAAGCGATTCTCCTGCCTCAGCCTCCCAAATAGCTGGGATTACAGGCATGCACCACCATGTCTGGCTAATTTTGTATTTCTAGTAGAGACTGGGTTTCTCTATGTTGGTCAGGCTGGTCTCAAACTCCTGACCTCAGGTGATCCGCCTGCCTTGGCCTCCCAAAGTGCTGGGATTACAGGCATGAGCCACCGTGTCCGGCCTCATTTTCTTTTCTTTCTTTCTTTCTTTCTTTCTTTTTTTTTTTTTTTTTTTTTTTTTTTTTTGAGGTGGAGTCTCGCTCTGTCGCCAGCTGGAGTGCAGTGGCTTGATCTTGGCTCACTGCAAGCTCCGCCTCCTGGATTCAACAGATTCTCCCGCCTCAGCCTCCCGAATAGTTAGGATTACAGGCGTGCTCCACCATGCCCGGCTAAGTTTTTGTATTTTCAGTAGAGACGGGGTTTCACCATGTTGGCCAGGCTCGTCTTGAACTCCTGATCTCAAAGTGATCCACCTGCCTCAGCTTCCCAAAGTGCTGGGATTACAGGCATGAGCCACGGCTCCCGGCCCCAGCCTCATTTTCTTAATGGTGTCTTTTGAAAAGCAGAAGTTTTGATTTTGATGAAATCCAGTTTATCAATTTGTTTTTTTATGGATCATTTGTTTGATGTTAAACTTAAGAAATGTTTGTCTAAGTCAAGGTCACAGTTTCTTTTATATTTTCTTCTACATGGTTTATAGATTTAGATTTTACATTTAGGTCTATGTTCTATTTGAGTTAATGTTTGTGTATGCTGCAAGATAGAAGTCAAGGTTTATTTTTTTCATGTGCAAGTTGTATCCAATTTACCTAGCACCAGTTGTTGAAAAGGCTACTCTTTTTCTCCATTAAATTGCCTTTGCACTTATGTGGGAAATCAGTTGTCCATGTATGTGTAGGTATATTTTCAGACCCTCTGTTCTATTTCGTTAATATATTTTCCCATCTTTACACCAATATCGCACCGTCTTGATTTCTGTAGCTTTATAACAAGTACTTGTATTGAAATCACATAGTTTTAGCCCTCTAACTTGTTCTTCAAAATTGTTTTGTCTATTTTGTCTATTCTAGATTCTTTACATTCCTGTATGATTTTTTTAGAACAAGCTTGTCAATATCTACAAAAATATTGCTGGGATTTTACTGAAGATTGCCTTGAATCTAGAAATCAACTTAGGGAGTATTGGCATCTTTACAATGTTGTGTCTTCGATAAACATGATTGATATAGCGCTCTATTTACTTAGGTCTTCTTTAATTTCTCTCAACAACATTTGCAGTTTTCAGGGTATAAGTCTTACACACATTTTGTCAGGACTATTCTTAGATATTTCATAGTTTTTAAATGTTATGGTAAATAGTATTGTTTTTTAAATTTTAATTTCTATTTGTTTGTTGCCAGTATGAAGACATGCAATTGATTTTTTATATTGGTCTTGTATCCTACAACCTTGCTAAAATCACTTGTCAGTTTTATTAATAGAAATTTTTATTAGAATTTAGTATATTCCATTGGATTTTCTACATAGACAGTCATGTTGTGTGCGAACAAAGACAGTTTTTCTTTCAATATAAAATGCATTTTTATTTTTTTCTTTCCCCATTGCACTATATTGCCGGTACAGTGTTAAATAATTAACATTAATAAAGAGATATATCAATGACATTCATTGGTTTGAAGACTCCGTATTTTTAAGATGTGAATTCTCCCCAAACTGATTTCTACATCAAGGTGAGAACAGACACTTTTGTCTTGTTCCTCATCTAAGAGGGAAAGTGCTTCATCTTTAATCATTGACATATTGCATGGATGTGCATATTGCATAGATGCTCTTCATCAGATTGAGGAACTTCCGTTTTATTCCTCCTTTGCTGAGAATTTTTAGATGAAGAATGGATGTTAGATTTTATGAAGTACTTGTGTGTGTCAATTGAAATAATCTTATTGTTTTCCTTTTTAGTTTATTAAAATGATGGACTACATTGACTGATCTTCAAAAGTTAAACCAACCTTGCATTTCTGGCAAAAGACTTATTTTATCATAATTTATTATCCTTTTTACCTATTGTTTGAGTCAATTTCCTAAAATTTTGTTTAGAATTTCTGCATCTAGGTTCATGGGGGATATTAGATTGTACTTTTCTTTTTTAGTAATATCTTTGTAAAATGTTGATATCAAGTAATACAAGCCTCATAAAGCAAGCTGAGAAGTATTTCCTCCTATTCAATTCTGGAAGAGTCTATATAGAAATGGTATTATTTATTCTGAAATGTTTGGTTGAATTCACCAATAAAGCCATCTGGGTCTGGAGTTTATTTTGTGGGAAGGCTTTTAACCAGAAATTCAATTACTTTAATAAATTTAGGGCTATTTCTTCTATTAGGTTAGTTTATCTATTTCTTCTTAAAGGAGCTTTGGTAGTTTACATCTTTAAATAAATCTATCCATTTCATCTGGATTGTTAAATTGATAGACATAATATTGTTTATAATATTCTCTTATTATTCTTCTAATGTCTGTAGTATCTATAATGATGTCACTCTCTCATTCCTGATGTTGGTCATTTGTATCTACACTATTTTTTATCTCATCAGTCTGGTTTAAGGATTATCAATTTTATTGATCTTCTCCAAGAACCAGCCTTTGGTTTAATTAATTTTCTCTATTATTTTTCCTGTTTTATATTGCATTGGTTTCTGCTGTCATCTTTATTTCCTTTCTTTTGAATTTAAATTGCTATTTATTTTCTAGTTTCTCAGGGTAGAATCTGAGTTCATTGATTTGAGACCTTTCTTCTGTTCTAACATAGGCTTGCAGTGCCATAAATATACCCATAAGTACTGCTTTAGCAGCATATTGTCAACTCCTAAACTCAGGGTGTCCACTAAACTTAGTCTGGATTCCCCCTCTCTGTGTAGCAGACTAGACATTCTTTTAAGGCAATAAAATAAGGGTAATCATAGGACTTATCTCATTTATTTCTTATCTCTTGGAGATCTTTGTCTTTTGTTGCCTGATATCTTGTTTCTCAAAAGTGTTGGGGCTCTGAAAATGACTCCAAAGCGAAGACCTTAGAAGCAGCCTCAAAAGCAAAGTTTCTCTCTGATCTTTTGCCCTTCTATCTCTCACCCCTCATTCTTCCCTGAGGCAAACCATAGAAACTAGAATTCCTCTTCCCCAAGGTAGGTCATAGAAACCAGAACCCTTTTCCCCCAAAGCCAGCCGTAAAACCTAAAAGTGTTGCTCTAACCTTCCTCTGCCTTTTTGGGTAACAGCTGGCTATAAAGAAATTAAGATTCCAGAAGGGTCCTACCCTATACCCAGGAGGAAGAAATGCTACAATATTTCTTCCTCAGGAAGAACCTAATCAGACAGACCTTGCTAGGTTTTTCCCAATCAGCCTATTACCATTAGCTCATAGCCTTTTGTTCATCTAATTACATTTCTATACACTGTCCCTGCTTCATCAAACCTAAACAAAAATCAGATAGCTCCCCTGTATCTTTGGGTCTTCGTTCTGAAGATTCCCATATCACATAAAGCTATGATCAAATAACTTTGTTATGCTTTTCTCTTGTTAACCTGTTGTCATAGGGATGTTGGCTGTGACCTATATAATGATGAGGAGGAAAAAAATCATTCCCTTTCTATTCCTACAAAAGTCATTGTTTCAAATACTTTGTGTGTTTTTGTTGTTGTTGTTGTTGATTTTGTTCTTTGGTTGTTTTGTCCCGGTTTTGTTTTTTTGTTCTTTTATGCAGAGAGGGAATTTATTCCCTATTTCTCTATCTTGGTTGTAATGAGAAATCTCTTCCTCACTTAGTAATGGCCAAATGAGCAATCCCCTTATATGGAAACATTGCAATTCTTTAACCTTCTTCTATTGCTGAACATTTAGTTTTTACTATTATAAAGTAGGCTGTGAAAATCCTGTATCTTGGTGCATTTCTGTGAATATTACTGAAGAATTTTTCTAGAATTTCAATTATTAGTATAAATATGTTGGATTTTGATGGAAAGAGCCATATCTAAAATGATGTCGGTCAGATAATTATGATATACTTTACAATACAGGAATACACAATATGCCATTTGTGATACAAAAAAGAACATCTCTGTATAGTCCTTTCAAAGAAAATATTATTATTAAGCTTTGAGCAAACAAAGATTTTGGTTGTTTAAGTCAGAATAGGCTAGGTTATGCTGAAATAACAAACACCTGTGATTTAATGCAAAAAAAAGTTTATTTCTCAGTCATGCTACACTTCTATCACACTTCAGCTAGAAGCTGTCATCCCTGTTGTGTTCATTCTGAGACCAAGGACGTTAGAGCAGCCACTGTCTGGAAAATAGTCTGTGACCATGGGAAAGAGACACTGAGGTACATACACTGCACCTTAACTTCTAACTGTATGTCAATTCTGTTCTTACTTCATTGGCCAAAGCTAGCTAAAATGGCAACACCTAACTTAAGTTAGGTAAAGAAGTGCAGTCCTACCTTATGCCTGGAAGAAGAAACCTGGAATGTTTGGGAACATCTGTACTGACTGTTACAAGTAAAATTGTGCAACAAAAATCACATCAAAAATATTTTCACACATAAAAAGATGTCTCTGTTTTGGTGGGGGGGGGTGGGATGGGAGGGTGGAGGGGGAGTGCATGTTGGACATTTCTGGGAAACCCTCAAGACAGCTTTAACTTCTGACACCAACTTCAGAGCTTGTGGATTCTCAAGATCAACCTCAAATGTGATAATTTGTCAGAAGGACTCACAGAACTCATGGAAAGCTGTTATATTCATGGTTGTAGTTTATTACAGTGAAAGGATACAGATTAAAATAATCAAAGGAAAGAGAGGCATGGAGAAGAATGCAAAAAAAAAAAAATCCATATGTAGAGCTTCCAAGTGTCCTCTTCCAGTGAAATCATGAGCAGTGCTAAATTTCTCCAGGCAACAATGTATAGCAATACACAACAGAGTACTGTCAATCAGGGAAGCTCTTTCATGTTTTGGTTGGAGTTTGGTCACATAGACATGGTTGACTGCCTGTGTGTGGTTGCTCTTTAGTTTCCAGCCTTCCCCACCCCTGAGGTCAAGGTGATATCACGTAGCCCAAAACCTCCACCATAAACTACATTATTAGACTGTCCCATGTGGCCCGAGGTTCCCAGGTAAACAAAGACACTCCTATCAGGTAAGACACTCCAAGGACTAAGAGATCACCTCCTAGGAGCTAAATGCAAAAGTCAGACCTTTGTTTGGGTAAGGTTAACTCTTTACTACACTAGGATCAAATTGTATTTGACTCAACATCATTTCAGAACTCTGCAATGAAATTGTTTATGTATCTTATTGTGAAGAAAAATACAGGTAAACTCTACCAATAATTTTTCTATTTAATAAAGAATCTTTATTTTTGGCACTGTGGTGGGATAAAGTAATGCTATACAGGCATATTTCACTTTATTGCACTTCTCAGATGTTGTGTTTTTTACAAGTTGAAGTTTTATGGTAACCCAGGATCAAGCAAGTCTATCGGCACCATTTTCCCAACAGCACGTACTCACTTTGTGTTTCTGTGTCACATTTTGGTAATTCTTGCAATATTTTGAACTTTATTATTATTATATCTGTTATGGTGATCTGTGATTTGGGATCTTTGGTGTGTCCATTGTAATTGGTTTGGGATGACACAAACTGCACCCATATTAGAAGGCAAACTTGATAAATGTGTGTGTTCTGAGTTCCAATCACTGGCTGTTTCCTCATCTCTCTCCCCCTCCTTGGGCATCTCTATTCCCTGAGACACAACAGTATCGAAATTAAGCCAATTAATAACCCTAGAATGGCCTCTAAGTGTTCAAGTGAAAGGATAAGTTCCTTGTCTCTCACTTTAAATTCAAATCTAAAAATGATTAAGCTTGGTGATGAAGGCATGTCAAAATCGGACATACGCTGAAAGTTAGGCTTCTTGTGTTAAACAATTAGCCAAGTTTTGAATGCAAAGGAAAAGTCCTTGAAGGAGATTAAAAAGTGCTACTCCAGTCAACACGCAAATGACAAGAAAGTGAAACAGCCTTATTGCTGGTATGGGGAAAGTTTTCATGGTCTGGATAGAAAATGAAATCAGCTATAACCTGCCCTTAAGCCAAAGCTTAATCCAGAGCAAGGCCCTAACCTCTTTAATTCTATGAAGGTTGAGAGAGGTGAGGAAGCTGCAGAAGAAAAGTTTGAGATTAGCAGAGTTTGGTTCATCAGATTTAGGGAAAGAAGCCATCTCCATAACATAAAAGTGCAAGGTGAAGCAGCAGGTGCTGATGGAGAAGCTGCAGCAAGTTATCCAGAAGATCTAGCCAAGATCATTGATAAAGGCAGCTACATTCAAAACAGATTTTCAATGTAGATTAAACAGTCTTCTATTGGAAGGAGATGCCATCTAGGACTTTCATAACTAAAGAGGAGAAATCAATGCCTTGTACCAAAGCTTCAAAGAACAGCTGGCCTCTTTTGTTAGGAATAATGTGGGTGGTGACTTTAAATTAAAGCATTGGCTTTACTTTAATGTTCATTTACTATTCTAGAAATCCTAATTCCATTAAGAATTATGCTTAATCTGCTCCTTCTCTGTTCTAGAAATATGACAAAGCCATCTGTTTACAGCATATTTTACTATTTTAAGCCCACTATTGAGATCTACTTCTCAGAAAAAGAGATTCCTTTCAAAATATTACTGTTCATGGACAGTGCTCACCCAAGAGCTCTGATAGAGATGTACAAGGAAATTAGTGTTTTCAGGCCGGCTAACACAATATCCATTCTGCAGCCCATGCATCAAGGATTGATTTCCAAGTCCTACTATTTAAGAAATATATTTTGTAAGGCTATTGCTGCCATAGATAGTTATTCCTCTGATATATCTGGGCAAAGCAAATTGAAAACCTACTGGAAAGGATTCACCATTCTAGATGCTATTAGGAACATTTGGGCTTCATGGGAGGAGGCCAAAGTATCAATATTAACAGGAGTTTGGAATAAGTTGATTCCAGCCTAAATGGATGACTTTGAGGGGTTTAAGACATCATGGAGGAAGGAAGTGCAGGTGAGGTGGAAACTGCAAGGGAACTAGAGTAAGAAGTGGAGCCTGAAGATGTGACTGAATTGTTGCAGTCTCACAAGAATTGAACAGATGAGGAGTTGCCTGTCATGGGTGGGCAAAGAAAGTGGTTTCTTGAGATGGAGTCTATTTGTGGTGAAGATGCTGTGAACATTGTTGAAATGACAACAAAGGATTTAGCATATTCCATAAACTTAGTTGATAAAGCAGCAGCAGGGTTTGAGAGTATTTATTCCAATTTTGAAAGAAGTTCTAATGTGGGTAAAATGCTACCAAACAACATTAAATGCTACAGAGAAATCTCTTGTGAAAGGAAGAGTCAATCCGTGTGCAAACTTCACTGTTGTCTTATTTTAAGAAATTACCACAGACACCCCAATCTTCAACAACTACTACCCTGATCAGTCAGCGGCCGTCAACATCAAGACGAGATCCTCCACCAGCAAGAAGATGATGACTCACTGAAGGTTCAGATGATGGTTAGCATTTTTTTTTCAGTCAAGCATTTTTAAATTAAGGTACGTAAAGATTTTAAACATAATGCTCCTGCACACCTAGACTACAGTATAGTGTAAATATAACTTGTATATGCACTGAGAAACCAAAAATTCATACAAATTGCTTCAATGAGGTATTTGCTTTATTGCAGTGGTCTGGAACTGAACCCACAATATCTCTGAATCATGTCTGTATGTGGCTTAATATGTAAACTGCCCACTTCCGAGAGAAAAGTTCAGGTACATTTTGCACATGTTTTCCCTTGGACACTGCAAAACACCTTGCCAGCATAAAAAGACACTGTAAGATTTCCCTCTGTTCTAATTCATTTCATTTAAACCTGCAATGGATTAATTATGTCCTGAAGATTGATCATATTTTTCCTTTAAGAATTTGTTTTTTACTATTTAAAATATAAATAGCCTATTATCTACATCAGTCAAGATTTCTTGCCTGTGCAAAAATCTCTCAACATTTTTGAGATACAGTTTTTACTTCATATTTCTTTAGATTAAGTTTTCCCTAAAGGAAATTAGTAAAGGAGCTATTTAACTTTACTTCAAGATTAAGGCTATTCATTTTAAAATCACAAGTCCCAGCTAGTGTGTCTCTAAATGTAGAAGAGCTTGCTGTTCTTTGCATTCTATCCACAGTATGAAGCCCTCGTAAATGGGGAATTATGAAATAAGCATTTCTAAATGGGTCAGGCTTAGTCATCACTGACAACATTGATTCAAAGCCATTACTCTGTGTTGAAAAGTGAATAAAGTCAAGGGCATTGTATGGAGCTCAAGATTTCATTAACAACATGTTCTTCTGGTTTATGGTGGACTTTTTTTGCACAGCTTCATGGATCTGAAGTTATCACTTTTTAAAATAAGGAATAAAAATAATTTTTAACCTATTGCTTTTTACTATTGCTCTTCTAGTAAAGCTTTCACATTGCAACATATTTAAAATAAAATGTAACACTGAATCATGTTTTCCAACGTTGCAGATTACTTGGTTTCAAAAGCTGAAATTCAAGGAAAATAATTCTACAAATATATTTTGTTTAAAAAGAAGCAAGTGATTTTATTGCCATGTTTAACTGAAAATTTCATAGGAATACTTTGTTAATCTCGAGATAATTTTCTGTAGTCATTTTATTTATGAAAGACAAAACTCTGTATTATTACTTTGATTGTCAGCATAAGTCTGGGATCAAGAGAAACAGGGTTAGTCCTTCAAAATCACCTAATAAAAGTAGGTTAGTACGTCATGTTTTATAGATGTCCTGGTGATCCGTCATTTTAAAGTGCATTTCAAAAAGGAGTCATTACCAAAAAAAAATTTCATAGTGTTTTTAGCAAAAGGAAAATGTTAACACAAAGATATTTCTTATAAAGAACAGGGAACTGTTTCAAGCTACTAAATTTTGATTTGTTTGTTTATGGCATGTCCTCCCATGTTAATTTACAACCTATGAAAACTGACATATTTTAAGATTAAAAATTAAGAACTTAAAATTAAGTGGTTTTGATTAATTTGATTTACTGGTTCTAGAAAGAAAATGCTCTGAAGTGATTTTTTAAAAAAGATTATAGTTAATTGAAGGAATACTCTGTATTACCAATTACCCTAAAATCATAAAATAGAGTACTTCCCAGAGGAAATAGAAAAGAGCTACAATAGTTAACAGATATAATATTTAAAATGCCATAGGATAGTGGTATACTGCCAGCAATCCCACCAATCAAGTGCCAACAGAAATAAGGCAACTCTTTATAAACAAGGTATTGAGAAGACTTTAAGAAATCAGACTTACTGATATCAACAAGGTTTGCCAGTGAAGGACTATGCAGCCAATCCAGGACAGGGAACAGTGCAAGAGAACAAACTGTGGGCCCCACACTTATACGTACAATGCAGCTAAGTGCTTGCAACAATAAATATTTACTACTGGTCATATCATCTCTGAACACACCAGCACCTACCACCGTGTCTTCTAGATGGTGGTGTTAAAAGTTATTACAAAAATAGAAATTAAAATAGAGGACAGGATGTCTGACTTTTACAGTTCCCAGTACGGACTCCCTGTTTTGAGTAAAATAATAAAGAACAGCACTTGTAGGGAGAAAGGCATCTTCAGATCCTTCACGTGCATTTGTATTTGAACCTTACGAAAATGGGATGAGGTGTGCAGAGCATATACAAATAAAAATTTAAGTGAAACCCACTTGCCTGACTATATGAATATCTGGCACTTGGAATGATGTGGGCACTAACTTGGGCTTTGAGAAAAAGTCCATTCTTTAGAGAATGCAGAACATTTTGTGTCAAGGGAAAGATTTCTTTCCAGAAGTGGGGAGCAGATCTTGTGTATGAAGAAGTATTTTCTTCCCACAGTGATGATCCTCAGCATATATATTCAGTTTGGATTGAATCATAGTCAGAGTATACTTTAAATTCCCAAATCCTTGTCAAGCATTGTTGCCCTTATATTTAATAAAGAAAGTCTTTAGAAAAAACTTTGATATTCATTTTTCTTTATCAACATTTACCACCCATTCTTACCTTTAGGGAACTTTTCAAATTTTTGAAAGGAAATCATCATACTATCCACTGTTGATTGAAGTATATTTCACCACGAGTGAATTGCTATTGAGTCACATCCTAAGAGTGTGTTGTTACTTTTAGTGGGATAATTATACAGGTGCTTCAGAAGAGAACCCTGTCAAACTCTTATTGTATTGACACATTTCCCTTTCAAACAGAGCTTTCATTTTCAATCCAGGAAAATTTACTAATATTAAACTTGTATATATATATATATGTATATATATATATATATATGTCTCCAATCTGACCTCCTCCCCTCCTCTTTGACTTTGTCTTCTGCTACCTCCTACATATATGTGTGTGTGTGTGTGTGTGTGTATATATGTATATGTATGTATGTATGTATGTTGTCTTTATCAAATAGTGGTAGTGATGTGCAAATACTTCATTGACCCCTGAGCATAATACTCCAGTTTCACTTGTTTGAATTTTTACTTAACTAGAAAATTGTGCTAGAAACTGAATTAATACATCACAACATTGCTTATACCACATTCATAGCATCCCTAGTATTTTTCTTAATTGCTTTCAGGTTGGAGTTAAAGCATTATTTAATTATAAAAGGTAATACATTTGAGCAAATGATCATTTTCACAAATTCAGATTCCTCTAAATTCTGGAAGGCATACAAAACCTATTTTCACACAACCTACATTTAATTCAGAATACTTTTTGGTATTATTTGGTAGAAGTATGTTGAGAACTGTAATTATTATATTCTTGAATTAAGCAGAAAAAATATATCCAAATAGTTTTTAAATCAAATGCTTTGGTTTTAAGGCTTTGGTGCGCATCCTCTTTTAAAGTAGAAAACATGATGGAAGGCATATCTAAATAGAGTTCCGTGGTTGCGTGATGCAATAGAATCTCCCTTAGCATTGCTTTGTCTGACTCTCAGGCCAAATCGCACACATTCTTCTAAATAGAGATCAATTAACGTAAAATGGTTTTGGGGTATGCTACTTAATTTTGTGCTATTTCATGGTAAAAGACGGTGAACTTAGCCTCTGACATTCCCCCCACTGCTCTAGCCAGTCTTCTGCTTGGCTGATCCCCTTCAAGTCCCCAACCTCTAAATACTGGAGTGCTCTGCAACTCAGTCCCAGGAGCATTTCTGTCTACCTGCGCCCATTCCCTTGGGGTGCCGTCCCATCTCATGGCTTTAAGTGCAGTGTCCTGTGTGATTGATCCCAGTTCTGTATCTCCAGCCCTGGAGATACAGTTCACTTGAACTGCAGATGTTTATATCCAGCTGTCTACTGGACTCCTCGTTGATTTTAATAGTCACCTCATACATGTCCACAGTGAATTCCAGATCTCCTTTAAAACTTGTCTTCCTACCTCAGTGAATAGCAATTCCATGTTTTCAGTTGCTCAGGCCCAAAACTTTGGAATCGTCTCTGACTCCTCTATTCTCTTTCACATTCTACTTCTCATCTGTCAGCAGAAGATGGGTTGTAGAATTCTGAAGACTTCTCAATGGGCTGACCACCACTATCTGGGTCCAAGGCATCACCGTCTCTCACCTGGAGTGTGCAGCAGGCTCCTAGCTGGCCTCACCACCTCCACCTTGCTCCCTACAGCGTCTTCTTAGTACACAGCTAGGAGTCCTGTTAAAATGTCAGCTCATGCCACACATCTGCTCAAAACCCTCCAAAAGCTTCCTCTCATTCTGAGTAAAAGCCAAGTAAGTCCTTAGAAGGACTTATGCAACCTCTCCCAATCTGACCTCCTCCCCTCCTCCTCTCCTCTTTGACTTTGTCTTCTGCTACCTCCTCCCTCCTTCCCTCTGCCCTAGTCATAGGGGTCTCCTCCTTGCTGTTCCTCAAACCTTCCAGGCCCAATCCACCCTTGGGGCCTTCATACTCACTGCTCCCACTACCTGGAATGCTCTTTCCACAGTTATCTGTGAGGGTCACTCCCTTTCCTCCTTCAGGGCTCTACTCAAAGGATATCTGCTTTATTTCCTGCTTAGAACTAACTGCTGTTTTGCAGTTAGTTCTGTCTCTCTCCTTAGAAGGTAAGCTCCAGGCAGGTAGGGATTTTGTCTGTTTTGTTCACTGCCGTATCCTGACTACTTAGAGTAGCGCCTGGCATGGTGGGTACTCAATGCATAATTATAGAGGTGATGAATGAATGAATGCTCTATCATCTACCAAAATTGTTCCAGTAGACAGAGGATAGGTAGGGAGATAGATACATCAATCCATCGATGATAGATAGATAGATGGATCAATAGATAGATAAATAGATTGATTGATTGATTGGTAGATAATAGCACTTATGGACAGGTTGTTATAACTTGTCACCACCACTAACCCCCTCCACCCCCATCTAGGAAAAACAGCACAAGTACCAATATAGACTTACAGATAGAACGCTCCCATTTTAGACTAAAGACAGCATATAATCATTATACATTTTCCATTTCTCAGAAATTAAGTATTAAATAACACCTTTCATTTGAACATCTTAAAAATGTGTTACCGAAAAAAGAGTACTGTAATTACATGGATTTATACATCACTGTTATACATCAGGTAGCAATGAAAGGCTTAATAGATTCAAGATCTCAGTGGCTCTTGACACATTTGTATTGAAACATAAAAATGCAAGATAAGCTCAAGCAGCAGTTTGACATTTACAATATGTCATTGAAGCCTGGGAAAGTCTATCGTTGCCTGGCTTATTAGCATAAGAAAAAAAGTGGCATGACATGTAGACTATGAGCACAATCTCACGGTGACCTTGGGCCAGTCAGTCACCTCGCTTAACTTTACTTGGTTCTTCCTGTCTCCGTGGGCATATCATGGTTGAACAGACTATTCAGGGAAGGCGCTGAGAAAAAAGTGAGCCTCAATCTTGGCGGTTAACCAAAAGTGTTTTCCTGAGGTCACAATGCGAGTAACACATGTGCTCTGTGTTGACCACACTTAGAATGTAAAGGCAAGTGTTTTTTATGAGACTGAGCCTTCACACACTTGCCAGATGTTTAGCATGTGGCTTGGATGCCTTGGTCTCTTACTGCCATGCCCCTCAGAACCTTAAATCTCCTCTGCTGATGTCCAGAGCCATTGTGCCTCTTCCTTTCAAAACCAACACCAGGAAAGCCTCTGATCACAGCTTATACAAGCTGCCTCTTCCAAGGTTGTTGTTTGTCTTTTTGGAGAGGGTGAAACGAATGAAGTCCCCATGCTGAAATTTCAGGAATCAAAAAGCCAGGTTCAGCCTCTGTGGTTTGGGGTCAGGACTCTGACTGCCAATGCCCTGGAGATAAAGTTGAGTACGACAGACACAACCCATGCACCCCAACCATCTTCAGCATATAACTTCTCTGCTTATTAAAATGAACTCTGCTCCATGGGTCTAGAGACTGAAAGAAGCTCCAACAGGCCTTAATCGTGTTCACAGACTCCTAGAAGACCTTAGAAGTCATTTAGTCTAACTCCTTCATTTTATACATGAGGAAATTGAGGTTTCAAAAAGTCATCTGCTGATCTGCGAGCTTCTCGGTACAGATTCCATGTCTTAATTTTTGTGTGTACTTGGAAATGCCCAGACTACCTTTCTTGCAAAAGATCCTGTAACTCATTCTGCACTTCCTCTTAGTCTAGACTAGTAATATTTGACTGAGCTTGTCGGTCAGGATGCTCTAAAAATACTCATGTTTTAGGAATATAAATAATATAGAATACTTAAGAAGATTTAAGTTGGGCCTGGAGGAACTAACTTATCACTGCCTCTAAACTGGAGTACCCCCATGACCACAGGCGCCAAAATGGTAAAACAGTATTCTCTGCTCAACCAAAGAGAAAGCATGGTAGTGTGGAGAGGACCCTGGTTGGGGGAAGGTAGTGTGAGTTGTAGCCCTAGACTTTGTCACAATACAGACATTTCACTTTGGGTAAGTACTTTATCTCTTTGTAAAATAGAAACCTTCCTAGTGAGTAACAAAACTTACTATTATTCCTTAGAACATGACAGATATATGAGCAAAGGACATGAGTAATAATTTTGCTTTATAGATAAAATGCCTCACTGGTTCCGTGTCTCCTAATCTATCAGAGGCACGGAGAAACATTGCCTGGAAAGGCTGACGGCAAAACTTGCGCTATCTTAATGCTTTCTAGTTATTTCTGTGGCCAGAAAATGGACAATAGATCAGGAACCAAGAAAATTCATCCCCCACCCAATTAAGAGGTGGACATAAGTTCCACATTTGACCAACGGTAGGACCCTACTCCCCTAGCAACAGAGATAGTTTCAGAGGATAGGAGTGTGAACAGGGCACAGCCAACCTGAGTTCTTCCCTCAGACTGAGCCACAGATCTTGGGAATTAAAGTCTTTTCCTCTAGGAATTAAGAAGCTGGGATGATAACTTAAAGTTACCAGTGGCTGCTTCCCTTAGGCCCATAGTGGAAGCCCATTTACAGGAGGTGAGAAATGGCCAACACAGAAATATGCACAGCTGAGAACAAGACAATGTTCTAGTGCCGTGGTTTAAATTCCTGGATCCAGCCATGTCTGAAGATGTTTAGTTGAAAAATTCTCTTTTTTGCCTGAACTAGTTTTAGCTGGGTTCCTGTCACTTTTGTTTAAAAGAATTCCAAGTAATCATATATCTTCTCATTCTTCAAATGTGGAAAGTGAGGCTCATATGGAGGGAGTGACTGATTTAAGGTTATACAGCCTGTTGGAAACAAAATCTTGATTTGAAGTCGGGTCTACTGATTTCCATTCCAACGCATTTGCTACTACACTGAGCTTTATACACCCTCTCTTGGGAATTATCCCACATTTTCTGAATAATAGTACAGTTCTCTTCCCCTACCATACTACAACACGGAAAAATCCATTCATTTAAGCAAAAGATAGAGGACCATTTCTTAAGGACTCTAAGATATGACACGAGAGCTTAGATTAGTTGGTTGGTGTCTAGGTAAGTTCAAATAAAAGATTCAATCATGTCAGCATCAAAGGTAGAAACCATGTGTTTCATTCTTTTTTTTCCCCCTCCAATGGAAGATCTACTCTGTTCTAGGCATAGCAACAGGGTTTTTCATGGTTCATAAGTAGTTGTCTCATGCTAGACTTCCTGCATAATGGAAACACAATAGATATTTGAAGGAAAGATGAAAAGAAGGAAAGAAAAAAAGAAGGAAGGATGAAGAAAAGAAGGTAGAAAAGTAGAGTGGATTTCAAGTAAAAATTGTTTTTCCTACTGTTCAACAGAGCTTACATTTAATAACCAGTATCTTACAGTGATCTGAAAATATGTCTACAAGACCTAGCCCACTGTGCAACTACTGCTTTTCCTAAATTGAACAGAAGAAACTGTGAGAAGAGAAACCTCAAGGCAGAGCCTCAGACCACAGGGTCATCATGGTAGGGCTGAAGATTTGGAGCAAATGAGGTAACAGAAGATGGTGACATTCGATAAATGCCCTCACTGTAGTAGTTCTGTGAACTGGTCATGACGAGGCTCAGTCATCATTAGTAATATTCGTTTGCAAGGGCTGTATATTAGAGTAAATTGTATATAAGTAAGCAGTTCCTGGATTTGGTAACACCATGAATAATGTTTTAGTAAACTTGAACATTTAATGATGAATAATTTTTAAGATGATTCTAACTATTGTTTAGTATGTGTTGTATCATTCTTTGTGATCAGATTTTATTTAAACCACAAACAGGATGCACATAAATGGTGAATAAAGTTTCAGAGTCAGAAGAAAAGATGGTTATCAAAAGAATTTGTTTTCTATGACTTCGTAAAAGCACTCAACCACTTGAAAACTTGCTATTTTCTAGTTTCAAATTCAGTAATGAAAGGCAACACCCTAAATGATTCCTTAGTATCATAATCACATAACTGAAGAGTGTCTTTTCTCATGCTGTATTTAGTTAAAATTTAGACATTGTGAAAAAGGGAAGGGAGGGATGTTTCATTATTACCCTAATTGAATTAACCAAATAGAATATGCCATGTGAATTCAGATATTAAAATAGGGTTTTCAGACTGGGTGTGGTAGCTAGCACCTGAAATCCCAGCACTTTGGGAGGTGGAGGTGGAGGTGGGAGGATCACTGGAGCCCAGGAGTTTGAAACCAGTCTGGGCCACATAGGGAGACCCCATCTCTACGAAAACATTAAAAATTAGTTGGGCATAGTGGCATGCACCTGTGGTCCCAGCTACTCAGGAGGCTGAGGCAGGAGGATCGTTTGAGCCCTGGAGGTTGAGGCTGCAGTGAGTTGAGATCATGATACTGTACTCTAGCCTGGGCAACAGAGTGAGACCCTGGGAACAGAGTGAAAAAAACATATTTTCTTTGGGTAAGAAATCTTTAGTTTAACATGTGGTAATCTAGAAGATCCAATTTTAGTTATAAATGGGTTTTATTGATATTTTCATGAACAGTTTTTTATTCCAAGCATAGTACATTATAGAAACTATTTTTGAACTTTTGAAATATTTAGAATACTGAAGTATGAAATCTGTTAAGATGCACTCACAGCACTGACATCAACTTGCCATGCAATTTATTGCTGAAAACTGGATAACCTGAGTGGCTGGTTCACTGTCCAGTGAATTTTTAATGATTTCTTACTTCTATTCTTCCATCTGTGTGTCTCTAGATCCACGTCACTGTCTTTCTGAGAAATACTAAAGCCTTGGCTTTGCTGGTTAGCAACAACTTAACTGTCTTTTTATGAGACACCTACAATAACATCACATGAAATTTTCACCATTGATTCTTTAAGTCAAGTGTTCATTCCACAAATTTGTGCCATTCAGTGTTTAAGATCCTGAAAATAAAGGCGGACCTGACAGAAATGGTCCCTGCTTTTGAAATTTTTATTCTTGCAGAATTAAAAGAGGAAGAAACAAGAAATACGCGAATGAATAAATGATTTTAGGGGTTGATAAACATCAAGAAAAAAACATGTAATATGACAGAAGATGTGGGAGGAGGATAATATGAATGGCGTCAGTTAGGAAAATCCTTACTGAGGATGTGACGTTTGAGCCCAAACCTAGATGAGAAGAAGGAGCCAGCCTGTGTATTCCAGTTTGGCAAAACAGAAAAAGCAAAAGCAATGGTCTGGTGTCATGTGGGAGGAAAAGAGGGTGATAGTGAGGGAGAATGGCAAGGCTAGAGAAGGAAGCAGGGTCCCAGTGTGCAGGGCATCACAGGCCATGGTGGGAAGTTGAAATACGGTTCTAAGAGTGTTGGGAAGACATTGAGGATATTCAGCAGGGCAGTGAGATCTAATTTATATCTTTAAAAGATCCCTCTGGCTGCTGGTGGATACTGAATCATAGGGTGCAAGCAGAGAAGCGAGGAAGACTGCTGGCTGGGTTTTGATAGGTTGGAGTCCACACAATGGTGCCGGGCAGAGCAGATGTGTAGAGGTTGAGATCCAGCCCTTGCCCATTCACCAAGCTCCATGTCTAGCCTGGGACTGTGCTCACGTGTAGAAAGGGCTGTCTTTTTTTTATTGCATACAAAGCACCATATGGAAGCTGCCTCAGAGGTGGGAACAAGGAAGAGGACATTGCAGTAATCTTTGTAAGGATAATAGCAGTGGTGGAGAAAGAGAGAACGGGGTGGATTTAGGATGTGCCTGGAGGTAGAGCTGGCAAGACATACTGATGGACGAGATGTGCAGGGTGACGGGAAAGGAGGAATCAACCGGGAGACTTAAACTCATGGGAGGATACGCTGCCACTGCCTAAGGCAGGGAAAATTAAGAGTGGAGTGGTTTTTTTGTTGTTATTGTTGTTGTTTAGTAGGCAGGGAGGGAAGAAGAATTCAGTTTAAGCTAGGTTTGGTCTAAGATTCATGTTAGATGTCAACAATCAGATTTATGAGTTGCAGAAATTTGTGACTGCATTAAGTGTAACCTAGAAGTGCAATACAATATATCCTCTTGGATCTTCTTCATGACTGCTGGACCCGGTGGGATGGGGGTTGAGTCGGGGAGGGAACTAGAGTTAGTCCAGCCTGGGATTCTTCTCCTGAGGGCAGCATTTAAACAGGTGCAATCTCTCAGATGTTCAGCCCATCACTCCTGTTCTCCAAGATGCCAGGAGCCTATAGTGCCCTCCAGCAGGGCCCGGAAAGAGTCAGTGAATTTTAGTGTCTCGCCTCCTCTGAACTCCATAGTCATGCACCTTATTTGCAAAGTCCTGGTCATCACTGGCCCCGCTGGCATTCACTGTTGAAGTTGGCAGCCAGTGTGGCTTGGTGAGGGCTTGGTGGATGCTTGGGACTCCCTGGCTGACTCAGCCCCGTGTTGGATTGCCCTGTGCACCCCTCTAGCTGTCTGTCATATTCTCCACCCAGCCCCTGGTTCAATGGCCCACTGTGCCCCTTGCAGCCACAGGCCCTGTGAATGTCCACTAGCTTTCCACCTAGATATGGTCCACTGACACTTTGGCAACATGTGGGAATTTCTGCATCCCATCCTTACCACAGGGGACCTTAAGGTAGCTTAGCTACAATCCAGCCCTGTCTCTGCCTGACCCAGCTGTGCCACTGATTGTACTCTGATATATTTGCCTGCCACCTCCTTCCCACTGCCCAGGTCGGTGGCAAAAAGGCCAGTTGGGTGATGATCTCCTCCCAGAGCTCCTAAAATAAATCAGGCAAAAACTCTCCTCTCAGCATTCCCCTGAAGAGCTATAACCCATCTTCCCCTGATTGGCCAGAAGTTCGGAGAGGGGAGGTCAGCACCCACATGTCTGCCTCTGATCCCTTGGTACCAGATAAGTGGGGCTTCCAACTTTTATTCCTCCTGGTTCATTCTTCTCCTGCCTGGGGGCAGCAAGACCACAGCCCAACTATCAGAGTCAGACCCTCGTTTCTTCCTTAAAAAGATACTGAGGATGAGTTGAAAGGAAAAAAAAAAAATCTCATAATTTATCTGAGAACCATTGTTCACGAAATTTCATAAAATCTCTTTGTATATTAAATCCTAAATATATTAAGGATTGTAAACATTGTTTTCAGTCTCACAGCTACATCTTGATTGCTGAGGAAGTTAGAGAAAAGGTGATCTGATTATTGATAAGGGAAAGAAAATCTGTTCCTATTTAAACATGTCACACTTGTGATTTTGTAGCTCTGGGAAGCTACTGATGCTGCAGATACAATTTGAGTCATCAGCACGTGGATGAGTAAAGCCATGGGCTGAATGGGAACATCTATATCATGGTAGAGAAGAACAGCAAGCTCAGGACTGAGTCCTGGGGCAATCCGGTAGGTAGAGCCTGAAAAAAGTGAAGGAGCCCCACAGAAGACTGAGAGGGAGCAGTGCATAAGATAGGAAGAGAGTTATTAGCAAGAGGTGCCCCTGGGGCCAGGAGACTAGCAGGTTTCCAGAGGGGGAAAATGCTCGTTGAATTAATTGTATCTAGGATGCCAAACCTGTAGAAGAATCCTAACCTATACTCTGATCCTAACCCTGACCCTGACCCTGACCCAGACCTTCATTTTTTCCTTAGAAGGATACACTGAAAATGAGTTGAAAAGGAAAAAAAAACCCACAACTAATAATTTATCTAAGAGGACCATTGATCACAAAACTTTGTAAAATCATGTCACCATTTTTAATTATGATGATACTCTATTTAGCAAATGCAGGGCTCTTTGAGCCCAGCTGGAGCCCCACCGGGATGACTGAAGTAGTGAACATGGGCGCTGGAGTTCCTGCACTGGTACTGAGAACTTTTAGAAGTGCTGCACAAGATCCCCAATCTGCTTCTTATGAAGTAGCATGAGGAGCAGAATGACTGTTTCTTTCTTTGCTTTGCTTATCTTTTTCTGAAATCAACTTGGAAAACACGTTTGTCTTTCATCCTTTCAGGCAGACGCATGGTTTTGTGGGTGAGGCTCCTGCTGGGTCCTGTGCTTGGTGTCTCAGGCATTCTGGCAATGGCAGGAACATAACCAGAGGTAGAGACACCTTTTCCCCCAAGAGGAGCAGTGGAATTAAACCCCTGGGGTGTGCGTGGTGCCTGCACCCTGCTGCCTCTCCCTACCATTGCTCCGAGTTCCTGGTGCCCACCACTCCTATCCTGACCTCCACTCCCAACAGTGACATCCCTACAGCCATCATAGGAATGTTATTCATTTCTTCCACTCCATTTTACATATTTCATCAAACTGAGATTATTTAGACCATGGAGAGAATAATCCGAAAATAGTGTTTGAGTTCAGAGTTTGAATTAAGTGTTTACTTTGATGGTCAACCAGGGAGCCAGAATGAGGTAGGACAAAGAAGGTGGGTTGAATCCTGGCTCTATCTCTCACCAGCTCAGTGAGCTTAGAGTAATCCAGTGGGTTAGAGCCTTCTCTCTAACTTGGACTGAGCTTCTAGAACCCATTACAAGTAGTGAAGGAAGAACACAGTTTGTCATGACTGTGGGGAGAAGGAGTGAGTCAGGACCCAGGGAGAGAGTCACCATGAAGCACTCCATCCAAGGGAGCAGGATGGAGAGGTGGAAACAGACAGAGGCCAATAGTATGCATTTGGGGCCAACCCCAGAGAGAGTTAGCAGATGCGAGGGGTGCGTGGGAAGTGGAAGCTACCACTGTCCCTGAAGTGCTGAAGCACAGAGCCCTGTCCCCTTTGAGATGGAGACTGCAATTGGATGAGTCAAGCAATAGCGGGAATGCGGGGGAGTTGCTTAGGGTACTGGGATGCTCAGACACTGAAAAGTTACCTAAGTCCTCTCTACCTCTGTTTCCTCATCCACAAATTTCAGGTAACAATGCCTTCCTCGTAGAATTGTTACAAGGTTTAAGATGAGATAATCCTATAAAATATCTAAGTCTAGAGCTGGCTCATAAGAAACGTTAAAACAACTCTCATCGAGCAACAACTGACTGAATGTTTTCATTTAAGCTCCTTCGTAATTTCAAACTCAGCATATTAAAAATCAAAATCACAGTACCAGGACTAAGGTAGTGTTCCAAGCCTTGTTCTATGCACATTATTTCCCGATATCCCACAGAAACAACCCAGCCTACACCAGATGAAAAACTATGTACCTTCTCTGGGGACTGGAGTAGGCAGGTCTTATCCCTATCTGTATGAGCAGACTTCTAAGGTGGCCCCCAAGGACCCACATCTCCTAGCGTTCATATTCTTGTATAATCCTTCCCCCGAAGTGTGAGGTGGACCTAGTGAGAGGATGCCACTTCAGCGATGCGGTTATAAAAGATTCCAACTTCTCTCTTGCTAGCAGATGTCCCTATTGCTTTCTCAGTGTGCACACTTTGATGAAGCCAGCTGCCACATTAGAGAAGTCCATGTGACAAAGGAGCCTTCAGCGCATAGCCAGGGAGGAATCAAGATCCTCAGCCCAACAAGCTTGGCAGGAGGAACTGAATCCTGCCAAAGCCATGTGGGCTTGGAAGCAGATCTTTCCCCCAACGGAGCCTTTAGAGGAGACCACACTGCCTCTGTCAACACCTTAACTACAGCCTTGCGGGAGACCCTGAATCAGAGGAACACGTAAGCTGTGCTCAATTCCTGACAGACGCAAACTACTGTGCAATAATAGATATGTGCTGTTTTAAGCTGCTAGGTTTTGGAATAGTTTGAATGCAGCAATAAGTAACTAATCCATCAACCCTGTTATGCTATGAAGTTTTAGTCTGGGATGGCACAGTCAGGAAGAGGATCAGGGGAGGGCTGGTTAGACATCACATCATAACAGGCAGGTTACCTGGAGTAACTGTTTGTTGTATTACATCACTAAAGCAAAAGCAGGTTGTTATGGAAAGGAAGCAACAGTCAAACAATTCCTAAAGATAAAATGTACCATAGCACAACTAAAACTATCTCAAGAGTAATAATAGGCACGCCCTAGCTGCCATTTTGATTTATAATAAAATGGTTCCAATAAAAGGAACCTGGGCTCTTTGGAGAAATGACTGCTTCTAGGACTGGGGCAGGAAATAGACAAGATGTGCCTGGAGTGTCTTGTAGTGCCAGAAAGTAATAAGTGCTCAAAAAAAAAAATCCCAAAAGCCACATTGAAGGGGCCAAAGGGAACACAGAAGCCAACTCAAAGGGGCCCCAGTGGCCAGCACTGGAAAAATTTGAGCAACAAAATAAACAAAGCAGTACTGGATTATAACCCGAAGTATAAAATTAATATCCATGAACCCTTAATGATATAAATGATAGAATAAATAAATAAATAAATGGGGGGGACAAATATCCTATGCAGAAGAATTCCACATAATTATGTGGATACTCAGCTCTCGAGGAAGTGGAGCATACCTCCCTTCCACTTAAGTGTGAGACTTCCTTCCAAAGAGTGCAGCATGGAAAGGAGGGGGAAAGATGAACTTTGCAGTGGAGAAACCTGATAAACACGACCTTGGCCAGATGATCAATGTCACATCAGCAGTGATAAATTATGTGGATAATATGTACCTTTGATATGCTATAACAAAAATAGCACTTTACTTCTGTGGTCTTTCTCCCAAAACACATAACCCCAGATTAATCCTGAGAAAAACATCAGGCAAATCCCAATGGAGGGACAGTCTACCAAACACCTGAACAGTGTGCCTTGTAACTGTCAAGGTCATCAAGGAAAATCTAAGAATTTTTTTTGTGACAGGGCCTCACTCTGTCGCCTAGGCTGGAGTGCAGTGGCACGATCTCGGCTCACTGAAACCTCTGCCTCCCAAGGTTCAAGTGGTTCTCCTGCCTCAGCCTCCAGAGTAGCTGGGATTACAGACAAGCGCCACCAAGCCCTGCTGATTTTTGTATTTTTGTAGAGATGGGGTTTTGCCATGTTGGCCAGGCTGGTCTTGAACTCCTGACCTCAGTTGATCCACCCACCTCAGCCTCCCAAAGTGCTGGGATTATGGGTGTGAGGCATCGTGCCCGGCCCTAAAGTCTAAGAAATTATGGCCAAGAGGAGCTTAAAGAGACATGATGACTAAATGTAATATGGTGTCCTGGAAAGGATCCTGGAACAGAAAAATTACCAGCTATCATCCAGTAATAGGTATGTGGTCTTGGGCAAGTTACTTGACATTAGGTAAAATTAAGGAAATCTGAATAAGGCATGGACTTAATTAATAATCATATGTCGATGTTGGTTCATTAAGTGTAACAAATGTACCCTTCTAGTGGAAACTGCATTTGGGGTATGTGAGAATTCTCTGTAGTGCCTTTATAATTTTTTGGTAAAAAAAAGCTGTTCTAAAATAAAAATTTAATTAAGTAACAAAAAAGAAGATGGGGAGATGCTGAGGAATGAGGAAGAGTGTGGAGAAGAACAGCTGGAACCAGATGACTGGTTTTAGGATCTGGCAGTGGTTGCCAGGTCTTGGACAAAGAGAAGTTGAATGGCTGTATCTGAGGTAGAAGAGTTTTCATGGAAACTAGAGTTTAAATTGAATTTTTATTAACTTAATTTTAGTAGGAAATTCAAAGACCACTTTATGGGACTTTGTCATTCGTATATCATCTGTCTTTCCCGGGGCTTCATGTGCTTGTTATGTGCTTTTTGGAATGCATATTTACATTTTAAAAGTATTTAAAGTTAAAATGTTCACTGGTTTAAAAAAAAAAACGGAATAGAGGCTGTTAAACAGCAAATGGGAATCTTTGGATAATTGCACTGGGAATGAAAACACCCAATCCAAATGTTCTCCCAGAAATCAGTACTAAAAAGAATAATGATAAGACATTTAAGAGAAAAAAAAATACGTGAAAAATAGGTTTAGGAAATTTTGACACACATATTATAGGAATTATAGGAATTATAGTAGGAGGAAAAAGGAGATTGGAGGTCAAAGAACTAATGGAAAAAAATTTATTGAGTTCGAGAATGTCATCTTAAGATCTAATAAGCCAATTGCATGCTCGTCAGGAGGAATCAAAGAACAGCCACAACTAGACATATCCTGGTGAAGTTTCTGAATTTCAAGGATGAATATCACGGAATTACAGTCTTAATCCTGAAATTACAGACTATTAAGGAATCAATAAGAATGAGCAAACTACTTAACAAAATCTATGCAGTGCTGTCCATGCTGTGTTCAAAAGACAGCTCCTTATCCAGCTATAGCTATGTGATGCTGGGCAAGTTACTAGACTTCTTAAAGCTTCCATTTCCTCATTTTAAAATAATATTAGTTTGGTTCAAAAGTATTTGTGGTTTTTACCATTACCTTTAATGGCAAGAGCAGCAATTACTTTTGCACCAATCTAATAATATCAACTACTTCCACTGTGCTGTGTGTGGGTCAGACACTGCTCTAGGGGCTTTCCAGGCAGTAATTAATTTATCTTCCTCCACAGCCCCATGGTGTAGCTTATATAATTATGCCGTTTTGCAAATGAGAAAACCAAAATGCAGAGAAGCTATTTGCACAAGGTTATGGAATGGTAAGTGGCAGAGACTTTCTCAAGTCTGCACTCATAATTACTTTGCTATAAATACCTCTTATATGGCCTGGTGTGGTATTATGAGGATTCAGTGACATAATGCATTTAAGATGTGCAGCATTGGTGCCTACCATACAATGTATTAGATAATTGAAGCTAGTATTTGTTTAAAAGGTGAAGCAAATATTCAACTCAAGGAGCTAGAAAAGGAATGATAAGATAAATTTAAATCAAGTAGAAATTAACAATGAAAAAGCATAAAATGCTAAGTTAGGAAGATAAAAATCGTACACAGAATTGATAAATAAAAGCAAAACTTGAATCTGAAAAAAATCAAATATACAAATTTCTTACAAGTTTTATTACAGAGAAAGATGGGTAAAATGCACAGTATTACACTTTGTCAAATCTGGGATTATTTCCTACAAAAATGCACACAAAAATATTAAGCAGAAAATGTAATAGAGTAATTAAAACAGAAGAAATAGAAAACACCAACAAATGTACCTCCAAAAGTAATCATTCCCAGATTTTACAAATGAGTTCTGTCAGAACATAATTGATTCAGCAAATATTCTAATTATGGCCAGGTGTGGTAACTCATGCCTGTAATCCCAGCACTTTGGGAGGCTGAGGCTGTAGGATCACTTGAGGCCAGAGGTTGGAGACCAACCTGAGCAACATAGCAATAGCTATGTGAGGGAGACCCCATCTCTATACAAAATTTTTAAAAAATTAGCTTGTTGTGGTGGTGCGTGCCTGTGGTCCCAGCTACTCAGGAGGCTGAGGCGGGAGAATCACCTGAGCCCTGGAAGTCAAGGCTGCAGTGAGCCAAGATCATGCCACTGCACTTCAGCCTAGGTGACAGAGCAAGACACTGCCAAACAAAAAAATTCTAATTACTATGTGTTGGGAACTGTCTTGTCACTGGCTTTGTGGAAATAAAAGAAGAAAAATCCTTGCTATGGAGGAGTGAGGAAATATTGAAAATTCTCTTACTATTTAAACTCTTCCTAACTCACTTTTTATGTGCCCCAAAAAGAAGGCACATAAAAAGAATATGAAGAATGAACTCCCTTAGGGATGGACACTATCTAAGTAAAGTTGTTAATGCAGCCTCTTCCCTTCTGAAAGAGAACCTGGCTTTTCCATTCATTATTTAGCTCTGTTCCCCTACACACCAGATGAAGATGAAATATCAAGTAGGCCTGGGTGGCAAAGTGTCTGGGCTGGGATGACTATAAATGAACTATCCATTTTTAGTGGAGTGTCACAGCCTTGGGCTCTCCTGAGTGCAGGGGCCTTGGAAGCTGTCTGTGATCTCTTTCACCAGATATTGACTCCTGTGGGGCACAAAGCCTTAGGCCAGGACATATCTTGGGCCTCCCAATGGAAGTCGTGCTTCTCCACACCTGAGTCATCACCTGGAGCACTAAAGAGAATGGTGCCTGGACGACCTTGAGGGCCATTCCTACTGAAGAGCAGCACCTAATGCTGCCACCCTGGGAACCTGTGTTTCATCCTCTGTTCAAAATAAAGGAAGAACAAATTGATTCCATCAGCGTATTAAAACCATAATATAGTATGACCAAATAGAACTTATTCCAGGAATGTGAGGATGGCTCAACATTTAGTAATCAGTTAAAATAATGTATCATATGAGTTAGTGGAAAGAAAACTCATGATCCTGATAAAAACTTGAAAGGCGTTTGTAAAATTCAGCTATCATTTCTAATAAAAATTTGGAGAACTAAATATTCGAAACTGTTCCCTATTAGGAAATCAACAGCAAACATGATATTGATTGATAGATGATTATTTTAGATTCAGGAGGTACATGTGCAGCTGTGTTATATGAATATATTGTGTAATGGTGAGGTCTGGGCTTCTGATGTACCCATCATCCAAATAGTGACCATTGTACCTAATAGGTAATTTTTCAACCCTTGCCCCCTCCTCCCCTCCCCTATTTGGAGTCTTTGGCGTCTAGTGTTTCCATCTTTATGTCCATGTGTACCCATTGTTTAGCTCCCACTTATAAGTGAGGTCATGCAAGCAAACATGATATTTAAATGAAAAGCATTGAAAGCATTCCCAATAATATGAAGGAAATGTCGACAATCATTTTATTACCACAATTGCATTCTAAGGTCAATCTAGAGCTGTAAGATAGCTCATTGGACTAAATTAGAGTCCAGAAAGATACTTAAGAAAAATTAAAATTTAGTGTTCAATAAGGTAGTATTTCAAATCAGTAGGTAAAAGAGATATTTAGTTAGTAATAGTATCAACCAAACATGGAAGAAAAATAAATTAGATTTCTTCTATACCCTCAAATAAACTCTAAAAAGATTAAAGATTTAATTGCTGAAAATAAAATCATTCACAGACTGGAAAAATAGAGATAAATATGTTATATGTTTGACCACATGAAAACACAGTCAGAAAACACTACAAGCATAACAATAAACAGAAGAAAATAAATGTAATATATTTGAAAAACAAAGATACACAAAGAACTCTTAGTAATCAGTAAGCAAAAGATTAATATACCAACAGAAATCTGGGCACTAACAGGTAACTCACAAGTGAAGAAATATAAAAAAGCAAGAATTCATTAATTTATGAATTCAATACATATGTATTAGCATCATAAATTTGCCAGACACACGGCCAAGGTTAATAAAAAATCACTGTCCAGTGTTGATAAGGATGTCAGAAGTGGACATTCTTAAACGTGACTAATGGGATTATTATAAATTATAAATTCTATTATTATATGTTAGAACATATTTCTGGAGGACAGTTTGGCAAAACGTATTGAGAGTGAAAGGGTTGCAAATACTTGACCATTCATTCCAAATGTAGGATTTATATTGTCATGAGTGGACGTGAGCCCTGGAACTGGGCAGTCATCTTATAGCCCCAAGGGGAGGGAAGTCAACCCACAGAGTGGCAAAGCAGCCTGTCCACAAGATCTCAGAGCTGCAGATCCGACCACCCCAGGACCCACCGTATCCACAGATGCAGTGTTTTGTGAGATGGCAAATTTCCTTATCACTCCAGTCAGTGTTAACTGGGGTTTTGTGATTTGTGGTCAATGCAATCTTGATGACACAGGGCTCTGTCCTTCCGTTCAGAACTTCTAGCCTCATCTTCCACTTCTTCCCAACAGCCACTTCTGCAGTAGTCAGGCTGCTTCCAACCCTGTCAACACCTTGATTTGCACTTCTGGTTCCAAGATTGTGCGAGAATAAATTTCCGTGGCTTTAAGTCTCCCAGTTTGTATACTTTGTGATGGCAGCCCCAGGACACAGATATAGCTGAGGCCTAGAATCCACCTCCCTCTTCCCCAAAGGCATACTTTGATTTTCTGCTTGTATTAAGTAGACTTGGAGTACAGCCTATAGAGTATCGGTCAACAGAAGTGGAGATTGATTTATGGCCTTGCAGATAAGAACACAGGCTCTGGGGTCTGGTAAATCTCATTCAAGTTGCCAGCTGTGTGTCTATGGCAACTCTCCTAGCTTCTCTGAGCTTCCATTTGGATATCTACAAATAGGGTTAATAAAGATTGTTGAGGGGGCTGAGTGAGATGATATATATAAAGTGCTTAATAAGTTATCTTGTGCACAGGAAGATTTAACAAATTCTAATGCCTTAAGGCTCCAGTGTAATCCAGAACAACAGTTCTCATCCTCCCTTAATTAGATGGACATCAATGAATTGGCCACAGCAAAGGGTGGGGAGTTGGGGGAGTCCCATAGTCTCTGAGAAATACAGGGGCATGTCTCAAGTAATGGTGGACTATGCCAATGGGAGGATGTGAAATTCCATTTACAAGGATAGCCCAGATTGTTATTAACCAACAACAGTGAGGAAAGAGAAGTGAGAGGAAGGAGGAAAGAAATAGATCCTAGGTCTTGGAGCTCAGAGAAAACTGTGTGGGGCCACACAGGGAACAGTAGCTTCCAAGGGCAGCAGACACAGGGTTTGCTCAGGCAGGATGTGAGGGAAGGGGTCCTGGGTTCCCCTTCCACGGAGAGAAGACCCAACCGAAGGACAGCATCACCAGTGGGGCTTACCCCATCATGCTTACTTAGAAAGTAGTGATCTAGAAATAACTACTTGATTAGGAAATTAGCACTTGAGGATTCTCATAACTAGTTACCTCTTGGCTGCTTGGAGTAAAAGGCAGAACAGGTTTTACTTGGAAATGCAGTGCCTTTTTTTTTTTTTTTTGGTCATTTTATGCTGTGCCTTCCTAGAACACATAACCATTTTGTTTTATTCCTAGAGAAATAATCCATGACATATGAGCTTTTATCACAAAATAAAAACATCAAACTTTATCTTTGGAACAAAATAAATGGTTGATCATTGTCTTTTGTCATTTATTGTAAAATATGTTATCTATGATAACTCTTGGTATGCATCTCACTCTAATCTTGATATTTAAAATAGGTGAGTAATTGATTTCTGAGCGTGGTGTATTTGCTCTGTAGCTTATATGCATACTTACATTTTGATACTGAAAGAAATCCTAGGAGTTAAACCTCAAAAGTCATAGACTTTGCCTAGATAAACATCTGCTGTTTTAATGGTATTTTGAACTGCAGAGCTACCGTTTAACAACCCTGTATTCTTTTCTTTTTTATAACTGAGTGGGTGGGGAAATGGGAAAGAATTCTAAAGAACCAGTCACCTCACCTGTCTCCTTCTCTCTGTTTCATCCTTTGCAGAGGAGCTCCTGCACCACGCATGCCTTCCTCATGCAGTTAGTATAAGAGTCCAAAGAAAGAAGCGGTTGAAAAGCACTTCAGAAATTCTCAAACCCTGCACCAATGTAAGGAACTACAGAACTGCAGGAGGCTTTACTCCCTTGTTGGTTAATCACTTTTCAAATGTGTTCCTTGTTCAGGTAAATGTGACATCTGCTTTTTGTTTGTTACCTGTCTACTGGGAACCATGTGTTGGTCATTTCATCAGTAACACAAATTTAATAAATGTTCACAAAATTAAATGTATTAGTCATTTATTCATTTAACCAGGAATTCCTGAGCACTCTGTATAGACTATGCCCTGGGAATAGTGATGAGCAAGAGAGTCCGTTGTAGTGTCCATTGTCATGGAACTGACATTCTCCTGGGAGAACCAGACACTGAAAGAGGCACAGGCAGATGGCAGTGATTGCTATGGTCAGAGAAGGTCTTGCTGAGGAGGTTGTAGTTGAGCTGAAAACTAAATGATGAGAACAGGTCACGTAGGGAGGAGCTGAGGAAGGAGCCAGCAGGCCAAGCTTAGCAAGGGTAAAGGCCTGGAGGATGGAAATGAAAAGAAACTGATGTGACGGGAGGGTAGTAATGAGGGGGTATCAAAGAGCGAGGCACCTGGACCAGACCAGACCACATTTCCAAACAGAAACATGCCTCATTCCTGAGAGTATATCCCAAATGGAGCACTCCTCTCTTTCATGAGGAAGGGCTGGGTGAAGGCTTACATTCCTTTCTCTAAGTGAGTGAGCACTGGGGGTGCATTGGTGCATGGAAAGGGTAAGTAACCTGCCCAAGGAACACCAGTGGCCATGGATCACTTGACCCTGAGCCAGCTCCTGAGGGTAGCAGGGAAGGTGGGTGACCCAAGGCCTGCTGGTCAAGCCAAGACTTAACTTGTTAATTCATTCACTTTTCTCCTAACTTCAAAATGTGGGACTTTTCCTAGTAAACCAGAGCCTGCCTGAGATATCTTTGCTGCAGCTACCGGGTTTCATTGAGAGAAGATCTTTGGTTCATTGGACCAGCGAGCTCACTCCACAAAAAGCCTCAGGAAATGGCAGGCCCCCAACACTTCGGATAATCTGGCAGTCTGTGGCCCAGGTCCCCTGCTCCCTTCCCTCTGTACAGATACCTGACCTAAATAACCAGATGGGGAAAGGGAGAAGAGACACCTGAGCAACCAACCCCTAGCTCTACCCTTCCCAGGACTGGAGGATAATAGTTGATGTCTTCAGAAAATGTGGGGTGGGGTGTGGGAACTCAGCCAGGGGGTGGCCAACTTTTCCTGTAAAGGGGCCAGATAATAAATGTTTAGGCTTTACGGGCTACATACGGTCTCTATCACACATGCTTGTTTTTATTTGTTAATTATTTCTTTATAAACTTTAACCCTCTGAACCCTTAAAAAGGTAAACACTGTTCTTAGCTTGTAGACCTTACCTTCAACCTGAAAAGTGGATTACAGTTTGTTGACCGCTAACCTCGGCTGCTTTGCCCTAACAAACTTCAAACCGGATGCCACTTAAACCAAGTTAGGGATGGAGCAGCTGTTTCTTTTAATCTCTATGGGAGTACCCTGAGGGGAGCCTTCACTGACAACTGCATCCCTAGATCCCCATTCCCACTTTCCACATCACCATCCTCACTTACGAGTGAGTGAGAACTGACAACTGCAACTGCATCCCTAGATCCCCATTCCCACTTTCCACATCACCATCCTCACTTACGGTCAGGAAATGGAAGCTGGGAGAGGCCAAGCAATCCCCCAAGGCCATGGAGCTAGCAAGTGATAGAGGCAGGACTTGAACTCAGGCATTCTGATTCTAGAGTCACCGGTCTTAACCACTGCACTGTACTATCCCCTGCTAGAAACTAGAGCTGTGGCTTTCTCTTCTTGGGCAAAGCCCCCATCTGTACAACAGGAGGGGTGGGGTGGTGTTTTCCTCAATATGAAAGGCATACCCGATGGCAGGTGAAATGATTTCCACGGTTCACACAGAGAGCATCAGATAATATTGATTCACAGAATGAAAAGATGATTGCCTTTTCACATCTCTCTCAAGTCTTCCAATAATGTCAGGGAAGGAGGTTTAGTCTGATGGTAATGTATCTTTAAAATCTCTCCAAAGCATGCTAATTTTCTTTTCTTTTCTTTTTAAACAAGAACAGGTTTTATAACTCAGGATCCTCAGTAGGCAGTGATAGCTAGCTAGAATTTTAGTATCACTGTTGTACTATTATTATTACTTCTCTTGTTAGTCTCATGGTTTTATTTTTTATTGCCTTTCTGAATATTTGCTATTTATGAAAAATGTTAGTGTTGCCATTGCTGTAATTCTCTTGTCCATTTCTTCATAGTTATAATATTGCTGCTGAAGCTCCTGCCATCACACCCAAATTGGAATTAAGGGGAAAGACAGGGTTCAGCCACTTTTGTCTCCTATTACCAGGAAAGCAAAATAATTTTACATACTTTGCATTGATCGAAACATGCTGCATGGCTACATGTAGCAGCAAAAGAGGCTGAAAATGTGGGTGTTTGGCTGGATACATTGGTACCCCAAACTAATCAGAATTCTACCATCAAGAAAAAGGCATACATCCAGTGCTTTGTAACAAAAGTGTTTGCCACAGGCTGGGAATCCTTTGAGTTTTCTCTTCAGTGTCTGCAAAGAGCAGGGATGGAAGTCAGAGATGTGGGATGGCTTAAGGGAATTTAGCAAAACACCTGTTTCTCTTTACCTTGTTTACCACCAAGACACTCCCTTCCCCATAGTGCAGTGGAACACTGACGAGCCATCATCACTCCTAAGAAACAATACAAAATGAAAAAAAACAGTATTGCCATACTCTTACAGTGGAGGCGAGGAAATCTTATGAGTTTGTCCCCACTGGCTATTATAGTTCAGAGTGCTAAGCTAAAGAACCCCTCACCTTTTCAATCTACTGTGTAGAAGCTATATTTACTTACCTGCACATACCTCCAAATATGTATCCTAGAAATCAGATTTGAAATCTTATAAATCCCAGAAGTAGGAAGTTCGTATTTCAAGAACTACTTTTCAAATTAGTGTTTTAATTCAACAAGCATTTAGTGAGTGCCCACAGTTCCCCAGGCACCTCCTTAAGTGCTGAGAATATAGGGGTGAACTGGACCCATAAAGCCCTGGAGTATATATCCTGGTGGGAGAGGCAGATAAAAGATCTGCAGAAAAACAGGAGTTCAGGAGGATTAAGAGCTGAAATCAGGAGGCAGACTTCTGGGCTTGAATACAAATTCTGCGGCTTCCTGGCTTTGTGGTTTTGGGCAAATTACCTGCCTCTCTATGCCTCAGTTTCTCCATCTGTAAGATAATAAGAATAATTATAGTACTTCATAGAGTTACACTGAGATTGCTTTTTTGACTCATAGTGATTAAACACAGCCATACTGAAGGGCCAGGAAGCTAAGATGTAGACAGTGTTTTAAAGGGTAAAAAATGGTGATGACAAATTACTCCCCACCTCATTTGGCAGCCGAGTGTATTACATGGCTTAATGCATGTAAAGTACTTAGAAATGTTGCTAGTATGGTCAGGCCCAGTGGCTCATGCCTGTAATCCCAGAACTTTGGGAGGCCAAGGCGGGCGGATCACGAGGTCAGGAGTTCAAGACCAGCCTGGCCAACATAGTGAAACCTCGTCTCTACTAAAAATACAAAAAATTAGCCGGGCGTGGTGGAGGGTGCCTGTAATTCTAGCTACTCGGGAGGCTGAGGCAGGAGAATCGCTTGAACCCGGGAGGCAGAGGTTGCAGCGAACCTGGATTGTGCCACCGCACTCCAGCCTGGTGACAGAGGGAGACTCTGTCTCAAAAAAAAAAAAAAAAAAAAAAGAAATGTTACTAGTATGTAGTAAGTTCTCAGTAAATGTTAGCTACTATACTCTTTCAAGTGCTGGGTTTTTACTTGATGTCATACAGTGTTATATAAGATCTCCAAAGATACTGAGGAGTCCTCAAGGCCAATTTTAACAAGCATGGTTGCCGCATTCTTGTGCTTATAGTTGAACATTTCTTCTTTCAGACACTTGCACAAAGGGATACTTCTAAGATGCATTTGCATTAGGTGGCAAACTTCATCCTGGGTATGAAAAACATTGAGATTTGGGAATAAAGCATAGTAAGACTGAGGTTGCAATTACTAAAGGAAAACCCCAACAGAGATAAGTGAAGTTCTGCAATATCATGCACCCTCCCCCAACCCGCTCTGTCTCCCCAGGCCCCCCTTCGTTAGAACACCCATGACTGGCTATATTATATCAGCATTTCCCATAATGTAAAAAGGGAAAATACAGACCTGGGCGTTCATGGAAAGTATTCTAACTCTCACAACCAGAATCCCTGTCTTTGAATTTTTTTTCTTGGTTTTTAGATCTTTAACTTTTCCTTCAGCATTTCAGTACTCAACTTTTTGAAAATCATCTTTTCTGAGGAATGATATTTCCTGGCACAGCATCATCTCTGTCAAGTGACTCAGTTTGATTTTTTTGTTTGTTAGTATAAAGTGGCCCCAACTTACAGAGAAAAAGTGGGCTCTTGGTATCAGTTTGATGTCAGGGTTTTTCCGTGTTTGAGAGGGAGCTTTAAATACCACTCGATTTGAAGGTGTCTGCAAGCGAGCTCCAGTCCGCTGTCAAGATGCTTCTGGCCATGGTCCTTACCTCTGCCCTGCTCCTGTGCTCCGTGGCAGGCCAGGGGTGTCCAACCTTGGCGGGGATCCTGGACATCAACTTCCTCATCAACAAGATGCAGGTAGGCTGCAGGGGGAGCCCATGGGAAAGACAGCTACTGACAAAGTGAAATATGTATGAGGATGAAAAAACTCGGGGCTGACTAAAGGTTCTTATCTCTCTATCTACTTTAGGAAGATCCAGCTTCCAAGTGCCACTGCAGTGCTAATGTGAGTGAATGCTCTTTAAGAACTTTCCAAATTAATTTTAATTTTCACATCTGGAATCTTCACTCTGAAATTTCCCTTGCAGGTGACCAGTTGTCTCTGTTTGGGCATTCCCTCTGTAAGTATAGTGAAATAACATAATGTTGACCTTGGATTTTTTTGGTTTGTTTTTAAGTAAAAATAAGTTGCTTTATTTAATATTTAATGTTATACATTGTTGCTTAATTTAATTGTTACAGATTAGTATTCCCTGTTAAAACCACATTGTTACAAATTATTCCCTTTTAAAACTACGATCTTGAAATCCTATATTATGAACATTTCTTTGTATTTAATTAACTTTATGCCTCTTGAGAAGTTTGAACACTTTTCAACATTAAAAAAAGAATCCTGAATATCTTTTTAGATAGGTGGCCATGTGCACAATTAAATAAAACTGGAACTAAGGATATAATAATTGCTGTAGCTCATATCATATTGCTTTCTAACTCATTTACTGATAACTCTAGAGTTGTGAAACAATGTAAATAAAATGACAACTCCTTATCTTTCATCTGTCATGAATGATCTATGCGCTATACCTCCCCCTCCCTGCCTCCTCCCTTCCTCCCCACCACCCTGTTGTCTGTCTAGCTGATTAGAGTGACTGTTGGTTTGAATGCTGCCCTCTGGGCAGGTAGAGGATCTGAGGTTGTGAGTGGAAGGAGGGCTTCCAGAGGGCCACTGCCCACTACGGCAGGAAGGATGGGTGGCAGGAAAGTTCTGATTCCTAATTCAAACTCCTGGTTAGGGTGAGGAGGAGGCACTTCTCCAAGGTGCAGTGCTTTATTCTTTCTCATGCAAGGCCTGGGAGAATCTGAAGAATCTGAGCTTCTTGCCCTGGCTAGGGTAAGACATCGCACCCATCGCGGTCCATCCATTAGATGAGAAGAGGATAGAGTGCCTTCTGGGCAGGAACCAGGCAGACAGCACAGCCCCTGTCCCTTGGAGTACCGTCCATGTTTTTAGCTGCTGCTGAAATACCAGCTGCATTCAATTGTCACATCCCATTAGCTGGTGTGAAAAGGCTTTTCCTCACTCTGCACTTTCAGACTTACAAGCCTTGAAGCCGGGAAGCACCCGTTGAAAAGAACATTCAGAGCCGACTATTTCAGGGCCCAGAGCCCTCATGTTTCCTGGATGTAACATACAGGAAGTCTCCTCCAGGGGATGTCACTGTGGAAAAATGGCATCCCCTTTAAATACGGGAGATCACTTCCTACATTGGCAAGGGACCTGTCTAAAAATAATGCAAGTTTGAGTAATGGTGATTAAATAAAAATCATCTCTATTATATTGCTCTTTGTGATATATTTCCAAAGCTGTCCTCAGAATATTTCTTTGAATAAATCCTTACTATTTACCAGGACAACTGCACCAGACCATGCTTCAGTGAGAGACTGTCTCAGATGACCAATACCACCATGCAAACAAGATACCCACTGATTTTCAGTCGGGTGAAAAAATCAGTTGAAGTACTAAAGAACAACAAGTGTCCAGTAAGTTTGTTTTCATATGTGATATGTTCCTGTTGGTGATTTCTATGTGAATGGTGATGCCAACCCTGTTTGAACACAAAAGGATGATAAAGTTGGAATTGGTAGTTCAAGGTTGATAAAAGACATCTAAGAATTTTAATCAGAAGTAATATAATTAAAGTGAGATCCACTGAAACAATAGAATTAAAGTGAGATAGATCATTGTTCCTGACGAGGCCATTTACTTCTCTCTACTATGGAATAATGAAAGAATCCTTTCTGAGTGTAATTAGAAGCTACAATCTAGAGAATCAGGGATGTAGCTCACATAATACTAAATTATCCTAGAGATTCAATGTACTAACTGAATGGATGTTGTTAACAGGGATTTTTTTTTCCTGTTGGTTAAGGAGGTTTTGTTTTGTTTTGGAGACAGAGTCTTGCTCTGTTGCCCAGGCTGGAGTGCAGTGGTGCCATCTGAGCTCACTGCAGCCTCTGCCTCCCGGGTTCAAGTGATTATCCTGCCTCAGCCTCCCGAGTAGCTGGCATTACAGGTGCGTGCCACCATGCCTGGCTAATTTTTGTATTTTTAATAGAGATGGGGTTTCACCATGTTGGCCAGGTTGCTCTCCAACTCCTGAACTCAAGTGATTTGCCCGCCTTGACCTCCCAAAGTGCTGGGATGACAGGTGTGAGCCACCATGCCTGGCCTGCATTAAGGAGGTATTTAAAGGGCAATGCACCCAGGTCAAGGTGGAAGCTTGCTACTCATCCTGAATGCCCATCCACACATTCTTTTCTTCAGCATATACCCTAGTCCCTGACAGCAGACTGGGATGGCAAGTTGGGTAGAGGTGACCTCCCTCTGTTTTTTGGGTATTAGCATCTCCACACAAGATCCTAGAAGGCTGAAAGCCCTGAGCTCAGCTGTTTAGCTGCATGCGTTTCTACCATCAATGGCATCTAGTTCTAAGTGCTTAATATATGCTGTCTCACTGAATAAATACATACCTTAGGGACAATTATTCAATTTATTACTCTCAGTGAGGTTAACTAATTTGCCTAAGGCTGCATATTTGATAAGTGGCAGAGCTGAGATTTGAACTCAGGCCTATATGACCTCAGAGCCCCACTCTTAGCCATTGTACTGTCAAATGACCTTGGAAAGACAACCTAAAAGGATAATGATACAATTTTAGGCCTCAAAGAGTCCCCAGAAAAGGCTTTCTCTAATGCAGAGATTTAGGGCCACTTAATAGGGGTGTGTGTGTGTGTGTGTGTGTGTGTGTGTGTGTGTGTGTGTGTGTAAAGACCCCTGAAATCCAATTTGAGGTCAACCACCTATGCTGTCTTTACACCACATGAGCTAGCCTGGACCTGCCCACCTATTTGCTCTGTGTCTCAAGCCACTTCCCTTCCCATCCCCACAATCCTCACCACCGACTCTGGCTCTTGGCAGGTAGGCTTCTGGGGCTGCTTGGCTCTACATCATTTGAGTCACTCTGTCCTTATCAACTTTCATCCCCACAGTATTTTTCCTGTGAACAGCCATGCAACCAAACCACGGCAGGCAACGCGCTGACATTTCTGAAGAGTCTTCTGGAAATTTTCCAGAAAGAAAAGATGAGAGGGATGAGAGGCAAGATATGAAGATGAAATATTATTTATCCTATTTATTAAATTTAAAAAGCTTTCTCTTTAAGTTGCTACAATTTAAAAATCAAGTAAGCTACTCTAAATCAGTATCAGTTGTGATTATTTGTTTAACATTGTATGTCTTTATTTTGAAATAAATACATATGTGGAAAAAACAACATGAGCTGGTCTCTTGGCAATTATTCATTTCTTGCTGCTCAGAACAAAGAAAGCTACAAGTGTTGTTAAGGGGAAGAATAGATCAGAGACTCCTGTAGGAGTCTCTGTGATAAGACTCCTGATGCTGAATACAGACCCTCAGGCTCATAGGCTGTGGCTGGAGCTGCAGGAGGGCTGCAGGGAGCAGTTACAAAGAATGTCTATGAGGACCATCTGAGGGTTGCCACTAGGGGAGGCTGAAGGCATGTCTGACACTGCTAAGAGGGCTAGGGTCCTGAGAAACTGGCCTTGTGCCTGAAAGAGGAGAAGGCAGCAGCTTGGAAGTGGGAGACTGCTCAAGAATGTGGGCATGCAGAATAAATGCTTAATAATTAAGTGCTTAACCCACTAGTTATGGTAGGAAGTAGATATTATTATTATGCATTTCTGTTTTATATATACTGAAACCAAAGCTTAGAAAGTCTGCATGGCATTCCCAAGATCCCACAGGTGGTGAGATTTAGAAGAAGGATTCACCCCTCGTGCTCTCTGCTTCCAAACCCTTTGCTGTTTGCATTCTGCCCCTTTCTTATTCTCTTTATACCAAGGGTGTGCATTGTGCTTCTTCCAACCACAGCCTGAGGGTAAAATAGACCCATCATAATTCCAGTCCACACTCTCATATCCAGAAACCTAGGGAGTCAGGTTTCAGAATTCAAGCTTTTTAGCCTTTTAGAAAGTTAAAACAATCCACGTGCCATATATTACATAACACCCACAGCAGGGCCTGGGGCAAGTTTCCATAATTAAACATATCAATTCTGCAACAGTCACTGAAATGGTCAGGTTTTGCAGCCAAATGAGTCCTAACAAATCTTGAGTTTTCGCAGCTGTTTGGATTTCAGAATAATGATAAGAAATTAGTAAGCTGCATTAACAAAACAGCCTTTCTCTAGCTCATGCCCTATTTAACAAGGGAGGTGGGGGTGGGGGGCACTCTTACGAAGACATTTTATGTGGGGCTGGGCTGGGTGTCTCCAGGAGGGATAAAGGTTTCTGTAGCTTCCTGGACAGCCAGCCACATGGAGTTCCAGATCACAGCTGAAGGGCCTTCTCTTCTCCTCTCCTCCATGTGGGTTTTCTGAATGACTGGCGCCAGACATAGTTGAATCATGTGACACTATGTGGTTTACCACCTGTGGCATGGGGAGACACCAGCCCAAGCAGGATCCCAGCAGGGACAGATACTGATGGTTGGTGATGGTTTCAGAATATAACTCGGAAATGCAATGTCTTGCCAGAGGAGACGGGCAGAGACGAGCTTCCACTCACTGATGCAGATTAATCACCAGCATAGCTTGGTGCTTTCCCTAGGCTTTTCTGCAAAAGTCACATAACCTGCAGTGTTCATTCCTGCAGGCAAGCTCCAAGGAGGGTTCACTTACAGTAAAGTGTGCTATAATTACCATCTTCTCTGTGCCAGGAGAGTTGAGATTCATCAAGAAGCCACCCTGGAGAAAGGAGAACTAATATTTATTGTTTACTCTGTACCAGGCAGTCCTCTAAGCCTATTTTGTAGAATATCTGGTTGGATCCTCACAACAACCCCATGAGATATTTATATAATTGTTGTATGTAATTTTTCCCACTGCACAAATGAGATAAGTAGGCCCAACGAGGTTGCATAACTTGGCCAGAAGCACGTTGCTCACAAGCAGTGAAGTTGCTACCCTCTCCAGGTTGCCAGGCCCCAGGCAGAGTTGTTTCCAGCAGATTCCAGATCAAAGCACACACTGCAGGCCAAGATGTGGCCAGCCATAAAGCTAGCTTGCCCATCTATCCATCCATCCCTCCCTCTTTACATCCACCCAGTTTGAAGCAGGAAGATGCTGTGATGTTCAAACCTCACAATTCCTCTCCTCCCATTGTCACATTGTCACTCTGCTTCATTGACCCCAGACCAAGACCTCCCTTTCTCTGCAAAGGAAGGCCTCAGCAGAAACTCAAAGAGGACCTAAAGGTCTTCATTCTTTATTTTTATCACTTTAAAAACATGGCTTTAGCTAGGCACAGTGGCTCATGCCTAAAATCCCAGCACTTTGGGAGGCTGACGCAGGCTGATCACTTGAGCCCAGGAATTTGAGATCAGCCTGGTCAATATGGTGAAACCCAGTCTCTATGAAAAATACAAAACTTAGCTGGGTATGGTGACATGCAACTGTAGTCCCAGCTACTCGGAGTCTGAGATGGGAGGATCACTTGAGCCTAGGAGGTCGAGGGTGCAGTAAGCCATGATTGCACCGCTACACTCCAGCCTGGGCAACAGAGCAAGATCCTGTCTTAAAAAAAAACAAACAACAACAACAGCAGCAACAACAACAACAGCAAACAGATGGCTTCATTGAGATACGCTTCATATACCACATGCAATACAATTCATCCATTTGAAGCGTATAATTCAATATATTTTAGTACATTGGCAGGTTGCACAACCCTCACTTTTTAAACTGTGTCATATTATCTGTAAATAGAGGTAACTGACTTCTTTTTTTCCAACTTGGATGCCTTTTCTTTCACTTCCTTGGCTAATTTCTGGCTAGAACTTCCAATACAATGTTGAATAGAAGTGGTGAGAGTACACATTCTTGTTTTGTTCCTGATTTTAGTGGGAAAGGATCCAGTCATTCACGATTAAATATTAATATGATGTGAGCTGTGGACTTTTCATAAATGCTCAGTATCAGGCTGAGAAAATTCCCTTTTATTCTCAGTCTGTTGAGCACTTTTATCATGAATGAGATTGGACTGTGTCTGATGTATTTTCTGCACTTATTGGTATAGAGGTTATTGATACAGAAGTTAATTCTTGGCTTTAGAGTTTCCAGTGGTAACCTTCCTAGCCCTGGGATAGAAAGTAACTCCTTGGACTATGGAAGAGAAGTCCGAGAGGAGAGGATGATGGCAGACACTATTGAGTTCCCTGGAGAAGAGCTCTCTGCCTGGCCCCCAGCAGAGCCTCGGGGTAGAGGGCAGAACTCCTGGGGAGGGTAGAAAACCAAGAGTGAAGGGCACATGAGCTGTATCCCCTGAATGGCCTGGGAGATGACACGAAAAGAGAATGCCTCTTGCCACCACACCTAAGGTGTGGTATAGGGAGGACCACCCACTGGCCCTAGGAAGCTGGGCTTGATGCAGCCCCCTGAATAGTTTCAACGGAGAAACCAAAGATTTTCACACAGGGCAGAGAGGGGCACTGATGTGTCTTGGAGGATGGTAAGGCTGGAGAGGCCTTGGGATGGGCACATATGTCAGGCTCGGACCACGGGACAGGGACCAAATGGGACTGAAGATGCTTATACAGAAGCCACCCTGGAGGGAAAGCCATGCCCAGGACTAGCCAGGAAGAACACCAGGGTAGGACAGAGCACCTCCCAGGACCCTGAAGCCTCTCCCTAAATCCCAAACCTCCCAGATCTAAAGTCAACCCCAGGGGAAGGTGGAGAAGGAAAAAATCTTGAACTGGGCATTTAACTTGGAATTTCGAAGTTTTACCCTGAAATGGCAAAATTATTTTTTTCTGTCATCAGCTTGAAAAAAATCTCAATTTAGTTAATAAAAAATAAAGAAACTTTCATTTATTTGCTGCAGACCTGAGGATGTGATTTAATCACTCAACAGACACTAATAAGTGCACAGTGAGGAGCACGCACTGGACTCAGCGTGCGGTGAGGAAGGCGCTACCGCTGTCCTCAGGATCCACGGGTGCAGGAGCGGGGAAAAACCTGGTCGGTGCTGAGAGGAGACTGGAGGCACGGGGACGTGTTACTTGAGACTGGAGGGAGTGGCTGAGCCCAGAGCTCACTGGCCCCTCCCCATCCTCAGACAGAGGAGTGAAGCAACGTTTCTCTGGGTGGTTTCTGGCTCCCTGGTGCTCATGGTCAGGACTTCTCAGCTGGACCAAACATTTCTTGGAAAGCTCTTTGATGCCAGCCTAGCAGAGTGGGCATTGGGGATCAGAACCTTGGAGGGCTTGAATCAGTGACTCATGAGGCATCCCAGGCATCAGAAGGGCCACGTCAGTGTCTGCACCATCCTAGCCCACGCTTGCTAATTGATGTCCACTTGGAGGTCCAAAGGCCAAACATCTGCAGCTCTCAGGGCTTCACATGCAGAGATGAGGCCCAGGGAACACTGTAGTCATCCTGTGTTCACCTCCTGGAAACAGCAAACAACCCAGACTCAGAGAAGAAGGCAGGCAAAGAACAGAAACCAGAAAAATCACACCAGGCCACCCCTTCCTCTAACCCCTATGTTTTGCACTTTACAGTTTACAAAAACACTTTTGCACTTGATTCTTGTGGAAGCTGTGCAAAGTAGGTAAGGGAGACCAGTGTGGCCATTTTACAGATGGCTCAGGGGGCACTGCTGCCTGCAAGAGCACAGGGGGCACTGCTGCCTGCAAGAGCACAGGTGGCTGATGGCCTGCGTGAAACTGGAACCCAAGGGGAAGGCCTCCCTAATGTGAAGTTCTTGCCACCACAGAGAAGGAAAAGGGCAACGCCAAGGGAGATGGTGAGACCCAGGAAACAGGAAAAGAAGTGTCACGGGGCCCAGGTGTTCTCACCACAGGGCCAAGATCGTGCACTCCCAGACGCGGATTCCTGCGGAGGGTTTAGTTGACCTCTACTGCCACCAAGTGGTGGTTCTGCAGGGTATCAGCCTTTGGGCGAGGGATATGTATATACACACATATATATGTGTGTGTGTGTATATGTACACACACACACACACACATATGTATTTTTTCCCCTGTAGGGCAGCAGTTCTCAAAGAGGACCCACGAGGTCAAAACCACTTTCATAGAACACTAAGATGTTATCTGCTCTTTTCAATCTTATGTTCTCACAAGCATACGGTGGAGTTTCCCAAAGGCTATAATGCAAGTGATAACCCATAGACTAAAAGCAAAAGCAGACAGAGGAACACAATTGCCCTCTGTTTAAGCCAGACTTCGCCGCAAAAACGGAAAACGCAAGTCTTCTCGTTAATTATATTGGTTTAGAAAGAATCGTTATTTTCATAGAATGTTATTTATGTTAAAATGTCATGGGTTTATTATTATACCTAAATGGATAAATATTTTTGAAATTCTGTTTGAATTTCCAGTAATTGTTGGTAAATATATAAGCAGTTGTTCTTCGAGGTCCTTAATAATTTTCAGGAGTGAAAGGGGCTGCTGTTGAGGACTGCTGCTGTATGGTAATGATTTTTGTTCTTCTTTTCATCTTTCCTGGTAAGGCAAATTGGCCAACCCTGAAGCCCCCCAACTCCAAGGCACAGACACCAAAACTGGTGCTTGGCTTGGAATTCTGTTTTGTTTTCATCCTTCTTAAAAATAGGATTCCATTTGTTTAAAGACTTTCCTGACCATGACAACAGAAATTAATGCCTGATACTAAGCTCCCTGAGGGCAGGGTCCCTGCCATTGTCACCCAATGCCTGTAACAGCACTGGCCACAGTCAGACTACACACACACACACACACTCTCTCTCTCTCTCTCTCTCTCTCTCTCACACACACACACACACACACACACATATATATATTTTATATATATATATATATATATATATATATATATATATATATATATATATTTGGTTAAATAGAACCATAATGTGTTGATGGAGGAAGACTCACAAGCTGTTGGCCCAACTATTCCACAAGATTGCCCTCTCCAGAAAAATCTAAGAGGAAGCAGATCCATTGCTGGCTGACCCCTCCCAGATCTGGCTACCTCATGAGATTTGTTTGGGCTGGAGCTGAGTTTCTTCAATAAAGCCGAGTTTCATTCATTGCAGCCCAGGTGCTCCTGAGTGGGAGTGAAGGTGCAGAAGATGTGCTGAGGCATTGTCTGCCCAGCATGGAGGAGGGCGGGGGGAGGGGGTGTGGCAGGGGCTGTTACTCAGAGCTGGGCTGAGGCTGGGCAGCGAGGAAGAGCCAGCCCGCAGCCTGGAAAACAAGTATCCAGCAGGGAGCCCTAGCTCTGCAATAAGGTGTGCTTTTATTTTAAGAAATTATAAAAACAATATATGTGTGCTGTAAAAAAATTAAAACATTACAATAATCACCATCATCAAATCACCATCATTATAGTGATGTACAAAGAAATCACCAACATCAAATTCGGAACTGAAAGCCTTCTCCCAATCCCACATCCCAGAAATAGCCACTATTAAATTTGGTGTGTATCCTTCAAGGGTTTTTCAATGCCCATATAATTACCCATATACGATATATATTTTAAAATGAAAATGAATAACATCATATATGTTATTCTGCCCCTCCATTTCTGCACTTACAATGTTGCTGACATATTTCCATGACAATATATGTGAGATCTATCTCATTCTTTTTAGTGGCTGTTTGTTCAACCCCCTCTTCTATTGATAGGCATTTAGAAACTTTCTGAATTTTCATTATTACAAACAATTCTCAATTAACATGGTCATGCTTGCATTTTTGCCCATTAATTTATGCTTCCTTTATTCTAAACCCTGTTCATTCTTGCTGCTATGCTGAATCTAAGGATTGGGAAGACTCAGCCCTGGCTCTGAAGGGGGGCACAGGCCAGTGAGAAAGAGAGGGTGCACAGACATGACTGTAGCACAGGGAGGGACACAGTGCCAGAGGGGTCACGTTGGTGGAAGGACCATGGATGCTGCTGGAGGGGAGAGAGAGAGAGAAGCAAGGAAGCCCTAACATCTAAGGGCTTAAAGCATCTGAGCTGGGTCGAAAACAGGGAGCATTCCTGTTCCTGGTGATGCTGGGGGTAAGAGTGTCCTGTAGGTTAAAGAAAAGCATAGAGGCAGGGAAGCCTGGAGGGTGTTGGGCACACAGCAGCTGGCCCAGCAGGCTTGTGGGATCACTTGGGAACCCTTTCAGCAACATTTAAATGCCCATTGTATGCCTGGCACTGGATGGGATGGGGGAAATGATGAGAGCACAGGGAACCTGGACCAGAGCAATGGGAGGTGGGTCCAGAAGGGCAGTTCTGATGTGGTTGATGGGAGGCCTTCAATAGCAGTTTCAGACGCCATACTTATGTGTCCCAACAACTTTGTCTTTTTTACACCGTAAAATAGCCATCATCATGGCTGCTGGCGATGTACCCTGGGCTGGACAGCAGGGAAGTGTAGCCTCAGGAAGATTATCAAATGGGATTGGTGGTAAAGTCCTGAGCTGGGGCTCAGGTATGTTGGAGCCTCAGTTCCTTCATCTGTGAACTGGATCAGCAATGCTTCTCTCTGCATGCCTCCTTCTACCATCAAGAGGTGCCATGATGATTAATAGAAACTAGGAAAAGCTCAGACACCTGAAGAAGGTGGTTGTTGCATCTCAGCCTCATCAGGAGCACCCAGTAGAAGACCCCAGTTGGCCTTGTGGACACAGCACCACTTCTAAACAAACTGTGCAAGCATGCCTCGCACCGGGAAATGGTCCAGTTGAGGCAGACTTAAGAAACACATTCTAGGATGTGTTAGAGCAGAGACTTCAGGTCTACCCAGGGATGAACCAGGTGCCAGAAGCATCTCTTCACTCGCATCCTCCGTGCCCACCCAGACCCAGTGATACTGGGGCAGACAGGCAGGCTGGTCTCTCCCATCAATAGAGCCTCTCCAATGCACCAGAATGACATGCCACTGGAGTCCCTCATGGCTGTCCCCACCACCTAGGTCAGCATCTGCTCAGCAAATGTTTGATGACTGAACAAATGAATGAATGTCCCACTGCTGGAGGGTGGGCAGCTTGAACAGTAACTTGCAGAGATACCCAGGGGACCCTGCAGTCCCAGGGGCTGTGAAGGAGAAATATTGAGGAGGGCATGCTGAGGGTTTTATTTCAAGCATGGAACCCTCCGCTCCAGTAACAGGTTTCACACCGAAGAGACGGAACACTTTCAACTCTTTTGCACCATAGAATTGCTTTGGTCTTCGGTCTATTAAGACAGAGATTTTTCAGAGACATGGCCCAAATCACTCAAAGGCAGGGGGTGGTTGGGGAACAGCGTAGTGGAGAAACCAAGGAAGACCTTTTCAAGAGAAAGAAAAAAGAACAAATTTGAGGACATTTCCTTCACTGGGATTTAAGCCAGGGATGGCAAATAGATTCATTTTGTATGACAGTTCTGCACGGCTGGTGGTGGCTGCCACGGCACTGTGCTGAGAAAGACTCTGAGGCGCCACTCAGCTCATCAAGAAAGGGCTCTATGATTGACTAGGAATGCTTGTTGTGGGCACAGAATTGGAAGAGGCTGCAGGGACACAAGCCACATAACAGCAAAATAGCAATGGCCTCCCCACGCGGCTCTAGTAAGGAATAAAATTTAGAACAATGAAGTCACTCTGGAAGCCAGACTGTGGATCAAGTGTTTTGTTTTGTTTTGTTCTCCATGTAAAAATAAGGCCCAGAGAGTGCCCACCCCAACCAAGCCCAGGGCCAAACTCTCTGAAGCAAGTCACCAACGTGTGCCACTGCTCAGGGTGGGAGAACCCCTAGAAGGTTTCTGTCCCTCATCACCCTGTTCAACCACTACGCCCTCTGCTGCCGACCTTAGGCATCTGGGAAAAAAGAAGCCAGGCTGCCCCGGCTCAGTTTCTCTCCTCACCTGTGTGGAGGGGTTTTCCCTCTGGGCCTGCAACACCCACAGAGGCCTGAACAGAGAGAGAGGAATGACAGTGGCCAGGTGCCTCTTGGAAGCTAGGCAGAGGCATCTGACAGAGAAACAATGTGAAGAGGTTTTTAATGCTTTTATTTTGAAACTTAGAGCCAACTCCAGCTCTTCCATGAATTCACAGTGAGTTTACAATGGCCATGGGGGGAGGGTCTATTTTACTCCAGTTTTGTTTTGTTCTGTTCGTTTGTTTGTTACCAGGTGCAGGTCCAAAGCTGGAATAGTTGGTGATCAGTTGACCAATGGTCAGTTGAATCCCTCCAAGGCAGAAGCTCCGCTGCCCCAGCCGGGGTGGGGATGAGAATGCTTGTAATTGTGAAGGAAGGAAGAGGTTCTGAGGACAGCCTGCCTGGCTGAAAGCCCACCTGGTGGAGAGTCTTTCTCTTCAGTAAATTCACATCATGGGTTCTGCAGACACTTTTAGCATTGACCTGTTAATGGGATGAGACCCTGGGAAAAAGGAGGAAAGACAAGAACATCTTCTAACGGGAGTCTTGAAATCTTGGATCTTGGGGTCAAACAACCCATTTGGAGACTGGGTTTGTGAAGCAGTAAGAGGCAAAGTACAGACTGGCAGAGGCTCTCAGGGTTGCCGGGGCTATTTGAAAATGTTCAGCAAAGGTATCATAAGAGCACTATGTCTTCTTTCCTTGAAAATCAGTTTTCCTGAAACCGAAAGTAGGCTAGTGAGACCTGCAGCATGCATGTCAGGACCGAGGGCAGACCAGCACTATTCCAGGGAGCTCTGGGGGCTGGTCTTGGACAGGTAGGGATGGCAGAGTTGGATTCATGAGCCACAGACAAGTCTGAGAGCCAGCCACTGGTAAGTGGTCGGGATGCCACTTCTACCACCAAAGGTCACTGATCTTCCCGCATGGAACTTGGAAAAGCTGGGGGATATCTCCATGCCTGGTTGTTGGAAGGCACCTGGCAACTGCTGGGAGCTGGGTGATCTATCCCCTGCAGGCTCTTAGAAACAATTCTCAAGTCATCCCTGTCATCTGTACTCAGGAACTCTCGAGATGGTCCCCATCCCGCCACTTCTTAGGGACAGCTTGGCACCCTAGATCTCTAATATACATCATCTCACTCTGTCCTGGGTCTAGACAATGAGGGAGGCATTCAAAGAGTAGGTGTGACTGCTGCCTGAGCATGGGCTTCCCCAAATCTCAGAGCTACTTGGTAAATTAAAATCCAGTCTTGTTAAAAGGCCTTGGTATTTGGGGGTTAGAGCAGGAAGTTGAATGCCATGGGCAAGACTTGTTTAAGATGAATCTGCAGACCAGTGGCTGGGAACCTCCCTCTCCCACCAGGAGGCAATAGCCTCCTCCCTGCCTTAGCAGTCCTCCCTCCTAAGGGAGACAGACATCTATGCCCCTTGCAAGAAAGAGCGCTTCCAGAAAGAAAAGCTTCCAATTGGGTTGGTCACTGCTTGTGAAAGGCTAAATGCAGGACAATCGTGATTGGGTAGCTAGAAATTTCCTCCTTTGTCCTGAAGCAGTTAATCACCAGGGTGGTCACAGTGGCAGGTACGACAGGTTGGGCAGGCATCCAGCCACTCTGGGATCTGGGAGGTCTTGGCATTAAAACCATCTTGTAGCTGAAGATTTCATGACATGGGAAAATGGTCCCAAACTACTAAATGGGAAAAGAGGGCTGTAAAACACTGTGTAGAATAGGATCCCAATTTGAAAATACACATAAGACATACTTGGAAGAATAACAACAAGGTCTTGTGATGACAGGTCTTATTATTTTGTTCTTTCTGTTTATTTAAATTTTCTATTTTTGTCTACAATAAAAATGCCTGGCTTTTGTTATAGGATTTTTAAGAAATTACTTTTCTCTGTTAAAAGGGGGAAATGGCCAATATCTGAGCACAGCTTTAAGAATAAGATGAATTCCTTCCCTATCCTGGATGCCACCCAAATGCAGTAATTCTTCACTCAAGATGTTTAATTATGTAAACTGTGTTGCTACCCTTTTCCTTTTATAAGAAAGGGCAAATAGCCAGAGAAGCTGTGAATGTTGCCACTTTAGCAAAAAGTGGAGAGCATTTTATTTGAAGCCAGCTTCTGGGGCTTGTCCTGGGCTGACTACAGTCTGCCTGATTGGTCAGGCCCCCTCCCTTTGTCCAGGTTCTGGCACCACCCGTGCACCCTGGCAGGGCTCTGCCGTCCCGAGAATGCCCCTGCCAGCTCACGGGGGAGGCAGCAGTGAGGTTTTATAGACAAAGATCATCCTTCCCAGGAGAATTTGTGCTAACCAAGACTGATGTCAAATGGCTTCTTGGTTGACTAGAAAGTTCAGTCCACACTTACTTTGTCTTCTGAGCTTTGCAGGTAGCCGGTATGGGGCCAGACAATGAGGAAGAAAAAACACAGGGAGGAAGAGGAGGCCTGAGGGCATATGGGGGTTGGTCATCCACCCATCCGATGACACTGCTGAGTGGCCCTTTGTGTGCTGGGCTCTGTGCCAGGCACCATTAGTGCAAAGGTAGGGACAGCGCAGCAGCCCCACCTGGGGAGTGAGGGTGTCCTCTGGCATTTAGGATGCAGTGTGGGTGGGGGTGGGGGATGGTCTGCAGAAGGCGCGACTCACCCTAGCTGAGAAAGCAAGCCGGCATCCTGGAGGAGGAGACTTCTACAGCCTGGATGGCAAAGAGCTGGTGAAGCCAAGGACAAGTAGGAAAGGAGCGAGAAGAGGATGTCAGGCAGAGGGGACAGCCTGAGCAAAGACCTAGGGGTGAGAGAGACGGCGGGACATTCAGAACAGTGGTGAGGAGTGAGGCTGGCGGAAGCAGGGTGAAGGCTTTATCTAGAGGGCAATGGGGAGCCAAGGAGGGCATGTGAGCACAGGAGTCAGACTGCTGTCTTTAGAAGAGTCCTCAGGCTACAGTGATCTTTCTGCAATGAGAAAGAAAAAGAGGGTATGGGAGGCAAAGAATGGTGGCAGAGACCTGTCCTCTAGGGCTCTGGCAGCCTGTGGGTGGCTCTCAGAGTCAGGCTGTGCAGTTCAGTAGGGAGGTGGGGAGACGGTGCCCCCTGCAGGTACCCTGGTTGCAGTCCTCACTTGTGAGCCTGGGTCACTTGCATCTGCACAGTGAAGGTAAAAGTACTTCTCTGAAAGGGCTGTTGAAGCTGCTGGAAGGGGAAACGGAGAGGCGAGCTGTCTGGAAACAGGTATATTCTGTGCCAGACTTGGTCCCTGGGGACCCAGCACACCACCAGTCACTGGTGGGCATTTCTGAACTGCTGTTTGGTGACGAAAAGGGTGGCAGCCCCAGCCTACCACAGATTAGATATGTGACAAACAACAGGACATTTCAGAAGGCCACAACATTCTCATGATAAAAAAAAAAAAAAGTTTCAAGTTCCTGGGAGGCACAATTGGCCAGGATGGAAGCACACTGACCTGGCGCTTATGGGCTCGTCACTGCGTGGTCCCCGCGGATAGCCTGCAGCGACAGCTCGTACCCAAGGAACATGGCCGCACTCATGGGGAAGCCCCGCACCGCGTTCACAGTGATGCCTCTGAAAAACACCTTTGCACAGGGGCCAGGTTATTGCAGGGGACTGACCCACACTCTCTGCAGGGCCACCAAGGAGGGGCAGAGAATAGCTAGTGGTGCTGCCTACCCAGGCCCGGTCCCCCACCAGAGCCCAAAGGACCTGTGCAGGCAGAGACCACACAGGGAAGTCCCAGTCATGCCCTGCCCTGACCCGCGTCATGCCTGGTGGTGCTTTTCCTCCCAGACCCTGATACACATGCACTAAATACTATAGGTAAGCTGTTGGGCCAGGCAAACACCTACATATGCTTTTTAAATTGCCCTCTCTCTCCCTCTCTTTCTTCTTCTCTCACATGTACACACACACACACACACACACACACACACACTCTCTCTCTCTCTCTCTCTCTCTCTCTCCTCGGGAATCTAGAAGCCCTGAGTAGACAGAGCACCCAGCCATGCCCAATCCCTGTAGCAGGGGCTTCACAGGACATCCCAAAAGTGGCAGAGAACAGAACTCGAGCTGTGCTTAAGACTCTGCAGACATGGGGTTGAGGCACGGCTTTGCCATTGAGTCACTTGGGCCAATGGCAAACTCTCTAGAACTCAATTTTCCCGACTGTAAGGGGCGGGTAATAATAGAATTGACCTGATAAGAATGTTGGAGGGACTAAATGAGATGAGGCTTTTCAGGCACTTGCACGGTGCCTGGCATACAGTACAAGCATGTATTAACTGCTGATTATCATCATCACCCTCCTTGTTCTTATCAATAGTCTATCACCTAATAGGGAGTAGGACTCAACCTCCATCACTAGGATGCATGCTCAGGAAGAATGGCCTGTGCTGATGAGCTGATGAACTCCGCCTTTGCTACTCCATGACACCTGTATTTGTCTTCCATCCCTAGGGAGTATTATGTGATGCTTCCCAAACACTGCCTATGATCTTCCTTTCCTCCCTCAATCTTCTTGCTTGGTGTTGTGTGTCGGCTCATAAATGTGATGGGATTCCAACTCTCAAGCAGTTATAACCCATTAGCAGAGACAAGGCCCCTTCAGGAACAATGACAACATGACCCAGAAAATGATGAGAGCAGATAAAAGCTTTGGAGAGGGGGATTGTGGGGAGGAGCTGGCCTTTAATGCATCCTCTGGTAAGAAACGACCACCTAAAAGCAAGTTCCCACACAAACGTAAATGACTTGAGAACTGTCAGGCACAGATAGAAACCTACTCTGATTCCTGTATAATTTTCTAAGTTTAAGAAACAGAAGTGGTCATTTTGTAAAGGTAGAAACCAACCCTTTTCATTTCCCCAGTTTCCTCAGTCTCTGGGCACTGTGGTATCAGAGTTGGTGCAGGCCTCTGTCACTGGCTAGGATATCAGGTGGCCTTCCTTCAGGAGAGGTGCCAGCACCTCACAGCAGCCTCCAGGGTGCAACATGTCCCTGGGAAAGGGGCTGATGGACAAGGATCCCTAGAGATGAACAAGTGGCTCAGCCAAGCCCTCGAGCTGTTCAGTCAGGGTGTAAGTGAGATCCTGGTAATATTAACACTCTTCTCTAATGTCTAACCTTTCTGGAATTCCACAGGCTCATCCAGAGTGACTGAATAACAGCCAGGAACTGGGTCAAACTCTGAGAGGAAAATTCCATGCCGGTGCCCACAGAGGTTCCCCTGTGGGTCTGGGCTTGGCTCTGCTCTGCAAGGCGGAGGCAGCCAGGGCCCAGCTTGGAGTGTGAGCCTTCTGTCCCACAGCCCCGGGCCCTGCAGGAGCTGTGGGCCACTTCAGACCAGCAGACAGCTCACCCTCCAGCAGCTGTGGCCTGCTCTGCTGCAGAGCCCACAGAAGGCAAACAAAATGCAGACCTGCCAGCTTTTACCCAGAGCTTTCAGAGCATATGACCTCCAGACCGAGTCCCCCCTCACTCCCACCCTACAAAGCCTCAATGTCTCCCTATGGCCTAGGGTCACTCTTTCCTGGCTTGCAACGACCCACATGCTCTCCCTTGCACTTTCTCTGGACGGCCTCTCACAGCTGACACTCTGGGAAGGTTAACAGCCTGTCATTCCCTTAAGGGGCCAGCCTTTTTCCTCCACTGGGCCTCTTCTGGTCCCCTCTGCCTGGAGTGCTTCCCAGGCCTGGCTTGCAGCCTGGCAGTGTCCCCATGGCCACCCCCAGGTGGATGATGGCCCCTCACCTTCTGTGCACTTGGTATCTCCCCATCACAGCACTCCTCACACTGTTCTCCAAGTGTCACTGACTTATCTGTCAGGAAGGACAGATAACAGAGGTGGGGGTGGGATTAGCAATCACAATCAGGGCAGTGAATGCAGGGCTGTGTGGATGGTTTGCCTCTGAGACCCCAGCACCTGCGAGCGCTTCGCCCAGAGTAGACCTTCCATAAACACATTAATTGAATCAGTGAATGGATGGATGGATGAGTAAATGAATGAATGAATAAATGAATTTTGGACGTGACAAAGGAAGAGCGTCTGAACTGAAAGAGTCCTGGTGCCTGCAGTTCAGGTTTCCTGGAGTGACAGGAAGGCTCCAGATTCCCCAGGGACAGCAACCCAGGGCAGCTGGCCCTGGTGCCTCCAGAAGCTGTCTACCTACAAATGCCCCCTCTGTCTGCCATTCAGCCTCATCTCACTGCCACAGCCCCTCCACAGCAGCTGCTTCCTTGGAGCCAAGATTACCAAGGTGCTCACCAGCCTGGTTATTTCAGATGGCAACTCTCCAAGTCAGAGCTATGGTCCATGTAGCCCAAGACGACCCTAACAGTGGGCAGAGAATGGCTCCAAAACTACCAGACTTTCCTTCTGTTTCTACTTGGGGATGCCTCGACAAGTCCATGGACTTTTGATTTTCCCCACCACAAAGGCTGCACCACTGATCATTCCTAAGTTGGTTACAAAGAGCTACTCAAATTGGTCACCATCGTCATTATTAATGCCTTTCTAACTCTTTCCTGTCACAAACTTCTTCCTCCATAGCAAGGTGAGAACAGATTGGAATGATGATGGGCTTTGGGCCTTGCACTCTATCTCTGCGAGCCACAGTCAAGAATGCTTGGGGAGGGGTGCTCCATTCAGCCAGAGCCCAAGCCAACTGGGAACTGGAGCCACCCCTGGGGCACTGGAGGAATCCTCTCTACCTTCTCCTGCTGCGGCTGCCAGAAAACTGCCTTTGAGACAACCTGATTGTTTTAGATGGTGTGATTATTTTTGTTTATGTTACTATTTATGTTCATAAGTAAACAGTCACATATACAAGCATACATAGATATGTACATACACATATATTCTTTTATACACTGTAAATGTTTTTGAAATGTATCACAAGAAACTTTACGGTAATTGCCTTTGAGCGAGGACAGGGACCACAGGCAGGGCATCGAGATAGTATATCCTCATGTAGTTTTGGAAGCTTCCTATGTTCATACATTACCAATTTTTGACTGATTAATACAAATTTTAAACAATTAACCTTGAACCGTCTGATCATGCAGTGGTTACTCAAGCTGAGTATTATTATCTTGACTTAAAACCTGTCTCTGAACCAACAGTGAGGACCAAACGCTATCGAGATTAAGAAACCAATCGTCTGACCTCAGCTGACTTCCAGGACTTCATTTTTTTAAAAGAGCACAGTAATTTTCAGAGGAAATAATATCAGCAATATATTTTGCCTCTACAGACTTTTTACGAATTATGACACATTAATATTTGGGGAAGTAGACAAAAACATCTCAAATAAAAATGAATCATCCACTTGAAACACTTTTATATCCCTCTATACTCATTGGCTGAATCACAAACTGTATTTCTGCTAAAAAAAAAAAAAAAAAAAAAAAAAAAAAAGAAGAAGAAAAAAAAGATACAAAAGACAATTGAGGCCGCACCAGGGCTGGGCTTCACCCTTCTGTCAGAGCAGCTCTTGTTAAAAATTTAAAAAAGGAATTTAAAATAATGAGAATAGGAAAGCTTTGAGTTTCTCCATCCTTAAAACATAAAGACAGAACTCAAGTTTCCTCCGTATCACATCTTCTTATACTAACCAGGGTCCAGCTTCTCCTCACATGCTATGATATCCTGCTCTTCATTCCCAGGGCACCACTAGGGTCTTGCTTAATGGGTAGTGACCAAAGGTGGATGCAACATTCCAGCTGCAATCTGGTCAGGGCAGAGGCCTCCACCTCCCTTATTCTACCCACTGTACTTCTATTAATGCAACCTTAGGACAGGTCTCACTGTTCGCTCACTGCCAACATTAGCTGATCAGAGAATGGGCTTTTTCTCTTTTGCTTACTGCTCTGTCCCCAGCTCCTAGAACTGTGCCTACCACATACTAGGTGCTCTAAAAATAAGCATTTGAAAACTAAAGCCCTTAGGCATTTTTCCCTAGAAGCCTTCATCAAATCGGATTGCCCCATCCTCTACAGAGATGATTGATCCATGATTGAATACTAAGGGCTGGACTTTACAGTGACTTCTGGTAGTTCTGTCTTTTAGTGTGGCCCTTTGATCTAGCTTTTGGATCTTGTCCCTCTCATGTGGCATGTTAGTTATTTACCTCAACACTGGGTCATCCAACTCTGGATCTTTCCCAAGTTGGGGGAGAGAGTAAAACAGGACGTCAGAAAACTTGCTGTAAGAGGCAGAGAAGGGGCAGTATAGAAATAGCTGTTGCCCGTGGTGGTGTGTGAGAAGCCCCTTGAGAGAGGTACAGGAGAAGCAAGCCAAGGACATGGATCCTGGGAATGGCAGCGGACTGCACTGGGCCTGGAAGGATGGGGCAGATTCATCTGGCAGGGCCTGGGGTGGGGCAGCCATGTGAGAAAAGACTCAGAGCTCCAGGGTAATACCGGTGCTAAAAAAATCAACACTGATAATACTAATGCAAATGAGAAATGGTTAACTCTTCCCTATGGGTTACATATTGAATGGAGTGCTTTTTGTATTAACCCACAAATGCCCCGCCCTTCATGGAAGGGATGATCATTCTGGGAGAAACTGAGGCCCTGAGACATGAAGCTGCTTGCTTGGATCCTGCCAGCTCACAGTAGCTACATCTGACTTTGAACCCATGTCTGCTGACTCTAAGAGCCACACCAAGAAAGCAAGGAGCCCGTGCAAGCAAGAGCCAGCAGGATAGTTCCTGCGGAGGGTGATGAATCTGTGTATTACCTTGGACACCAGACATGGAAGTCTGGTCTATCCTGGGGCAGCACCTTTTCAGGTGGTGGGAAGGGGTGTGTGTTAAGTTAAGCTCTTGAGCTGTAGGAAGAACAGAGGAGACACAGCCCAGGGAAACGTGTTGGAGGCTGCCTCCTCAGCCACGACCAGAGGTCTGGGGTCAGGGCTCAGGTGGGAGAGCAGAAGGCAGTTCACAGGGCCTGGAGCTGGTGAGATGAGCTGACTGAGGACAGGAAGGAGGCAAGGCAGCTCTGGCACTTCCCACTGGGAGGAGGAGTGGGGAAGGCACTGAGCCATGAGTGAGGAAGGGCTGCCCAACCTATCTTGATGAGAAGGCAAAATGCGGAGACAGACAGAAATGGACCAGGCCCAGGCGCCACCATGGACCAGCTGTGTGGCTGCGGCAGGTTACCAGCCCTCTCTGAACCTCTGTCAGGTCACATACCTATCTCCTCCACTGGCCATGTGAAAAGACCACCCAGGTGAAGTGCTTGACAAAGCACCCACTTGTGGCACCTGATACATAATCACCAGCAGCCCCCTGGTCTCCTGATTCCCTTCTCTATAGTCCCACATCCCCCTAAATGTGTGAACCACCTTCCAGGGACTGACACTGACCCCGCAGGCCTGCTGTGGGCTTACTTTAAGACCTTCCTTCTGGTAACTCTGGGAGATACAGTCCAGGACACCTTTATATTTGTTTAAATAAACCCCATCAGCTTGGAGTCGACTTTTCACGACATCCATAGGAGTCGCTGTCCCCCAAGAAATTGCTCCTGCAAAGAGAAAGAAACAGGTGTCAGGGGCTAGCTCCTTAGGATCTGGAGGGGCCTGGTTCCTTGCAGATTTCTACCATTTAGAGATTCATTAAGCTGGGAGAAGGGACAGAGCTCAGGCTTAGAACCTGCAAAGTTTGTTTCTGATTCTCCCTCGCCACTTGCTGTGAGACTTGGCAGAAGTTTCCTCCCTTCTCTAAGCCTTGGGCTTCTCATCTGTAAAATGGGATGGCAGTACCTATCTTTATGGGGCTGTTTTGAGGACCAAATGAATTGATGAACGTGAAGCATTGAGCAAGTGCCAGTCCACAGCCAGTGCTCGAGACGTGGCAGTATTTATTAGCAGTTTTTATTGGAGAAAGAGTAACAGGCTCCACAGGTACTTGGGAGCACCTTCCCAGGGCACCAGAAGAGAGCCCAGGGTGAGGCATGAGGCTGAAGGTTTGCAGCTCACTGAGGGCAGGATTTACTCTAAACACAGAGAAGCTAAACAAACACAGGCAGACAGGCTGCTCACAAAGGAAGGGCCAGCCTGGGGGTTGCAAAAAGAGAGCAGGGACAGCTTTTTGAAAAATCTCTTTTCTTTTTCAAGTATGTGGAATAGAAGCCTTGGGATCACATGCCACTAGGTCATCCTCATGGGATATGCTCAGGTAAGGAACTCTAGGAAAACAATGCCAGGTTATTATAGAAACACAGAAATTGGTACATTCCTAGATGGGGAGAGAAAAACAAATTGATGTTAAAGTCCAGGGCAACTGGTTTGCATGGTTTTGTAATTGCTGCGCAGTAGCTCTCAAAAGAGACCTTAGACTGCCCTTGGCCCTCAGCCTATCCTGGCCTCTGGTCCCCTCAGCCTCCTGCCCTTGGTCCTCCAGGAGCCTCTCTAAACCTGTGCCTTCTGCCAGGACAATGGGGCCACTTCCCCAGGTGCTGCCCTGGTGCACTCCCTTGCCCCTCAGCCCATGGGTGAGGGCATCACAAAACGGGATTTGCCTGCCAGGCCATTCACACCTGCTCTCTGCAAAAGTGAGAGCAAATGGGGCCTTGCCGTCCTCTCTGCCAGTCGGTACTGACTGAGCTCTTACTAGGAGCTGGGCATGAGCACAGGCACCTGGGGGCCAGAACGTGAAACTGTAGTTAGGTGGCTAAGACATGAGCTTCGTTATATGTCTGCTATGAGCTGACAGCATGGCAAACTGTGATGATGAGGAGGAGAAAGAGAGGGAGGAGGAGCAGGAGGAGGAGGATGATTCATGATTTTCTTCTTTCTGTTAGATCTTTCCCATCACATCAAACATGTCATGATGTCAGCCTTCTTAAAAAGTATCCTCTCTTGGCTTCCAAAGGCCCTTCTGGCTATGGCTCTGTTTCTCTGTTCCTCATTACAGCATAGCAGAACCCTCAGAAGAGTTGTGTATACTTGGGTGCACCAATATCCTTCATCCCATTCTTTCTTTATCCCACTTCATCAGGTTTTTACACCCTTCTCTCCATCAAATGGCCCTTGCCAAAATCCCCAGTGGTCTCCACGTTGTTAAATTCAGGAGGTGGTGAGTAGCAGGTACAAAGGCCCTGTGGTCAGGGAAGGGCCAGGCATGGTCAAGTTGCAGCAGAGACCAGTGTGACTGGAGAAAGTGAGGAAGGGGAGAGGAGTAGAAGTGAGGTGGGTGGGGAACAGGGAGCTAGATCACTGAGGGCCTGGAAAACCATTGCAAAGATATCAACTTTTACCTTAAATGAAAGAAGGATGTGGTGCAGGATTCTGAGCAGGGAGGTTAAGCAACAAGTCCATGGTCACAAAATGATGAAGTGTGGATTTGAACTTAAATCTTTCTGACTGCAGAGTCCTGCTATACTGTCAGCTCCAGCTGTATGACCTGGGATTGGCTACTTAACATTTCTGGACCTGAGTTTTCTCATCTGTGAAATGGGGAAACCGATTCCTACCTTGTAGAACTAATGGCATCCTTACATTACAAAGATTGCATTTAATAAACTGAACCATGATAATGGATTTCCTTTCCAAAGCTTAGTAATGCCTGACACAGAGTATGTGTTCAAAATATATCTGTTGCCTGAAAGTCAAATGGGAACTGCCATTCTCATAGCTGCATAGGGAAGGGATGAGACTGAGGTGGGAGAGGGCCGGGGACAGAGTAGGTACCTAACAAAGAATTGTTGGGTGAGTACCTAAATGTGTCCTGCCCTCCCCCTGGGCTGAGAAGGGCATGGCAGTTCCCCAGCTGTCCCACTGCTGTGGCCTGCACAGGGGTGCGGCTCCAGCTGCTGCTGCCCTTACCTGCCATGCCGCCCGCCAGCCACACGGCACAGGGGCTGGGGCCTGTGCAGGCCTCAGGTGTGATCCACTCACTCAGGAACACGTAGGGGATGAAGTAGAGGCAATAGCCTGGGACATCCCTCAGCAGCATGGCACTGGCCCCCCGGTATAGCCCCGCCAGGCCCTCATTCCTCACAATGGTTGTAATGCAGTGCACTGGCCCCTGGTATGCTGGCTGCTCCGCAGGAGCCACTGCCCTGGACTTCAAACCGAGGTTGGCTGCAAAGACAGGGGAGAGAAGGTGGCAAGTGACCCAGGGTGTAAGAGACTGGACATTCCGTGACACTGGAGCCAGCCCAGCCCTTTGACAGTTCCCTCTCATGTAGCCCATCAGCTTTTACCAAATCTGACCTTCTTGGCAGCTCAAACCAGGATACTGAGGTCCCAACAAGAGCCCCTGCCAATATACACAGCCAGACTGGGGACGATCTCAGCCACGTGATAGAACACCAGTTACTTTAGGTCAATACCACTACTTCTTTCGAAGCAAATGTGACTTCAGAATGTCTAGAATCAATTATGACAAGCCACACTAAGCTCTTCTTTGAAGCTAGAAAATCCAACATGCTGTGTGTGTGTGTGTGTGTGTGTGTGTGTGTGTGTGTGTGTGTGTGTGTGTCTGTGTACACATTTATTTATGCACAGTGTGGCGGAGCAAAATGTATATGAGATTTGGAGCCAGACTGTCCTGGCTGCAAATCCTAGCTCTACCGCTTATTGAAAATAATTTATAAATTATACATAAAATTTAAAATCTATAATTTAATATTTATAATTTTATAAAAATAAAATAAATAATTTTATTAAAATTATTTGGAAATAATTCGAAATTTACCTTGGCAAGGCAGCATTTTCAGCCCATTTCCTTATGTTAAAAGAGGGGGAGCTTGTCATGAGTGCAAATAAGGTAATACATGTACAGTGTTCAGCATGGTGATTTGAACATTGTAGGGGCTTAAAACGTTATCAACTGAGACCAAGGTTGCTGACATGAATTGGTGGCAGGACCCACAGGTTGGAGAGCTGGGTATATTCTCAGTGACTCACTCCAGCCCTGGCCAGGCTGTGCCCTAAACAGTTGTAGGGCAGCACTGGGGCTCTTGGCCCCTCAAAGTCCTGGGACCCAGGGCTGCTATCTTCTTGTCTAACCTCAGTAGTCTATGCTGGCAGCTCAGGGGTTGTTTGTCTCCAGCTTCTTCTAGGGGTGCACATAGCCAGCTGAGACTCTGCCTCTCTCTCATTTGCTACCCATCTCCCACTCTGATGCTTGTCTTCTCTGCTACGGACCCTTCTCTGCTATGGATCCTTCTCTACTATGAGGCTTTGACTCATGACCAGACAGAACTTCCAGACCCAGTGCAGATAAAGTAGGCTCTTGTTCTTGACTTTCCCTTCTCCAGGAAATAACATAATGTGACATGACCAGGAAAGAAATAGAATAAAGTGTGTCTGCGACCACAAGCCTATTTTGCCACCTGAGTTTAATTCTCTGTACAGTGTTCCAATCTGATTTTACACATGCTGGTAAACAGGCAGACAGCTTTCATCATATAGGTCAATGTCCAAGTCCCCCAAACAGTCCATCTTTATCAGAGGAAAGGTTAGAAGCATTCGGCTTCATGACTCCACAGTCTAGAGATTGGAGAATAAAGTGTAATCTGTACTTTAACTCATCCCAGAAGCAGGTGAGGTTGAGGGGGTGGTTTCTGCGTGCCTGGGAAGTATGCTTGAACAAACCCATGCTGTATTTTCCATCTTCCAGTGGGGAAGGGAGTAAACCCCTGCCATATCCATTAGGCCAACTTCAGTGTGGACAGGAGATGGAGCCAACTTCTTCCACAGTGGATCCCATAGGAGGTGAGCCGGGGTAGTAGCCACCTTTGGGGGCACAAGACCCCTCTGAGCAAGATCAGACATGATGGCCTTTGAAAGCCCACTGAGAGATCACTAGGCACCCCTTCCTCTTCCAGACCCATGGTGCTACTGCCTGGTTCATCTGGAGAAATTCTGCCGTTAGACAGAATAGATGTCATTGTCCCAATGTATAAATTTTGCCTGAACTGCTTTCATCTCCAGGCAAAACTGACTTGACCCAGGAGTCAAGGTTTTCATGAAGCAACTATGGGTAAATAGTGGCTTTCAGGAGTTACTGACTGAGGGAGAGGATCTTGATAACATTCTGCTTGTTTGAAAGTACAGATGGGAAAACACCCACCAAACCTCCAACTGGCCTTGTCAACAAAAATCCTGTACTGTTTTCCTTTTCCCTGCGGAGTAAGCAATAAGGAAATTCTCTCTCATTCTCCCAGGTTTGCCACATAACCAATCTAGCTTTTATTGCTTTGGAATTACCCATTTATGGCTGTTAGTGCAGTATAATTATCATGGTGACTCCCATCACCAGGATACTGACACAGCTCCAAACTGACCCAAGTTTATACTGTGAAGCTCTTGGAATTCTTTCTAGCTCCTTCATTCACAATATTTTTTTTTGAAAAAACTTTTTATTTGGAAATAATTCTAAATTTGCAAAAGAAGTATAAAAAGCAAAATAGTATAAAGAATGCCCATACATACAATTTACCCAGATTTATCTATTGCTAACAATAAGCAAATAAGCTCATTTGCTTATTGTTTGTGGGTTCTCTCTCCCACTCTCTTCACTTCCCTCCCTTCTCACTCGTGTGTGTTCAATTCAACTGAATCGATATAATTGTCCCAGTGTCTAAACTTTGCCTAAGCCCCATTCATTTCCAGGTAAGAGTGACCTGACCAGGAGTCAAGGTTTTCATGAATCAGCTATGGGTATGATGTGGCTTTCAGGAGTTATTGATTGAAAGAGGGGATTCTGGTAACATTGTGTCTGCTTGGAGGTGCAGATGTTGCAAAAACACCTGTCAAACCTTGAACTGACTTTGGCAACAAGACCCAAACTTATCCTTTTTCTTCTTTTCTTCCCAAGGTAAGCAATAGGGAATGTGTGTGTGTGTGTGTGTGTGTGTATGTGTGTGTGTGTGTATACACATAGATGTATTTTTACACATTCATACATAACTTCATTTTCTAAACTATTTCTGGGTGAGTTACATACTTGAAGAGTCTTTACCCCTAAATATGTTGAAAAATATTTCCTAAGAATGGAGATATTGTCTTATATAACTATAGCACAATTACCAGTTTCATATAGCTACTTTGACAATACTTTAATCTACCATCTATGATCAAATTGTCATTTGATCTTCATGCATGCCCTTTATAGCATTTTCCCCTCCAGGACAGGATCCAGTGCTTCAATCTGGAACATTTCCATAGCCTTTCTTTGTTTCTTGTGACACTGACATTTTTTAAGAGTACACAACCCCTCTGCTTGTTAATAGAGCTTTCCTGATTCGGGGTTTGTCTGACATTTCCTTATTACATTGTGGTCATGCATTCTTGGCTGGACCTCCTCCCCATTCTTAAGTCTCATTCTCAAAAGCCCCTGTTCTCCTCCTCTGGCCTCTTATTTTTGTTTTTTGTCAGTTTGTCTTTTAATTGAACTATACTTTGTATTCAATAAAAGGTAAAGCTTTCAAGTGCACGATTGATGAGTTTTTACAATTGCATTCACCTATGTCATCACACTCTACAATGGAAGTGACTTCTCATATTTGAAATAAACTGTTTTGTTTACAGCCCAGTTAGGGAGAGCAGTGATTCCACAGCCTAACTATCCTCTCCTGATTTTCAAGGTAAAACAACTCTGTGATATCATGAGGTGTCACTCATTGAGAAGCAACCTTTCTCTGGGGCAGTGGTTGTAACTTACAAGTCCATCAGCACTAGCACTACCAATAGTGGTATGGATGATTCATATTGGGTCCACAGAGCAGAATGTCATCAAAGGTAGTTATTATAATTCCAAGCATAAATATACCTGAGATAAAAATGCACCACACCACCACCATTGGTGAGGCCCAAAGTCCAACAAACCTAACATGATGATGCACTTATAGTAATACTGATTTTCAATTCAACAGCAAGAGTAGGAGCCATAGAAAACTATGACCAGTATAAGATAGCCCTGCTGATGAATAAACAGAAGAGCCTTCTTCTGGAAAACAGCAGAAATCTCCGCCAGTGGCCCATGTGGTGCTAAGTGCTCTCTGGCTTGTGGGGGTGGCAGAGCCGGGGGGTTGCCAGGAGCCTCAGCAGATAGCCTCAGGAAAACACTGGATCGGAGTTCTTGGTACTCTGATACCATGGGACCAATTTTAGTTTGTGAAAACCCAATTTTGATGACTCTTAAAAGCTGATTTGAAAAGTTACTGGTAAGTCAGTCTTGGAAATATGCACAACTGAGATCTCTGGACTTGCAAGTCCTTTGTCCAAGGAACCTGAGGAAGACTACGAGGTGCCGGATCAGGACACAGCTCACAGGAAACTGCCAACTCCCAGCCCATTGTTTCTGAACCTTCAGGGTGTACATGCATATGCGAAAGGATTGGCATTAGATATATATCCTTCTCAAGCGAAGTGTACCTAATTTCTCTAATTAGAATTTTTTATTCTGTAATGAGGATTAAAACATTAATCAAATTTTGATCTTTTTAAAATCATGAATGCTTTGCATTTGAGACCAACTTTTGCTGCCTCTCTAGATCAAGGGCATACTACCTTTTATTAGGATAGATATGGATTACGTACCTCAAAAACTGCTGCCTCTCTAGATCAAGGGCATACTACCTTTTATTAGGATAGATAGAGATTATGTACCTCAAAAACTCAGGAGGCATGTGGTTTCCTTCATTTCCCCAACTTCAGTTAGGGCTATCTCAGGCCCCCTGCACCTATGTAACCAAGACTAGCAAGATGTTCAAAGTCAATGAAAATAGCAACCCACTGCCGTAGGAAGTGGAGGAGGGCCCAGGCCTCCTGCCTTGTCCAGCTCAGTCCCGGCCAGCACACCTAAAGCCACAGGCCATGGCTATCTGGCTCTGCAGCTCTCTGTGAAGTGCCAGTGCCTTACTGCTGGCCTCCTGTTTGGCCTGGGAGGTCCCTTAGAGGTAGATGCCTCTTCAGGGAGTTTTATTTTGGGGTGTGGTGGTTGTAGGTCCAGGTTTGGCCAATCCTAACAGGTACCAATACAGCCATCTCTTAGGGGACATCCAACTTCAGAAGGGCTGAGCTGGGCTGGACACAGACAGGAGACACCAGCTCTACCACTATTGCCCCTTTTCCAGAACCCAGGGACCCAGCCACAGAAAGTCACTGTGCCTTCCTCAGACACAAACACAAAGATGTTCCATTTATTTTCCTTTCTCAGTCAATGCTATTCAATGTCTTCAATGGGCCATGACCTTGGAAACAGTAAGGCCAGCAGAAACACAATGGCTGGCCACTGAGGGGAGCAGGGCTGGCCCTCAGGAGCACAAAGGCCTGGCCACTCTCTGGAAGGGAAAGTGCTCCCAGCCTCCTCTGCTGTGTGGGTATGTCGGTATGTGGGTGGTGGGACAGGGAACACAGCATAATTTCTCAAGAGGCCACTTTCTACAGAAAATCCTTCACAAATCAGCCATCCACAAATGAGGCCCTATGGGTCACTAGTCAGGGATGTGTGGGTTTTCACGAGGGTTCTATTCCAGTAAGGCTCAGCCAGTGGGAGTCATTTCAAGGCACCCCACAATCCATGAGCATTATGCATTGACAGAATTCCTACAATGTCTCACACATACATATGTGCCCATTTTTCTCATATGTGTGGGTACTATCACAGGTAACACAATAAGATTTTACTTAAACATATTAGTAATCCATAGTAGCTTCCTTACATATTTGTTTTCTTAGTCCACGAACTCTTAAAAGTACAGCTGCTGTTCGATGGGTTGGACCACATTTTCCATATTAACAAGGCGCTCTTAGAAAAAGGTCCCCACAGCCCATGCCTGAGGCTGTGCCCCCTAGTATGGCTTGCCTCTGTTGCTACTGTTTTCTGAGTGTGTTGTTTTGCCCTTAGTGTGGCGGTGAGTTTCCTGATGACAGGAATCATACACTATGGCCCGAGTCCCATATATATCTCAGCATCTACTCCATGGACAATGGAGCGCCTGACTTAGGCAGGTCTCAGCACTCCCAAGACTCACACCCTTGGCATTCATCAAAAGTCTGGCCCTGACTGATCCTTGGGTCAGAGGCTTTAGATATTAAAGGAAATTCCAAAATCAGGGTCCCACCTACAGCACTGCTTAGATTTGATGGAAGCATCAGTAACATGGCTGTACATCCTCCAGCAGACAGGCTGGCTGTAACATCCTCAGTTTGGGTTTGAGCTTGAGCAGGCTGGTGGACCCCTCAGATCACTTCCCAGGATATTACCAGCTGGGAAGCTCCTACCTAGTTCCTGTTTCTAAGAGTCCAGCAGTTTCCTCATGACGTGAGAGGCCCAAGATAGGCAGATGCTTTCATAGAAAGAGCCCTGGATTTGCATTCCTATTCAGTTGCTACTTAATGTACAACCCCATGCAAGAGATTCAATCTCACTGGGTCTTAGTTTCCTCATGATCTGTGAAAGGCAGAGAATAAGTGGCCTGTCCACCTCATTTGGCTTTTATGAACATGAAAAGGGAATATTGACAAATGTGCTTTACTGAAATACATGCCATGCAAATGTCCCTTACTCAAGGCAAATAGTTCTTATTCCTATTTTTATCACCATGTCCTTATATGACTCTGGATTCTGGAAGTGCCAGACCTGCCAACTGCAGGCAGCTGTGACCTGCAGCCAAGTCTACTGTGGGAGATCACTGTTGCCCACATGGGGCCAAGAATGACCAATACTGGTGTTAAGTCCAGAAATCAGGACAATACTTGCTGTTGTCAATTGCTTTAAATAAACCATGTGTCACCAATGTACGTAATTTGTACAATGGTGTAATATGCACTATCATTAATGTCTGGTAACTATGTGGGACAACTGTTTGAAAAGGACAAACTGTTCAAAGGGTTCAAACTAGTCAAACCGTTCAGAACAAGGACTTCTTTGGAACTGCATGGCCATATGCTTGGCCTCTCCACAAACCTCCTCCCTTCACTCCTGGGCTGCCATTGCTCCAGCTCTCACTTGCTGTTGGCAACCCACAGCCTACTTGAGAAGGCCCAGGCTATACAGGCCTGGGTTGTCTTCAGGATTTTGGGTCCCTTTTCATGCTCCAAGGGTTCCTGCCTTTCTACATAAGGTTTCATCTTTAAGGGTTGTGTGTCCCTTCAGGGATCTTAACATCAATAACCCCTACCCTGTACTGGGAAAGTCTTGGAAAATCTGCTGTTCCTTCCCAAGGTCAACCTGCCTGGAGAAGAATATTTTCCTTGGTTGCCACACATCTTCAAAGTAGCAATAAAATATTGCTAAAGAGACAAATGGATGCACTCAGGGCCTCAGAGGTACAGCTGATGACCTCCCAGCCAGGCAACTCTGAGGATTCAGGGAAACTAGAGAAATGTTTTTGCCTTATTTTGTCACCATGCAGATTCTTGGGCTCAGATGGCTTTGTGGCTGAGACCCCTCTTGGCTGACCCTCTCTGCTGTTACCATCCAGCCCAGCTTGTCTGCTCTTGTCATGTCCAGAAATTAGAACCTTCTTCACCTCAAATCCTGGCCCCACTCTGATTCCTTTCTATCCATATGGTCTTCAGTATGATGGAGCCAGGGCTTCTGACATCAATTCCCTCAACTTCCTCCCACTTGCCCTCAAGAATCTCTCTGCATTTTTACTTTCTTTCTTCTTCTCTCCCAACTTGGAAATGAACGCCTTTTCCTTCTCCATTGCCCTCTGTCTCTGTCCCCATCATCACCCCAACTTTAGCATTTTTCCCCTCCACATGCTCCTTCCTCCTACTTCAGTAACACCAGTTTCTCAGGACTCAGTTTCTAGGGGTCATAGAGTTGCACAGCCTGGGGTAATTCCCCACCTCCCCAAGGGATAGTTATGTGAGCATGGACAAATTATGTAATTCAGCCTCGGTTTTCTCACCTGTAAAATAAAGATGATAAGTGGGCCTATTTCATAGGGTTGCTGTGATGATAATGGAATGGGCATTAACGTGGTATAGCTCAATACATGGTATGAGCTCGATAATTTTAACTGCAGTTATTAGTGTTACTGTAACTCTCTGCTTCTTCCCAAATTCCTTCACTAAGTCTTCTCTTTGCTGCCATCCTCTGCCTTATTTGCAGCTCGCTTGGTGTTTGCATCTAATGTTATGACCTCAACTGTCACTTCTATGCCTATTGCACTTGTGCCTCTACCTGCAGCCCTGATGCTTCCAGGTGCAATCTCACAGGCACCTCACACTACATAGACCAGGCAAAACTCATCCTCTTCTCACTCAAGTCTGCCCCTCCAGCAGCAGCCACAGTAAGCATTGATTGATTACCTGCTCCATGCCAAGAACCGTCTTAGATGTTTCATTTGCTACTTAATTCCCTGTGTGGGGGGTTCCACTTGTCTCATTGTCATCCAACTTTGGGGTCTTTGGTCATTTTTGACACTTTCCTCTCTCCTGCTTATGCCTAATGCTTGGCCTGCTGCTTCTATATCATCAGGGCCTCTGCATCTGCCACCTGTCTCTGTTCCCAAGCCCAGGGCCCCAGGTCTGTGGCTATAGCCTTCAAATCAATCTACCCACTTCTACAATTCCCACCACTCTTCTGCCCCTTCCAGAGGCCAGTTTTCTCTTCTCCAACACCACTCTGATTGCATCATTCTGGTGTCCAAAGTGCTTCACTGCCTGCTGAATATAATCTAAGCCTATCCTCAGCGAAGAAATCCAAGCGCTTCCCAACTTACTCCACATCTTCCAAAACCCCCACCATCCCTGCATTGCTTGTCTGTGCTAACCAAAGGCTCCCTTGTCCCACCATGTGCCTACATTTTCCTGCCACTAAATCTTCCCCTATGTTGTTCCCACAGTATTAAAACACTTCGCCATCCCATGTCCCCATCTCTAAATGCTACGTAGAACTAAAAAACCCGATCAACAGCCTCTTCCTTTCTGGAGGCTTCCTGATCCACCAAGCCAGAGTCAGGGGTTCCAAAGACTTTCCTGAGGCCTTTCTCATTGAAGCACACATCTGGCTCCCCACTAGACTGTGGACACCCTGAAGGCTGTGGCTTCCAGCGCTTCTTTACCCACTGTGTCTGCCTCAAAGCAGGGGCTCAGGAAATGCTTGTGAATGAACAGTTCACAGTGAATTCAAACAGGTGTAAACACTCATCTCCTTGCCTCCAGTTGGGCCTGGTGCAATGATTAGGATAGTCAGCACAGAGTTAATGTTCAGTCCTTCCCTGATCCTCCCAACTCCAACCTCCTGTTATGTGGAGGGCTTTGTGATCTGCACATTAATTAGTCTTTCAATGGAAAAACAGATCTAAACACTCCCAGATGGGGGAGGAGTGAGTGTCATTAGCCATGAACTTCTAGGAAGGACATGGCTCAGGCAGCAAAGGGACTACTGGTCTGCAGGGTCACAGCCCTGACTTCTAGCTCAGGCTCAACAGGCCACCTAGTTAGGCTTATGCCCAACAGGCCACCTAGTTAGGCTCATGCCCAACAGGCCACCTAGTTAGGCTCATGCCCATGCAAAGGGCAGTGATTTTAAAAGGAAGGGTTTTTTCACAGGTGCCTTACTGTCACAGGCACATACAACTGAACACAGGCCAATGTCTCCTTGCTTGCCAAGTGGCAGAGGCCCCAGGAGAATACCTCTGTTAATTTGGAAGCATTTACATGGGGGCATAACTACTGGTTATTGTGCAATGGTAGTCAGTGTCAAATGGAAATTCCCTTTAAATGTAAGCAACTGCTTATATGATTTGGTAAAACTCTTCTGGATAACAATTTCACAATATGTACCAAGAATGTTAAAAATGGCCACACCCCTTATCCCACTCATGAATCAAAGAGCCCACACATTTAGGGAAATAACCCTAAATAAAGAGAACTCTTTATGAATATATTCGCTGATCATACCACTATTTTTAAAAGAGGAAAAACTGTAAACAACCTAAATATTCACCATTAGGAAGATTGTTAAATAATACATTTACTGATAATTAACATTTATTTCACATTTTCTATATGCCAGACATTGTGCTGAGGTCTTCATGTATAATACATTTCATTGCATCCCAGCTATAAAGTAGCTACTATAGTTATGCCTGCTTTGCAGATGAGTTAACTGAGGCTTGGTGACATTAGGTGAGCTGTCTAACCTTTTTTGGGTTCAGTGGAAGTAGAATTATAAGCAGGTAGTCTAATTCTGGAAGCTTAATTTTTACCATACTACATAGACTCTTTCAGTGTGTGTGTGTGTGTGTGTGTGTGTGTGCGTGTGTATTTGATGGACTAGTGCACATCCATTTTAAATATTGCCCATCTACTTAAAAAAATTTTATATGCTATTTTAATAACATGGTTAGTGTTTCTATTATAATGCTGAGTTAAAAACAGGACATGAAATTGTCCATATAGCATGATCACAGCTTCTTAAAATCTTTAATCTATGTATACAGAATGGAAAAATAAACACATTAATGTGTTACCAGTGGTTGTAATTGCATGAATGGGCACTTTCTACCTCTACTTTCAATGTTCTGTAGCTTGTAGATTTTTAACCATGGATCACCACTAAGAGACAATCAGGAGGGGCTGGCTGAATATACACTGGCTATATATTTGCCAGTCCCCCAACCACCTGAGCTGGGCTCTCACCTCAATGTGGCCCCCAGTCCACCTGTCATATGTACCAGAGCGAAGAAGCCAGAGGCCTCTTGGCACCTGGCTTCCGTATGTGAGTGCTGTCTCTCATATCACATAGGATCGCCCTGGAAGTGGACTGGCAATCCTGAGGCAGAACCACAAAACCCAATCAGTCTCAAAAGCCCTGCCCAAGGCTGCCTAGAAATGCCCACATGAGCACAGTCAACACATGGATTGGGACTGACCCAGGGCGCAGACCACAGGACTGCAGCCAGCCCCAGCCCCATTCTATGCAATTCACACAGCCTTGGGCTCTATGGTGTTCTGTTTGGTTTTCACTGAATTACATGATCATTCCAACCAAAATATCTCATGAAAAAAATCTACCTTTTTGCCTTCTCTTAAAAATCGGAGGATCCAAGCACATCAGGCCACAGGGCAACAGTCCGATAAAGTGGGGTTGTGACCACTCCCTTGGACAGGATGTGGGCCCAGCTTGCCACAGTCCCCACCACTCCCAGCTGCCTCTCAGACACTGAAGCTTACACATCAGGCTTGAACTACTGCTTTTCTAATAGCAGAATGAGGCAGAAGATAAAATATGTTCTGTGTCCAGGTTTCAATCGAAAGAGGAAAAATGAAACATAGATTAGGAGAGCTGTGGTCTCAAGAAAAATGGGAGAGGATTCACTTCCCCAGACACCTCTTCTCACTTATGAAACTACCTTTGCAAAAATTAGATCAGTGAGAAAATTATGGCAGTGGGGGCAACCTAATCTAGCCAATCCCCCTTTTGACTTTATCCTTCAAGCTGCCTTGATTATTTCTTGGCTTAGGCTGAGCTAACTTTGCCAGACATTTAGTTTATACTTTAAATGATAATCGCCCTTCCCTAAAAGTAATGAGAGGTCAACAGGCTAGAGGGAGGAGAGGAGCCTGAATTCTGCTAAGGTATGGAGGAGAGGAGCCTGAATTCTGCTAAGGTATAGACATAAAGGATTGCCAGCCATTATTTAGGAGGTCACAAGATATGCAAACTTCCCCAATTACTCCTGCCGATAACATCACTGCAGGAGTAATCAGTATTGTGAAACCTAAGATTTGCCCTTTGAGGTATCTTTTCAGGCTTTTTGCATGTCTGACACCAGTGGCACCAACTCACCAGCCCTGCTCCTGGACCCACAAACCCTGCTCCTGTGGCCTCACCCAGAAGCAACAATGTGCATAGGAGGACAATTTTCCACACCTCTATGATTGCATGCCAACCAATCAGCAGCAAGCACCCATTGCCTAGCCATCTCCATCCCTTCCCACAAACTGCCTTTGAAAAAGCCCTAACTTATAAGCCTCCTATGAGATTGATTTGAGGAATAACTCTGTCTCCCACGTGGTGTGGCTGGCCTTGTGTCAAATAAACTCTGTATTTACTGCAATGCCAGGGGAGGCGATATGATTTGGCTGTGTCTCTACCCAAATCTCATCTTGAATTGTAGCTCCCATAATCCCCATGTGTCATGGGAGGGATCTGGTAGGAGGTAATTGAATCATGGGGGTGGGGTCTTTCCCATGCTGTTCTCATGATAGTGAGTAAGTCTCATGAGATCTGATGGTTTTATAAATGAGAGTTCTCTGGCACACACTCTCTTGCCTGCTGCCATGTAAGACGTGACTTTGCTCCTCCTTCACCTTCTGCCATGCTTGTGAGGCCTCCCCAGCCATGTGGAACTGTGAGTCAATTAAACCTCTTTTCTTTATGAATTACCCAGTCTCAGGCATGTCTTTATTAGTGGCAAGAGATTGGACTAATATAGGAGGTTACATGTATGTTAGCTCCCTGTCGTGATGAGTCTCTGAGTTTTCTATCTCTAGCCTAGAGGGTTCCTGAGGAGCAATTGAAAGAAAACCACATTCCTTCTCATTTTCTGGAGGGATTCCTGGCAGAAAACACTGCCTGGTGACTTTTTGTCAGCCTCCCCTCCCTTCTCCAGTAGTTGATCCTGTCTAGCACCTGCTGCCACCAAATTCCTTCCCCCAAGCAACTGAGGGCAAGGGAGATCAGAGGGGGCAGCCCGATCCCACAGAATTCACACCCAACCCTTGGAACCCACAAGCTGTGCCCATTACTTGGACAACGTCATTTTGGGGACATGCTCCCAGCTCACTTCTCCCTAAAGTTTGAAGCTATTTGTGTGCATGACAATTTTGCGCAAAGGCCCAGGTGGCCCAATGTTATCAACGTTGTCATAACCTCAGCTTCTACAAATCCTGGGGCAAAAGCAGAGAAAGCATCAGTGCCTCTGAATCAGACCTCCTCCACCTCCCACTAAGGGAGGGACCTGGGGGTATGAAACCTCTTTGTTCCTCAGTCTCCCCATAGTAAATCCCCAGGAATTGGGTTGTTGTGAAGATTAAACATATGCCAAGCTCCTAGCATTGTGTTTGGCACACAATTAGGGTTCAGTAAACACTGGCCACTCAGCCACTACTGCCAAGACCATTCTTATTCAGTCCAGATCACAGAAACTTGTGGGGGCACGGCAGAGGTGGGTCCTCCAATCTTGGCTTTTACTCTCCCTCCATGCACTTGGTGAACCATCTTTGGCTTTGGCTTTGCTCTTTGTGCTAAGCCGATGAGCCCAGGTTCTAATGGCTCAAAGCTTTGCAGGGTTGAGAAATATTTGCCTGCAGAAACCTCCATGCCTCTTACTAAGAGCCTTCTCCAAGCTCCCAAAAGGCTGGTCTCCTGGCACACAGGGAAGAACAGAACAAACACATGTTCATTTTCTGTTGCTGCCTCGGGGGTTTATTTAAGAGAACTGGTTTCCTTCTGGCACCACAGACAAATAAACAACCTGAAGGCACAGGCCATGGGCAGATTGCCATACAGGAGGCTCGGGGAATCTTACCTATCCTGAGACATGTCAGCACCTCCCCATGGTGGAAGGACAGGGTCCCTGTGTTCTCACTGCTCAGAGGCTTACCCAAAAGACAGGGCCCTTTAAGGACAGGTGCCAGGTGGTAAAGGGCCCTTTAAGGCCCTTTAAGGATCCCTTTAAGGACTTCCCTGATGAGAGATCTGAAGGTCCCCAGGTAGGCCATATCTCAGGCTCCCATACCTAGGCAAGGCAGACCTGAGTGGCCCTCAGCACTACCTGGGCAGGTGCACAGCCCTGACCTCCAGGCTTTCCTCCCAGCCCTTCTCCCACCCTGCTCCCAAACCCTCCTTGACTCCAGCCTGACAGCCCATTGTATTTCCCTACCACCATGGTTTGTAGGCACCCAGTTCCTCTCTGGCTCTCAGCTGGATGCCACACTGTAACAGAGACAGGATGCAGTCTTTTGTTCACCACTGCATTCTCAGCACATAGCCCTGTGCCTGGCACCCAGTAGGTGCATAACTATCATCTTGGAGATACGTGAACAGAGATGGCAATCATATCTGCCTCATGCTGTAATGGTGGATATTAAAGAAGGTGATGGGTGGACAGTACCTTATGTGGTGTCTGGTATAGAGTGAGCATGTCACATTGGCAGCTGCTAATGGTGGCTGCTCAGCTCCCTAACACTGGCCAGGAGCTGTGCACCCTGCTTGGAGGCCATGCTTGGATTCAGCCACTCCCTTGGCTGCCTCCCATTCTTCCTCTAGTCTCCAAATGCTTCTAGCCTAGCTTCAGAATCCCCTATCACTCAGGGCCTGGTATGACACCATTCTAGCATACTGTACAGGGAAAGCTGGAGTGGAGGTGGGCAGGACAGAGGATAGAACAAAAAGTTGTCAAGAAACCTTCAAATGTCCCAGACCTTCTTAAGGAAAGTATTTATTGGGAAACACCTCCCTTGGCGTCCCAGCTGGGTGAGGGCCCCCAACAGATACTTGCAAACAGATATTCGCAAAGCTACCCCCATTTCCTCCCCTTCCAGGGACAAGGTGCCAGGTGGTAAAGGAGGCGGGGCTGCTTCCAGCAGCCAAAAAGCCTCATTGCTGAGCCTTTTCCAACAACCGAACCCCAAACAGTTTTAAGACGTATGGAGATTTCCTTTCCCCTAAGGCAAGCTTTTCTGAAGCAGTCGGGATAGAGCAAAGAGCCAGCACAGGGGCCTGGATGCCTGGGTTCTCAGCCTGCTCATGACAGCCTTCATTCCTCTACATCTTTGCTTATGCCTCTGGGATGGGACAGATCAGCAAAGTTCAAACATTCCTCAGAGGTGCCACCCTTGAATCAAATTGAATTGTGCCAAGACATGACCCAATATGCTGAAGATGAAGGTGAAGAACTGCCGGCCCTGTGTCTCCCTGATGGCCCCATTTGTTTTCCTGCGTCTCCCCACGTGCTGCAGTGGCCATGAGCCTTGGGGCATGTGACACACAGCCTTGGGGCAGCCAGGCCTCAGGCCCTCCATGCACCCCAGCAAGGAGCAGCAGCACCATGCTTAGAGCATGTGCAGACCCTGTCCTGGGCAGCTCCGGGGCTGGGGCAGGAGATGCTAGGCTGGGATGCTCCTGAGTGAGCTGCTGGGGCTCTGACCATGATACATGCTGAAACCCAGCCTCCCTGGGCAGAGGGGTCACACAGGGGCTACTCAGAAGGCTGCCAGGGAGAGGAGTCTTCTCCACAAGGGCCAAGATCAAGCTGGAGACTGTCAGCCCCATCAGATGTCTGAGGTGACAGGAAAGGACTCTGGGTCCATTTCTTCCATTACACAGGAAAGGACTATGGGTCCAGCCTTTCCATTACACAGAAAAGGAGCATGAGCCTCAGGAAGGGCAGTATCTAACCTGAGGAGACAGGGAACTGAGTGGTAGAGCTGAGAATCAAAGTACCTCAAGGTACTGAAATACGTCTCCTACCACTGCAAGCCTATCCTTCCTCCAAAGCCGGCACTCTCTCTGCTCTGCACAGCAAGTGCCTTCCTGTTTTTTCTACCCTCCTTTGGGAAAGCCACTGCCAGGAAAGATGCAAAAAACTCTTTCCCAGCAAGGAGGAACGAGAGATGAGGGTTTGTGGTGCAGAAATTGCTACATCGCACAACAAGAAGTGAAGCTCTAACAGGAAAGGCAAGGGCTGAAGGACAGGCAAGGGTGGGTAAGGGCAGGAGACAGGTGGTCAGGAGCAAGGCCTCGCCTGCTGCACTTCCTGGCATGTGGGCCAGGTGAGATCGGGACTCTGGGCTTTTGGATGAGACATACATGCGTATGAGTCCCAGCTCAGCTGGGGCTAGCTTCGTGCAGATGAGACCAGTGTGTTCACACAAGCACCATGCTTGGCTTAGTGCTTTGCTGTTGCCATTGTAAAATATGGCATAATTTTTGAACAAGGGGCCTTAGCATTTTGCACTGGGTACTGCAATATTTGCCTGCAGAAACCTCCCATGCCTCACTCTCACTGGTGGCTCTCACTCACCAGTGGCTAATCGTGTGTTCTTGAGTAACTACCTTAACCTCTGGGAGCCTGTTTTCTCATCTGTAAAATGGAGATAGCAGCATCTGCCTCACAGAATTGTTACAAGATGAATTATGAGAACATATGCAAAGGTCCTAGAGAGTACCTGCCACATACCAAATACTTAATCAATGACAGTTACTGCATCAGGTTAAATAGTAATAAAACCACACCTTGTTTGATTGTACTTCACTTCATTTCACTTCCCAGATATTTCATTTTTTACAAATTGAAGGTTTGTGGTCAGCTTGAGTCCAGCAAGGCTATCGGCACCATTTGTCTAACAGTATGTGCTCACTTCCTATCTCTATGTCACATTTTCATAATTCTCACAATATTTTCAACCTTGTCATAATCATTATATCTGTTATGATGATCTGTGATCTTTGATGCTACTAATGTCATTGTTTGGGGGTACAACAAGCTGTGTCCATATAAGAGAGTCAGCTTAATCATGGTTGCTCTGACTGCTCCACTGACAAGCCAGCCATTCCCTATCTCTCTCCCTCTCCTCAGGCTGCCCTGTTTCCTGAGACACAACAACTTGAAATTAGGCCAGTTTGTAATTCTACAATGACCTCTAAGTGTTCAAGTCAAAGGAAGACTCATAGATGTCTCACTTTAAATCAAAAGCTAGAGATGATTAAACTTAGTGAGGAAGTCATGTTGAAAGCGGAGACAGGTCAAAAGCTAAGCCTCTTTTGCCCAAGAGTTAGCCAGGTTGTGAATGCAAAGGAAAAATGCTTGAAGAAAATTAAAAGCACTACTCCAATGAACACACAAATAATAAGATAGTGAAATATCCTTATTGCTGGTATGAAGAAAGTTTGAGTAGTCTGGATAGAACATCAAATGAGCCACAACTTTCCCTTAAGCCAAAGCCTAACTCAGAGAAAGGACATAACTCTCCTCAATTCTCTGAAGGTGGAGAGAGGTGAGGAAGCTGCAGAAGAAAAGTTTGAAGCTGGCAGTGGTTGGTTCATGAGGTTTAAGGAGAGAAGCCATCTCCACAACATAAAAGTGCAAGGTGAAGCAGCAAGTGCTGATGTAGAGCCTGCAGCAAGTTATCCAGAAGATCTAGCTAAGAGAATTGATGAACATGACTATACTCAACAACAGGTTTTCAATGTAGACAAAACAGCCTTCTATTGGAAAAAGATGACTTCAGGACTTCATAGCTAGAGAGGAGACGTCAATGCCTGGCTTTGAAGTTTCAAAAGACAGGCTGACTCTCTTGTTAGGGACTAATGCAGCTGGTGACTTTAAGTTGAACCCAGTGCTCACTTACCATTCTGAAAATCCTAGGGCCTTTAAGAATGACAATCAATCTGCTCTGTGTGTTCTAGAAAAGGAACAACAAGGCCTGGATGACAGCACATCTGTTTACAGCATGGTTTCCTGAGTATTTTAGGTCCGCTGTTGAGACCTACTGCTCAGAAAAGAATATTCCTTTCAAAATATTACTGCTCATTGACAATGCACCTGGTCACCCAAGAGTTCTGGTGGAGATACACAAGGAGATGAATGTTGTTTCCAGGCCTGCTAACACAGCATCCATTCGGCAGCCCGTGAATCAAGGAGTGATTTTGACTTCCAAGTCTTGTTACTTAAGAAGTATATTTCTTAAGGCTATAGTTGCCATAGATAGTCATTTTTCTGATGTATTTGAACCAAGCAAATTGAAAAACCTTCTGGAAAAAATTCACCATTCTAGATGCTCTTAAGAGCATTTGGGGTTCATGGGAGGAGGTCAAAATAGCAATGTTAACAAGAGTTTGGAAGTAGTTAACCCCAACCCTCACAGATAATTTCAAGAGCTTCAAGGCTTCCATGGAGGAAGGAACTGTAGATGTGATGGAGAAAGCAAGAGAACTAGAATGAGAAGTAGAGGCTGAAGATGGGGCTGAATGGTGCAATCTCATGATAATATTTAACGGATGAAGAGTTACTTCTTATGGATGAGAAAGACAGTTTTTCTTCAGATGAAATCTACTAGTGGTGAAGATTCTGTGAATGTTGTTAAAATGACAGCAAAGGATTTAGAATATCCATAAACTTAGCTGATAAAGCAGCGTCAGGGTTTGAGAGGACTGACTCCAATTTTGAAAGAAGTTCTACTGTGGGTAAAATGCCATCAAACAGCGTCTCATGCTATAGAGAAAACTTTGGTGAAAGGAAGTCAATGGATATGGCAAACTTCATTGTTGTCTTATTTTAAGAAATTGCCACAGCCCACCCAACCTTCAGCAACAACAACCCTGATCAGTCAGCAGCCATCAACATCGAGGCAAGACCCTCCTCTGGCAGAAAGATTACGACTCGCTGAATACTCAGATAATTGTCAATAATTTTTAGTACTAAAGTATTTTTTAATTAAGGTATATATACTTATTTAAAACATAATGCCATTGCACACTTAGACTACAGTATAGTCTAAACATAACTTTAAATGCACTGGGAAACCAAAAAGTTCATGTGACTTTTATTGTGATATTTGCATTATTGCAGTGGTCTGGAACCAAACCCATGTCTCCGAGGTATGCCTGTAATTACGGACTACTAGGTGACAAGGTAGATGCCTTGCTCAATAAAAGGATTTTAACAACCATGTCCCAGATCCCACAAACCAGGAAAGGGCCACAAGTCCCAGACACCAGCCTCCGCTCCCCTGGCCTCTTACCGTCCCGAAACGGTTGTGTCTGCATCTGCAACCGGATCTTGATGAGGTCCACGGGCCCTCCCAGCCCGACAGAGACCACGCCGGCCACCATGCTGGCCAGGAGCAGGTCTGACAGCGTGCGGGGAGGACTGGCCTCTGGCTCCCCGCAGCGGTGCTGGCTGAGGAACCGCTGCGTGTTACTGAAGACCCCAAACACCACGGAGTTGTAGACGGCAATGCTGGCGAGGGGGAAGGACATGCCCTTGAAGAAGCCGAACATCTGCAGTGAAAACCAGAAGGAAGAGGCGTGAGGACCCCGGGCTGCCGTCGCAGAGCCTGCAGGCTGACGGGGTACACCACCGGACACATCTGCCCATGTGTCCATGAAGAGAGGGGAAGAGGGTGCTGATGCGACAGGAGGTAGGGGGTGGGGAACCACTCAGGGGCAGGCATTCTTGCTCCGAGGACAGCCCGGCTTCTGCAGGCCGCTTTGTTTCCTGTGGGTTGTGTCCTGGCCTGGAACCCACACATGCCATGCATGCGCCGGGAGGGGCAGTGATCTTGGGCTGGAAAGAAGTCAGGCTGTGGCCAAGGGGGATCCTGAGGAGACCTTAGGAGCAGTGGGCTGGCCAAGCACCACACGCCCCCACCTCATATACCACAACAGAAACATTCTCCAGGCACTGGCCAGGGGCCAGGCCCTGGGGAGCAACCATAAGGAAGAAACAGCCTCCGCCCTCACTGAGCTCATAATCTGGGGAAAGTGAGGTGTGGAACAGACAAATTGACAGGCAGTTACAACAAAGGCAGTCTACTAAGCCTGTGGTGTAAGACAGGGGTTCCCTAGACCCCCGAGGGGTGCCTGGGCCAGCCTCTAGATGAGTGCCCATGAGCATGGGTGTCTTCTGACAGAAGTGGCTGAAGGGGCCACATAAGGACACAGGATGCGCACACACAGGCTGCAGGAGGCTGAGGAGGGGGTGCTGCAGGCCGGGTTCGGTCCCTTCCACACGGCATTCTTGATGAACACCACAGATGTGCTGAGGAAAACCGGAAAATTCCACAGGCCCTTGGAGGAGTCAGGGCAGCACACGCGTGCCAAATCAAATGTGAGAAAGTACTGGGAAGCTATTGTGCAGACTCCAGGCTGTGCACAAACCCACTAGTCCTCACTGCGCACACTGTACCCTGGCTGCCAGAGGCAGGATGCCTCACACACACCTGCACACGCACACACACGCATATATACACACGTATGCACACACACACACGTGAACACACCCTGCTTCATGCTCTTCTTCCATCACAAGATCCTTCAGATAACTTGGGATGTGGCTTAGCCATGGGCTGCTATGTCTCAGAGAAACCGCCCGCAGTCCCCACCAAAACCCCAGAGCTTGGACACAGACTGGCAGACACTGTCGGGAACATGTGCCAAAAGGAGAATCAACAGCCGCTTTCAGGGGACTGTGGACTCCCACAGCATCACCCGGGAACACCAAGTGCTGGGCTTGCAGCGCTCGCCCCAATTTTAAAGCAGCCGATCAAGGGAGTTACACCACCACCCTGACGCAAGACACACTTCATCCGTGGGAAAACTCTAGGTGCCTGCAGGAGGCTTCCGAGCCCCAGGACACTTGTTAGGATGGAGTCCGGTGGAGACAATGGCTACAGTGGGACCACATTTCCAGTGACTCAGGGAAAAGTCAGAGGGCTGCGACAGGGTTCCACCTGATGGTTTCTTTAAATCAGGTCATTTCATTCAAAATTTTAAAATTTATTCTAAATTCCACAAAGAGGGGCCTCAGAAAGTTTTCCTGAAGCACATGCTGATTCTCAAGAAGGGAGCCTGATGCATCTTCTACAAAGCATCATTCAGTTTTCCCTTCGGAAAAGGAATACCTCAGGTCGCATGGTCTAAAGTGACCTGGGCGCAGGTAAACTCTGGTGTCTAGGCTCAGACACATCTGGCTCCGGCCGGGCCAGATAAAGGGAGGTCTATCAGCACACGGTTTGCCAGTCACTCATTCCTTTGTGAAAAACTGAGCCATCACCTTGTTTTTGCAGGAATTTTCCACACTGCAGCTCCAGATTCTTCAGGATTTCTCCACAGAGGTTACACACAACTGGAGTTTTTCCTCAGTTATGCTGTGGTAGTGGCAGGGGTGAGTTTAGGTAACACATAATATTTGAGGTGTGGTGTGAGATGAAGTAGGGAAAATCAAGCTGAGTGTGAAGAGCAGGATGAGAGGCCCCCACCTGCATGCTGGTGTGGGGCTGTGGCCCTGGTCCCCAGCCTGTGGGGGCCCAGGCAGGCATCACTCCACCCGCCCAAGGGGCACTTACACTCTCCCTCCTGTACACCACGCGGATGCAGCTGAGGGTGTTTCCGTAGCCAACGCCAGCCTGCAGGCGAGTCTATGGAGAGAGGCAAGGACATGGGTCAGCGCAGAGGTTATTCATAGCCCCACTGCTCCGGAGATGCCCAGAGGGAAAGGCCCTGCTCATAGTGACCCCCGCCAGCAAAGGGTCTGGGTTTCAGTCCTGGCCAGGCTGGTGCCCTGTCTCCAGCTTGCACTGCCTCCCTCTAATGTCCCATTCAGACTCACTCAATGCAGAGAAGCCTGCTTTGCTGAGAGAATGGCAAAGGCCAGCTAGTTGTGCCGAATGATTGTATGATCCCCACCTCTTGAGTACAAAAACCTAAACTGGGACTCTACCCTATCTGCTGTCTGTCGCTCCACCCTCCAAAATATATTTGGGGGACACCTGCTCTTCTTGTCCCTAGAACCACCACCCTAGGCCTCACCCCTCATCCTCACCAGAAACATGGCCTGAAGCCCTCCCTGGTCTCCTGCTTCTCCCTCACTTCCTCCATTTCTCTTTACACAACAGGCAGACTGATCATTTTCAAAGGTCAATGAAGCCTCCAGTGGCCTCCCATCAAATGTAGGATAAATTCTGCATTCTCCCTGAGCCTGGGAGGCACCTGTCTCTCACCCCACATGCCATCTCCTCTCCCTGAGCCCTGCATGAGTTGCATGTTCCCAGACCCTAGAGCAGCAATTCTTTCCTGCCTCCAGCCAGCTGCCCCTGCTGTTCCCCACTTCTGGAAGGCTCTTCCTCCAGCTCCTGCTCATCTTTTAGGTCTGAGTCGAAATGTCGCAGTGGCCCTATGTATTTGATTATATAGAGTTTATGTAGGACCACCCAACTAGGGTAGGACCACCTGTGTTACTTTCCTTCCATCCCCAGAGCTGGGCACAACCCTGGCATAGTGGCCCCTTTGCACTGACTGAACAAGGACTGTATGGCTAATGTGTGGTGGCCTCTGATGGAAGCTGGCTTTGGTGACCAGGGGCAGGAGCTGACAGGCATAGAGGGTCTGAGTAAGCCCACCGAAGAGTACCCCTGCCCTAGTCTTAGAGGGTTCCACTTCTTTTAAGACGTGCAGCCTATAATTCTCCATCAAAACACTTTGTCAGCACACACAGCATGTCATGCCTGGGCATGAAGGAGCCATGAGACCACCAAAGAGGAGATACTGGCCCATCCCCATGGAACCCAGTGTGCAGTGAGGGGCTGAGACCCAGAAAAGCAGGCTAGCTCTTCACATGAACTGCCTGAGATCAGCTCTGTAGACAAGTGGAGGAGGCCCTGGAAGAGTACATATAGTTAAAATGGTGATCTCAGAGGTGAAGATCACAGGCGATGTTTTCCTGCATGGGACTTTTCTGTATTTTCCAACTTTCCTACGATAAGCAGATGTTACTTTCATTATTTTTAATTTATGTAGTTTAAAACTAATGTTAAGTACACAACTCGTATGGAAATAAATTCTCTCAAAAACAACAACAACAAATTAATGTCACATGTAAGGCTAAAGCTTCATTGGACCCACCTTCGCTCTCACCCTACTCCTCTCCTGAGTTTATGACCATGGCTAATAACGTGGCCAAGAGTTTGAGAAGCATCCATTTGAATAGTTTTATAAACATATGTAGCCATAGGAAAAATATAGGAAATAGTATCACCCTGTTCATAATTATTACTTTCATAATCAGAGAAGTGTGTTTATTGACTCACTCAACCAATATTTGTTCGGGGCCTATTTTATTGGAGGCACTATTCCAGTCTCAGGGAATTCAGCAGTAAAGAAACCAGAGTCTGCCTTCATGGAACTTACAACCTAGTGGAGTCAGGAAAGATGGTCAATAAAAAATAATTCCCAAGTAAATATATATTTTAGATGAAGACAAGTACTACAGAGGAAAATAAACCAAGGATAAGAAGAGCTGGGTGATAAGAAGGAAAAGGTAATTTTAAATTCAGTGGGGGAGACTCCCTGGAAAATGCAGCAAGATGAGAACTGGGCCTTCAAGGTCTTCTTGTTAAGCAGAACCACAGAGGCCTACCTCGGAGTGGGATGTCCACAACCAGGACAATGACTTGGGCCAGGTGGTGGAGGGGTGCAGGTCTCTCTCTGTGCCCCATGTAAGGCTGTCATGAGGTCCAACACTCTCCCAGGGCTGTCCCTGGAAAGTGAATCCACAAATGGCTGACTGCCACCCACCCCCTGCAACAAGTAATCAATTCCTGCTAAGAAAATTGAGTGGTTGAGTCACTCAAGCCAATAATACATGAAGTGACTCAACCTGAGAGCCAAACCTGGATCACAGAATAATTTCAAAGCCATGGAGCAAAGGTCTGTCAGGCATGCTGAGCACTCGGGTAGGCTGGCACTGAGGCCAGCAGCAAAGCCCAAGTCTCTAGGGCCCCCAGTGATAGCAGGAGAAGGCATTTATTATGCACCAACTGCATACTGACCATCATATAAAATTGACCTCACTAAATCCCACAGATGCTCTAAGGCACGGATACTGGTCCCATCTTACAGATGAACACAACTGACTACTTATATTAGTTTCCTATTGCTGCTGTAACAAATTACCCCAAACTTCATGGCTTAAAACAGCATGAATGCATTATCTCACAGTTCTAAGACCAGAAATCTGAAATGAGTCTCAGTGGGGTAAGATCAGAATGCTGGCAAGGCAGCACTCCCTCGGGAGGCTCTTGAGGAGAATGTGTTTTCTTGTCTCCCCCAGCTTTTGGGGTTCACCCTCTTTCCCGGAGCCCCAGCATCATGGCTCCTCTTCTCTCCCTGCTTCTGTTGTCACATTGTTTTCTTCCTCTTCTGTGGGAAGAAATCTAAATCTCTCTCCACCTCCCTCTTATAAGGACACTTGTAATTACATTTAAGAACCTCCCTGATAATCCAGGATCATCCTCCCATCTCAAGATCCTTAACATAATCATACCTGCAAAGTTTTCTTTTGCCATATAAGATGACATTCACAGGTTCCACAGATGAGGACACAGGCACATCTGGGGACCATTATTCAGTCAACCACACTGCCTCACATGGTTTCCCCAGGAACCTGGCCCCCTCGTTTTGTTCATCCCCAAGGCCTTTCACTCCACAGGACCCCAGAGGCTGCTACTCCCACCAATCTCTAGCCTACTGAGACCAAAACAAGTCTAGTCCAAGCTCTTGACCAGGTGTGGCTGCCCTCAGTGTTGGGTTCTGACCTATACATAGTGTTAGGTATATAATAGATACTCAGTGAACACCTATGAAAGGCAAGAGAGAAGAGAGCTTGGTTCCCTAGCCCAGCTTCAGTGCTTTTAGTTATTATGGAAAATATCTCCAAATCTGAGGTGTCCAGAGCACTCATTTTGGGCCTACAGAATTGATGGTCTTGCCATTATCTTTCTCGTCTCTCCTGGTTATGTAGAATCAAGGCCATTTTAAGACTTGCTTAGATTTTGGACTCTTTCGCTTTTGCAAACCTGCTCATATTGTATCAAGTAAGATAAAATTAAGCATAATTGTATATATTTAATGTACATCCCATATTAATATCATCCACATAGACCTCCATGAAAGCTGAGTTGCATTTGACTATTTAACATGAGGTTATATTTTGTAAATATTTAGTGCAGCATTAATTTTGATTCTGTACTTTTCTTCTTATATACTATACTATTTTCTCAGGTCTCTGACACTTTCTTTGGTCCTTATAGAGAATGGGAGCCCTGGATTGTGTGAATGCAGTGGATACATCTTGAAGATCATGGCCCTTCATGCAATATTTAGCCCAAAACTATGAGCTTCATGTCAGGGGTGCTGTGAATCTCATGCTACTCCAGTTCATGGTTTCTCTCCCATTGGAACCTCTCAGCATCCCAGAGCTGAAAACCCAAGGAGAAGAGGATGAGTGCTCAGTGTCAGAGGTGAGGTGGCTGAAGCCTCAGAGCTCAGAGCTGAGCCACTGCCTGGCCTGCCCCTGACCTGGCAGAGCAAGCCATGCCCTGGCTGTCCTGGGCCAAGATGCATGCCCCAGATTGGACTGGGTAGTGAGGGGGCAGCCTAGAATTGTGGGGAGCATGTTGAAGCAAAACAAGAACCCCCACTGGGATGTTCATGAGAAGGAGGCAGACACCCCCTCCCAAAGCCTGTCCATTGCAGTCCAGTCCCAGTGGTCTACAAGAGTGATCCCCAACATTTTTGGCGCCAGGAACCAGTTTTGTGGAAGACAATTTTTCCAAAGACCAGGGTGGGGTGATGGTTTTGAGGTGAAACCATCAGATAATCAGGCATCAGATTCTCATAAAGAGCGGGCAACCTAGATCCCTCGCATGCGCAGTTCATAATAGGGTTTGTGCTCTTACGAGAATCTAATGCTGCCACTGATCTGAGAGGAAGCAGAGCTCAGGCAGTAATGCTCACTTACCCACTGCTCACCTCCTGCTGTGCAGCCCCGTTCCTAACAGGCCACAGGCTGGTACTGGTACGGTATAGGAGTTGGGGACCCCTGGTCTAGAGGCAGCCAAGCCCTGACTAGAAAACCTAGCCACGCTGCATCAGACATAGGCACCAGCCAGGCCTCCTCAACCTAAGACCACGCAGCCAAGGGCACAGGAATAAGCCTTTCACCTGGGTCAGCAGCACAGGCCCTTGTAGCCGGGTTCTTCCACAGGTGAGTCCCCGGACCCTAGACAAGTGACTGTCTGCCTCCCTGCACTCCAGCCTGTCTATTCTTGATAGTAGCATCATCTCGCTCATTGCTGTATCCTCAGTACCTCCATGAACAAGCTTCATGACAGCCCCACCAGGGAGGTGCTACTTGCCCACTTTACAGACAAGGAATTCAAGGCTCAGGAAGGTTAAGTGCTGTGCCCAGGTCACTGGAGAGTAGGTGATAAGGCCAGGACTGGATTTCCAGTTATTCAGACTTGCCTGGCCCTTTCTTGGTGGACAGGGTCTGTTGAGAAAACATCAGCCAGAAGGAAGGAAAGAAGGTGTGCTGGAGTGCAACAGGGGCACTCAGGCTGAACAAAGACTGGATGTCATGTTTCAGGAGGGCTTCCCTCCAGAGCTTCAGGGCAGAGTGCAGAGAAGGGAGAAAGCCCAGCCTTTTCAGGCAACTGTGGCCAGGGAGCTCCACTCCTGTAAATTGTGCTAAATCCAATGGCTAGTGTCCTTAGGAAGGATGGGCAGATCTGACACACAGAGACTCAGAGGGGAGGCCATATGAAGACAGGCAGGGCCTGGAGTTACAGAGCCACTGCCCAAGGAATGCCGAGCACTGCAGCAGGCACTGGAAGCTGGTAGAGGACCATGTGGCAGGTTCTCCCTCGGAGCCTCCAGAAGGCATCAACACCTTGGTTTTGGACTTCCTGCTTCCTGACTTGCGAGGAAATAAATTTCTACTGTTTTAAGCCACCCAGTTTGTGGTTATTTGTTACAGCAGCCCAAGGAAACTAATTCATACCCTCAAATTTTTACCATTAAATCCCTCACACCCAACAGTGACTTGTTACCAACTCACTTATATTAAGTCAGCCTGGGTTTTACAGAAACAACAGCCCTTTTCCTTGCCGAGATGCTAGGCCTCTGGTAGGCAGTTCCATGGTCAGGGACTGAGCATGCCACTTGGAGAATGCTTGTTCATCTTTTGAGGTGTCCCACTGACCCCCAAAGAGAAATTTATAAATACCATTTAAATCAGAGAATTGAAACACATTCTCCAATTTTGGTTAAAATCTTGCTGGACATTGTCACATGATGTGGTAACTGAGCAAAACTTAATATATATCGAATGATGTTGATAAAAATAGCAGCTACCGATTTTGAATCCCTGCTAGGTACCAGAAACAATGCTTATAATCTTACACTGACCCTGTAAGCCAAGGATTTGTATCGTGTTTAACAGAAGGCTATGCAATCAGGAAATGGCAAAAACAGGATTCACACCTAGAGCCTGCGTGGTTCCAAAGCCCATGCTTTCTGGCTTGGCCATGCTGCCTCCCCACTGATCCATTCTTGTGAACTGGTTTGTTGAATGAACCCTGGAGAAGACAGACTGGGAATGACTTAGGTGAGTTTGGGAGGGTGAGAATTGCCAGGAACAACCAGCACTCTCATGGAGACATTAGGGAGTGCATCTGAGTCTTCCAAGTCTCCCCAAGGCCCAGCCCTGGAGAGGTATGCAGCAGGCACCTTGAACTTGGCTGAGGTCCCAGATGGCCACTCATTCAGCAGGTACTCACCCAGGGAGGCTGTGCCCAGCCCCGTGCTGAGGTGCACTCTGAACAGGAGAGAGTCAGAGGCCACAGGCTAGGGAAGCCAGGCCTGGGCACGGTAACTAGCCAGCTCTCATGGAGGGTGGAGAGGGCTCAGTGGGCAGCTACCACAGAGGTGGAAAAGGTTTCTAAGGACCTGGCTTAGCTCTGGACAGCCCTGGGGAGTGCCAGACATGGGCCCTAACTCTGGGCAGCAATGGCTCAGCCGTGATATGCTAGTAAGTCCACTTCAGACATGAACTTGCTGCACAGCCCTCCTTGGTGGGCTCTGGGACCCAGGGCCTGGGTGTGCAGGGCTGGCAGGAGGCACGCAGCAAGGCCCCTAGCACACTCTGCAATCCCATTCTCCCTTGGCCTCTCCAAGCACCTGCACCACACCACTTGCTCAGCTCACTGTGTGCACCACACACACACTGGCCTTCTTTGTTTTCCTGGAGAATGTACATCGCAGCCTGTTCCCACCCTTGGGGCTTTGCACTAGCTTGTCCCTCTGTGAATAGCACTCTGACCTCAGTTCTGCGTATCTGGCTCTTTGTGTCATCTGAGTCTCAACTTAGCTGCCTCCCTGGCAGAGAGGCCATCCCTGACTCTTCAAAATACAGAAGGCTCTCATCACTGTGTTTGCCATCACCTTGTGTTATTGTCCCCCAGCACCTACCACTGTCCATAACTGATTTGTGCATCTGTTGTGTTCCCTAATTATTGTCCATCAGTGTCCTAAAAATATCTGTCTCCTTGCCTGCCTCCCTCACTCCTGAGTCCTCAAAGCCTAGGTCAGCCCAGAAGTAAAATTTACTTTGGAGCTTTGAATCCAGCACTACAATGCCCGGCTCTGAGGTCTGGGGCAGGTTCCTAAACTCTGCACCTTACCCCCCTCCTATATAAAATGGGAAGATTATACCATTTCAGGAGGGTAGACTAAGCCTGCTTCACTCACCACTTTGTGTGCCCATCTCCCAGCACTGGGTCCTGCCTGCCATCCCCCTGCATTGGGATGTCCCCTGGGGAGCCTAAACGCCCCCCTTTACTACTTAAAGTGTTTCTTCAAATATTTAAAACAGGTAGGCTGATCTTCCCATCAAGAGGGTGAGCATGGGCCCTGACCTAGGAGAGGGTCCATTTTCATACAGGGAGCAAGATGGGGAGAAAGGACATTGCAGCAGCCATTTGAAAACGGTCTGTGAGGCTCCTCTCTGTGCACAATCCAGGCAGAGCTTTAGAAATGGATCTGGAAGGCAGTCAGCAGTGAGGAGGCACAATTTATGGCTCCGTTCCCAGAGCATAGCTCTAAATTCTGCTCACCACTGGGGACGGGTGCAGGGGTGGGGATGGGGTGAAAGACTGCTCCTTTGCAGCATCTCGCACCTCAGTTTTTAACTTGTTGTATGATCTGAGATGAGCCCCTTCCCCTTTCTAGGGAACATCCCAGAACAAGGGGCTTGGATAATCCCAATGCCAGGAAGGTCCCAACAGCCCCAGAGTCCTCACACCCATGTGCATCATCAGGTAATGATAGGTTCCCATCTCCAATCTACTTCTAAAGTTCTACCTGGACCTCTGAGGGTTCTGAACCTAAACCAGACCTCCTGGCACCCAACACCCCCTGGACTGGCAACAGAGAGTCTGCCCTGGGCAGAAGACTCTCTGAGAGATTAGAAACAGCAGGAATAGTCCCAGAGGCAGGTCAGCTCCATGCCTCTTTTTAAGAGGTAATGGGAAACATGGCTACTGTACCTTGACTGTGTCCAGAGGGTGGCCAACGATGACACTGGCTGCACCTGTGGATCAAAAAAGAATGCCTAGTAACTCAGCCCTTGGACTCCTGGCTTACACCAGCCAGCTCTTGGGACAAAACAGGCACTTGTTTAGTCAACGGTCAATTGCTGGGGTAGGGGGAGTGGGTGGGCTCCAATGTGCTAGGCACTGGCCCATGCACCAAGGAAGGCAGAGAAAATAGAGTAAAACAAGCAATCACTCCATAAAAGGAAGGCAAAGGGACTGGGACAAGTGGATATTCACAGGCAAAAGGGTGAAAGAGTGGAGATAGACCCCCTACCTCATACCATATACAAAATTAAATCAAAATAGATCAAAGACCTAAATGGGAGAGCAAAACTATAAGATTCTTAAACTAAAACATAGAAAAAAATCTTGACCTGTGATTTGCAATGGACTCTCAGATATGATACCAAGTGTACAACCAACCGAAGGAGTGAAGGACATGCCATACCAAAATATAGCAGATGGGTGCATTGATTATTTCAAGTTGAAAAGATTGAGAAATCATAACTTCTGAAAGGCTGAACTGACCTGCCTCTTCCTGCATGCAGCAAGCAATAAAGATTCCTCTGGGAGGGTTACCCTCTCCATACCAGGGTAAGAAAATAGCCCTTATTAGCTGGGATTCAGAACTGAAGGCTGCAGTGGCCCTGAATTCATACTTAATGAAGTAATCCTTATCTTCCACCTGTTTTATACCCCCCACCCACACATCTCCTAGTGACTCCTCTAGCAAAATTCCACCACCCTAGCCAGATTTTCTTTGTCCTGTCATTTCTTCTCAAATTGATCACTCTTTGTCTAAAAAGTATGAAAAGATCTTGCTTTGGCCACTTCTCCCAACTTCACTCTCTTGTGAAGATCCCTATGTCATGAAAAACTAATAAAATCTGTATTATTTTTCTCTTGTTAATCAGTCTGGTGTCAATTTGGTTTTTATATTCAGCTGAAGAGCCCAGTAGGAGCTAAACAGGGGGTTGGAGTTTATCTCTAACTCCCCTACACAACACAAGAAATAATAACATTCATAAAAATTGAAAACTTTTGCACACAAAAGTGAAGACATCCTACAGAATGGAAGAAAATGTGTGGAAATCACGTATTTGATAAGGATTTAGTATTCATATATAGGAAGAACTCTTACAACTGACTAAAATAATTTTAATGGGCAAAGGACTTGCACACACGTTTCTCCAAAGATGATATACAGATGACCAACAGACACATGAATAGATGCTCAACATCTGTAGTCATTTGGGAAATGCAAATTGAAACCACAATGAGATACGTCTTCACACGCACTAGGATAGCTACAATTGAAAAAAAGTGGAAAAGAACTGTTGGCAAGGATGTAGAGAAATTGGAACTCTTGTACATTGCTGGTAGAAATGTAAAATCATACAGCCATGGTGGAAACAGTTTGGCAATTCCTCAAAAAAGCTAAACATAGAGTTACAACCTAACCCAACAATTCAATTCCTACATATATACCCAATAACAGAAAACAGATACTAAAACAAGTACAAGTACCACACATCACGGCAACATTGTTCACAATAGCCAAAAATGCCCATCAACTGGTGTATGAATGCCCATCAACTGGTGTATGAATAAACAAAATGTGGGATATTTATACAGAGGAATACTGTTTGGCAATAAAAATAAATGAACTATTGATGCATGCTACAGCATAGATGCACCTCCAAAACATTATGCTAAATTAAAAAGGCCAGACACAAAAGGCAAGGTATTGTGTGACTCTACCTATATGAATTACCCAGAATAGGCAAATCCATAAAGACAGAAACTAAGTTAGTGGTTGCCAGGACTGGGAAGAGGTGGAAATGGGAGTGACTCTTGAAGCGTACAGCATCTTCTTTGGTCATGAGAAAAATGTTTTGGAACTAGATAGAAGTGATGGTTGCACAGTGTTGTGAATGTAATACATGCCACTGAATTATACACTTTCAAATGGTTTTCTATTATATTAATTTCAGCTCAAAAAGCGGGGTAGGGTATGTGTAAAGAAAAAACCTGAAAACTTTTCAGTTACCTGCAGGTTACTTAACTTCTCTATGTCTCACTTTTAGCATGCATAGAGTGGGAATAATAACAGCACCTACCTCCTGCTTCCATGGTAAGAATGAAATCCAGTAATGCATATAAAATACCTAGCAGAGAGCCTGACACCTATAGGATGCTCAAATGTGAGTGATGTCACCATAGAATTTTTTTAAAAGAAGACCTCTTTGGAAAAGTGATGAATACACTGTACCTTTTCACAGAAAAAAATACCTACACACACACACTCAAAAGACCTGTACAATTTGAAGAGAACCAAGGCTGCCCTAAGGCCACTTAGATTAAGAAGCCCTTTGTATTAGTTTGTTCTCATGCTGCTATCAAAGACATGCCCAAGCCTGGGTAATTTATAAAGGAAAGAAGTTTAATCAACTTACAGTCCCACATAGCTGGGGAGGCCACACAATCATGGTGGAAGGTGAAGAAGGAGCAAGTCATGTCTTACATGGCAGAAGGCAAAAAGAGAGCTTGGGGAACACCATTTTATAAAGCCATCAAGTCTCATAAGACTCATTCACTACCACAAGAACAGCACAGGAAAACTCGCCCCCATGATTCAATTACCTCCCACTGGGTCTTTCCCATGACACATGGGTCTCTCCCATGACATATTATGGGAGCTATAATTCAAGACGAGATTTGGGTGAGGACACAGCCAAACTATATCATTCCACTCCTGGCCCCTCCCAAATCTCATGTCCTCACATTTCAAAACAAATCATGCCTTCCCAACGGCGCCCCAAAGTCTTAACTCATTTCAGCATTAACTCAAAAGTCCACAGTCCAAAGTCTCATCTGAGACAAGGCAAGTCCCTTCCACTTATAAGCCTGTAAAATCAAAAGCAAGTTAGTTACTTCCTAGAAACAATGGGGGTACGAGCATTGGGTAAATACACCTGTTCCAAAAGGGAAAAATTGGCCAAAACAAAGGGGCTACAGGCTCCATGCAAGTCTGAAATCCAGTGGGGCAACCAAATCTTAAAGCTCTGAAATGATCTCCTTTGTTCCATGTTTCATATCCAGGTCACACTAATGCAAGAGGTGGGTTCTCATGGTCTTGGGCAGCTCCATCCTGTGATTTTGCAGAGTACAGCCTTCCTCCCAGCTGCTGGCATGAGTGTCTCCCAGGAGTTAGCAAATGCTATCAACATAGCTCATCTGCATGCCCCACTGCAAAGGAAAGTGCTCTGAGAGGTCACCATCAGGGAAGAAACTGAGGGAGAAAGGAAATGGGGTTTCTTTTTTAAAAAATAATTTTATAAAAAATTATAATACCCATGAGGCTGGCAATGAGTGTCTGTGGCTTTTCCAGGTGCATGGTGCAAGCTGTAAGTGGATCTACCATTCTGTGGTCTGGAGGATGGTGGCTCTCTTCTCACAGCTCTACTAGGCATTGCCCCAGTGGGGACTCTGTGTGGGACTCCCACCCTACATTTCCCATCCACACTGCCCTAGCAGAGGTTCTCCATGAGGGCCCCACCCCTGCAGCCAACTGCAGCAAACTTCTGCCTGGACATCCAGGCATTTTCATACATCCTCTGAAATCTAGATGGCAGTTCCCAAAGCTCAATTCTTGACTTCTATCCACCCACAGGCTCAACACCATGTGTAAGCTGCCAAGGCTTGGGGCTTGCACCCTCTGAAGCCACAGCCCAAGCTGTACCTTGGCCCCTTTCAGCCATGGCTGAAGTGGCTAGGACACAGAGCACCAAGTCCCTAGGCTGCACAGAGCAGAGGTCCCTGGGCCCAGCCCAGGAAACCATTTTTTCCTCCTAGGCCTCTGAGTCTGTGATGGGAGGGGCTGTCACCAAGGTCTCTGACATGCCCTGCAGATATTTACCCCACTGTCTTGGTGATAAACATTTATCTCCTTGTTACTTATGCAAATTTCTGCAGCAGGCTTGAATTTCTCCCCAGATAATGGGTTTTTATTTTCTATTGCATTGTTAGGCTGCAAATTTTCCAAGCTTTTATGATCTGCTTCGCTTTTAAACATAAGTTCCAATTCCAAACCATATCTTTGTGAATACATAAAACTGAATGCTTTTAGCAGCACCAAAATCACATCTTGAATGCTTTGCTGCTTAGTAATTTCTTCCACCAGATACCCTAAAACATCTCTCTCAAGTTCAAAGTTCCACAGATCTCTAAGGCAGGGGCAAAATGTCACCAGTCTCTTTGCTAAAACATAGCAAGAGTCACCTTTATTCCAGTTCCCAACAAGTTCCTCATCTCCATCTGAGACCATCACAACCAGGACTTCATTGTCCATATCACTACCAGCATTTTGGTCAAAACCATTCAACAAGTCTCTAGGAAGCTCCAAACTTTTCCACATTTTTCTGTCTTCTTCTGAGCCCTTCAAACTGTTCCAACATCTGCCTGTTACCCAGTTCCAAAGTTGCTTCCACATTTTCAGGTATCTTTACTGTAACATCCCACTCTACTGGTACCAACTTACTGTATTAGTCCATTCTTATTCTGCTAATAAAGACATTACTGAGACTGGGTAATTTACAAATGAAAGAGATTTAATTGACTCACTGTTCTACATGGCTGGGGAGGCCACACAATAATGGTAGAATGTTAAAGAGGAGCAAAGTCACATCTTACATGGTGCCAGGGAAAAAGAGAGCTTGTGTAGGGAACTCCCCTTTATAAAGCCATTGGATCTCATGAGACTTATTCACTACCATGAGAACAGCATGGGAAAGCCTGTACCCATGATTCAATTACCTCCCACAGGGGTCCCTCCCATGACATGTGGAATTATGGGAGCTACAATTCAAGATGAGATTTGGGTGGGGAAACAGCCAAACCGTATCAGCCTTGTTGCAGCAGTTAGTGACTGAAATTGAAAGGGAAACTGTTCTTCAAAGACAAATTCCCGAGAACACTGAGGAGGAAGGAAATATCTGTGTTAGTAGAGGTGATTTAACCAGGTAGCTAAGGGCTCCTGGAATATTAGATATTTATAGGGACAAAGAAACCAGCTAATCCCAGAACAATGATTCCCTGGGTCCAGAACCACCTGTCCCCTCTTATCCCCTCCTACCTACTAAACTGGGCAGAGGCAGAGAGGTGATGGCAGTAATTAACCCTTCCCAGTAGTGGGGGGAGGTGCGCTGGTCCTCAGGCTCCATGGCTTCCCCCATAGTGAGTGCACACATCCTTCAGCTCAGGGCAGGCTTAGATCCAGCCTTGGGCCAACATCTCCCTGCCACTTATTAGCCCACCCATCTGAAAGCAGGGGATTTGAGATTTAAAAAAATGGGATTATAAGGTCAGTGATTTCCAGACCTTGGCACTTCACAAACCAGTAAAATCTCAAACAAAATGTGTGTGTGTGTGGGGGGGGGGGGTGGGGGGGGGGATAATATCAAAAAAAGGGCAAAATTTTGTTATGCAAGGTTGTTCAGAAAGAGTTAAGATGAAATTAAGATGGCAGATTCTGGTGCCAGGCAGCCTGGGTTGGAATCCTGGTGCCAATGCTAGATGCATGGTCTTAGGCAAGTCAGTGAATTTCTCTGTATCTCAGTTTCCTCATCTGTAAAATAAGGATGCAACGGTACCTACCTCTTTGGGGTTGTTATAATAATTAAAGAACTATACATAAACTGACACAAGAGATCACATATTGCAAGATTCAATTGACATAACATATACAGGAAAGGCAAATTTACAGAAAGGAGATTAAGGAGAGGGAACAGCATTCAACTTCAAATGAGGGATCTTACTGGGGGATGAAAATGTTCTAAAACAAATTTATGGTGATGGTTGCACCTCTTTGTAAAATTACTAAAAGACATTGAATTGTACATTTGAAATGGGTGAATTTTATAATACATAAAATAAACCTTGATAAAATTGTTTTAAAAGAATACATATAGCACTTAAACTATACCTGGCACCTAGTAAGTATTCAAGTGTAGTAAACACTTACCATCATTTCATGGAAGCCAAAAAAAAAAAAAGCCATGTTATTAGTTTGGTGCAAAAGTAATTGCGATTTTTGCCATTACTTTCAATAACATCACCAAAGTAAGGACCAGAATAAAGCACAAAAATCCCCTACTTGCTGTGAGTCGGGGAGGGTTCACATGTTATCACGTTTGGGGATGGGGAGGGGTATCAGAGTCTTGGAACTACTCTGACTCAGCCCTACCTTCCAGGGCATTTTTCAAACCAAGCCATTTGCATCCCTACCGAAGGTGGTCTGCTTATTTAAGGGGCAGCCCACGGAAGTGTCTCCTCTCTCTGCCTGCCCCGCTGAATGGTGGAATAATTGTCCAGTCAAAAAGGACCTGGATATGCCCAGCGGGCCTCAGGCTGCAGCCCCCTAACTGGGAAAGTTAGGAGAGGCGGGTCTCAGCCCCACCCAAGGGCATCTGTGCCAACAGACTTACTCAAGGTGAAAGGAGCCACCTCTGCTCAGGAAGGTGTGAAGCAGGGCCCTGCAGCCACCGGTCTCGGGAGAGAGGTGGTCTCCTGCTAGGTAGGAGGGGAGGAGTTGGGATCCAATCTGGTTTGTTGTTCTTTTCATCTTATTTTTTCACCCCTTTGGTGAGGGGCTACATTTGCCAACATCCCTTTTAGGATAACCCTTTTAGATGGGTCCAAAGAAAGACTTTTTTTTTTTTTTTTTTTTTTTTTTACAATTAGCAAAGTCCCTCAAACTTCCCCCTTTCCTAATAGCTGAGAAAAGAGGGATAGACCAATTGGAAAGAAAAATGGAGAAGCAAGGAAATGAATGCAACTCTCGCCCAGGCAACCCATCCCAGGCCCAGTAAAAGAGTGGCTTCGGGAGCTGTGGCGAAGGGATCAGCAGACCCAACAGTGCCCGGAGAAGGGGCCTTGGAGGTAGGCGATGGCTGACGGTTGGCGGCGGCTGAAGGCAATAAGTGCTCCTCGCAGCCTGGCAATGGGCACCTGCAGCCGGCGCTCCGCTCCCTGCTGTGAGAGCTCTGCTCCCTCCAGTCGGGACGCCCCGTTGGGCCGGCCTAATCTCGAAGCCTGGCTCCCACCACCCTGCGCCCCGGGATCAGCAGCCAAGCGCTACCCTCATACATAAGTTCCCGCGAGCCACGTCCGCAATTCAGGTGTGCACCAGGTCACTGAAGGGTGTGTGCGCCGCCAGGAGCCTCCATTGGCTGTGGGCTTTGACGAGCTGTTTAATCATTACCTCATCAAGTCCCACGGATCCTAACTTAATGAGCAAATCAGAAGCTCAGCCCGAAACGCTGTGAAGCTCTCAGAATTTAGCCCTGGCAACTGCAAGACCACCAGGGGGATCTCGGGGCCGGGCACTCCCCAAAGCAGGCTGCGCGCACAACGGGGAGCGGGATGGCAGCGCACAGAGGCAAAGTTTCCTCAGAGCATAGAGGCAAACTCCGCCAGGCTCGCTCTCTCTGACCGGGGGTCCCCGGTAAGCACACTCACCTCCGATCCAGCCCGCCGCAAAGTCTTCCAGCTGGAAGCTTCCCATGGCCGGCGCTCGGTCTCGCCCTCCCGGAGCCGGGGCAGTGCCCACTTAGAGTCAGTGGGGCATGGCCCGCGGGCGCGAGCGCGCCGCAAGACCGAAGTCGGAGTCTCGAGCACGCCGCAGGTCCTACTCCAAACCCAGTCCCCCAGTCACCGGCTGCGCGGGCTGCCGCGCTCACCTCTCCAAGTGCCGGAGGGCGGCTGACATCACGCCCCCAGTGGACCTTAAAGGCACAGCACTCTGGGTGGATAAGGGTGCGCTCCGCGCGGCTCATCCCAGACACAAAGAGGCAAGGGTCATCAAGTGAAATTCTCTTAGTCCTCCCTTCTCCGGGTTATCCTCTTCCTTGCCAACTTCAGAGCCTCAGCGCCTTTGAACTGAAAGTGCCAGCCGCCCATCCAGAGACGGCAATGCGCGTATCTCCCTGTACTGTGCTGTGCTGACAATGCTGATTCCAATCAGCTGTGGACTCTCTCCCATCCCAACTCTGGGCAGTGATGCCTTTTTGTTCATCTCAGCCATGTCCCACTCAGTACCCCGTGCCTAGAGCAGGCACCTGGTGGTTCAGGGTCATGTCTAACTTTCAGCTACAGCTCTCTAGGGGCCCAGCTCCCTGCCTGGCCCTGGCTCACCCTACACTGTCCGCCCTGGGCCAACAGAAGGCAGAGGTGGTGCTCTGTACCTCAAACTCCCTCTCTGTAGGCAGACCCTACATTCAGCCAGGCCCCAGGCCAGGGGTCCGTGCTCACTGGAGAAGTGGCCTGCTGTGCGGAGAGGCTTTTGATTACAATGAGAGTGTCTTTCCTCCCTTCCTAAGAAGACTCGAAGCCCCCCAGCGTTCTGCTAGTTTCCAGCAGGGACTCAGCTGTGGGTCTCAGCCAAGACACCCCAAGGTTGACAAGAATGGTGAAGGGTATGGTCAGGAGGAAGGGGCCTCTGCTGGGCCTGCTCTTGTCCCACTGGGCATATTCATGTCACGTCATCCAGGTTAATATGAAGCGACAGCCAGCCAGACCTCCTTCTTCCAAAGCAAGACAGAGCCTGACCACCGAAGCTTGATCCTACAAAGGCCTGTCCACTGAGGAGTGGGGACTTGGAGGTGAAGGGACCTTCCTGCAGCATCACTCCCTCCCCTGCCCCGGCACACAGAGAGTGGACCTGTATCGGGAGAGGACAGCCCGGGATGGAGTCGCCGGCCTGGCTAGGGAAGTATTGCAAAGTTCCAGGGAGGAGTGGAAGCATCACACCCCATCCCGGCACCTCAACTTCCTGCTGCTTATGGTGACCCACTCAGTCTTGAGGCTTCAGAGTTGCCATCAGCATCAACCCCAAGCTGTGCCCTGTCATGCCCGGGATATATGCCTAGGGCTGCTATGAGAAATGCAGGTCTCTGAAGAGTGGCCTTTTACTGAGTTCACCATTGGAATGCATCCACAAGTGGAAAGCCTGACAATTCTCAAAACCCACTCCTCTGGAAGACCACCTAAGGGGTGCCAGGCAGTTTGTCATCCCCTCAGTCCTGTGTCAGCACCAATTGAGGAGGTCTTACGTTGGCAGGCAGTGTCCCTGGCAGCCCAGGATGGCCTCCCAGGCCCAGAAAGCTGCTGCTTGAACTACTAACGAGCTGGAGCAGAGCAGGAGTGGGTTGCTTTCCAAAATGAATTACTGTGCTCCATTCCCATATGCATGCCACAAACCTGCCCATGGGGCGCATCACCCAGGGAAGTGAGGGGAGGACCCTAGGTTTACCAGCAACCATGGCCAGGCCTGGAGAATCCCAGACCACAGGGCTATGAGCCCAGGCAGAATGCTGGCTCTGTGGCCAGGATCCAGGCCATCCCTTCTTCCTGGCCTTCGCACTTCAGAGCACCATTTGCAGTGTGCTGCCATTCACATTTGCATTCTACACTCGGGAGAGGGCAGGGCAGCTACTGGCCATTACAGAGAGAAAGAAACTCCACAGAGATCCACTCCCTGCATGACTAGGGCCAGAAAGCAACCCCATTTTCTTTCTCCCTCAGTTCCTTCCCCAATGATGACCTCTCAGAGCACTTTCCTCAGTAGCAGGACATGCAGATGGGCTATGCTGATAGCATTTGTTAACTAGTGGCCCACTCCCCATTTCTTATTTACCCTTTCAGGCCACAGCAATTTCCTGAGCATCAGTCTGTGCTAGTGCCTTGCTTTGGGGAAAGTCTCTGTTTGAGAGGAGACAATCCATCTGAGATGCTACACAGAGGTGGCTGTAAGAGCACTGGAGAGGGAGTCCATCGTTCTACAGGAAGCAATCAGGGAAGGCTCTCCAAACTTGGAGTCTCCTGGCTGCACCTTTAGTCTACACAGCCCCACAGCTCCCACCTCCCCAACCACTCTCTCAGGCAAGCCAACAATCCCCTCCCCATGTCCACCTGCCACACTCGGGCAGCAAAGGCCTGGGTCAGCTGTCCATGCCTGACCTGCTGCAGTGAAGGCGCTGCCCATGCCGCCTGCTCCCCTCTGCTTCCAGATTCCTGCCCTCACCCAGCTTTCCTCCTGCTTCTCCAGCTCTTCTCATCTTCTTCCCTGGTGCCATGGCCCCTTCTCATGCTTAGGTGTGAATTCCTCAGGGCCCCATCTGGACCCTCACCCACCCGTACCTCCCATCTCTCAGCGTATAACCCCCACACCTTGCTTCAGAGTCCAGACATCCCTCTACTCAACACCTCCACCTGGGTGGCTCGGGTCATCTTAGCGCATCCCTCGATGAACTCTCTCTTCCTCCGCCAGTGCCTCTTCAACTTAGAGAAACACACCTCCACCCAGTGGCCACCCAAAACAGAACCTTGGATGCCATCCTCCATTTCTCTCTCCCAAGGTCTTATCCCACCAGCCGCAAAGTCCTGAGTGTCCATCCCCTCAATGACACCCAGCCCTCATTGCTGTCTCCGAATGTGGCTCAGCCCAGCCCTGTGCCACTGCCCTGCCTGGATCACAGTGGACACGGGTTCCTGGGTCCCTCTGCCCCTGTCCTACTGCCCCAGTGAGCTTCTGAAACTTTGAATCTGCTCAGTTTAGTGAACTTTGATGACTTTCTGTGATCTTGAGCATAAATTCCAATTCCCCAGTGTGTTGTGTGTAGCTCAGTAGGACTGGGTCTGGCTGCTTTTCCACTTTGCACCTCAATGTCTCACATTCTGTGCATGTGTGTGACTGCGCACATGCTATTCCCTTGTGGGGAACACCCTCTCCCTCCTCCCCTGGCTAATCCCTGCCCCCTTCTTCTTTAAGACTCAGTTCAGCTGTCACCTCCTGACAGGCCTTTCTTGAAGGCCTTCCTCATCACCCTATGCCACATGGTATCTTCTAGATCTCATCTGTGTTTCCTGAATATTCTGAGCATATCTGTATCTCTGCTGTCAGACTCAGTGGTTGATTGTCTTCCCATCCAGACTGTGAGCCCACTGAGAAGAGGGTACTGCCTCATTCTGCACTGGACCTGCAGAGCCTGGCGCAGGCCTGATGGGCAGTCAGTCACTGCTTAGTCCGCTGGGCCTTAAATGAGGAGACATGGGGAAAAGTCTGAAGGTCCTGCTGGTGGCTGGCAGACAAGGAGGGTGTCTGGATACAAGACAGAGCTGAAGAGGTGGTCACATCATTCCCAGGTGTGAGGACTCCCCCTGGCCTTTCCTGGAGCATCACAGAAGCCCGGCTTCTTTCAGGCCCTCAAAGGTACCAGCCACATTTCCCCCACAGAGCTTTTGCACTGATCACTCCCTCCACCTGCAGCTCCCTCTCCCTGCCCTCCTCATAGCCGACTCCTACCTCCTTCAGATCTATACCAAAGCATCTTCTGCATGAGGAGGCCTCCCCAGGCCCCTCACAGGAGGTCACGACCTGGTTGCCCTCTCTCAAGGCACCCCTGCTTCTTTTTCCAACTCTCACCATGCCGCTCAGTCCTTGTGCAATGCTTGGTTGCTCCAGGAAGATAGATAGGACCCGTCTGACCTATCTGCCACCGTGACATTTTCGGGCTCTGCCACAGAGCAGGCAGACAGCAATTACTCAGGACCGAGTTCAAAGGATTAATGAAACCGGACCACGGGCTTGTGCTGTCTTTCTTCTTTGAGTGTTTGCCCCAGCTGCATCATTCCTGCACTGGCCTCAGACAACGGGAGCTCTGAGCTCCCTCCTTGACTCTGATGGGAAGGAAAAGGAGCACACGATTTTCGAGCTTCTCATTGGGAGCAGGATTTCTTCCTTTGTTGATGGCACTTTGGGAAAGTATGTGCAGAGCATGTGCAGACTGAATCTGGCCCATCACCTGTTCAGCTTGAGGCTGGCAGTCAAGAAGCAGAGGTAAGTGGCTGTGAAGTGAGGGGGTGAAGCAGCTGGCGGGAAAGCTGGGCTGCCTGGGCTCTGGTCCTAGTGCTGCTGCTGCCTCTCTGGGCATCTTGGGAAAGTCCAGGCCTTAATTCTTCCTCTATTTTTTGGAAGGTAAGGACGATCTCCTCTTAGGTGGTGTCTGCAGAAGTCTGAAATTCTTGGCCACGGGGATATCAGCTGCGGAGGTCTCATCAAGATGCGCCAGGAGAGGGCGCTGCTGCGCAGCGCTTGAGGCTCTCGGGCGGAAAAGACAAGCGTGGCTGCTCATTCTGGATAGTTTCCTGGCCCGGTTTGCCTGGCACTGGCTGGCAGACAGCCACACTCAGTATATGTGTGGGCCGTGGAGGAGATGCTGGCCCAGGAGGCTCAGAGGGGAGTCTGAGGTGCCAGAGCAAACCTCGGAGAAGCTTGATGAGAACCCATCTAAGGTGTTTGAGTACTGTGTGCTTGGATGGGAGGCGACACCCCAATCTCTGTACCTGTGTAGATCTATCGAAGCCTTGAATGTCCCAGGCTTTCTTCCACCTCAGGGCTCCGAGCTGGCCCAGTGCTGCATGCTCCGTTTACACCATCTTGTTGAATTCTCTGACGCAAGTTCTCCTTGGGTAGGTGAGAAGAATGAGGTCCAGAGAGGTCAAGCAGTTTCTCTAAAGCCACACAGCAGTCAGTGGAGGATGATGAAGTCACACCTGCTGTTTGACTCCAGGGTCCATGCTATTAAAAAAAGTGCTGCCTCCTAGCCAAGACTCGGGAAGTAGAAGTGACTTTCCCAAAGACCCTTGCCCCCACCCCCACCCCTCTGCATAAATGCCCTAACTTTTCTGCCTCAGTTTCTCCACTATCAGTGTGATGGTACTAACACTGTCCAACTGTGCCATATTCATAGGACTCCTGCAACAGTTTAATCAGGGGGAAAACATCCCTTCCCCAATACCATCCCAGTGCCCTGGGCTGCCCTCTATCCTTTCTTTCCTGACAAGGTCCTGTGGGTCCACAGAAGTCTGAAATTCTGGGCCGCGGCGATATCAGCTTGAAAATCATATGTGCTTCTTTCCATCAGAGTCAACCTGCGGGTTGAGGCTGGCTCTGCGGACATCTGAGAATAGGAAATGCTGCTGTCCGCCTGACTGAAGGCCAGGCAGGTCAGTGGACCAGGCAGCCCAGGTTGGAGAGGTTTGGAATCAAGGGGTTTCTGTAGGAGTGTAGGAGGAGACCCTGCTGCGTGCTGCTGTCAAGGTCCCATCTGAAAGCCTGGCTGAGCACCTGCTATATGCTAAACTCCCTGGGACTCAGAGGAGTTTGAGTGCTGACAGTGACAGAAGAGCCAGTGTTTGGGGACAGCCTACTCCATCTTCTGCCATGTGGCATTCTCCTCTATCATGCAGTCATCAAACATCAGCTGCTGGGCTGGGGGAGACCCATAAATCTCACATCAGGCCTGACCTCAAATAGAGGCCAGGACCATAGGAAATTTGGAGGGCAGAACCCAGAAGTCTCGGGAAGGAGCAGCATTTGAGCTGGAACTAAAAAGACAAGCTAAGTTGTGAGCAGTGGAGAAGTGTGCAGAGGCAGAGGGAACTGCCTGAGTAGTGCCAGGTGGGAGAATGCAAGGGGAGTCGGGAAGAGTTTTGCTCACCCAAAGCCCCCATGGCTGTAGGAGGGGCAGCTGGAAGGCTTGGAGTTTGGCTCCTGAGGACCCTGAATGCCAAGGAAAGGGGCTAGGCCATGATTCTGTGGGCAGTGGCGTCTACAGGCTAGAGGCAGTCCTCAGTCCTGCTGCTGCTCTGCGAGTGGATGAAAGGCCCATCTCTGGGGCTAGCTGTATCTCACCTGGATGAACCTCCATAGCCCATGCTGAGGCTGGCTCAGGCTCCTTGCAACCAGCATTTTTCTCTGCAGGGAACTGGTGGGCTTGCCCTTGGGAAGTTGAGGCCTGTGCCTGTCCAGCTCCTCAGAAGGGCTATGATCCTCCTCAGCACCTGAGAGCAGGCAGTTCAGCCTCCCCCAGCAGGAGCTCACTGGGTCATTTAATCCACTGCACCTGGACATCCTCCTCTGTAAGATGGGGGTGATAACTGTACCTCACTCAAGCTGCACTTAACACACTCAGTGAGTCAATGCATGTCAAGTACTCTGCACCATGACTGGCACGCAGTAACACACCCAGCAAGTCAAATCTCTCCATCGTTATGACCTGTGTGTCCTGAGTGTTCACGTCTGTGTTAGCACATGGACAGCTCCCAGCCAAGGCCGGCAGGTGGGCCAGAAGCAAACTGCCCTTCCAGCTGAGCCAGCCCCTTATCTGGGATCTCTTTTGCACCAAATCTTTCCTGCAAACTACTCCCTTAGAGAGCTCTGCAGCATGGGAAACCTCTGGCGGGTCTCTTCATCCCCATGAGCAGGGGAGGTACCTCCAGCTCGCCAAGGGGTTGCTGACAGGCTACTGCAGGGCTCTCGGCCCTCCTTGGGTTCTGGATGGCACACACATGGGAAGAGAGGAGGGGACATGGCTCGGACCCTGCTTGGGCTGCACAAGGAGAGAGTGGCCCCAGTTTGTACCATAGACATAGATACCTCCCAACCTGTCTGTTCCTTTGGGGGCAGTGAGGGCCCACAGATGCCAGCTCCTCGATGAGGCCCCAAACTAAAATGACAAGCTAAGTTGTGAGCAGTGGAGAAGGGCACAGAGGCAGAGGGTTGGATACCTCCCAACCTGTCTGTTCCTTTGGGGGCAGTGAGGGCCCACAGATGCCAGCTCCTCGATGAGGCCCCAAACTAAAATGACAAGCTAAGTTGTGAGCAGTGGAGAAGGGCACAGAGGCAGAGGGAACCTCCTGAGCAGCACCAGTTGGGAGAATGCAAGGGGAGTCGGGAAGAGTTTTCCAGCCTTATGGAAAATAAAGGGAACAGTCCTATTGCCTCACCCCAAGAACAAAGACGAGTTTTCCTGGCAAGGGTACCTTTATTTCTTCATACTCCCATCATACTCCAAATCCCAAATCCCCAAACCCAATGGGAAGTCATAGGAGTGCCTTGGAAATAGTAAAAAATAGATTTTCTAAAAAGAATTTCTTTGATGTAACTCTAGTGTGACCGATTGATTTCTCTCTCTTTCTTAAAGTCCTCATCCTCAGGAAGCATGTGAGCAGGTGAGGGCATTCCAGACAAGCAGCCATCGGGTGGAGGAGCAGGGATCCAGTGGTCAGAGGTGTGTGAGTGTCAAAGCAAACAAAGAACCTACACCCGGGGAGGAGACACAAAACCAGCGCCACGGGACAGAGAGGCTGTGAACTTGGGACATGCCAGTGTGGCTGGCACTAAAGGATTTTCAAACAGGAATCAGCATCTAAGTGTCTGGTCCCGGGGTAGGTGGGATGAGCATATACTCTCAAAATCCCAGTGTGATTCAGCCACTCACCAGGTGAGCCTGGGGTTGGAAGTTGGGCTGGAGCACCAGAAAACAGGTCCACAAGGTCCAAGGAGGTAGGGCCTAGCAGACACATGCAGAGTCACCATCCTTACCTGCTCTACCCAAGGGCAGGGGCAGGGGAAGGAAAGGTGCAGAGGCAATGAGGAAAAAGAGAGAGCAAGATGGGTCTAGGGGAGCACGTGGCTCATTTCTTGCTATGCATAGACCCACTGAGGAAGAATGTAGTGAGGAGGTGCTTAAGTACTTGGCCCGAGGTCAGACAGAGCTGGTGTGAATCCCAGCTCCACAGTTCCCGGCTGTCTGCTAGCTGTGTGAGCTCGGGCACCCTATGTAACATCTCTTAGCCTGTTTACTCAGCTGTAGAATGGAGATGACACCAGTGTCTACAACCCATGATTATGGAGATGATCTCTGTAAAGTGCCTAGTACAAAGTAAATGCTTAATAAATGGAAGCTGCAAGTATTACTCCAAAGCATCCAATTAGTGCACCAGCGCCAAGGTGCACGATTTATTTACAAAACCAGCTTCTGGGTGTCTGCACCCTTCAGTTGTTCAGGTGGCTCCTGCTTCCTCTGTCTGAGCTTGGGTCAGGCTACAAAAGGAATGGTCTGAGGTCAGAGTGCTGGACAAGATGGACACTTCTCTCCAAAGCCACTTTTGGTGTGGCTGTTCAATTCTCATGTGGCAGTTTTTCCAGCTAGGAGAACAGGAAGGTGGCAGCGTGGGGCGGGATGGGTCTCTTCCTGGGGGTGGAGTGGCTGAACATGGGGCACAGGCTGAGTTTCTCCCCTCTGCTGCTTGAGGAGAAAGGCAAACCCTAGGCCTGCGGAGTGGGACACCTCATGCTGGCAGGGAGCAGCCTGGTGGGCTGAGAGGGGCTGGGAGAATCTGCCAAGGGTTGGGTTCTTCCTGCTGGCTCTGCTGGGTAAGGGGGGTAGGATGCCCCTCATCCATGGTCATGGGCACTGAGACAGAGAGAATACAGGCCTGAGTGCCAGGGTCCCAGGCCAGCTCTGGTCCCAGGGCAAACTGACTGACCTCTGGGAGCCTCCCCGCAATCACCTTCATCCCTCGACAGTCAGTGGGTGCTGGGGGCCTGCTCTCCAGTGGTTTCTGTTGCAGTCAGCTCCGGCTTCCCCGTGGTGTGACTGCACCAGCCCTGGGCAGCCCCTGAGGGCCCCTGGCTCCCAGATGGAAAGGCAGGAGGCCCAGGGCTAGTGTGTAACCCCTCCTCAGGGGTTCTGTAGTAATGCACAAATCCTGAGGCATAAAGACCATGGTCCCTGGAGAGAGGGGCATCCCGGTCACTGTCACGGGGGAACTCTGCCGAGACCTGCAGGACGGGGCAGCAGGCCAGTGAGTGTGGGGACCCAGAGATGAGGTCCTAGTGTGCCGAGGCAGCCTGGGTATGAAGGAACAGGAAGGTCAGCCCGATGCAAGCCCCCCTCCCAGGTTCAGGCCCAGATACCCGGGACCAGCCTGTGCCTGCAACACCACAGTGGCAGTCCCAGAAAAGGACAGGCCCATGTCTGCTCTACAGCCCAGGAAGCACTCAGCAATGTCACTCACCCATCCAAGGGCACCCTGCTGGGAGGGGTGTGTCTGGGATTAAAACCCACCGGCCTTGCCTCCTCTGTCTCTGCAGTCATGGGCCACAGTGCCCAGCTGCATGGTGGTGATTAGGAATGTTATAGACCACAAGCTTCGGGTCAAATCCCAGGTTTGCTACTTGCTAGCTATGTGCCCTTGGCCAAGTCACTTAACTTCTCTGAGACTCGTTTTCTCATTCATAAAATGGGAATAATAGTACGGCTTGTTTTATAGGATTACTATTAGGATTAAATGAGATGATGCTAATGAAACATTTGTCTGAGAGCCTAGCAAGTCATAAGGACCAAATAAATGTTTCTGTGAGCTCACCATCCTGCTGAGCACTTTAGGTACGTGGTTGTATGTAATTCTCACAATGGCTTTATTGTTGCTGCTGCTGTTCTCTCTTTTATAAGGAAACCACGTTCCCCAGGCCGCTCTCCTAGCAGGTGGTCAAGCTGGGCTTGAACAGGACAGTCTTCCTGCAGTGTCTGTGCTCCCAACCAGTGACACCTTGCTCCAAGGGCCGCAGCAGCCCTGAGAGGGGCCTGTCCAGGGGCCTGTTAGAGTCTGGGCCCCAGGACAGAGAGGTTTGAAGGATGCGGGGGCCTAGTGCTGCTCCCCCCACCCTCTATGGCCTCCTCAACTCACAGAGCATTCGTCCCTGACTGTTGTCCTGCAGAAGCAGCCAGCCCGTGCCTCCTTCTCAGTGGGCAGATCTTGGGAGCCCCTGTGTGACCAGCCAGGAAGGGCCAGGCTGGGCAAACTCTCCTCCTCAGAGCGGTAGTAAGGGAAGAACCCACTGAGCAGTTCTGAGTCCTCCTGGAGCGGTGTCTTGGGCTGCAGGACCAACCCCTCCTCTTCCAGGAGGCACCCATAGGTGCAGAAGAAAGGCAGGTACTCCAAGGCCACCTGGGCCCTATGTGAAAGGTGGAGGGAGCTTAGGGGCTTCTTGTCCCTTGAACTGGTGGCCTGCTGTTGGGAGGACAAGGGTCCTGGGTCATCCTCCTCTAGGAGGCTAGGAGAGGTTGGGGCTCCGGATTCAGCGTCACAGTTCTGACACATCTGAGAAAAGAAGGACGTTCCATCTGTTACTGCATCCTGAATTCCTAACCACACCAGCTCTGTCCCCAGTCCCTGCCTACATTGGAGTCCAGAGGGGTCTTACAAAGCCCAAACCTGACTGTGGTTCTCCTCTGTGAAAAGCCAGCAATGGGCCTCAACCATGGCTAGATTGCTCAAGCACTCAGGGCTTCTTGCCATTCCTAAGTCACACCAAACTTGTCCTTCCCTTAGAGCCTGTGCCAAGATCTGCTCCTGGACTCTCAGCTCAGAAGAGCCTTCCCAGCCCCAGCCTCCCTGCAGGGTGACTCCAGATCATTTCATCACTGGCATGCTCTTCCTGGGCTGTGTGGTCTGCCTGCTTCATGTGTGGGGTGGTCTTATCTGTCTTATCTGTCTGGTGCCTCTCGTTCACAATAGGAACTCAACTGACACTTTTTCAACTAGTCTGCTGGCTCTCAGTCCAACTCATATTCCCTTCACTCTGTCCAGTCCAGCCACACAGGCCTTCTCTTGATCCATCTCACTTGCCAAGCATCCTCCTGCCACAGGGGCTCTGCATGGGCTAATGCTTCTGCCCAGAGTCTCTTCCTTCTCCTTTCTCCTAGGTGGTGACTTCCTCAGCGCTTGGTTAAGGTCACTTCCCTAATGTCCCTGGCTTAGTGGCATCACCTTCTTCATGACTGCCACCACCCTCATACCCCTCATTCAGAGCACCCGTTCCTCTGCTGTGAAATATTTGACTGTGTGGTTTCTTGATTAATATCTCTCATCCTGTTAGTTACAAATTCCACCAAGGCAAGGCCCATCTGTCTAGATCACTTCTGTGTCCCGAAGGCCTAGAAAAACCCTGGCATATGGTAGACACCAAGTATTGGAAGAAAGGAAAGAAGGGTGGGAGGGAAGGAAAGAGGCAGACAAAAAGAGAACACCTTGGCCAGGAACGAAGTCTTTATCAGACTCCATGGTGATAGGAGGGAGAAGTCACGTCTTGGGGAGAGGGTGGAGAAGCGGAATGAGGAATTACTTCCCAGGCCCAGAGGGGACACGTGGCCCAGAGTGCCAGGTAGTGAAAAGCCAGCTCATTCCCACATTGACTATGCCAGACCCAGAGCCCATCAGGAACATGGCAGGGGGCCCCTTTGATCCTGAGCAAGCCCCCAGGCTGTTCCACTTGTGGACTCCTGACCCATGGAAGAACTTATGGTGGCTTAGCCCCCAGCCTTCGTGAATCCCACCCTGGCCTTCCCGACTCCCACCCTAGCCCCTGGGCCTTGAGTCCCCGCCCCTGACACATGCTCCTGTGGTCCATGCTCTCCCCCAACTCCCTGCAGGCAGCCTGACCACTGAGGTCCCTGTCCTAAGCCAGACTCCTTGGTAAGTGCCTACTGGCCCATAGACTGCCAGCTTCTGGTGAGCAGGAACCAGGCCCCCTCCTCCAAGTCCCAGAGACCCAGCTCAGGGCCATCTTTGCTGAGTTTCTACCACTCCCAGACACTCTGCAGAGCTCTGTGGTCCTCTCTCTCAGGTAATCCTTAGGAAGCCCACCAGGATAGACTTGCCTTTCCAACCTCACTGTGCCAAGCAGAAGGGACAGGCTAAATGGCAGCACCCAGGTCTGACCCACTCTGAAGCCTGTGCTCTGTTCGCTGTGAATTATATGTTGTTGTGTGTCCCCCATAGGACATGTTCAAGTCTTAAGCCCTGGCACTTGTGGATATGACCTTATTTGGAAATGGGATCTTTGCAGATGCAATCAAGTTAAGATGAGGTCACACCGGGTCAGGGTGGGCCCTAAATCCAATGGCTTGTCCCTATAAGATGAGGGAAATTTGGACACAGACACACAGGTAGAATGTCATGTGATGATGGAGGAAGCTATTGGAATGATGCTGCCACAAACCAAGGCACATCAAGAATTGCATCATCACAGGAAGCTAGGAGGGAGGCATGAAGGAACAGATTCCCTGCTGAGACCCCAAGAAGAAAACAACTCTGCCGACACCTTGAGTTTGAAATTTTGGCCTTCAGAACTGTGAAAGAATAAATGTGTGTTGTTTTAAGCTACTAAGTTTGTGTTAATTTGTTCTGGCAGCCCTAGGACACTAACTCATGTGGGTTTGCTGGATGGCTCATTTGTGGGGATAAAGGGATTTGGCACAGGCTTGAGGGCTCTCCCAGCACCACCCTGTGAGCAGCTTGGGGAGAGAGGCCCATTGCCATGGCCAAGGTTCACTCTGTTGGGGGGGCTTACCTAAGGCCCTACCCTTCCTGCCATCCAGTGGGCACTGGACAGCACAGACTCCCTGTGGTGGACCAGTGGCCCTCCCACAGCTCATTCTTTCCTGCGAGGGCCCCGGCTCCACTTCAACAGTGAGTCCTGGATTGAAGGAGGCCAGGTGTCCTCTGAGCTCCCCTGGGAGGCCTCAGCAAGATGGCAGGTGCACAATGCCACTCACAGTCTCTAGTGAGCACCACTTCCGGCGTTGTGTTTTGGGGTCAGCAGTAGCACCGCATCGTGACATGATGAAGCCTAATTGTCAAACTCTGGCTGAAAAGACAAAGCCTCCCTCGGCAGGCCTCTTCCTCCCAGCCTCCTCTTTACCCTGGCAAATCCCCCTCTGCCTGCTGAGAGAAGATTCCATCATGAAGTCATAAGGTCTGGTGCCAGGCAAGAAAGCCAGATGGCTCTGTTACCATGGAGACTCCACCCAAGCACCCAACACCTGTGATCATCACCTGTCTCTTAATTCAGCTTAATCCACATCTCCCCAGGAGACTCAGGGGAAACAAAGAGAATGCAAACATCTTCTGGAATCTGATCAGTTCTTCATGACTGGGGGCCAGTGAGCTCACCTGGGACTTCTGCCCAGAGACTGTGAGAGTGACTCAGCACCTCCAGTAGATGGTCAGGAAGGGCCCCAAGGATCTGTTCCCCCAAGTCCAGGGAACTGGAGTGAGCTGCATGGGCCGCTGCTCTCTGGGGTGCCTCAGTCCGCTCAGGGTGGGGCTGAGACACCAGTCTCTGCCCTTGTCACTCGCTTTCAGCTGCCTCTCCTCTGTGGCTCCTCTCCAGTCACTTGCTGGCAGGACACAAGACAAGTGGAGCAGTCATGGGAGGGCTGATGATGTAGGACATCTGCTTTGTCCCACAGAGCCACCGTCCCCAGCTCCTCTCCCAGGCCTGGTGCTCCTAAGTGTTAACTACTGCCCAGGGAAGTTCCCATGTGGTGTGTCATGTAGTCCTCTCCACAAATCTTCAAGTAAGAAAGTGCACCACTGTCATGCCATTTTGCAGATTGGAGAGTTGAGCCTCAGTGCCGGGACAGGAAGGTGAACCAGCCTGAAAAGGGGGCTCTAGTTAGTTTCTAGCCTTAGGGCTTGAGGCAAGAAAGCCTTGGAATGCCATTGATGGTCACGAGGCTGAGACATCTCCAGGACCTCACACTTCCCCAGGGCTGGTGTCCAAGTCAGGAGTGACCCAGCCGGGTTCTCCAGGCTCAGGCATGGCTACCACATCTCTCTACTCTGTGCCCTCAGACCCTGGTCCCCATCTACTGCTGGGCCATTTTCTTTTGTATAGACTTAACTCTTTAATCTATGTCAAATTTAGTTGTTGTAAATGGTAATAGATAAGCCTCTTATTTTATATTTTGAATAGTCACTCGACTCAACGTCACTTAAGAATAAATTATTTGTCCCTAACCTGATTTGAAATACCAAAATAGACACATTCTAAATTCTTAGCTATTGCAAACTTGTCCATTTTTATGATTTTTTTTATCCATCTCTTTGTCTCTCTTTGTACCAATACCATATTATTTTGATCTCTTTAGTTTTATATAAATTTAATTCATGTTATGTCATCACCTCTTAAAAATTCAACTTCATTGAGGTCTAATTTATATACACCGTAAAGTGTGCTGTTCATGAATTTATACACCAAATAACAACCTCTGAATTAATATATAGAAATGCCTCTTTTCAGGTAATCTGCTCTCTTGCTTCCCAACTCCAAGCAACCACTGATGTGCTTTTTGATACTATAGATTCATTTTACCTATTCTAGAATACACGGAATCACACAGTGCATGTTCTTTTGTGCCTAGTGAGCATCTAATATTCAGCACTATGTTTTTAAGATTCATCCTTTTTGTGGTACAGTTTGCTCCTTTTTATTGAGGAGTAGTATACTGTTATGTGGCGTAACACAATTTGCTTATCTAGCCTTCTGTGTATACAGTCTAGTTGTTTCCATTGTGAATAGTGCTGCTAGAAATGGTTAGGTACAAGTCTTTGAGTGGGTATAGTTTTCATTCTCTTAGGTAAATAGCTAGGATTTGAGTAGTTTGATCACATGGTAAGTGTATGTTTAACTAAATAAGAAACTGCCAAACTGTTTCCATTTTATGGAATATAAAATGATCCATTCATTTTACATTCCCAACAGTAATGTGTAAAAGTTCCAGTTTCTTCACATTCTTACCACCACTTTTTAACTTCTGCCATTCTCGTGGGTGTATAGATACCACGCTGGTTTTAATTTGCATTTTCTTGATGACTAATGATGTTGAGCATTTCTTTTATGTGCATACTGCCAATTTGTATATTTTCATTTAAGGGTTTACATCTTTTCCCATTTTAATAACTTTATTGTTATAATTAAAGTACAATTAGCTACATAAAGTGTACAATTTGATCAATTTTCACATATGTACACACCTCAGAAACTATCACCATGGTCAGGATAACAAATATTTATATCAACCCCCAAAATTTTCTCATTCAGTTTTATAATCCATTTTCCCTCCATTCCCATCCACAGACAACCATTGATCTGCTGTCACTCCAGATTATTTTACATTTTCTAGAATTTTATATAAATGGAATCTAAAGTGTATGCTTTTGTATGATTTCTCTTAGCATAATGCTATTGAGATTAATCTATGCTGTTGCACGAATCAATAGTTTGTTCCTGTTTTGTTGAGCACTATTCCACTGCATGGATATATCCCTGTTGTTATTCTACTGTATGTAGTGTGCCATTCTTCTCTAGCTGTTTTGAAGATGTTTTTCTTTAAGCTTTGTAAGTGGTAACAGATAAGGTTTTTAGCACTTTATAATGTGTCTAGGCATGGTTTTCATTGACCTTATCCTTTCTGGGGTTTACAGAGCCTCTTAAGTACATTGATTTACATTTTTCACCACATTTAGGAAGCTTTAGATCTTTATTTTGTCAAATTTTTTTTTTTAGCCTATTTCTTCTCGCCTTCTGGGACTCCAATGTCATGTATGTTAGATTTTTTTTTTTAATGTTTTTCCATGGATCCCTGAGGCTCTGCTCATTTGTTTCTTAACCTTTTCTCTGTGTCCTTCAGATTGTGTAAATCATATGGATCTATCTTTAAGCTCACAGACTCTTTCCTCTTGACATCACCATTCTGCTACTGAAATCATTCAGTGAAAATTTTTTTTCACATTTCGTATTTTTCAGTTCTAACATTTTCATTTGGTTTTTTTTTATAGTTGCTATTTCTCTATTGAGAACTTCTTTTTATTCGTGCCAAATGTGTTTTTCTTAACCTCACAGAACGTAGTTGTAATAGCATTTTGAAGTCTTTGATGATAATTCCAACACATGGCCCACCTTGGGGTTGACATTAGTTGTCTTTTCCCTTGAGAATTGTTCACATTTTTCTGGTCATTTGTATGCTGGGTAATTTTAGATTGTCCTAGACATTTTGAATATCATTTTGTGTAGACTTTGGGTCAGGTACATAATCCTCTGTAGAGAGCTGATGTTTTAGCTTTATCAGGAAATCAATTTAGTTAGGTTTGAGCTGCAAGTTCTGTCTTGTCTTTCGTCTACAGTGGTGCAAATTTCAGTTCTCTAAGCATTTGCTGTATTCATTTGGGTCTGTTTTTTGGATGCATTATTTAGCAATTAGGATAAAAAGATGTGTGCACATGGTTTAAATCTTAGTTGGGTTCTTTCTGAAGGCTTTTCTATTCTGGTTTAGATCTATCCCACTCATGCATAACTCAGGAGTTAGGCTGAGACTTGTAGGCATTTATTCACAGAATTAGAGGACTGCTTTTCTGGCTACCTTCCCTCCTGGATGTCCTCATGCTTTGTTTCCTTCCAGGGTCTCTGTCCTGGTTCATTTGACCAGAAATACTGGATTTCTTCTAGAGTAGCCATCCTTTTGCCACCACTGCATTGCTGTTGTGTAATTAGAATGTGCCTTCTGGGCAAAGCTGAGAGAGAAAGAAACAGAAACAGAGGGAGAGAGAGAGAGAGAGAGAGAGAGAGAGAGAGAGAGAGAGAGAGAGAGAGAGAGAGAGAGAGAGGAACAGAGAGAACAAACCTGGGAAACTCTCCCCTGCATGGATCACTGTCTTAAGTCCAAGTAATCTTGCCTCTCCTCCACAATGTTTTTGTTTACTTTTTAGAGTTCTCGGGTAGCTAGTTTTTGCGTTTTGTATAGAGTTTTTGGTATAGTAAGTGGGAAAATGGGCCATAGTGAGCTTAGGCTATCATGCTATGACCTTCATTTTGCCCACTTCTTGTAAGATTGTTTGTCTTACTGTTGAGTTGTAAGAGCTTTTTGTGTATGCTGGATACAAGTTCTTTGTCAGAAATAGGTATTGTGAATGTTTTCTCCCAGGTTGTGCCTTGACTTTTTATTTTATTAACAAAGTCTTTCTAGGAAATGGAAATTTTAAATTTTGATGGAATCTATTATTTTTTGTGTTTTTTGTATGCTATCTAAGAAATCTTTGCCTACCATAAGATTGTGAACATTTCTTCCTACCTTATTTTTCAAGTTCTATAGCCTCAGCTTTTATATTTAGGCCTGTGATTCCATTTGAGTTCATTGATGCTATTTGAGTTTGGGAGCAAGATTTATCTATATTTTCCATTTGGATAGCTATTGTGCCTCACTGGCTGAAAAGACTTTTCTTTCCCTCATTGATATACACTGGCATATTTGTCAAAAATCAGTAATATACATGTGGATTCATACCTGGATTGTCTATTCTGTTCCATTGATCTCTACTCACTGCCTTATTGTGGATCACAGTTTCTCAGCCTTGGCACTATTGATACTTTAAGCCAGATAATTCTTTGTTTCGGGCCATTGTCCTGTGCACTGTTGGATGTTTAGCAGCATCTCTGGCCTCTACCTACTAGATGCCAATATCATACTGCTCTCCTCCCTCCAGAGTAATGACAATAAAGAATGTCTCCCAACTTTGCCAGATGTTCCCTGGGGGGGAAATTGGCCCCATTGAGCACTGCTGCTATAAATTTGCTATATTCCTTGATAGCTAGGATAGTCTGCCAACTTTGCTCTTTCTAAAATACATTTTTATATTTTTACAATATAAACAAAAATATATTCTAGGTCCTCTGCAGTTTCATATATGTTAAATTTATCTCTAAATATTTTGGGGTTTTTATGTCTCTCTTTTTTAGCTGGTTTTATTGAGATCTAATTGTGTACAGTGAAATTGTCAAATACAATGTTACATTCTAAAGAATGCCTTCAGGTTGAAAGCTGAGGTAATTTTAGGGCTCACCTCATTTGTTCTCTTTCTCTTTGGATCATTGTCCTGTGTTTTCTGTTTTCCATCATCTTTAAATAGTGGTTTCTTATTTTATTCAGTTTTCTTGTTGTTTATAGTGGGAGGGCAAATCTAGTACCAGTTACCTCACCATGACTATAAGCAGAAGTCCCTAATAACCAACTTTTAACAGTCTCATTTATTTGAGTGGTTACTCTGTGCCAGAAACTACACTAGTCATTCTTCATTGATTATTTTATTTCTTATGAATAATCTTATCAGGTAGTTACCAATGATCATCCCTATGTAAAGATAAGAAAATGAGGTTTAGAGAGGGTAAGAATTTATTGAGTAATAGACAGTAGCAAATGGCAGGGCTGGAATTCAAATTTTGGTAGTTGGATTCTGAAGCGAAGTGTTTAATCACTTTGCCAGTTGTACAAAAGCACTATATGAAAAACGATTTTAGATGACACACAGGTTAACTGTTTTTATTTTAGTAGCAAATTAATGTAATATATTTTATGTAATATATGTTAGAAAAAATATAGTTACCACATCTGATATGGTTTGGTTCTGTGTCCCCACCCAAATCTAATCTCCAATTGTAATCCCCACATGTTGAGGGAGGAACCTGGTGGGAGGTAATTGGATGATGGGGATGGTTTCCCCCGTGCTGTTCTTGTGATAGTGAGGGAGTTCTTACGAGATCTGATGGTTTTAAAAATAGCAGCTTTCCCTGCACGCTCTCTCTCTCCTGCCACCATGCGAAGAAGGCACCTAATTCCCTTCACCTTCCGCCATGACTGTAAGTTTCCTGAGGCCTCCCCAGCCATATGGAACTGTGAGTCAATTAAACCTCTTTTGTTTATAAATTACCCAGTCTCAGGTAGTATCTTCACAGCAGTGTGAAAATAGACTAATACAACATCTAAGCCATGATTTTTCAGATACTTTTGCTTGGGACAAGAGTGAGTAGATTTTTTTAAAATAAAAATATGAGTCTGTTTAAATATCTGTATTACAGGTCATAATCAGATATGGCAAGAACATGCAGGTGACAGAGAATATCTGCACTCTGGGAAGGTGCACTGACTACACGTATCCCTTCTGGCTTGGTGAATGTGGCTCCAGGCCTGCCCCTGTGTCCATGTGCATCTGTAGACATGGATGGATAGAACTAATTTTACATAAAGGAAACTCTCACTGCAACTTGCTTTCTTCATTCCACAATATGTGCTAGCCTTTGCCCTTACCCATACATAGAGAGAGTTCAAAGGCAGCCCCTCAGGCCTTTCTGTGTGGTTGATGCTCTTCCTTACCTGCAAGCAGCTTTTGGTGCCTTTATAGCAGGGGTCCCCAACCCCTAGGCCATGGACTGGTACTGATTTGTGGCCTTTTAGGAACCAGGCCACACAGCAGGAGGTGAGCAGCTGGCAAGAGAACATTACCACCTGAGCTCCACCTCCCGTCAGATCAGTGGGGGGCATGAAATTCTCATAGGAGCACAAACCCTGTTGTGAACTGTGCATGTGAGGGATCTAGGTTTCATGCTCCTTATGAGACTCTAACTAATGCCTGATGATTTGAAGTGGAACTGTTTCATCCCACAACCATGCCTTCCCCCTCTCTGTGGAAAAGTGGTCTTCCACCAAACTGGTTCCTGGTGCCAAAAAGGTTGGGGACCGCTGCTTTAGAGTACATCCACCTCACAGATGCTGTGAAAGTCAGGGTTCCAGGATCTCCATAGCAGGCCCTCAGTTATCCCAGCCAGCACAGAGCCCAAGAGGAAATGCACATAATTCACTGTGTAAGATGAAACTTAATCAAACTGGGAGGTAACAAAAGGCCCACAGCTCCAGCATCTGGTCTAGCAGAACCCACAGTACTCTGTGGGCCCATCACAGTAAGGCCCTGCCAGTTCACGAGGCAGTGGCCTCCCATGGCCCCATGGCCTCACTGAATCCTCACTAGGCCTTCATGCCCAGAGACCAGCCTGGATGATCCAGCTGAGACAAACGATGACTTGTCCAGGGCTGTAGAATGATGGAGGTGGGAATCAGCACCAGGAACTGTGCCAAGGAAACAGTTTAAGCATACTCTCACATGTAACTGTCATCACACCAGGGCTGGGGATTCAGAGCACCATCCTGGAGATGCGGCACTTGAGGTCAGTGTGTCTGGGTGCCTGGTCCCAGGTCCCTCTGACTCCGGAGCCTGTGCTTCTAGCCCCTACTCTGCAGGAAAAGCATGCTTGCTGCCCAGACAGACTGCACCATCTAGAAGGAGAGGGACACTAGCCTTTCTGATGACTCATATTTTGTCTGTGTAACAGGGACCATCTGACCCATCCTGGAAGAAGCAGGTGAGGACAGCACAGGCAGGATGTTTGACATTCCTACTGTCCTGGGACACATGATCCCAGGAACACATGATCCCCTCACTGCTGCGTGCAGTTGGAGTTCTCAGAAAGCAGAGGTTAGCAAAGGCTGGAGTGATCAGAGTAGGCTGTCTGCAAGAGGCAGAAGGGCTGGACTGTGACCAAACTGAGTGAATCTTCAGGGAATGGATCTAAGGGACAAGTGCCCAAGCAGAGGCAGCCAAAGGATGGAGCATGGAAAAGGCCCAGGGTGCAGAAGCCCAGTCAGGGACATCCATGGCAATGGTGCTCATGGGCATGGACCCTCAGCTCAGTGAGAAGTCACTCTCAACACCTGGCTCAACTGCAGCGCAGATTCCATTTCATCTGCAACTTGGTTTTCCATGATGGGGGGAAAATATCCCCAAACCCGCCACATGGGTGCCTCTGATCAAAGCAGCCCTTCATGTTTCCTTTCCTGGAGTGACAGGAATAGCACACTCTGTGTCACCTATGTGCTTTTCTTTCTCGGGGATTCACTTCTGACCTTGTCTCCAACCACTCATCACCCAGAGCCGGCTTGGGGGTTGGTGCAGTTGCTCTGTGGGGCACATCAAGTGCCTTTGTTCCTGAGCGCCTGCACTCAGCGCAGCACCCTCCTCTTGCCCTCTGGGAAAGTTCTCCTCTCTCCCCTTTTTCCCAACATTGCTCTTCCTCCCGCCCAGGATTTCTGCCTGAAAGGATTGATGTTGTGTTTAATTTTCCCTCTCTGCCTGACTACCAGATGAGCTGGTTGCCAACTCTCTTCTCCAATTCAGATAAGAAGTTTGTCGTGTCCGAAGGACAAACTTTCAGAGTAATGTCCCCTTTTCAACACTGACAAATCAAAGCCATGGCTGTATATAATAGATCCTGGTCATAGTAACAACACCAGTGCTACTCAAGGGTCTTATAGCTCTCCTTCCCTCTCGCCCCATCTATGGCCCTGACATCTCTCACCTATCAGACAGTGTCATCTGGATACCCCATGCACAGTCTCTGTGTCACTGTGTGCTATTCCTTCTCTGGGGTCCACTTCTGGCCCTGTCTTCAACCACTCTCATTCCCACCCTCACTCTGACTGTGGACAACTACCGCATTTCTCAGCTGGTCCCAACTTTCAACACTCCCCCAACCCACGCTGCTACCAGGCTTCTTTCTCTAAAATTCTGACTTCATCCCATCACTCCTGAGGCCCCTCTTAGCCTGTGGCTTCCCCATTTGAGTTATGAACCTTGGGAGATGGCAGAGGGTGAGTGGTATTAGGTAGCAAGGCCAGGCGCTGGGCACCTCCAGAAGGGAGCTGGTGGATGCATTGAGCCAGGAGTCTTCAAAAGAAATCAGCTTTATGTTCTAACAAGATTAGGTAAGTGGTATCCCAACAACCCCGGGGGCCCCTCTCATAATTAAAGGCAGGCTTGAGTTTTACGGGGCTTGGGGCCCGTAGCTAAGCCCTTGGATCCAGTTCCCCCAGAAGCAGCCGCCTCTTCTCCACCTGCAGCTGGCACTCACCTTTAACTTTTTCACAGCACACTGCTCTCCTGGTTTTATCACTTCATTCACTCTTGACACAGACACAGACAGCAAAGGACAGGCTGGCAGCCTGCAGTGGCTGTCCCTCCTGCTGCCTGGTGTACATGGGCAGCTGGGGTGAATGCAGAGGGGCCGGACAGCTTCCAAGTCAGCTCTGGGGAGCACACATCTTGGTTTGCTGTGCCCCAGAAGTCATCTCCTCCTCCAGGAGCCCTTGGACCCCGCAAAGGGGTTGGAACTGGATGTTAGGGAGAAAGACATCGCAGATAAGCCACACTTAGGGCAAAAAGCTTGGTCAGGGCCAGACACATTGGAGAGTCCTAGGAAGACATCACAGGTGGAGGTGTGCAGAGAAGATGCAAATATAACAGGAGGGATGATAGCTGAAAGGAGAAAAACAGAGTTGAAATTCAATAATTTGTGTGCCCCTGTCCTAATTTCTCACAATCCCACCTATCACCAGGACTATTGTTGTCTACAGTTTGTCTATAAATTAATTCACTTAAAAAAACCTTAAGCACAGCAGGGTGACTACAGTCAACAATAATTCATTGCACATTTAAAAATAACTAAAAAAGTATAAATGGGAGTGTTTGTAACACAAAGAAATGATAAATGCTGGAGGGGATGGATACTCCAGTTACCCTGATGTGATTGTTACAAATTGCATGCCTGTATCAAAATATCTCATGTACCCCATAAATATATACACCTACTATGTACCCATAGAAGCTTAAAAAATAAAATAAAATAAATAAAAATCAATTCAGTAAATAAAATCCCTTAAATATTCATATTTATTTGTTTATTTATTTATTTTTTTTGAGACAGAGTCTCACTCTGCCACCCAGGCTGGAATGCAGTGGTGCGGGCTCAGCTCACTGCAACCTCTGCCTCCCAGATTCATGCAATTCTCCTGCCTCAGCTTCCTGAGTAGCTGGGATTACAGGCCCATGCCACCACACCCAGCTAGTTTTTGTATTTTTAGTAGAGACAAAGTTTCACCATGTTGGCCAGGCTGGTCTCAAACTCCTGACCTCAGGTGATCTGCCCACCTCAGCCTCCCAAAGTGCTGAGCTTATAGGCATGAGCCACTGCACCTAGCCTAAATACTCATATTTAAACAGGCAAATTTTACCAAAGGAAGAATTGGGACAGGACGGTGTCTTTCTTTTATTGCATTTTTCCTGCACTTATTTTTTTTTAAATTACTTACTCATTTTTAATTGACAAGAATGGTATATGCTGTATTATGTAAAACCTGATCTTTTGAAATTACATGTATATTTTAAAACATTGAACTAATTAACATTTGTATTTCCTCACATACTTATTTTTTGTGGTGAGAACACTTAAAATCTCAGTGATTTTCAATAACACAATACATTGTTACTATGGTCACCATGTTGTACAACAGATCTCTGGAACTTATTCCTCCTGACGAACTGAAATTTTGTACCCTTCGACCAATATCTCCTCAATCCCCCACCCCTAGCCTCTGGTAACCACCATTCTACTCGGTGCTTTTATGAATTCGATTGTTTTAGATTCCACATATATGTGAGATCATGAGATATTTGTCTTTCTGGGCCTGACTTATTTCACTTTATAAAATGTCCTGTAGGCTCATCCATGTCACAAATGACAGGATTTCCTGCTCTGAGAAGCAGCCCTGCCCATCCTCCTTCCCAGGGAGAATCTAGGGGTGGGGATAGGGAAACAGAGGAACCCTCCTTCCGCTCCTTGCATTTCATGGGTTTGGAAGTCCTGGAGTGGTGGAAACCTATGCCATGTCTCCCAGGGGGATCCAGAGGCAGGATCCCTCCTACAGAAGCCCCTGTAGCTGCAGGAGGCTTCCAGGCAAGAAGTCCCGAGTTCCCCTACACACTCCAGGGAGCAGCCGATCATCGTCCTGTGTGGCCAAAGTCAGTTCCGGTAGGTGCTGCTGGTTCCTTACCCAGTGTCCACTCAACCCCTCCCATGATTTTCTCCTGGATTCAGTGAGAAACATTCGCTTATCCAGACCCCTTTGCAGCCAGAGAACCCTTGCGAGTGCTGGCAAATGGGCTAAAAATGGAAACACATGATGGGCCTTCTGGAAAAGACGTTCCCTAATAAAAAGCGAAGGCGTTCAGTGATGTGTCTGCTCTTTGTTCTACCCTTGCCTTCCTGCCTCGAATGAGAATATCAAGAGGCCCCTGGCACACAGGGACTTGCAATATAAAATACGAAACCTCCTTGGGAAGAGTAGGACAAAAACCACATGCTGTGTGTGGCAGAGCAGAAAGAGAGGAGCCAGTCATCTCCCTGCTCAGTTAGGATTGCTTTTGGCTGCATGTAATAGATACTTGACAACAGTGGCTTAGCCAAACAGGAATTTATTTTTCTGTCATAAGGAAAATTCCAGAGGGAGACAGATCAGGCAGCTGCAGCCTCAACTGGTGGCATAAAGCCTGGGGAGAGGGACTTTTAGTGGGGCCTTTGCTCATTTACAGGCCAGCTGGGGCCATATTACCCAAAACAAAAAGACAAAAACAGTAATTGGCAAGTGAATGTGAGTTTCACAATCCACAGATTAGGTTGCAGGAAGTGACATTTTTATCTTTCTATTACAACTAAATTATGTCCCCAGACCTAACTGGGCCCCATGGGAGGAAAACTAATGTAGTTTAGCCAGTGAATTCAATCAGCTCAGGGCCAATTTGGTCAAAGTGAGTTGTTCTCTTTCTTTCTTTGTCCCCAACATGGCATCAAAATGGTCCATCTGAGGCAAAGCACAGTGGCTCATAACTGTAATCTCAGCACTTTGGGAGGCTGCGACTCGAGGATCACTCGAGTACAGGAGTTTGAGACTAGCCTGGACAATGTATTGAGACCCCATCTCTACACAAAATTTTAAAACGAGCTGGGCACAGTGGCCTGCGCCTGTGGTCCCAGGTACATAGGAGGCTGAGGCAGGAGGATCGCTTGAGTCCAGGAGGTGGAGGCTGCAGTGAGCTGTGATTGTACCACTGCAACTCCACCCTGGGCAACAGAGCAAGACTCTTTCTCCAAGAAAAAAGAAGGTCCATTGGTACCGTGGAGTACCACTCACCAGTACTACTCAAAACAGCACAAATGAATCTCAAATGTTAAACTATGTGGAAGCAGCTAGGCTCAAAAGATGATATTGTGTATTGGTCCATTTATATGACATTCTGGAAAAGACAAATCCACATGGACAGAGGACAGATCAGTGGTTGCCAGGGGCCAGAGGTTGGGGGAGAGTTGTTGACTCCAAAGGAGCACAAGAAAATTGGGAGGGGAGAGACAGGATGTTCTAGATCTTAATTGTGTTGGTTACACATTTGCCAAAACCCACAGAAGTTTCCACTAAAAACAGTAAATTTTACTGTACATCAATTATACTTCAATAAACCTGATTTTTAAAAATAGAGGGAGGATCTTGAGCCTCAGAAGGCAGAGATCATGTCTATTTTCCTCACCATTAAATTCCTGGCATCCAGCACACTATTGAATGAATGAATGAATGGATATCTAAAATGAGAGCTTTCTCATTCCAGAAAAGTTATTCAACTCTATATTCTATAACAATTTTTGGTTTTTAGAGAGACAGTCTTGCTCTATTGCCCAGGCTGGAGTGTAGTGGCATGATCATAGCTTCCTGCAGCCTGAAACCCTCGGGCTCAAGTGATCCTCCTGCCTCAGCCTCCCAAGTAGCTGGGACTACAGATGGATGCCATCATGCCTGGCTATCTTTTTTTTTTTGTAGAGATGGGTCTCACTATGTTGCCCAGCCTGGTCTTGAACTCCTAGCCTCAAGCGATCCTCCCGTCTTAGCCTCCCAAAGTGCTGGGATGACAGGCATGAGCCCCCCCGACCCAGCCTATAACATTTTAATTATACCAAGAAACTTTCCTCCCTCTTTGGCTGGTGGGAGTAGCAACAAAATGACAAGGTATAGAACAAGGGAAATACTTGATTTGTGGGGCTTCTTCCTGTTGTTGAAACGGGAAAGAGATTAATCTAACTCTCAAATGGTCTTTGTTAGTAGAGTATGATGTTCAATGGCCATTTCCACCCAATCACCTAAAATCAGGAGTGGGTATGAGAGGACCAAGGCAGAGAAAGTAAAGATAAGTAACATTTAGTAAGCACCTTCCATGTTCTTGTGCTTTACATGTACAAATTTATTTCATTTCCACAGCAAACCTTTAAGGAAGACTTGACACCGACATCTTACAGGACAGGATCAGAAAAGCAAGCGGGCTCTGGTCCTCTCGATGTCCACAACACTTACCCCTCAGGATTTTCTAAGATGGGATGTCACATACAGGAGGGCCTACACGCAGAAGGCAGCCAAGAGATGGATGAAAAAGATTTGGGTATTTTTTTAAGCACTAAATGGTTATGGTAAAGTATTCTTTGGAGGGAAGTGAGGGGGGAGGTGAGGGAAAAAAAGTTTTTTTGTGTAACATCAACAAGTATAAAGTGAAATTTAGGGTTTCTTATCATCCTTGGCTTCTTGTAGCCTCCCCAGATATAATTAATATTATCAGATATCCTTTCCAGAGATAATTCATAGATATATAGCATATATATAGATAATATCATATATAATACACTATGTTAATAAAATATCTAAAATATTTATAATAATATCAAGTGTTAATACAGTGTTACCACACTATGTTAATAAAATATCTATAATATTTATAATATCTAGTGTTAACACAATATGATATTAATAAAATATCTAAGACATTTAAAATATCTAGTTTTAACACACTGTGATATTAATAAAATATCTATGATATTTATAATATCTAGTGTTAACACACTATGATATTGAGAAAATATCTTTATATTTGTCTTAGGTAGTGATAACATACTATGATATTAAGAAAATATGTATGATATTTACATGACCTTGTGTTAACATACAGTGTAAACACACTATGATATTAAAAAAAAACTAAGATATTTATAATATACAGTGTTAACACACAGGGTTAACACATTATGATACTAAGAAAATATCTATGATATTTATAATATCTGAAGTTAACACACAGTGTTAACACACTATGATATCCATAAAATACCTATGATATTTATTAATGTAAACACACAATGATATTAATAAAATATCTATGATATTTATAATCTCTAGTGTTTACACACAGTGTTAACACACAATGATATTAATAAAATTTCCATATTTATAATATCTAGTGTTAACAAACTATGATATTAATAAAATTTCCATATTTATAATATCTAGGGTTAACACACTATGATACTAATAAAATATTCAGTTTTAACACTATACTATTAATAAAATATCCATTATATTTATAATATCTTGTGTTAACACCTGTGATACTAATAATAAATCCATAATAATCATATGTAATGTATCACATAGTGTTAACACACTATGACATTAATAAAGTATCCATGATATTTATAATATCAAGTGTTAACACACTAGGATATTAATGAAATATCCATAATATTTTAAATATCTAGTGTTAACACACTAAGATATTAACAAGATATGATATTTATATCTAGTGATAACATGCTATGATATTAAGAAAATATACATGATAATTACTATATCCAGAGTTAACACAGAGTGTTAACATACTATGACATTCATGAAATAGCCATGATATTTATAATATCTAGTGGTGACACACTATGATATGAATAAAATATCCATGATATTTAAAATATCTGATGTAAACACACTATGATATTCATAAGATATCTTTGATATTTGTAATATCTAGAGTTAAAACACAGTGTTAAACCCACTATGATATTAATAAAATATTTGATATTTATAATATCTAGTGTTAACACATTATGATACTAACAAAATATCTCTGATATTTATAATATCTAGTGTTAATCCTGTGTTTTAACACAGTTATTATGATATTCAAAATATCTAGTGTTAACACACTACGATATTAATAAAATATCAATGACATTCATAATATCTAGTGTTAACACACTGTGATATTATTGAAATATCCATGATTTTATAATACCTAATGTTAACACACTGAGATATTACTAATAATAATAAAATATAATGATATTTATAATGTCTAGTTTTAACACACTATGATATTAAGAAAATATCTGTGATAATTATATCTAGTATTAACACACAGTGTTAACACAGTATATTAATGAAATATCCATGATATTTATAATATCTAGTATTAACACACAGTGCTAAGTTATTTATAAAATATCTACAATATTTATAATATCTAGTGAAAACACTATGATATTAAAAAATCAATGATATTTATAACATCTAGTGTTAACACACGATATTAATAAAATATCTTGATATTTATGATATCCAGTGTTAAAACACTATGATATTAATAAAATATCTTTGATATTTATAATATGTAGTGTTAACACAGTGTGAACACATTATGGTATTAATAAAATATACATGATATTTATAATAACAAATGTTAATACTCAGTATTAACACACTAAGATATTAATGAAATATCCATGATATTTATAATACCTAGTTTTAACATACTATGATATTAATAAAATATTGATGATATTTTGCATGATATCCATGATATCCGTTATAGCCACATCAGAGTACATACCCACAGGGTGTACATCCACTGGAATATTAGGAATAATATCTTTCTAGATATTATGAATCATATCACGGGGTGTACATCCAGTGTGTACACCCACTGAAATACTAGGAGTGATATCTATTTAAGATGATAAAAACGACAACAAAGGCTGAATGCAAAGGGTGTACAATAACTGAGATATTAGGGATAATATCTCCCTAAGCTATTACAAATGACATGACAGAGTGTACACACAGGGTGAACACTCACTGGGATATTAGGAGTAATATCTCCCTAAGATATTACAAATAATATCACAGGATGTACACACAGGGTGTGCACCCACTGGAATATTATGAGTAATATCTCCCTAAGATATTACAAATAATATCACAGGGTATACACACAGGGTATACACCCACAGGGATATTAGGAGTAATATCTCCCTAAAATATTACAAATAATAACACAGCATGTACACACAGGGTATACACCCACTGGGATATTAAAAGTAATATCTGCCTAAAATATTACAGATATCACAGGGTGTACACCCACTGGGATATTAGAAGTAATATCCCCTTAAGATATTATGAATAATATCACAGGGTGTACCTCCACTGTGATATTAGGAGCAATATCTGTTTAACATATTAGAAATATTATCACAGTGTGTACACATACTGCGATATTAAAAGTAATATCTCCCTATGATGTTATAACTAATATCACAGGGTGAACGCATGTGGTGTACACCCACTGTGATATTAGGAGTAATATCTCCTTGGGTTGTTACGAATAATTTTCCAGGGTGTATGCACAGCGTGTATACCCACTGTGATGTTAGGAGTAATATCTTCATATTACATTATAAATAATATTTCAGGGTGTACACAAAGGGTGTATGCCCATGTTGATATTAGGAATTATGTCTTCCTATGACATTACAAATAATATCTCAGGGTGTACACACAATGTGTACATACACTGATATTAAAAATAATATCTGCCTAGGACATTACAAATAATATCCCGGGTGTACACACAGGGTGTACACTGACTGTGATGTTAGGATTAATATCTCCCTAGGAGATTACAAAGAATATCCCAGGGTGCACACACAGGTGTGCACCCACTGTGATATTATATTAGGAGTAATATCTCCCTATAATATTATGAATTATTTCACAGGCTGTACACCAACTGTGATATTAGGAGTAATATCTTCCTAGGATACTATGAATAATATTTCAGGGTGCACACTAACTGTGATATTAGGAGTAATATCTACCTAGGATATTACAAATACTATCCCAGGGTGTACACTTACTGTGAAACTAAGAGAAAAATCTCCCTGGGATATTACAGATAATATCCCAGGGTGTACAGTCACATTAACATTAAAAGCAATATCTCACTAGGATATTACAAATAATATGTCAGGGTGTACACCCACTGTGACATTAAAAGTAATATATCTCTAAAATATTATGAATATTTTCACAGGGTGTACACTTATGATGTACACTCACTGTGATATTGAGTAATATATTTCTATGATATGAATAATATCACAGACTGTACACACACTGTGATATTAGAAGGAATATCTCCCTATGATATTAAGAATAATATCACAGGGTGTAAACACATGATGTAAACCCACTGTGATATTAAGGGTAATATCTCTACACCCACTGTGATATTAGGAGTAATATCTCTCTAGGATATAACAAATAATATCACAGTTGGTGCACACACAGGGTGTACACCCTCTATGATATTAGATGTATTACATCCATAGCATATTATGAATAATATCACAGTGGGTGTACACACACACACAGCGAGATCTTACTCCTAATGTCACAGGGGGTGTACATTATGGGTGGAAACCCTGTGACATTATTCATAATATTCTAGGAAGATATTACTCTTAATGTCGCCGGGGGTATACACCATGTGTGGAAACCCTGTGACATTATTTGTAATATCTTAGGGAGATATTACACTTAATGTCACGGGGGTGATCAACGTTTGTGGACACCTCGTGACATTATTCATAATATCCTAGGGAGATATTACTTCTATGTCACAGAAGGTGTACCCTGTCTGTGGACACCTTCTGTGACATCATTCATAATATCATAGGGAGATAGTACTCTTAATGTCAAAGGGGGTGTACATCATGTGTGGAGATCATGTGACATTATTTGTAATATTTTAGGGAGATATGATTCCTAATATCACAGAAAATGTACAGCATGTGTAGACATCCTGTGACATCTTCCTAAGAGTAGTATCTTCCTAGAATATTAAGAACACAGTGGGTGTACACACAGCGTGTGCACTCACTGTGAGGTTATTCATAATATCCTATGAAGATAATACTCCTAATATCACAGAGGGTGTAGACAGTGAGTGTACAAGGTATACACAAGATGTGCACTCACTGTTATATGAGGAGTAATATCTCCTTAGAATATTACATATAATATCGGAGTGGGTATACACACAGGGCGATATCCTATTACAGTGCCTGTACACCCTTTGATATGATTCATAATATCCTAGGGAGATATTACACTTAATATCACAACACTTTGATATTAGGTGTAATATCTCCCTAGGATATTACAAATAATATCACAGGGTGTACACCCACTGTAATATTAGGAGTAATATCTCCCTAGAATATTACAAATAATATCACAGGGTGTACACTGACTGTGATATTAAAAAATATTATCACTAAAATATTATGAATATTATCACAGGGTGCACACCAACTATGATATTAGGAGTAATATCTCCTTAGAATATTAAAAATAATATCACAGGGTGTACACCCACAGTGATATTAGGAGTAATATATCCCTAGAATATTATGAATAGTATCACAGAGTGTACACCTACTGTGATATTAGGATTAATATATCCCTGGAATATTATGAATAATATCACAGATTGTACTCACAAGGTGTACACCCACTGTGATATTAGGAATAATATCTGCCAAGAATATTATAAATAACATCTGCCAAGTATATTATAAATAACATCATACAGAGTGCACCCACTGTGATATTACACGTAATATCTCCCTAGAATATTATGAATAACATCAATGGATGTACACACAAGGTGTACACCCACTGTGATATTAAGAGTAATACCTCCATAGGATATTACTAATTATATAACATTGTATATACCCACTGTGATATTAAGAGTAATAGCTCTCTAGGTTATTATGAATAATATCACAGTAGGTGTACACAATGTTGTACCCTACTGTGATATTAGAAGTAATATCTTTCTAGGATATTATGAATATCACAAGGTGCACACTCACTGTGATATTAGGAGTAATATCTCCCTAGAATATTACAAATAATATCACAGGGTGTACAAACATGGTGTACCCCTACTGTGATACTAGGAGTAATATTTCCCTAGGATATTACAAATAATATCACAGGGTGTACTTACATTGTGTACCTTCCCTGTGATACTAGGATTAATATCTCCCTGGGATATTATAAATAATTTCACTGAATGTACACAGATTCTGTATTCTCACTGTGATACTAGGAGTAGTATCTCTCTAGGATATTATGAATAATATCACAGGGTGAACACACATGGTGTACCCCTACTGTGATATTCACAATATCTCCCTAGGATATTGTGAATAATATCACAGGGTGTACACACATGGTGTACCCCCCACTGTCATACTAAGAGTGATATCTTCCAAGGATACTAGAAATAATGTCAAAAAGTGTACATATATGGTGTACACCCACTGTGATAGTAGGAGTAATACCTCCCTAGGATATTATAAATAATATCACAAGGTATATGCACATGGTGTACATTCACAGTGTTAATAGGAGTAATATTTTTCCAGGATATTACAAATAATATCATAGGGTCTACACACATGGTGTATACCCACTGTGATAGTAGGAGTAATATCTTCCTAGGATATTACAGATAATATCACAGGGTATACATGCATGGTGTACACCCATTGTGATACTAGGAGAAATATCTCCCTATGATATAATGAATAGTATAACAGGGTGTAGTCATATGATGTAAACCCACTGTGATATTAGGAGTAATATCTCCGTAGGATATGAGGGTATTGGGAGTAATATCTTCTCTTCCCCTGGATATTATGAACAGGGGAGTGTACAACCCTTGCAATGTAACAGGGGTTTGTACATTCCCTGCAATACTGGGTGTAATAGCATCTTATCTCCTTCTGGATATTATGAACAATATAACATTGGGGTGTACACCCACTGCAATATTGGGAGTAATATCATCCCCTCTTTCCCTAAATATTATGAAAAGTATCAGAGAGGGTGTACACTTCTTGCAATATTGCGAGTAATATCATCCCCGCCCCCCGGATAATACGAACAATATGATAGAGGAATGTACACCCTCTGCAGTATTGGGACTAATATTATTCCCTTTCTCCCTGCATATTACGTACAATATCACTGCGGGGTGCACACACCCTGTGATATTGGATGTAATATCATCCCCTCTCCTTCTAATATTACAAACCTTATTATAGGGAGTGTATTCCCACTGTGATATTGAGGGTAATATCATCTCCTCCCCTCCTGGATATTATGAAAAATGTAACAGAGGGTGTACACCTTCTGCGATATTGGAGGTAATATCATCCCTTTGTCTAATAAGAAGAAGTAATATCATCTTCTTCCCCCACTGAATATTATTAACAACATCACAGGGGGTTTACACACCCTGTGATATTGGGAGTAATATCATCCTCTCGCCCCCTAGATATTACCAACAATATCACAAGCAGACGTACACCTCCTATGAACAATATCACAGGAAGGAGTACACCCCCTACGATATTGAGAGTGATATCATCCCCTTTTTTTTCTAGATATTTTGAAGAATATCACAGGGGAGTATACACCCCCTGCGATATTGGAAGTAATATCATTCCCTACCCTTCCGGATATTACAAACAATATCACAGGGGGTGTACACCCCTTGTGATATTGGGAGTAATATCATCCCCTACCACCCTGGATATTACAAACAATATCACAGAGGGTATACACCTTCTGTGATATTGGGAGTAATATCATCATCTTCCTTCCCTGGATATTACAAACAACATCACAGGGGGGTTTACAACCCCTGAGATATTGGGAGTAATATCGTCCTCTTCCCGCCTAGATATTATGAAAAATATCACAGAAGGGTGTACACACCCTGCGATATTGGGAGTTGTACAACCCCAAAGATATGGGGAGTGTTATAACCCTCTCCTCCCCTGAGTGTTATGAACCATATCACAGAGGGGTGTACACGCCCCTGCGATATGGGGAGTGATATCATCCTCTCCCCCTCTGGATGTTACGAACCATATCACAGGCGAGTGTACACTCCCCAGCGATATGGGGTGTATTATCATCCACTCCCCACCGGATCTTACAAACCATTTCACAGCAGAGTGTACACACCCCGTGATATCAGGAGTAGTATCACCCTCTCCCCTCCTAAATATTACAAACCCTATCCCAGGGGGGTGTACACTCAAGGTGTTTACGATATTGGAAGTAATATATTCTCCCCTCTGGATATTAGAAACAACATCACCCGGGAGGGTGGGTGTACAGCCACTGCGATATTGGGCATAACTTCATCCTCCCTCTTCCTCTGGATATAGGAATTATACTACAGGCGGGGTGTACACCCCCTGCGATGTTGAAACTCATGTCATCCTCTCTTCCCCTGCATATTAGGAACAATATCACAAGGGGGTGTGGACATTTTCTGTGATATTGAAAGTAATATCATCTGCTTAGCTTCTGGATATTAGGAACAATATTACAGAAATGGTGAACACCCCCTTCGATATTGGGAATAATATTATCTTCTGCTCCCTAAATATTAAGAACAATACCACAAGCGGGCTGTACACCCTTTGCTATATTTGGACTAACATCAAACTCTCCTTTTCTGGATATTAGGAAGAATATCACTGGGCGGGGTGTACTCTCCCAGTGATATTGATAGTAATAGAGTTCTATCCCCCACTGGACATTAAAAGCAATATCACAGGCGGGTTGTACAGCCCCTGGGATATTGGGAGTAATATAATCGTTTTTCCACCTGGGTATTAGAAACAATATCACCAGGGGGGTGTACAGTTCCTGCAATATTGGGAGTAATATCATCCTGTCCCCCCTGGATATCAGGAACTATATTACACTTGGGGTGCACACCTTCTGCGATTTTGGGAGTGATATTCTCTTCTTATCTAGATGTTAGGAACAATATCGCAGAGGCAGTGTAAACTCCCTGAGATATTGGGAGTAATATCATCCTATTTTCCCCTGGATATTAGGAACAATGTCACAAGAGGGTTGTACACTCTTTGCGATATTGTAAGTAATGCCATCCTCTCCACTACTGAATATTAGGAACAATATTAAAGTGGGGATGAACACTCCCTGCGACATTGAGAGTATATCATCCTCTCTCTGCAGCGGATATTAGGAACAAATTTACAGGAAAGATGTCCACCCTTTGCGATATTGGGAGTAATATTATTTTCCCCTTAGGTATTAGGAACAATATTACATGGTGGGTGACCAGCCCCTGCAATATTTGGAGTAATATTAACATATCCCCACCTGGATATTAGGAATAATACAACAGGGGGGTGTACACATCCTTCGATAATGGGAATAATATGATTCTCTTTCCCCTGGATATTGGGAACAATATCACCGAGAACGTATACACTTCCTGCAATATTGGGAGTCACATTATCTTCTCCCCCCACCGGGCATTAGAAACAATATCACGGGGCGGGGGGGCACTGTGTACACTTTCTGCAATATTGGGAGTAATATCATCTTCTTTTCCCTGGATATAGAGAACAATATCACAGGGAGGGAGTACATCTGCCCTTCAATATTGGTAGTAATATTATCCTCTCCCTCCCTGGATACTGGAAACAATATCACAGAAGGGGTTTATACACCCTGCAATATTGGGAGTAATGGCATTCTCTTTCCTTCTGGATATTAGGAAGAATATCACAGGGTGCTGTACATCCCCTGCGATATTGGGAGTAAAATCATCCTCTCCCGCCCTGTACATTAGGAAAAATATCACCAAAGTGGTGTACATTCTTTGCGATATTGGGAGTAATATCATCCTCTCTTCCCTTGGATATTAAAAACGATATCACAGGCGAAGTGTACACCCTCTGCGATAATGGAAGTTGTATCTTCCTCTCCCCCCCGGATATTAGAAACAATATCTTATTGCAGGTGTACACTCTTTAGGATATTGACAGCAATATCATCGTCATCCCCATGGATATTAGAAACAATATCACAAGCAAAGTGTACAACTTCTACAATATCGGGAGTAGTATCATCCTCTCTCCCACGGGAATTAGAAGCAATATCATGTGTGAGGGATGTACACCTTCTGCGATATTGGGAGTAATAACATCCTCTTTCCCCATAGATATTAGGGACCATATCACAGGGAGAGTGTACACCCCCTGCGATTTAGGGAGTAATATTATCCTCTCACCTTCTGATATTAGGAAATCTATCACAGCAGGGGGTGCAAAATTTTGGGGATATTAATCATAATACCTTCGTCTGTCCACCTGGATAATAGGAACAATATCACAAGGGGGGTGTACAACCTCCACGATATTGAGAGTAATAGCATCCTCTCCCCCCCGGTTATTAGTAAATATATCACAGGGGGGAATGTACACAACCTGCGATATTGGGAGTAATATCATTTTCTCCCCTTCTGGATATTACAAACAATATCACAAGAGGGTTGTACAATCTCTATGATATTGGGAGTAAGAACATTCTCTCCCTCTCTGGATATTAGGAACAATATCAGGGGTGCTGTACACCACCTGCGATATTGGGAGTAATATCATCCTCTTTCCCCCTGGATATTAGAAACAATATCACAGGGATGGTGTAACCATCTGAGTAATTAGGAATAATGTTATCTTCTCCCCACCCTAGATATTAGGAACAATATGACAGGAGAGGTGTACAGCCCCTGTGATATTTGGAATAATTTTATTATCTCCTCCCTGGATATTAGGAACAATATCACAGGGGTGGTGCACACACCCTTTGATATTGGGAGTAATATCATTCTCTTTTCCCTTGATATTAAAAAGAATATCACGGGAGGGTGTACACCCTCTGTAATATTGGGTGTAATATCATCCTTTCTTCCTCTGGATATTAAAAACAATACCATAGAGGGGGTGTACACCCCATGCGGTATTGGGAGTAATATCATCCTCTTTCTCATGGATATTAGGAACCATATCACAGAAGGGGTGTACACCTTTTGCGATATTGGAAGTAATGTCATCCTCCCCCCTGCTTGATTTTAGAAACAATATCACAGGGCTGGTGTACATCCCCTGAGATATTGAGAGTTATATCATCCTCTCTTCCCCTGGAAATTATGAACAATATCACGGGGGGGGTTTACACTTTCTGCAATATTTGTAATAATATCATCTTCTGCCTGCCCTGGATATTAGGAACAATATCACAAGGGAGGTGTACACTCCCTGTGATACTGGAAGTCATATCACCCTCTCTCCCCCTGGATACTGACAGCAATATCACAGAAACTGTGTATACCATCTGCAATATTGAAAGTAATATTATTCTTTTCTAAACTTTAGGAAGTATATCAAAGGGTGAGTGTACACTTCCTGTGATACTGAAATAATATCAGCCTCTAGCCCTTTGGATATAAAAGCAATTTCACAGCAAGGGTGTACACCCCCTGAAATACTGGAATTACTATCATCCTCTCTCCCTCACGATATTAGAAATAATATCACAGTGGGTGTGTAAACCCCCTGCAATATCCTTCTGTGGATATTAGAAACAATATAACAGAAACAATATAACAATGTCACAGCCCCTGTGATATTGGGAGTAATATCATGCTCTCCACTTCTGGATATTAGAAACAATATCACATGGGGGTGTACACCCACTGCGATATTGGGAGTATTATCATCTTCTTCACCCCTGGATATTAGGAAGAATATCACAGAAATGGTGCATACCCCTGTGATTTTGGAAGTAATATCCTTCCCCTTCGCATATTAGGAACAATATCACAGAAGGGATGTAGACCCCTCTCGATATTGGGAGTAATATTAGTCCTTTTCTCCCCTGGATATTAGAAACAATATCATGGGGGGGTGAAAACCACCCTTGATATTGGGAGAAATATCATTCTTTTCCTCCCCTGGATATTAAAAGCAATATCGCAGGAGGGGTGTACATTCACTGCACTATAGGAAGTCATATCATCCTCTCCTTCCCTAGATATTAGGAACAGTATCACAGTGGTGGCACACACCCGTGCAATATTAGGAGTAATATCATCCTTTTTCCCCCTGGATATTAGGAACAATATCACAAGTGGGTGGTTACACACCCCGCAATACTATGAGTAATATCACGATCTTCACAATGGATATTACAAACCATATCACAGAAAAATGTACACCCCCCGGGATATGGGGAGTAATATCACCATCTCCCCCTCTGGATATTACGAACCATAACACACTTCTTGCAATATGGGGAGTAATATTACCCTCTCCCCCTGTGGATATTATGAACCATATCAAACCCTCAACGATATGGGGAGTAATATCATCCTCTCACCCCCAGGATATTGCAAATGATATCACAGGGGTGTGTACACTCCCTGGGATATGGGGAGTAATATCACCCTCTCCACCCCTAGATATTGTGAACCATATCACAGGGGGCTGTATGCCTCCTGCGATAAAAGGCGTGATATCACACTCTCCCCTACTGGATATTACAAACCATATCACAGGGGGGTGCACACCCCCCACAATATGGGGAGTTAGATATCACCGTCTCCCCCGCTGAATATTGTGAACCACATCGCGGCGTGATGTACTCCCCCCGTGATATGGAGAGTAATATTACCTTCTCTTCCATGGATATTGCGAACCATATCACAGGGGGCTGAACACACCACACGATATAAAAAGTAATATCACCCTCTCCCACCATGGATATTGTGAAACATATCAGGGGGGCTGTACACCCCCTGTGATAAGTGGTGTAATATCATCCTCTCCGACACTGGATATTAGGAACAATATCATAAGTGGGCAGTTACACCCACCCCCCCCTCGCGATACTGGGAGTAATATTATCCCCTCCACCCCTGAATATTATGAACCATATCACTGTGGGTGTACACCCCCCACGATATGGGGAGTAATATCACCCTCACCCCCACCCCCGCCACGGATATTATGAACCATATCATCGGGGATGTACAACTCCAGCGATATGGGGAGTAATATCACCCTCTCCCCCCTGGATATTATGAACCATGTAACAGGGGAGTCTACACCACCAGTGATATGGAGAGCAGTCACACTCTCTCCCCCACCGGATGTTATGAACCATATCACCTGAAAGTGTAGACTTCCCGCGTTATGGGGAGTAATATCACCCTCTACCCCCCTGAATATTATGAACCATATCACAGGGAAGTGTACAACCCCTGTGATGTTGGCAGTAATATAATTCTCTTTCCCCCTGGATGTTAGGAACAGTATCACGTGGGAGGGGAGTGTACATGCATGGCAATATTGAGCGTAATATCAATCTCTTTCCTCTAAATATTGGGAATAATATGACAGGAGGGGTGCACACCCCATGGGACATTGAGAGTAATACCATCCCCTCTCTCCCTGGATATTAGGAACAATATCACAGGAAGAGTGTACACCCCCTGCGTTATTGGGATTAATATTATTTTCTCCCCCAATGGATATTAGGAATAATATCATGGGGGGTGTAAACCCTTTGTGATATTGAGAGTAATATCATCCTCTCCCCACTGGATATTAAGAACAATATCACAAGGTGGGGTGTACACCTTCTGCGATATTGGGAGTAATATCTTCCTCTCCCCCATGAAATATGAGAAGTAATACCACATGGTGGGTGTACACCCCTTGCGATATTGGGAGTAATAACATCCTCTCCCACCCAGGGTGTTAGGAACAATATCACAGGAGTGGTGTACAGCCCCTGTGATGCTAAGAGTAATATCCTCTTCTCTCCTGGAGATTACAAACAATATCAATGTGGGGGTGTATAACCCCTGGGAAATTGAGTGTAATATCATCCTCTCCTCACCTGGATATTAGGAACCATATCACAGAATGGTATGGTGTACGCCCCATGTGAATTTGGTAGTAATACCACTTTCTTTCCCACAGGATATGAGAAACAATATCAAAAGGGTTGTGTTCACCCCCTGATATACTGGGAATGATATTATACTTCCCCCCCGAATATTAGGAACATTATTATGTGGGGAGTGTCTACCCCCTGCAATATTGGGAGTATTTTTATCTCTTCACTTGGATATTTGGAACAATATCACAGGAGGGGTGTATACGCCCTGTGATATTTTAAGTAATGTCATCCTCTCCCCCCGGCTATTAGATACAATATCACAGGGGTTGTACACCCCCTGCGATCTTGGGAGTAAATTTATTCTCTCTCCACCTAAATATAAGGAACAATTTCACATGGGGAGTGTACACCTTCTGCAATATTGACAGTAATATCATCTTCTTTTCCCCTGGATATTAAGAACAATATCACAAGTAAGGTGTACACCCACTGCGATGCTGAAAGTAATATTATCCTCTTCCCTCAAAGATATTAGGAACAATATCACAGAAGAGGTGTACACCAACTGCGATATTGGCAGTGATATCATCATCTCCTCTCGTGGATATTAAGAACAATATCACAAAGGGGTGCACAACTCCTGTGATATTGAGAGTAATACTATCCTCTCACCCCCTGGATATTTGGAACAATATCACAAAGGATATCCCCCGCAATATTGGGAGTAACATCATCCACTCCCCCCCTAGATATTAGAAACAATATCACAGAAGGGGTGTACACCACCTGCGATAATGAGAGTCATGCCATCCTCTCCTTCATGGATATTAGGAACAATCTCACTGGGGAATGTGCATCCCCTGGGATATCTTGAGTAATATCATTCTCTCTTTCCCTAGATATTTGGAACAATATTACAAGGGAGGTGTACAAATCCTGTGATATTAGGAGTAATATAATTTCCCCCCTGAATATTAGGAACAATATCAAAGAAATAGTATACACCCTCTGCGATACTGGGTGTAATATCACAAACTGTGTTACCTCTCCAGAATATTACGAATAATATCCCAGGTTGTACACACATGTTGTACACTCACTGTGATATTAGGAGAGTAATATCTCCACATGATATTACAAATAATATCCCAGAGTGTACACACATGGCGTAAACCTACTGTGATATTAGGAGAGTAATATCTCCCAAGGATATTACAAATAATATTCCAGGGTGTACAAAAATGGTGAACACCTATTGTGATATTAGGAGAGTAATATCTCCCCAGGATATTACAAATAATAAACCCAGGATGTACAAACAAGATGGAAATGCACTGTGACATTAGGAGAGTAATATCTCCCCAAAATGTTATGAATAATATCCAAAAGTATACACACATGGTGTAAACCCAATGTGACATTAGGAGAGAAATATCTCCCAAGGATATTACGAATAATATTCCAGGGTATACAAACATGGTGAACACCTACTGCGATATTAGGACAGTAATATCTCTCAGGATGTTATGGATAATATCCCAGAATGTACAAATATGGTGTAAACAAACTGTAACATTAAGAGAGTAATATCTCCCCAAAATACTACGAATAATATCCCAGGGTGTACACACATGATGTACACCCTCTGTGACATCAGGAGGGTATCATCTCTCAAGGATATTAAGAATAATGTTCCAGGTGGTACACAAATATTGTATACCCACTGTGGTATTAGGAAAGTAATAACTCCCAAGGATATTATAAATAACATCCAGGGTGTACACACATGGTGTACACCCAGTGTAATATTAGGAGAATAACATCTCCCCCGGATATTACGAGCGATATCCCAGAGTGTACGCACATGGTGTACACTTACTGTGATATTAGGAGACTAATATCTTCCCTGGATAATACAAATAATATCCCAGGGTGTACCCACCTGGTGTACACCCACTGTGATATTAGGAATAATATCTCCCCAGGATATTATGCATAATATCCCAGGGTGTACATACATGGTGTATATCCACTGTGACATAATGAATAATATCTTTCCAGGATATTACGAACCATATCCCAGGGTGTACACCCACTGTGATATTAGAAGTAATATCTCCCCTGGATATTATGAATAATATATTTGGGTGTACACTGACTGTAATATTAGGAATAATATCTTCTCAGTATATTAGGAATAATATCCCAGAGTGTACACACATGGTGTAAACCCACTGTGATATTAGGAGGTAATATCTCGCAAGGATATTACAAATAGTATTCCAGGGAGTACAAATATGGTGAACACTTACTGTGATATTAGCAGAGGAATATCTCCCGGGGATGTTACGAATAATATCCAAAGACGTACAAACAAGGTGTAAATGCACAGTGACATTAGGAGAGTAATATCTCCAAAACTATAACAAATAATATCCCAGAGAGTGTATACACATAATGGTTACATTACATGTAACCAGAGGGTTACATTAAGATTAACAACCCCCTAAGATATTACAAATAATATAACCGGGATTGTACACATGGTGTACAAGCACTGTGACATTAGTAGCAGCATCCCCTTAGGATAATAGAAATGATATCACCCCCTGTGGTGTACACACATGGCGTACAACCACTGTTTTATAGGAGTAACATCCACCAAAATATTAGAGATAATATCCCCCTAGCTTACTACGAATAATATCACAGGGGTTGTACACACATGCTATAGAACCCGTGAGATATTAAAGTTAAAATCACCAAAGGTTATTAGGAATAACATAACGCAGCGGTGTACACACATAGTGTACAACCCAAGTTACATTAGGAGTAACATGCTCCTTGGATGTTATGAATAATATTACAGGGTGTGTACACACTTGGCGTACACCCACTGTGACATTAGGAGTAATATCCCCTTAGAATATTACGAATGTTAACATAGGAGGTGAACACCCACAGTGATATTAGGAGTTATATCTTCCTAAAGTAATTCAAATAATATCACAGTGTGTACACCGTGTGTGTACATGCACTGTGATGTTTGCGGTAATATCTTCTTAGGATATTACATATATTATCACAGAATGTACATACCCTGTGACATTAAAAGTAACAAACCTCTAGAAAATTGTGAATAATATCACAAGGTGCACACCCCCTGTGGCATTATAAGTAATATCATCCTAGGGTATTACAAATAATATCACAGGAAAGACAACCCCTGTGACATTAGAAGTAACATCACCCTAGGATGTTACCAATAATATCACAGTGTGTACCCCCAATGTGAATTTAGTAACATCCCCCTATAATATTACCAGTAATATCACAGGATGTACACCCTCTGTGACATTAGGAGTAACAACCACCTAGGATATTAAGAATAATATCACAGTATGTACACCAGTTCTGACATTAGGAGTAACATACTCCTAGGATATTATGAATGATATCACTGGGTGTACACCCCCTGTAACATTAGGAGTAACATCTCCCTAGGATATAACGCATAATATCACAGGGTGTACACTCCCTGCGAAATCAAAAGTAACATCCCCCAAAGAAATTATGATAAATATCACAGGGTTTACACCCGCTGTGACATTAGGAGTAACATCATCCTAGAATATAACAAATAATATCACAAGTTATAGATCACCTGTGACATCAGAAGTAACATTCACCTAAGATATTATGAATAATATCACAGAGTGTACACAAACTGTGACATAAGACATAATATCACCTAGGATATTATTGCTAATATCACAGGTTGTACACCCACTGTGATACAGGGTGTACCCTCAGTGTGATATTAGAAGTCATGTCTCCCTAGGATATTACAAGCAGTATCACAGGTTGTACACACAGGCTGTACAACCACTGTGATATTAGAAGTAAAATCTCCCTAAAATATTACAAAGAGTATCACAGGGTGAACACATATGTTGTACACACACTGTGACATTAGAAGTAACACCCCCCCCGTAATTATACAAATAATATCAAAGGGTATTCACACATAATGTACACTTACTGTGAAATTAGGAGCAACATCCCCCGAACACCAACTGTGACATTAGGAGTAACATCCCCCTAGGATATTACGAATAATATCACACAGTGTATACACATAGTCTACACCCACTGTGACATTAGGAGTAACATCCACCAAGGATTTTACAAATAATATCACAGGGTGTACATACATGGTGTACAGCATTTTCCTAGAATATTATGAATAATATCACACAGTGTATACACATAGTGTACACCCACTGTGACATTAGGAGTAGCATCACCAGAGGATATTACAAATAATAACACAGGATGTACACCCACTGTGACATTAAATGTAACATCTCGCCAGGATATTACAAATAACATCACATATGGTGTACACCCACTGTGACATTAGGAGAAATATCCCCCTAGGAAATTACAGTTAGTATCACTGGGAGTACCCACACATTATGTACACTCACTGTGACATTAGAAGTAACATCCCCCTATAGTATTATAAATAATAAAACAGGATGTACACAAATCGTGTACACCCACTGTGACATTAAGAGTAACAACTTCTAGGACAATACAGGTAATTTCACAGAATGTACACCCACATATTTCCCTAGGACATTATGAATAATATAACAGAGTATACACACATGGAGTAACCCACTGTGACATTAGAAGTAATATTTTTCTATGATAGTACGTAAAACCCCACAGGGTGTACACACATGGTGTAAACACACTGTGACATTAGGAAAAACATCCCCCTAGATTATTATGAATAATATCATATTGAGAATTAAAATAACTATTATGAAAAATAATTAATAATTATAATAATAATAGATATCATTCATCATATCCAAGAAAGATGTTACTCCTAATATCACACGTGGTGTACTCCCAGTTATATTATTACTAATATCCTATTGAGATGTTACACTTAATTTCACAGGGAGTGTACACCCAGTGGTATTGTTCATAGTATTATACTGAAATGTTACTCCTAATGTCACAGTGAGTGTACACCTTGAGAAATTATTTGTAATATTGTAGGGAGATCTTACTCCTAATGTCTCAAGAGGTGTACACCCTGTGAAATTATTCCAAATATTCTAGGAAACTGTTATAGCTTATTCCAATGTAGATATTACAAAGGATTGTACACCCAGAGATTTTACTCCCCATATCGCAAGGTACAATCGAGAAGTAATACCAGGCTATCCCCCCTTAATATTAAGAACCATATCACAGAAGGGTGTACACCCCCCTGCCACATGGGGAGTAATAGTGCTCCCTGTATATTACAAACCATATCGCAAAAGGCTGTACACCCCCCGCCACATGGGGAATAATACCACCCTCTTCCCCACTGGATATTACAAACCATATCGCACAGGGTTGTACACCCCCAGCAACATGGGGAGTAATACCACCCTCTCCCCTCCTGGATATTACAAACCATTCCGCAGGCGGTTGTACACCTGGGAAGTAATACCACCTTCTCCCTGGCTAGATATTACAAACCATATTGCAGTGGGGTATACACCCCGGCCACCTGGGGAGTAATAACACCCTCTCTTCACTGGATATTACAAATCATATGGCAGGAAGTTGTACACCCCCCGCCACATGGGGAGTAATACCACCCTTTTCTCCCTTGGATATTACGAAACATATGGCAGGGGGTGTACACCCCCTGCCACATGGAAAGTAACACCACCCACTTCCCCCTTAAATATTACAAACCATATCGTGGCGGGGGAGGGTGTACACCCACCGCAACATGGGGACTAATATCACCCTCCCCACCCTGGATATTACGAACCATATCACAGGGATGTGTACACCCCCTGCCACATAGGAAGTAATACCTCTCTCTCTCTTCTCGGATATTACAGACCATATGGCATGGGGGTGTACATCCCCCAACACATGGGGAATAATACCACCCTCTCCTACTCATGGATATTACAGACCATATCACAGGGATGTGGACACCCTCCACACATGGGAAGTAATACCACCCTCTTCCCCCCGGATATTACGCACCATATGGCGTGGGGGTGTACACCCCCCGACACATGGGGAGTAATATCACCATCTCTCCCTCCTAGATATTACGGACCATATGGCAGGGAGGGGGGTGTACATCCCCCACCACCACACGGGGAGTAATATTACCCTCTCCCCAACCCACGGATATTACGGATCGTATGGCAGGGGGGTGTACACCTCCCGCCACATGGGGAATAATGTCACCCTCTTCCCCCCCTGGATATTAGAGACCATATGGTGGAGGGGTGTACACTCCCTGCCACATGGGGAGGAATATCACCCTCTCCCTGCCCTGGATATTACGAAGCATAGGGCGGGGGTGTGTACACCACCCTCCACAGGGGAGTAATATCACTCTCTTTCCCACCCTGGATATTACGGACCATATGGCGGGAGGTGTACACCCCCACCCCATGGGAAGAAATATCACCCTCTCCCCCCACGAATATAATGGACCATATGGCGGGAGGGGGTACACCCGCCGCCACATGGGGAGTAATATCACCCTCTCAATTCCCTGGATACTATGGACCATATGGCGGGGGGGTGTACACCCCCCAACCCATGGGGAGTAATATCACCTCTCTCCCCCCGGATATTACGGACCATATGGCAAGGGGCTGTACATCCCCCACCCCATAGTGAATAATATCACCCTCTCCCCATTCTGGATATTACTGACCATACAGCGGGGAGGTGCTACGACCCCCGCTACAAGGGAAGTAATAACACCCTTCCCCCCACCCCGGACATTACGGACCATATGCCAGGGGAATGTACACCCCTCGCCACATGGGGAGCAATATCACCGTCTCCCCTCAGATATTACTAACCATATAGCGGGGGTGTGACATTATAAGTAATATCACCCTAAGATATTACAAATAATATACAGAAATTACAACCCCTGTGACATTTGGAGTAACATCACCCTAGAATATTATGAATAATATCACAGGGTATACCACCGTTGTGACTTTAGGAGTAACATCCCCCAAGGCTATTAGCAGTAATATCACAAGGTGTACACCCTTTGTGACATTAGGAGTAAAATCCACCTAGGATATTAAGAATAATATCAAAAAATGTACACCAGCTGTGACATTAGGAGTAATATCCCCCTAGGATATTATGAACAATATCACAGCGTGTACACCTCCTGTGACATTAGGAGTAACATATCCCTAAAATGTTACGAATAATATCACAGTGTACACCCCCAGTGACATTAGGAGTAACATCCCCCCTAGGATATTACGAATAATATCACAGAGTATACACTCCCTGTGAAATTAAAAGTAACATCCCCCTAGAAAATTACAATTAATATTACAGGGTGTACACCTCCTGTGAAAATAGGAGTAACATCACCCAAGAATATAACAAATAATATAACAGGTTATACATCTCCTGTGATATTAGGAGTAACATTCCTCTAAGATATTACGAATAATAACACAGGGTGTACACACACTGTGATATTAGGTGTAATATCCCCCTAAAATATTACTGCTAATATCACAGGTTGTAAATCGACTGTGGTACAGGGTCTACACCCAGTGAGATATTAGAAGTCGTGTCTCCCTAAAATATTATGAATAATATCACAGATTGTACACACAGGCTGTATAAGCACTGTGATATTAGGAGTAAAATCCCCCTAAAATATTACGAATAGTATCACAGGGTGAACACATTTGTTGTACACCCACTGTGATTTTGGAAGTAACATCCTTCTGTAATTATATGAATAATATCACAGGGTGCACACCCATGGTGTACACTTACTGTGAAATTAGGAGTAACATCCCCCTAGGATTCTACGAATAATACCACAGGGTGAACACACATGGGTTACACCCACTGTCACATTAAAAGTAACATCCCCCTAGGAGAGTACAAATAATATCACAGAGTGTATACACATAGTGTACACACACTGTGACATTAGGAGTAACATCCACCTAGGATTTTACAAATAATATCACAGGATGTACACACATGGTGTACACCTACTGTGACATTAAGAGTAGCATTTTCTTAGACTATTACCAATAATATCACAGGGCATAAACACATGGTGTACACCCACTGTGACATTAGGTATAAAATCCCCAGAGGATATTACAAATAATGACACAGGGTGTACACCCACTGCGACATTAAATATAACATCTCGCCAGGATATTACAAACAGTGTCACAGAGGGTGTACGCACATGGTGAACACCCACTGTGACATTAGGAGAAATATCCCCCTAAGAAATTACAATTAGTATCACTAGGGGTAACCGTACATTGTGTACAATCACTGTGACATTAGAAGTAACATCCCCCTATAGTATCATAAACAATAAAACAGGATGTAAAAACATCAGATACAGCCACGGTGACATTAAGACAAACAACCCCTAGAATATTACAGATAATTTCACACAATGTGCACCCATGTAATATCCCCTTATGACATTACAAACAATATCACAGAGTATACACACATGGCGTAGACCCACTGTGACATTAGGAGTAACATTTTTCAAAGATACTGCATAAAACCCCACAAGGTGTACACACATGGTGTACACACACGGAGACATTAGAAAAAACATCACCCTAAAATATTACGAATAGTATCATGTTAAGAATTGGGAGTAATATCACCCTCTCCCCTCTGAATATACGATCCATGGTGCAAGGAGGGTTTTACACCCCTGCCCCATGGGGAGTAATAGTACCGTCTCCCCACTTGGATATGATCCATGGAGCAAGGGGGGTGTTCCACCCTCTGCTCATGGGGAGTAATATCACCCTCCCCCACCCCAGGATATTAGAATCCATGGGGCAAAGAAGGTGTTCCACCCCCAGCCCCACGGGGAGAAATACCACCGTCTCCCCCACTGGATCCATGGAGCAAGGGGCGTGTTTCAACCCCCGCCCCATGGGCCGTAATATCACCCCCTTTCCCCATTGATTTACAATGTATGGGACAAGAAGGATGCTCTACACCCCGCCCCATGGTGAGTAATGTCACCACCTCCCCACCTGGTTATTACAATTTATGAGGCAAAAGAGGTGTTCCACCCCCGCCCTATGGGGAGTAATGTTACCCTCTCGCCCCCTGGATATTACGATCCATGGGGCAAGCGGGATGTTTCACCCCCGCCCCATGGAGAGTAACATCACCCTCTCCCTCTCCCCTCTGGATATTATGATCCACTGGGCAAGGGGTGTTCCACCCCCCTCTCCCCATGGGGAGCATTATCACCCTCTCTTTTCCTGGATATTACAATCCATGGGGCAAGGCGGGTGTTCCACCCCTCGCCCCATGGGGAGCATTATCACCCTCTCCCCCCCTGGATATTACGATCCATGGGGCAAGGGGGTGTTCCACACCCTGCCCCATGGTGAGTAATATCACCCCCTCCCGCCTGGATATTACCATCCATGGGGCAAAGGGGGTGTTCCACCTCCCGCCGCATAGGGAGTAATATCACCCTTTCCCCCACTGGATATTACAATCCATAGGGCAAGCGGCGGGGAGGGTTCCACCTCCCGCCCCAAGGGGAGTAAATCAGCCCCTCCCTCCCTGGAGATTACGACCCATGGAGCAAGGGAGGTGTTCCATCCCCCGTTCCATGGGGAATAATATCACCATCTCCCCACCCGGACATTACGATCTATGGGACAAGGGGGGTGAACACACAGTGTATTTACTTTTTTGGCAATGATATTATCTCCCTTCCTACATATTACGAACAATCTGATAAGGGGTTGTACACCTTCTATGATATTCGGAGTAATATCTTCCTCTCAATCTCTGTATAACACAAACCTTATTAGAGTGCGTGTGTACATCTCCTATGATATTGGGAGTAATATCATCCTGTCCACCTTATGATATTAAGAAAAATATTTGTATACAACTACTGTTATTTTTGGAGTAATATCCTCTTTCCCCCTGGATTTTAGAAATAATGTCACATGGGGGTGTGTACATTCCTTGTAATATTGCTTGTAATATCATCCTCTTTCTAACTGGATATTACAGTCAATATCACAGGGGAGGTATACATTTCTTACGATATTGGGAGTAATATCATGCTTTCACTTTTATGATGTTAATAACAATATCACAGAGGGGGTGTACACTGGGTCTTCCACTGGGTATTAGGAAAAATACTATGGAGGGAATGTACACTTCCTGCGATATTGGGAGTAACATCATCTTCTCCCATCCTGGATATTAGGGACAATATCACAGGGTGGGTATACCCCCCATGCGATATTGAGAGTAATAATAACCTCTCCTTCTCTGGATGTTAGAAACAATATCACGTGGTGGGTGTACACTTTCTGCAATATTGGGGGTAATATCATCAACTCCCTTTTTTGATATTAGGACAATATCACACAGGGAATGTGCACTTTCTGTGATATTGGGAGTAACAGCCTCTCCCACTGTGGATATTAGGAACAATATCACAGGGTGGGTGTATACTTGCTGGGATATTGGGAGTAATATCAACCTCTCTTCTACTGGATATTAAAAACTATATCACAGGGGGGTGGAAACTTCCTGGGGTATTGGGAGTAATATCATTCTCTCATTTCTTTATATTAGGAACATATCACAGGTGGGGTGTACACTCTCTGCGCTATTGGGAGTAATATCATCCTCTTTCTCCCTGGATAGAAGAAAACAAAGCAGTGTTAGGGTGTACGCTTATTGCAATATTGAAAGTAATGTCGTCCCCTTTTTCCCTGGATATTGGGAGTAATATCATCCTCTCCCTTTGTTGATATTAGGAACAACATCACAGGTGGGGTGTACACCTCCTGCGATATTGACAGGAATATCACCCTCTCTTTACCTGGATATTAGAAACAATATCACAGGATAAGTGTACACGTCCTGCGATATTGGGAGCAATATCATCCTTTTCCCCCCTGATTATTAGCAACAATATCACATGGGGAGTGTACACTCCTTGCAATATTGGGAATAATATCATTTTCTCCCCACCTGAATACCAAGAAGAATATTACAGGGAAAGTGTTCGCTCCCAGCGATATTGGAATTAATATATTCTTCTCCTGTATATTAGGAATGATATTACAGGGTGGATGTACACCAGCTGCGATATTGAAAGCAATATTATCCTCCTTCCCTCTGGAAATTAAGAACAGTATCACATGGGGTGGGTACACGCCCTTCGATATTGGGAGTAATATCTGCCTCTCTTTTTAGTGGATATTAGGAACAATATCACTGGGAAGTACAACCCATTTGATATTGGGATTAATATTATCCTCTCCCCCACTGGATATTAGTCACAAAATCACACAGGGGGTGTACACCCCCTGCCATACTGGGAGTAATATCAGCCTCTTCCTTTTTGGATATAAGAAAGAATATCACAGCAGTATGTAAAGCCCCTGCAATAGTGCGAATAATATCATGCTCTTTTCCCCTGGATATCAGAAACAATCACACAGGGGGATGGTGTACACCCCATGTGATACTGAAAGTAATATCATTCTTTCCCCTTCTGGATATTAGAAACAATGTCACAGTGGGGATTGTACACCCCCTGCAATATTGGGAGTAGTATGATCCTCTGTCTTCCTTGGATATTAGGGACGATACCACAGTGGATATGTATGCCTCATGCGATATTGAGAGTAATATCATCCTTTCCCTCACTAAATATTAGGAACAATATCACAAGGAAAGTGTACGCCCTGTGCGATATTGGGGGTAATATCATCTTCTGACCCCCTGGATTGAGAAACAATATTATATGGGGGTTGTAACTGTGCTGTGGTATTGGAAGTAATATCATCCTCTCCCCACCTTGAAATTAGGAACAATATCACAGTGGGGGTGTAAACACCCTGTGATATTGGAAATAATATCATTCTCCCCCCCTGGATGTTAGGAACAATATCACAGTGGGGGTGCACACCCCCTGCGATATTGGGAGTAATATCATCTTCTCACCCCCTGGATTTTGAACCAATGTCACAGGGGGTTGTACAGCTGGTATGATATTGGGAATAATATCATCCTCTTCCCCTCTGGATATTAGGAATAATATCACAGGGGAGGCGTACACGCCCAGGGATATTGGGAGTACTATCATCCTTTCTCACCATGGATACTAGAAATAATATCATAGTGGGAGTGTACATCTCCTGCATTATTGGGAGTAATATCCTCTCCCTTCCTGGTTATTAGGAACGATATCACGGGAGGGGTATACAGCCTTTTCGATAGTGGGAGTAATATCTTCCCCTCACACCTGGATATTAGGAACACTCTCACAGGGTGGGTTAACCACCCTCCCTACCATATTAAAAGTAATATCATCCTCTCCTTCCCTGGATATTAGGAATAAAATCTCAGGGATGTTGTACACACCCTGCAATATTAGGAGTAATATCACCTTCCCCCTGCTCGGATATCTGAAACAATATCACAGAAGCGATGTGCACCTGCTGCGGTATTGGGGGTGATATCATCCTCTCACATCCTGGGTATTAGGAACGAGAAAGGGGGGTGTACACACCCTGCAATATTAAAAGTAATATTATCTTCTCCCCACCTAGATATTGAAAACAACACCATAGTGGGGTGTATACCCTCTGCAATATTGGGAGTAATGTCATCCTCTCCCTCCCTGGATATTAGGAACAATATCACAAGAAGGGTGGAGACTTCCTGCGATATTGGGAATAATATCGTCTCCCCTCCTTGATATTAGGAACAATATCACAGGGGAGATGTTCAACCCCTGTTATATTGGGTCTAGTATCCTAATCTCTGCCCTGGGTATTAAAAACAGTATCACAGAAAAGGTGTAGACACCCTGTGATATTGGGAATAAAAGCATCCTCTTCTCTGGATATTAGAAACAATATCACAGGGAAGTTGTACAACCCCTGTGATATTGGGAGTATTATCATTCTCCTCCACCCCTCCCCCCAACCACTGATTATTAGGAACAATATCACATGGGAAGTGAACACCCCCTGCAATAATAGAATTAGATTATATTCTCCCCCTGTAAATATTGGGAACAATATCACAGAAAGGGTGTACACTTCCTGTGATATTGACAGTAATATCATCCTCTTTCCCATGGATGTTAGGTACTACAACACAAAGGTAGTGTACAGCACCTGCAATATTGAGAGTAATATCATTCTCTTTTCCCCTGGCTATTAGGAACAATATCACAGGGGAGGTGTACACCCACTGCGATATTGAATGTAATATCATCCTCTACCCACGGGGATATTAGGAATAATATATCAGGGAGTTATACACCCACTGCGATATTGGGAATAGTATCATACTTCCGCCTTTTGATATTAGGAACAATATCACAGGGTGGTTGTACCCTTTCTGCAATATTGGGAAAAATATCATCCTCTCCCTTCCTGGATATTACAAACAATATCACAAAAGGGTTGTGCACCTCTTGTGATGTTGGGTGTAATATCATCCTCTACCCCCTGTATATTATGAACCAGATCACAGAGAGGCGTACACATCCGCGATATGGAGAGTAATGTCATCCCTACCCCTTCTGCATATTACGATTTAGATAACAGTGGGGAGTACACTTTCTGCAATATGGGGAGTAATATCACCCACTCCCCCCGCCTGGATATTAGAAACAATATCACAGCGGGGGTGTACATCGCCTGTGATATTGGGAACAATATCATCCTCTTCCCCACTGAATATTAGGAACAATATCACAGGGGGATATACACCCCCTGCAATGTTGCAAGTATTAACATTCTCTCCATTCCTGAATATTAGGAACAATATCAGAGGTGGTGTACGCCCCCTGCAATATTGGAAGTAGAATCATCATCTCCCCCCTGGATATTAGGAACAATATATAGGGGTAGTGTACACTCCCTGAGATATTTGGAGTAATATCCGCTCTTACCCTGAATATTAAAAACAATATTACGGGGGGATGTACACTCCCTGGAATATTGGGAGTAATATTATCCTCTCCCCACCTTGGATATTAGAAACAATGTCACAGGGGAGGTCTACACCGCCTGCGATATTGGGAGTAATATCATCCTCTCCCCACCTCCCCGGATATTAGGAAAATATCACAGAGGGTGTATTCACCCCCTGCAATTTTGGGTATAATATCATCCTCTCCCAACCCTGGATATAAGGAAAAATAACACCGAGTGAATATATACCCTTTATGACATTGGGAATAATATCATCTCCTCCCCCCCCAAAATATTAGAAACAATATCACAGAGGGGTTATATGCCACCTGCGATATTGAGAGTAATATCATCCTCTTCCTTTTGGATACTAGGAACAATATCACAGGGGAGGTGTACACCCCTTGGAATATTGGGAGTGACGTCTTTCTCTCCTCTCCTAAATATTAGGAACAATATCACAGTGTGGGTGTACACCCCCTACGATACTGACAGTAATAACAACCTCTCCCTGCCTGCATATAAGAAACAATATCTGACCAGGCGCGGTGGCTCACGCCTGTAATCCCAGCACTTTGGGAGGCCGAGGCGGGCGGATCACGAGGTTAGGAGATCAAGACCATCCTGGCTAACACGGTGAAACCCCGTCTCTACTAAAAATACAAAAAATTAACCGGCCGTGGTGGCGGGCGCCTGTAGTCCCAGCTACTTGAGAGGCTGAGGCAGGAGAATGTCTCAAAAAAAAAAAAAAAAAAAAAAAAAGACGAAGAAACAATAACACAGGCACGGTTTACACCACCTGCGATATTGGGAATAATATCATCCTTTTTTCCCCTGTATATTAAGAACAATATCACAGGGAGTTTTGTACACCCTATCAGATATTTGGAGTAATATCATTCTCTACCTAACAGGATATTAAAAACAATATTATGGGGTATTGGATGTATGCCCCTGCGAACTTGGGAGTAATATTATTCTTTACCCTACCTATTGGGATCAATATCTCATGGGTGTGTACATCCCTGAAATACTAAGAGCAATATCACTCTCTCCTCCCCCTTCCTGGATATTAGGAACAATATCACAGGGAAGGTGTACACCCCTTGCGATATTGAGATCAATATTATCCTCTCCCCAGTTGGATATTAAGACCAGTATTACAAAGGGGGTGTAGAACCCCTGAGATATTGGGATTAATATTATTCTTTCCAGCCCTGAATATTAAAAACAATATTACCGGGTGGTTGTACATCCCCTTCGATATTGGGAGTAATATCATCCTCTCCACTTCTGGATATTAAAAACAATATTATGTAGGGAGTGTACATCCCTTAGATACTTGGAGTCATATCATCCTCTCCCCGCCTGAATGTTAGAAACAATATCACAGGGGGGCATGTACACCCCCTGCAATATTGGGAGTAATATCATCCTCTCTCCCCTTGGATATTAGGAAAAATATCACAGGTGGGGTGTACAGTCCCTGTGATATTGGGAGTAATGTCATCCTGACCCCCCTGAATATTAGGAACAATATCACACAGGGGGTATCCACCCCCTGCAATATTGACTGTAACAAAATCCTTCCCCTCCCTGCATATTAGGAGCAATATCTCAGGGGGAGTGTTCACCTCTGCAACATTGGGAGTAATATCAGCCTCTCTCCCCTTAGATATCAGGAACAATATCACAGGGGTGTGCACACCCCATGCAATATTGGGGGTAATATCATCCTCTCATGCTCTGGATATTAGGAACAATATCACAGAGGGGGTGGGTGTACGCTTCCAGCAATGTTGGGATTAATATAATCCTCTTTCTCCTTAAATATTAGAAAAATATCACAGGGGGTTGTACACCTACTGTGATATTGGAAGTAATATCATCTTTTGACCCTCTGGATATTAAGAACTATATCACTGGGGGATGTATATTATGTGATATTTGGGGAAATATTCTCTCCCCCCTTGAGAACTAAAACATATATGAGTGGAGGTGTACACCTCCTGCAATATTGGGAGTAATACCAGCCTGCAACCACCTGGATATAAGGAACAATGTCACGGCGGGGCGGGGGGGGTGTGTGTACACCACTGGCGATGTTGGGTATGATATTATCCTCTTTACCCCTGAATATTAGAAAAATATCACAGAGGGGTGCACATCCCCTGCAGTATTGGGAGTAGTATCATCCTCTCCATCTTTGAATATTAAGAAAAATATTACAAAAGGGTGTACAGCCCCTGTGATACTGGGAGCAATGTCACCCTCTCTCACACTGAAAGTTAAGAACAGTATCTTGGAAGGGGTGTACACCGCCTGAAATATTGGGAGTTATATTATCCTGTCTCCTTCTAAATATTAAAAACAATATTACAGGATGGTGTACACCCTCTGCGACATTGGGAGTAATATCATCCTCTTCCTCCCTGGACATTAGGAAACATATCACAGCGGGGGGACGGGGTGGGGTGGCGGTGTACACCACCTGCTGTATAGGGAGTAATATCATCTTCTCATTTCAGAATATTAGGAACGATATCACATCGGGGGTGTACATCTTCTGCGATATTGGGAGTAATATCACCTTCTCCCTTCCTGGATATTAGGAACAATATCACAGAGGGGTGTACACCTCCTGCAACACTGAGAGCAATATCATCCTTTTTCTCCGTGAATATTAGGAAAAACATCACACAGGGGGTGTACACGCCCTGCGATATTGGAAGGAATATTATCCTCTCCCCCCCTTAATATTAGAAACAATACCACGGGGCGCATGTACACCCCCTGCTATATTGGGAGTAATATTATCCTCTTTTTTCCTAAATATTAGGAATAATATCACAGGGGTGGTGTACAACTCCTGCAATATTGAGACATATCAGCCTCTCCCCGTTTGGATATTAGAAACAATATCACAGGGGACTGTGTACACCATTTGCGATATTGGCAGTAATATCCATCCTGTCCCTCAGCCCAGGATACTAGGAACAATATCACAGGTGGGATGTACACCCCTTGTGATATTGGGAGTAATATTATTTTTCTTCCTTAAGCATTAGGAACAATATCACAGTGTGGGTGTACAGCCCCTGCAATATTTGGAGTAATATTAACATTCCCCCCCCCCCCGGATATTAGGAATAATATCACAGGGGGTTGTACACATCATTCGGTATTGGGAGTAATATAATTCTATTTTACCTGGATATTAGGAACAATATTACACAGGTGGTGTACACCTGTGAGATATTGGGAGTAATAATATCCTCTCTCCTCCTCGATATTAGGAACAATATCACAAGGGGGCGGTTACATGCCCTGCAATATTGGGAGTAATATTATCCTCCTTTTTTCTAAATATTAAAAAAAATCACAGGGAGTGTGTATACCTTCTGTGATATTGGAGTAATATTATCCTCTCCCCCCTGGATATTAGAAACAATATCACAGGGGGGATGTACACTTACTGAGATATTGGGAGTAATATCATTCTCTCTCCCTCTGGATATAATAAAAAATCACACTGGGGCTGTACTCCCCCTACAATATTGGGAGTAATATCCTCTCTTTTTGGATATTGGGAACAATATTGGGGGGTGGGGCTGTAAACCCTTTACGATATTGGAAGTTAATATCATCTACTACCCCTCTAGGTATTAGAAACAATATGACAGGAGGAAAGTACACTCCCTGCGATATTGGAGGTAATTTCATTTTCTCCCCGCCTGGATATTATAAACAATATTACGGGGGGTGTGTACAGTTCCTGTGATATTTGAAATAATATCGTCCTCTCCCCGCCTGGATATTAAAAACAATATCACAGGGAGAATGTACAACCCCTGCGATATTGGGAGTAATATAATCCTCTCTTCCCCTGGATATTAGGAAAAACATCATAAAAGGGGGGTACTCTCCCTGCCATATTGGCAGTAATATCATGCTCTTCCTCCTGAATATTAGGAACAATATCACAGGGAGCCTGTGCAGCCCCTGCAATATTTGCAGTAACATTATCATATCTTTATCTGGATATTAGAAACAACATTACAGGGGTTTGTATATACATTTTGATATTGGGAGTAGTATGATTCTCTTTCCCCTGGACATTAGGAACATTATTGCCAGAAATGCGTACAACCCCTGCAATATTGGGAGTAATATCATTTTCTTTCCCCACCCCCCGGGTTTTAGGAACAATATCACAGGGTGTGTGTACACCCTCTGTGATATTGGGAGAAATATCACTCTCCCTCCCCCTGGATGTAAAAAACAATATCATGGGCTGGTGTATATCCCCTGCGATATTAGGAGTAATATCATCCTCTCCCTCACTGAATATTAAGAACAATATCACAGAAGGGGTGTACATACCTTGCAATATTGAAAGTAATGTTATCTTCTTCCCCCCTGGATATTAGGAAAAATATCACAAAGGGCTGTACACCTCCTGCGGTATTATAAGTAATGTCATCCTCTCCCGCCTTTTATATTTGGAACAATATCACAGAAGGTGTGTACATTCCCCACGATATTGGGAGTAATATTATCCTCTCTTCCCCTTTATATTAAAAACAATATCACAGGTGAGGTGTATACCCCGTGTGATAATGGAAGTAATATTATTCTCTCTGCCCCCCACCCCCCAGATATGAGGAACAATATCCTCTGGTAGGTTTACACCCTTTGAGATATTGACAGTAATATCATCATCACTCGCTTGGATATTACAATCAATATTATAAGTGAGGTGTACAATCCCTACGATATTGGTAGTAGTATCATGGTCTCCTTTCCTGGAATTAGGAACAATATCACAGGGGACGTGTACACCTTCTGCGATATTTGGAGTAATAACCTTCTTTCCTCTTCTTGATATTAGGGACAATATATGGAACCATGTCACAAAGAGGGTGTAAACCCCCTGTGATATTGGGAGTAATATCACCCTCTCACCTTCTTATATGAGGAACAATATCACAGTGGGGGTGTACACTTTTGGGGATATTGATCGTAATACCATCATCTCCCCCCTCCCCGGTTAATAGAAACAATATCACAAAAGGGGCGTACAACCCCCACGATATTGGGCGTAATAGCATCCTCTCCCTTCCTAAATTTTAGAAAACATATCGCAGGAGGGGTGTACATGCCCTGTGATACTGGGAGAAATATTATCCCTTCCCCCCTGGATATTAAGAACAATATCACAAAGGGTTGTATACCCTCTGCGATGTTGGGAGTAATAGCATCCTCTCCCCTTCTGGATATAAGAAGCAATATCACAGGCATGGGGTACACCTCCTGCGTTATTAAGATTACTATTATTTCCCCCCCACCAGATATTAGGAACAATATCACATGAGGGGTGTACAGCCCCTGCGATATTTGGAGTAATTTTATCATCTTCCTCTCTGGATATAAAAAACAATAGCACAGGGGGGTGTACATCCTCTTCAATATAGGGAGTCATATTATTCTCTTTCCCCTGAACATTAGAAACAATATAGGGAGTAATGTCATCCTCTCCCCCACTTGATATTAGAAACAATATCACAGAAGGGGTGTACCTATTCTACGATATTGGGAGTAATGTCATCTTCTTCCCCCCTGTATGTTAGAAAGAATATCACAAGGGGCTGTACACTCCCTGCGATATTGGGAGTAATATCATTCTCTCCCACCCTATATGTTAGAAACAATATCACAAGAGGGTTGTACATTCCTTGTGATATTGGGAGTAATATCATCCTCTTTTCCACTGGATATTAAAAACAATATCACAAATGGCGTGTACACCCCATGCAATTTTGGAAGTAATATCATCTTCTCCTTCACTATATATTGGGAACAGTATCATAGGGTGTGTGTACATCCTTTGGGATACAGACAGTAATATCATTGTCACCCCCTGGATATTAGGAACAATATCACAAGCGGGGTGTACAACCTCTATGATACTGGGAGTAGTATCATCCTCTTCCCATCTGGAATTAGAAACAATATCACGGGGGTGTGTACACCTTCTGCAATATTGGGAGTAATAACTTCCTCTCCTTACCTCAATATTAGGGACAATATCACAGGGGTGTGTACACCCCTTTCAATATTTAGAGTAATATCATCTTCTTCTCCTCTGGATATTATGATCAATATCACGGGGGGGGTGTACACTCCCTGTGGTATTGGGAGTAATATTATCCTCTTACCCCCTTATATTGGGAACAATAGTACAGGATCAATATCCCAAAATACACTTTTTGGGATATTGATCACAATGCCATCATCTTTCCCTCTGGATAATAGGAACAATATCAGAAGAGGGGTGTATAACCGCTGTGATATTCAGAGTAATATCATTCTCTCCCTCCCTGGATATTAGAAAATATATCACAGGGGGCATGTGCATGCCCTGCAATATGGGGAGTAATATTATCCTCTCCCCTTCTGGATATTAAGAACAATATCACAAGCGGGTTGTACACCCTCTGCGATATTGGGAGTAATAGCATCCTCTCCCACCCTGGATATTAGGAACAGTATCATTGAAGGAGTGTACACCACCCGACATATTGGGAGTAATATTATCCTCTTTCATCCTGGATATTAGGAACAATATCACAGGGGTGGTGTACACCTCTGGCGTTATTAGGACTAATGTTATTTTCTTCCTCCCTGGATATGAGAAACAATATCACAGAAGGGGTGTACAGCCCCTGCGATATTTGGAGTAATTTTATTATCTCCTTCCCTGGATATTAGGAACAATATCACAGGGGGGTGTACACACCCTTCGATATAGGGAGTAATATCATTCTCATTCCCCTGGATATTTGGAAAAATAACATGGGAGAGTGTATACCCCCTGCTATTTTGGGAGGTGTAGACTGCCTGCGATATTGGGAGTAATATCATCCTCTTTCCCCTTGGATATTAGAAACAATATCTCAGGGGAAGTTTACATCCTCTGGGTTATTGGGAGTAATATCTTCTTCTTTCCTTATAGATATTAAGACCAATATCACATTGGTGGTGTACAGTCCCTGTGATATTGGGAGCAATATCCTACCCTCCCCCCTCTGGATATTAGAAACAAAATCACAAGGAGGGTGTACACCCCCTGTGATATTGGGAGTAATATCATACTCTCCCTTCATGTATATTAGAAACAATGTCACAGCAGTGGTGTACAACCCTGCGATATTAGGAGTAATATAATCTTCTCCCTTCCTGGATATTAGAAGCAATATCTCAAAGGGGGTGTACACATTCTGGGATATTGGGAGTAATATCAATCTTCTCGCATTATATCTAAAAGGGTGTACTCTTCCCTGATATATGGTTCGTAATACCCAGGGTGGGGGGATCGCACAGTATCATAGGGGAATGTACACCCCCTGTGATGTTGGGAGTAATATAATTTTCTCCCTTTCTGGATATTATGAACAATATCACAGGAGGGTGTACACCCCCTGCGTTATTGCGAGTAATATCATCCTCTGCCCCCTGGATTTTATGATATTGTCACAGGGGGTGTACACCCCGCTATGATATTGTTCATAATATCCAAGGTGTGTACACCCCTTCTATGATATTTTTCTTAATATCCACAGGAAAAGAAGATGATAGTAATACCAACATTCCAGGAAGTGTACACATTCTGAGATATTGGGCGTAATATCATACTCTCCTTCCAATAATATTAAGAACAATATCACAGGGAGGGTGTATACCCCCTGCGATATTCAGAGTAATATTATCCTCTACCACCCTGGATATTACAAAACAATATCACAGGGGATTGTACACCCCCTGCGATATTGAGAGTAATATTATCCTCTCCTTCCTAAATATTACAAACAATATTACCGGGAAGTGTACACCCCCTGCGATATTGGGAGTAATACCATCCTCTTTTCTTCTTGATACTATGAACAATATCACAGAGAGGTGTACACCTTCTGCAATATTGGGAGTAATATCATTCTCTCCTTTTCTGGATATTACAAACAATATCACAAGGGAGTGTACACCCCCTGCAATATTGAAAGTAATATTATCCTCTTTTTTCTTCGTTATTCTGAACAATATCACAGAGGGTTGTACAACCCCTGAGACATTGGGAGTAATATTATCTTCTCCTCTCTTGGATATTACGAAAAATATCACACCATCTGCGATATTGAGAGTAATATTATCCTCTCCTTTCCTGAATATTACAAACAATATTACAGGGAGGTGTACACCCTTGGCGATTTGGGATTAATATCATTTTCTCCCCCCCTCCAGTTATTACCAACAATATCACAGGCTCTGTACACCCCCTGCGATATTGGGAGTAATATTATCATCTCACCCCTTGATGTTGCAAACAATATCATAGGGGGCGTACACTCGCTGCAATATTGGGAGTAGTATTATTCTCTTTCTTCGTGAATATTATGAACAATAACACAGAAGGCTGTACACCCACAACGATATAGGGAGTAATATCATCCTCTTCCCCTCTGGAAATTATGAAGAATATCATAGGGGAGTGTACACACCCTGCATATTGGGAGTAATATGATCATCTCTTTAGGTGGTATTAAGAACAATATTACATTGGGGTGTACACTACCTGTGACAGTGGGAGTAATATCCTCTCTCCCCCCTTGATATTACAAACAATATCTCAGAAAGGTGTACACCTCCCTGCGATATTGGGAGTAAAGTCATCCTCTCACACCCTGGGTATTACGAACAATATCACAAGCGAGTTTACACACCCTGTGATACTGGGAGTAATATTATTTTTTCTCCCTCTGGATATTATGAATAATATCACAGGGTGGTGTACACCTTCTGTGATATTGGGAGTAATACCATCCTCTCCCATTATGAATATTATGAACAATATCATAGGGGAGTGTACAGCCCCCATGATATTGGGAGTGATATCACCCTCTTTGCCCCTGTATATTACATACAATATTACAGAATGTTGTACACTACCTGTGGTATTGGAAGTAATAGCATCCTCTCCCACCCTGGATATTACTAATATCACAGGGTTGTGTACAACCCCTGAGATATTGAGAGTAATATTATGTTCTCCCCCCCCTAAATATTACAAACAATATTACAAGAAAATGTACACCCACTGCCGTATTGGAAGTAATATCATCCTCTCTCCCCTTGGATATTACAAACAATATCACATGAGGATGTACACCCCCAGCAATATTGGGAGTAATATCACCCTCTTCCTCCTGTAATATTGCAAACAATATCATAGGGAAGTGTACACCCCCTGTGATACAAAGAGTAATATCATTCTCTTCCCCCCTAGATATTAGGAACCATATCACAGGAGGGTGTACACCCCCCACGAAAATGAGAGTAATATCACCGTCTCCCCACTTCCTGGATATTACGAACCATATCACAGGGGAGTGTACATTCCCATGATGTGGAAAATTATATCACCCTGCCCCTTCTGAATAATACGAATCATATCACAAGGTGGTGAACACCCCCCGTGATATATGAAGTAATACACTCTATCCCCCACTGGATGTTACAAACCATATCACAGGGGGATGTACACCCTCCGCGATATGGAGAGTGTTATCACCCTCTACCTCCCTGGATATTATGAACCATATCGCAGAGGGGTGTACAATTCCCGTGATATGGGGAGTAATATCACCTTCTCCCCCCCGGCTATTACAAACCTTATCACAGGGGGGTGTACACCACCCGCGATATTGAAATTAATATCATTTTCTTCCCCACTGAATATTAGGAGAAACATCACCGGGGGGGTGTACACCCCCACGATATTGAAAGTAATATCATTCTCTCCCCTCCCTAAATATTAAGAACAATATCGCAGGGGGTATTTACTCTGTCTGCAATATTAGGAGTAATATCATCTTCTTTTCTTCTAGATATTAGGAACAATATAACAGGGGGTTGAACACCTCTTGAGATATTGGAAGTAATATAATTCTCTTTTTCTCTGGATATTAAGAACAATATCAGAGAGGGGGTGTAAACCCCCTGCAATATTGGGAGTAATATACACTCCTTCCCTAGATATTAGGAACAATATCACAGGGAGGGTATACACCCTTTGCGATATTGGGAGTAATATCAACCTCTCACATTATGGATATTAGGAACAATGCCACAGGGGTGGTATACACCTCTTTGATATTTGGAGCAACATTATTCTCTCATTTTCTGGATATTAGAAACAATATCGCGAGGGGGTGTACACTTTCTGGGATATTGGAAGTAATATCATCCTCTCCCACTGGCATATTAGGAACAATATCACAGGGGTGTGTACATCCCCTGCCATATTGGGGTAACATCATTCTCTCCCCACCTGGATATTACAAACAATATCACAGGTGGTTTGTGCAACCTCGGCGACATTGAAAGTAATATCACCCTTCCCGCCTATGGATATTAGAAACAATATCACAGGAGAGGTGTCCACCCCCTGCGATACTGGGAGTAATATCATCCTCCCCTCCAGAATATTATGAACAATATCACAGGGGGAATGTACTACCTCTGCGATATTGGGAGTAATATTATCCTCTCCCCCTGCATATTAGGAACAATATCATAGAGGGGGTTTACCCCCCTGCAATATTGGGAGTAATATCATCCTCTCCTCCTCTTAAATATTAGGAACAGTATCTCAGGGGGAGTGTACACCCCCTGCGATATTGGGAATAATATCATCCACTTCTTTTCTGAATATTAGGAAAATGTTACAGGGTGGGTGAACAATCCCTTGCAATATTAGGAATAATATCATTGTCTCCCCCCCGGCTATTAGGAAAAATATCACGTGGGGGGTTTGTACACTCCTTTCAATATTGGGAGTAATATCATTCTTTCCCCACCTAGACATTACCAACAATATCACAGGGTGGTTTACACCTCCTGCGAAATTGGGAGTAATACTATACTTTCTCCCCCCTGGATATTACGAACAATATCACAGGGGTGTGTACACCCCCTGCAATATTGGGAGTAATATTATCCTTTCCCCTCATGGATATTACGAACAATATCACAGGGGGTGTAAACTCCCTGCGATGTTGGGAGTAATATCATCCTCTCTTTTTCTGGATCTAACAAAAAGTATCACAGGAGGGTGTACACGTCCTGCGATATTGGGAGTAACATCATCCTCTCCCACGCTGGATATGACAAACAATTATCACATGGGGGTGTACAACCCCTGCGATATTCGGAGTAATATCATCCTCTACCCAACTGGATATTATGAACAATATCACAGGGGGTTGTACATCCCCTGTCATATTCAGAGTAAGATCATTCTCTCCTCACCTGAATATTACAAACAATACCCCAGTAGGGTGTACACCACCTGCAATATTAGGAGTAATACCTTCCTCTTTTTGTCTGAATATTACAAACTGTATCACAGTGGGGTGTACACTCCTGGGAGTAATATCATTCTCTCCCCCACTGGATATTGCAAACAAAATCACTGAGTGGTGTTCACTCCTTGGGATATTTGGAGTAATATCATGCTCTTTCTTTCTGGAAATTACCAACAATATCACAATATCACAAAGGAATGTACACCACCCGTGATGCTGTCAGTAATATCATTCTCCCCCCCCAATATTGCAAACAAAATTACAGAGGGCTGCATACCCCCTACAATATTAGGAGTAATATTTTCCTTTCCCCCCATAAATATTATGAACAATATCACAGGGGGGTGTACACCCCTTGCGATATTGGTAGTAATAGCATTTTCCCCCTGCCTGAATATTACAAACAATATCTCAGAGGTGTTTACACCCCCTGCAATACTGGGAGTAATATTATCCTCTTCCCCCTGGATATTACAAACAAGATCGCAGAGGTGTGTACACCCCCTGAAATATTGGAATTAGCATCATCCTCTCCCCCTATGAATATTACGAACAATATCAAAGTGGTATCTACAACCCCTGCGATATTGCGAGTAATGTCATCATCACTTTCTCTGGATCTTACAACCAATATCACAGGAAGGTGTACACAAAGGGTGTTTACAATATTGCGAGTAATATCATCCTCTTTTACCTGGATATTATGAAAAATATCACAAGGGGTTGTACAAGCCCAGCGATATTGAGAGTAATATCATCCTCTCCCTCCCTGGATATTATGAAAAATATAACAAGGGTGTGCACATTCCTGCGATATTCAGAGTAATACCATCCTATTTCCCCCTGGATACTATGAACAATATAACAGGGGGGTCAACAATCCCTGCGACATTGGGAGTATCATCATCCGCTCCTCTTCTGGATATTATGAACTATGTCACAGAGGGGTGTATACCCCCTGCGATATTAAGAGTAATATTATCCTCCCCTCCCCCAGACATTATGAAACGTATCACAGAAAGGTGTACACTCCCTGGGATATTAGAAGTAATATCCTTCTCTCACCTACTTAATTTTACGAACAATATCTCAAGGGTGTTTACATTCATATCATTCTCTCTCTCCCTGGATATTGTGAACAGTATCACAAGGGAGTGTGTACACTCGCTGGAAATTGGGAGTAATATCATCCTTCTTTCGTTGCATATTACAAACAATATCACAGAGGGGTGTACACCGTTTTCAATACTGGGAGTAATATCATCCTCTTTCCCGCTGAGTATTATGAAAAATATCACAGTGGGGTGTACACTCCACTGCGATATTACTCCCAATATCGCAGTGGGTGTACACCCCACTGTGATATTTGGAGTAATATCATTCTCTCACCACTTGGATATTAAAAACAATATCACAGGGGGGTGTACACCCGCTGCGATATTGGGAGTAATATCATCCTTTCTCCCCCCTTGATATTATGAACATTATCACAAGGGTGTGTACACCCGCTGTGATATTGGGAGTAATATTATCCTCTCCCCCCCCCGGATATTACAAACAATATCACAGGGGTGTGTACACCCCAGCGATATTGGAAGTAGTATCCTCTTCTTTGCCCATGGATATTATAAACAACATCACAAGGGGGTGTACAAACTCTGCGATATTGGGAGTAATATCATCTTTCTCTGTGGATATTATGAACAATATCACAGAAGGGAGTACACACAGGGTGTTTACGATATTAGAAGTAATATCATCCACTCCCCCCACTAGATATTATGGACAATATCACAGGTGGGTGTACACCCCCTGCAATAATAGGAGTAATATCATCCTTTTTCCCCCTGGATATTGTGAACAATATTACTGGCGGGTGTACACCCCCTGCGATATTGGGAGTAATCACATCCTCTTCCTCCCCTAAATATTACAAAAAATATCACAGAGGGTGTACACAGAGTGTTTACGATATTGAAAGTAATATCATTTTCTTTCTGGATATTATGAACAATATCACCAGGGGGTGTACACTCCCCACGATATCAGAAGCAATATTACCCTTTTTTCCCAGGATATTATGAACCATATCACAGGGGTGTGTGCACCGCCCGCAATATGGGGAGTAATATTATCCTCTTCTCCCAGATATTCCGAAGCATGTAACAGGCGAGTGTACGCCTTCCACGATATGGAAAGTAATATCATCCTCTCGCCTTCTGGACATTACGAACCATATGAAGACCACCCCAATATAGATAGTAATATCACCCTCTCCCACTTTGGATATTACAAACCATATCACGGGGGGGGGGTGTACCTGTCCTGAAATATTGGGAGCAATATAACCCTCTGCCCCCCTAAATATTACAAAACATGTCAAGGGAATGTACACCCCCAGCGCTATTAGGAGTAACATCACTCTCTTTCCCCTTGGATATTATGAACAATATCACAGGGGGATGTACACACCAAGCTATATGGGAAGTAATATCACCCTCTTTTCCCCTGTATATTACGAACCATATCATACTTCCCGTGGTATGAAGAGTAATATCACCCTCTCACCACCTGGATATTATGAACCACATCATAGGAGAGTGTACACACCCCCTGATATTGGGAACAATATTACCCTCTCCTTCCTTGGATATTACAAAATATATCGCAAGATGGTGTACACTTTCGGCAGTATGGGAAGTAATATCACCCTCTCCCACCCCGTATATTATGAACCATATCACAGGGGTGTATACACTCCTGGGGATATGAGGAGTAATAGCACCCACTCTCCCCCAGGATATTACAAACCATATCACATCACTCGTGATATGGGGGAGTAATATCACCCTCTCCCCCATGGATATTATGAACCATATCACAGAGAGGTGTACCACCTTCCGTGGGATGGGAAGTAATATCACCCTTTCCTTCTTTAAATATTATGAACCATATAACAGGGGTGTGTACACCCCCCACGATATGAGGAGTAATGTTACCCTCTCCCCCCTGGATATTATGAACCATATCACACCACTTGTGATATGAGGAGTAATATCACCCTCTCCCTCCCTGGATATTATGAACCATATCACAGGAGGGTGTACAATACACCGACATGGGGAGTAATATCATTCTTCCCCCCCCCTTGATATTACAAACCATATTACAGGGGGGTGTACACCACCGCAATATGAAGATTAATATCATCCTTTCACCCACTCCCCAGATATTACAAACCATATCACAGGAGGATGTACACCCACCGCGATATGGGGAGTAATATCACCCTCTTCCCCCTGAATATTACAAACCATACTACACCAACCGCGTTATTGGGAGTATCACCCTCTCCCCTTCTAGATATTATGAATCATATCACAGGGGGCTGTACATCCCCCGCGATATGGGGAGAAATATTACTCTCTCCCGCTGGATACTATAAACCATATCCTTGGGGGAGGTGCACACCCCCTGTGATATGGAGAGTAATATCACCCTCTCCCGCCTTGGATACTAGAAACCATATCACGGGGGGATGTATGCAATCCACGATATGAAAAGTAATATGACCCTCTCACCCCTGGGATATCTTGAACCATAACACAGGAGGGTGTATGCCCCCTGCAATGTGGGGAATAGTATCCCCCTCTCCTTTCTGGGATATTATGAACCATATCACAGGAAGGTGTATGCCCCCTGCAATATGGAGAGTAATATCCTCCTCTCCCACCCAAGATATTACAAACCATATCACAGGTAGGTGTACACCCTCTGTGATATAGAAACTAATATCACCCTCTTCCCCTTAAGATATTACAGGGTGGTGTACGCCCCCAGAGACATGGGGAGAAATATCATTTTTTCCCACCGAGATATTATGAATCACATCACAGGGGGGTGTACAGTCCTTGTGATACAGGAAGTAATATCACCCTTTTCCCCCTGGATATTAAAAATTATATTACACCCCAGCAATATGGGGTGTAATATAACCCCCTCACCCTCTGGATATTACCAACAATTTCACAAGGGGGTGTACACGCCCTGCGATATGGTGAGTAATATCACCCCCCTCGATATTACAAACCATATCACAAGTGGGTGTACACCACCAGCGATATGAAGAGTAGTATCACCCTTTTTTCCCCTGGATATTAAGAACCATATCACACCCCCCACGATATGGAAAGTAACATTACCCTCTTACCCCTGAATATCACAAATCATATCACAGGGGGGTGTACACACCCTGCGATGTGGGGAGTAATATCACCATCTCCCACCCTGGATATTACAAACCATAAAACAGAGGGGTGTACACCCCGCGATATGGGGATTAATATCACCATCTCCCCTTTGGATATTAGGAACCATATCACAAAGGGGTGTATGCCCCTCTGTGATATAGGGAGTAATATCACCCTTTCTCCCCCTGGATATTACGAACCATATCATGGGTGGGTGTACACTACCCCCATATGAGGAGTAATGTCACCCTCTTTCTTCTGGATATTATGAACCATATCACAGGGAGATGTACACGTCCCGTGATATGGGGAGTACTATCATTCTCTCTTCTCCTAGATATTAGGAAACACATCACAGTGTGATATACACCCCCTGCGATATGGGAAGTAATATTACCCTCTCCCTCCCTGGATATTGCGAACCATCTCACACCCCCCGTGATATGGGGAGTAATATCACCCTCTCTCGCCCTTGATATTATGAACCATATCACAGGTGGGGTGTGCACCCCCCGTGATATGGAGACAAAAATCACTCTCCCCCCCAGATATTATGAATTGTATCACAGGGTGGTGTACACCCTCTGCGATATGGGAAGTAATATCACCCTCTCCCCCCCTGGATATTACGAACCATATCACAGGGAAGTGTACACTCCCCGAGATATGGGGATTAATATCATCCTCTTTCTCCCTGGATATTACGAACAATATCACACTCCCCGTGATATTAGGGGTAATATCACCCTCTCACCTGCTGGAGAATCATGAACCATATCACAGTGGGGTGTACAACCCCCACGATATGGAAGTTATATCACCCTCCTGGATATTACGAACCATATCACAGGGGGCTGTACACCCTTTGCAATATGGGGAGTAATATGACCCTATCCTGCCCTGGATATTATGAACCATATCACAGGGGGGTGTACACCCTCCACGATATTGGGAGTAATATTACTATGTTTTTCTGTGGTTAATACGAACCATGTTAAATCCCCACGATATGGGGAGTAACATCACCCTCTTCTGCTCTGGATATTAGGAACCATATCACTGGGGGATGTACACCCCCTGCCATATGGAAAGAAATATCATCCTCTACCTCCCTGGATATTACAAACCATATCACAGAGGGGTGTACACCCCTTGCGATATGGGGAGTAATATCACGCTCTTTCTTCCTGGATATTATGAACCATATCACATCCCCCGAAATATGGGGAGTAATATCACCCTGTCCCCCGCACTCGGGAGGCTGAGGCAGGAGAATTGCTTGAACCCGGCAGACAGAAGTTGCAGTGAACTGAGATCGCGCCACTGCACTCAGCCTGGGCGGCAGAGCGAGAATCTGTCTCAAAAAAATAAATAAGTAAATAGAATTGAGTGACACAAATTGAGACGGATGCTGAATTGTAAGCAGAGCAGGTTCTTTCTGGGTTTTCTCTGTCTCTCTCTCGTGTGTGTGTGTGTGTGTGTGTGTGTATGTGTGTGTTCCTATTTCTCCGGTTTCCTAAGCACTGCTTGGAGCCACCTCCAGTCACAAATTTTGGCTTCGAGAAAGACAAAGTTTAGACAAGTTTCCTGCCTGCCATAAGGTGGGCCAGTGGAACACCTGTTGGCTTGAGTGGTGCTGAGGGCTCATTTGATCTGAAGGATTCCCTCTTTCTTCCCCTCCTCGAGGGATTCCCTCTTTCTTCCCCTCCTCCTCCTCCATAGAATATCACGTTGCCTCCAGCGCTTGTGGGATCTGGGGCTGGGTAAACAGGGACAAGTGAGGCTGTGTAGCTGCTCCTGGGCTGGCTGGAGGGTGCTGGGTGCCCACTACGGGCAGGTCCTGAGCTGGGGCTGTGGGTAGACATGGCAGGGGGATGACACCATGAAGTTCTCAACTCAGGAGGCTCTGCCATGGCAGGGGCTCAAAACCTAACAGATGCCATTGCTGCTGCTACCACCTTGTATGCCAGGCCCTTAGGAAGCATTTCTCCAAGCACAGCTAGCCCCGTGAGTCAAATGCCAGCAAATTAAATTTCCACCATCTTATTGTGTGGTTCTCACTGAGGGATTTCCCGTCCTCCTCCCATGCCAGGCTGTGAGCTCTCCACGGTCAGGGTTTGTGTTTCAACTGTCTTTTTCTTCCTGGATGACTCCCATGCCTGATCTCACACACAATGCACACACATATTCACCCACACTGACACACAGCCTCACGCCCCTCCAGGTTCACTCTCTCACACACAGAACTCAAACTCTCTCACGTTCACATATACACATGCACACACATACTCTTACACTGTCACACACACTTACCCCTACTCACACCCATACTCAGCCACACAAACACACATTCACACACTCACATTTGCTGTTTCTCACACTCACACACTGCAGTTCTCCCACTGATTCTTTTACAAACTCACACATCCACACTCACATTTATACACATTCACACTATGCTCTCACACACCCATCCTCTAACCTACACACATGCTCAATTTGTATTTGCATATGCACACACTCATATTCAACTTACACACGCACACACTCATTCTCACTCCCGTTCTTATATACTCAACACTCCTGCACTCACATTCACACTCCCATTCTTTCATAGTTACCCGCACACTCACTGTGGACACATCCCCTGACCCAAGACACATATTATATACTATAATATACCCATATAGCATATAATATACCCATTTGCTATAATAATACCCAGCAATGTTCTGCTCCTCCCCTGCAGCCATTTAGCAATATCTTTCAATAGATCAATATTTGGAATTAGTAATACATTAGCGTGGTTCAAAATACAAAATGTACACAAGAGCACACCTGGAAAATCTCCCTCTTGCCCTCTGCCAGCTCCTCTCCTGTCCTCAGTCCTTCCAGCACGATGTGTGCCTCTGCAAACACCACCCTTCACCCCCATTTTCAGCAAATAACAGCAGATTGGGCCCTTGCCTCTCCCTGCACCTCATGCATCCATCTGCATGGTTATTCCACATTAGCACACATAGATTTCCTAGCCCCGTGCTGTTCAACATGATAGCCACTGGCCACGTGCGGCCATTTAAATTTCAATTAAGAGTTGGCTAACCACATTTCAAGTGCTCAGTAGCCACATGTGGCTGCACAGAACAGTACATTTCTACAGAACAGCACATTTCTACAGAAACTTCTGTCGGACAGTGCTGTGCCAGCTGTCACCTAAGACAGTCTCCAATGCGTTCCTTCGGCAGACAGATGGGTTTCATATCAGGTTCACAGATGCAGCACAGTCCCTTTCCAGCCCATGGAGCTCAAGCAGCTGTCTTAAAACAATCTGGGCAGGTTCCAGGCAGCGATGGCAGGAAAATGGCCCATCAACCTTGGCCTGGAGCATCCAAAGTGTGGGAGGCCAAGTGGGGGGCGCAGGATCTGGAATCCTGCTCCTGGGGACAGTGAGGTCTCACCTCTTCCATCTCACCGACCCTCCTCCTCCACTGCCCACACAGGGTAGGATTCTGCCAGCCATCTGGCATTTCAGAAAGAGAATGTGTTTCCCATGAATACGGTTTAAGAGAGATTGAAAACAATCTTCTGGTGATGGACGAGAGGCCTCTAAGCAGTGGTGTGGTGGAGCTAGGGTATTTGCATTGGAGTAGATCATTTTTTTAAACACTTTCCTCTACTGTACAACATTTTCAGTAATGGTTACATTTTTGGTTAGTTTTATGGTTTTGTAACAATTAACAAATAAAAGGAGAATATAGTTCAGTTTTCTTTTTCTTTCTTCTTTTTTTATATATATATTTTAATTATACTTTAAGTTCTAGGGTACATGTGCACAACATGCAGGTTTGTTACATATGTATACATGTGCCATGTTGGTGTGCTGCACCCATTAACTCGTCCTTTACATGAGGTATATCTCCTAATGCTATCCCTCCCCCATGCGGTTGGGTCTTGGTCTGTCATCCAGGCTGGAGTTCAGTGGTGAGATAATGGCTCATTGCAGCCTCAACCTCCTGGGCTCAAGTGATCCTCTCACCTCAGCCTCCTGAATATCTGGGACTACAGGTGCGCCACCATGCCCGGCTAATTAATTTTTATTTTTATTTTTATTTTTAGAGATGGGGGGGTCTCACCATGTTGCTCAGGCTGGTCTGGAACTCCTGGGCTCAAGCTATCCTCCACTCCTTGGTCTCCCAAAGTGTTGGAATTACAGGAATGAGCCACCATGCCTGGTCAATGTTAAATACATTATTTGGAATCAGTAAAAGATTTCATGGAGGAACTAAAAATGTCACTTTCCAAACAAAAATACTACACCTTGCAGACTGCACTCTGCTTTACTGTTATACTCTTGACATAGGTTCTTATTTTTCTTTACACCAGGGAAAAATGCACACGGGTTATACACACGTACACACATGGAAGTAGAGATCATATTTTATCTACATATGTTAAATATCCAAAGTCGAATATCAGAAATTTGAGATTAATTCTTTCCTTCAAGAAGCCCCACCTTGCTTAGGAAAATCAGGCAAAAGCCCCAAGTGGCCGACAATCGGCTCAATTTCCCGGGTGACTTAGTTTCACTCTGTGGATGGCAGACTTTCATGGCATCTATCCTCACTCAACTTCCCAGATCACTCCAGCAGCTGACCTGGAGCCCAGCTGAGCAAGGTCCCAGACACTTCCAGCCTGCAGAGAGCAGTCCACTCTGAAAATCACCAACGGGCATTTTTTGGCCTCTTGCTGTGTTTTTCTAAGGCTCTGCCTTCCCCTCCACAGCAGCCCTGTAACTGGCATCAGTTTGGGGGAATCTTGGGGAGCCACTTTCTGGCCTTGGTGTTCATGCCTGAGCTCCCCAACACCCAGACCACTGGGATCCCAACCAAGTCAAACAGGCAGAAGCCGCCACACCTGAGTGGGATCTGTTGGCAACTGAGCCAGGGCTCAAGGAAAACCCTGTGTGCTCCCCATAGAGACCCTTAGAACAGGAATATATGCACGTATATGCACTATGTAACTATAACAGGAATATATGCACTATGTAAAAAGTACATAGTAATAAAGTGTATAACAAGAGGTCCGTAGGAGCGAGAAATCATCAAGATGATATAATAACAGGGGCCGGGCGCGGTGGCTCACAGCTGTAATCCCAGCACTTTGGAAGGCTGAGGGTGGTGGATCACTTGAGGCCAAGATTTTGACACCAGCCTGGCCAACATGGTGATATCCCCATCTCTACAAAAAATACAAAAATTAGCTGGACGTGGTGGTGCATGCCTATAGTCCCAGCTACTCAGGAGACTGAGGCAGGAGAATCACTTGAACCTGGGAGGCGGAGGTTGCAGTGAGCTGAGATCGTGCCATTGCACTCCAGGCTGGGCGACAGAGTGAGACTCTGTCTCAAAAAAAAAAAAAAAAAAGATGATATATAACAAGTAAAAAATACACACGCTCTTCAATCCCGCAGCTTCTTCTGAAGTTCTCACACATGCCCAGATGCGTATATGGAAGGATATTTGCTTTTAGCATTATGCTAAGTGAGAGTACTAGATTCAAAGGACTGCATCTTACTTGATTCCTTTTATGTGGCATTTGTGAGGACCAAGGGCCCTATTGGTGGCAGGGGGAAGGGACAAGAAGACTCCCTGTGGTGATGGAAATGCTCTAATCTTGGCTGTGAGTAGGGGCATCCCTGTATGACTTATTCAGGACTCAGTAACTATGTGCTGAAGAAGGAGAATTTCACTGCGTGAACATTGTACCTCAATAAACTTGACTTAAAGAAATTGCACGAGAAAAGATATTTATTGCACCAGTGCTTGTAGTAGCAGAAGTCAGGGAACAACTCAAATGCTCAGCCATAGAGAATGGTCAAATAAATAATGGTACATCCGTACCATGGAGTACTACACAGCTACCAAAAAGGAAGAGATGTTTATAACTCGAAGTGGTATGGTCTCCAAGAGCATTTGTTATGTGGAAAATGCTTTGTATGGTATTAATGATTTATTTCATATATATATACACACACAGATATCATAAATGATATTCTTCATATCATAGTATGTTAACACTAGATGATATTGTTCATATCATAGATGTGTTAACACAAAATGATATTATCCATATCATAGGTGATATTTTATTAATATTATTGTGTGTTAACACTAGATATTATTCATAGCATAGATGATATTCTATTAATATTATAGTGTGTCAACACTTGATATTATTCATACCATAGATGATATTCTATTAATATCACAATGCATTAATGCTTGATATTATTTATAGCATAAATATTCTATTAATATCATAATGTGTTAACACTTAATATTATTTATAGCATAGATAATATTCTATTAATATCATAATGTGTTAATGTTTGATATTATTTATAGCATAGATAATATTCTATTAATATCATAGTGTGTTAACACTAGATATTATTCATAGCACAGATGATATATTAACGTCAATGTGTTAATGCTTGGTATTATTTATAGCATAGAAAATACTCTATTAATATCATAGTGTGTTAACACTAGGTATTATTCATAGCATAGATGATATTCTATTAATATCATAGTGTGTTAACACTACATATTATTCATAGCATAGATGATATCATATTAATATAATAGTGTGTTAACACTAGATATTATTCAAATACATGATATTCTATTAATATAGTGTGTTAACACTAGAGGTATGATAGATATCACAAAGATCATATTCTATTAATATCATAGTGTGTTAACACTAGAGATAGTAAAGATATCATAGAGATCATATTCTATTAATATCTCAGTATATTAAAACTAGAGATGTGATAGATATCATAGATAATATTCTATTAATATCACAGTATGTTAACACTAGAGATATTGTAGATATCATAGAGATGATATTCTATTAATACCACAGTGTGTTAACACTGGAGATATTACAGATATCATAGAGATGATATCCTATTAATATCATGTGTTAAAAACACTAGGGATATTATAAATATCATAGAGATATTCTATTAATATCATCATTGTGTGCTAACAACACTGGAAATATTACAAATATTATAGAGATGGTATTCTATTCATATCATCGTGTGTTAACAATACCAGAGATTTTATAAATATACAGATGATATTCTATTAATATCATCGTGTGTTAACACTAGAGATATTATAAATATCATAGAGATGATATTCTATAAATATCATTGTGTTACACTAGACAGTATAAGCATTATCTAGATGATATTCTATTAATATCATAGTGTGTTAAAACTAGACAGTATAAATATCATGTAGATATTTTATTAATATCATAGTGTAACATTGTGTAACCCTACACAATATATCATCTAGATAATATTTTATTAATAGCATAGTGAGTTAACACTAGCTATTATAAATTTCATATAGATATTTTATTAATATCTTACTGTGTTAACACTGTGTAATAACACATTATAAATATAATCTAGATGATACTTTATTAATATTGTAGTGAATTAACACTAGACAGTATAAATATCATCTAGATGATATTTTATTAATATCATAGTGTGATAACACTAGACATTATAAATATCATCTAGATGTTTTTATTAATATCTAGATATTTTATTAATATCATCTAGAAGATATTTTATTAATATAGTAATAACACTGTGTGTTAACACTAGACATTATAAATATATAGATGATATTTTATCAATATAGTGTGTTAACAGTAGACATTATAAATATCATATAGATGATATTTTATTAATATTATTGTGTGTTAACACTAGACATCATAAATATATAGATGATATTTTATCAATATCATAGTGTGTTAACAGTAGACATTATAAATGTCATATAGATGATATTTTATTAATATTATTGTGTGTTAACACTAGACATTATAAATACCATAAAGATGATATTTTATTAATATCATAGTGTGTTAACACTAGTCATTATAAATATCATATAGGTGATATTTTATTAATATTATAGTGTGTTAACACAAGACATTTTGAATATAATATAGATGACATTAATATAATGTGTTAACACTAGACATAAATTCTATAAAGATATTTTATTCATATCATTCATATCATGGTGTGTTAACACTGTGTTAAAATTAGATATTATAAATATCTCATGGTATTTTATAAATATCATAGTGTTAACACTAGATATCATATCATATACATATTTTATTAATATAGTGTTAATACTAGATATTGTAAATATTATATAGATGATATTTTATTAACATCATAGTGTGTTAACACTAGATATTATAAATATCATCTAGATGATATTTTATTACTATCACAGTGTGTTAATACTACATATTATAAATATCATTTAGATATTTTATTAATATAGTGTGCTAACACTGTGTTAACACTAGATATTATAAATATCATCTAGATGATATTTTATTAATGTCATAGTGTGTTAACACTAGATATTATAAATAAACATCTAGATGATATTCTATTAATATTATGGTGTGTTAACACTGTGTGTTAACACTACATATTATAGGTATCATACAGATAATTTTTTGTTTTGAGACGGAGTTCCACTCTTTTTGCCCAGGCTGGAGTGCAATGGCATAATCTCAGCTCACTGCAACCTTCGCCTCCTGGGTTCAAGTGATTCTCATGCCTCAGCCTCCCGAGTAGCTGGGATTACAGGCACGCACCACCACGCCCAGATAATTGTATTTTTAGTAGAGATGGGGTTTCACCATGTTGGCCAGGCTGGTCTCAAACTCCTGACCCCAGGTGATCCACCCACCTTGGCCTGGGATCACAGGCATGAGCCACCACACAAGGTCGATATTTTACTAATATTATAGTGTGTTATCACTAGGTATTGTAAATATCATATAGATGATATTTTATTAATATCATAGTGTGTCAACACTAGATATTATAAATATCACAAAGATGATATTTTTCTTAATATCATAGTGTTAACACTAGATGTTATAAATACCATGTAGACTTTATTTTATAGATATCATTTTGTGTTAACACTAGATATTATAAATATCTAGATGATATTTTATTAATATCATAGTGTGTTGACACTAGATACGATAAATATCACAGCAATATTTCATTAATACCATAGTGTGTTGACATTAGATATGACAAATATCACAGCGACATTTCATTAATACCATAATGTATTGACACTAGATATTATATGATAAATATCATAGTGAAATTTCATGTCCGTTGACAATAGATATGATATATAGCACAGTGATATTTCATTAGTATAGTGCGTTGACACTACATATGATAAGTGCCACAGAGATATTTTATTACTATCATAGTGCGTTGACACTAAATATGATATGATAAATATCACAGCGATATTTCATTAATACTACACTGCATTGACATTAGATATGAGATAAATGTCGCAGCGATATTTCATTCATACCATAGTGCATTGACACTACGTATGACCATATATATATATCACAGCGATATTTCCTTAATAAGATAGTGCGTTGACACTAGATATAAGAAATACCACAGCAATATTTAATTAATACTATAGTTCGTTGTCATTAGATATGATAAATATCACAGCGATATTTCATTAATACCATAGTGCGTTGACGCTACATATGGTAAATATCACAGCGATATTTCATTAACACCATAGTGTGTTGACATTAGATATGATAAATACCACAGTGATATTTCATTAATACCATAGCGCATCAACACTAGATATGATATGATAAGTATCACAGCAATATTTACTTAATACCACAGTGCATTGACACTAGATATGATAAATATCACAGTGATATTTCATTAATACCATACTGTTTTGACATTAGATATGATGAATACCACAGTGATATTTCATTAATACCATAGTGCATTGACACTAAATATGATAACTATTACAGCGATATTTCATTAATATCACAAGGTGTAAACACTGTGTGTGAACACTGGCTATTATAAGTATCAGAGTGATATTTCATTAATATCACAGTGTGTAACTGGATATTATCAATATCAGAGCGATATTTCATTAATATCACAGTGTGTAAACACTGGGTATCATAAATAACGCTGCAATATTTCATTAATATCACAGTGTGTAAGCACTGTGTATAAACACTGGATATTATAAATATCACTGCAATATTTCCTTAATATCACAGTGTGTAAACACTGGATATTATCAATATCAGAGCAATATTTCATTAATATCACAGTGTGTAAACACTGGATATTATAAATAGAAGAGGGATATTTCATTAATATCTTGGTGTGTAAGCACTGGATATTATAAATGTCAGACCAATATTTCAATATTATCACAGTGTATAAACACTGGACACTATAAATGTCAGAGCAATATTTTATTAATATCACAGTGTGTAAACACTGGATCTTATAAATGCCAGAGTGATATTTCACTAATATCACAGTGTATAAACACTCGATATTATAAATGCCAGAGCGATATTTCATTAATATCACAGTGTGTAAACAATGAATATTATAAATATCAGAGCAATGTTTCATTAATATCATGGTGTATAAACACTGGATATTATAAATATCAGAGTGATATTTCATTGAAATCACAGTGTGTACACACTGTGATATTAACATCATAGTGATATTTCATTCATATCATAGTGTGTAATCATTGGATATTATATCAGAATGATACTTTATTAATATCAGAGTGATATTTTATTAATATCACAGTGTGTAAGCACTGTGATATAATAAACATCAGAGTGATATTTCATTAATATCACAGCATAAACACTCCATGTCAACACTGTAATATGATAAATACCAGAGGGATATTTCAGTAATATCACAGTAATTTCACACAGTAATATCACAATAATAACCCTGTGTGTAGACAGGCAAATGGCATTTATCATATCATATGTAGTGTCAACGCACTATGATATCCTGCATAATAATACCCTTGAGAAATGACTGCTGCTATCACCGTACACACTGTACACACAGTGTACACCCTGTGATATCCTGCATAATATAATCGAGATATGACTGCTACTGTCACAGTAAGGGTACACCCTGTGCATACACCCTGTGCTGTCCTGCATAATATCCTTGAGACATGACTGCCACTGTCACAGTGGGTGTACACCCTGTGATATCCCGATTAATAATATCCTCAAAATATGGCTGCTGGTGTAACAGTGGGTGTACAGCCTGTGCGTACACCCTGTGATATCATGCATAAAAATATCCTCGAAATATGACTGCTAAAGTCACATTGGGTATACAACTGGCATGTACACCCTGAGATATCATGCATAAGAATATCACTGACATAAGACTGCTAATATCACAGTGGGTGTACACGTGATGTCATGCATAATAATGTCCTCGAGATATGACTGCTAATATCACAGTGCGGTATCACACTGCTAATATTACAGGGTGTACACACAGGGTGTACAACCACTGTGATATTGTGCATAATATTCTCACTGCTAATATCATAGTGGATGTACATCCTGTGTGTACACCCTGTAATATTAGGCATAATATCCTCGAGATATGACTGCGAATATCACTGTGGGTGTGCACCCTGTGTGTACACCCTGTTATATCAGGCATAATATTCTTGAGATATTACTGTTCATGTCACCAAAGGTGCACACCTTGTCAGTACACCCCACGATATTAGGCTTAATGTCCTCTAGATATTACTGCTAATATCACCCTAAGTGTGCAACCTGTGTGTATACCCCATGATATTAGGAATAATTTCCTTGAGATATTACCACTAATAACACCATGGGTTTGCGCTCTGTGTGTACAGCCCGTGATACTAAGCATAACGTCCTCGAGATATTACTGCTACTATCATAGTGCGGGTAACTCTCTGTTATTATGCATAATTTCTCAAGATATTACTGTTAGAATCACCGTGGGTGTACACCCTGTGATATTATGCATAATATACCCTCAAGACATTACTGGTAATATCACAGTGGGTGTACACATATTATGCATAAAATATCCTCAAGACATTACTGCTAATATCACAGAAGGAGTATACCTGTTTCTGTACACCCCCTGTGATATTACGCATAATATATCCTTGAGCAATTATTGCTAATATCATAGCAGGTGTACACCATATGTACGTACACCCCCAGTGATATTATGCATAATATATCCTCAAGACATTACTGGTAATATCATAGGGGTGTGTACACCATGTGTGCGTAAACCCCTGTGATATTATGTAAAATATATCCTCGAGAAATTACTCCTAATATCACAGGGGGTGTACACCATGTAGTATTATCCATATCATAGAAGATTACTCATAATATCACAGAGTGTGTAGACCATGTAATATTATCCATATCATAGAAGATTACTCATATCACAGAGGGTGTACACCATGTGTTTACACCCAGTGACATTATTCATAATATCATAGAGATATGACTCCTAACATCACTGTGATATTAATCTTAATATCATAGGGAGATATTACTCCTGAAATCACTTTGGGTGTACACCCTGTGTTATTTTTCATATCATAGAGATATTACTCCTAATATCACACTGTGTGTACAAAATGTGTGTATACCTTGTGATATTATTTGTGATACTGTAGGAAGATACTACTCCTAATATAACAGTGGGAAACCACCCTGTGATATTACTTGTAATATCATGGGAAGATATTACTCCAGATATCACAGTGGGTGTACACCATGTGTGGACACGTTGTGATACTATTTGTAATATTGTAGAAAGATATTACTCCTAATTTTTGTATTTTTAGTAGAGATAGGGGTTTCACTATGTTGGCCAGGCTGGTCTCGAACTCCTGGCCTCAGGTGATCTGCCTGCCTTGGCCTCCCAAAGTGCTGGGATTACAGGGGTGAGCCACTGCACCCGGCTGGAAGTCTTTTATCAATTATGTGTTTGACAAATGTTTTTTCCTAGACTGTAGCTTGTCCTTTTATTCTCTTAAAAGTGTCTTTTGAAGAGCCATTCTTAATTTTGATGAGATTTTATTTGTTCTTTTTTTATGTATTGTGTTTTTGATATTATATCTAAGAAAGATTTACTGAATACAACAACACAAAGATTTTCTCCTATTTTTCCTTCTGGACATGTTATAGTTTTAGACTCGACATTTAGGTCTCTGATCCATTTGGAGTAAATTTTTGTAGGTAAATTTTGTATGTGGTGTGAAATATAGTTGAAGTTCATTTTTTTCTGTTTGGATATCCAATTGTTCCAATACCATTGGTTGAAAAAGCTAGCCTTTCTCCAAAAAATAACCTTGAACCTTCATTGAAAATCAGTGAACAATTTCTGGACTCTATTTTTAAATATATATAATTTTTTTATGAGACAAGGTCTCAGTATGCTGCCCATGCTGGAGTGCAGTAGTGTGATAATAGCTCATCGCTCATTGCAGCCTCCAACTCCAGCAATCCTCCTGCCTTAGCCTCCCAAGTAGCTGGGACTACAGGCACGCACCACCATGCCCAGTTAATTTTTACATTTTTTGTAGAGACAGGGTCTCACTATGTTGCCCAGGCTGTTCTCCAACTCCTGGCCTCGAGCAATCCTCCTGCCTTGGCCTCCTAAAGTGCTGGGATTACAGGTGTGAGCCACTGCACCTGACCTGTGTGACTAATTATAGCCAATGAAAAGTTGGCAGATAGGTGTCATTTCTAGTGGAAACATTTCAAAACCAGTGTAAAACCCCTGGCTTGTGTCCTCTGTGTTCAAAAGGGGCCACAGGACACGGTGGAGTTTCAGTCTGTGTCCCTAAGGAACCACAGGGAGCAGGGGCCTCTGTCCATGAAGTGACATATGGAGCAAGTGCCAAAATAAACTTAGTTGCCTTGAGTCACTTCAGTTTGGGGATGTCTGTTTTAGCAGCATAGACTAGCATATCCCGGCTGAAACAAACACTGTTGCAGGCCCAGGAGAAGGAGGAGGGCCTGAGCTGAGGCAGGAGGGATGCTGGAAGGCACGGAGTGTCAGTTGTCTATAGCCACCCCAAATTCAGCAGTGTCAAACAATCAGCATTTAGCTAGTTCACCAGCCAGTGCACGGGCTGGGTGGTTCTCCTGGACTCATGCATCTACAGCCAGCTGTGGATCTGGATGGCTGGATCTGCAGCTATTGGCTGGATTCTTCTCATGTGTCTCAGGGCCGCTGGTTTAAGATGGCCTTGGCTGAGAGCACTGAGGTGGCTCAGCTCAGTTCCACATGTTTTACCTCCCGTGGGTCAACCCAGACCTTCTCCTAGTGATTGCAGGAGAGCCAGAGAGAGAGTGAAACAGGCAAAAGCCCTATTATAAGTTTTTGCTTGTGTCACATTTGCTAAAATAAGTCACATGCCTGAGCCCAGAGTTAAGGGGTAGAATAGAACCCCCTCCCCACACGTAGGAGGGCAAAGTTAGACAGCCAAGGGCACAGATCCAGATGGGGGAAAGAATTGAGGTCATGTGTGCTACCAGTCTACCACCTGGGGGCGCAGCTGCTGGCCTGATGTCCGATTGGATACAGGGGGTGCTGTGGGCATCTCTATGGACAACATTGCCCCCCATCCCTGTATAGGTATGCCACCCCACTCATCAAGAGGTGGAGTCTGTGTCTGCAGCCCTTGAACTTGGGCTGCCCCTGTGATGCTTTGACGGAGAGAATATGGTGAAAGTGACTGCCACTTCCCAGCTTTGTCATTCCCAGCTGCCATTTAAAGGTACTCAGGCTAGACCACTGAATACTGAGAGAGGGAGGCCACTAGGAGGGAATCAAGGCCAGTGGGAGAGTGAGGCCATTTGGGACCTTCCAGCCAACCCCCAGTCGAATGAAGCCACATTAAGGGAGCCCAGGTGAAACCAGAAGAGTCACAGGAAGCAATAAACCATGGTGGTTTTAAACCATTACATATTGGGGTGACTTGTTACACAGCACTTGATAACTGATGAAAATGGAGAAAACTAAGCAAGGCTGATGCTCAGATTTATGGCTTGAGTTCTTAGCCCAGGGGTCAACGCCCTTTCCAGGGATAAGAAACCCAGAGGCAGGAACTGGCTTGAGAAAAAGTTGCAGACATTTATTTGTTATGCTTGTGGGACATCCATGCAATAAAATCCAATAGGCACAAGGTAGGATACACAGATCTGAACTTACAGAGAAAGAGGTGCTGGAGCTAGAGACAGACGATGGATGGTGTCAGGGCTATCAGCTGCTTGCCCAGGAGGAAGTGGGAAGTGGGACTGGAAGTGTCCCAAGAACAGAGTCTTGGGGAGCACTCACCTTAAGAAGCGGTCCTGGCCGGCGAGGTGGCTCACACCTGTAATCCCAGCACTTTGGGATTCCGAGGCAGGCGGATCACCTGAGGTCAGGAGTTTGAGACCAACCTGGCCAATATAGTGAAACCCCGTCTCTACTAAATATACAAAAATTAGCCCAGCGTGGTGGTGTGCGCCTCTAATCGCGGCTACTTAGGAAGCTGAGACAGGAGAATCGCTTGAACCCGGGAGGCAGAGGTTGCAGTGAGCCAAGATCATGCCATTGTACTCCAGCCTGGGCAACAAGAGTGAAACTCCATCGCACCCCCACCACCCCACCCCAAAAAAAAATAACAATAAAAAAAGAAGTGGTCCTCAGGTGTTAGTGGATGTGATCACCATCTGCTGAGACCATCAAGATGCAGATCAGATTCCTGCCCAGCTCTGAGTTTCTGATTCAGGAGGCCAGGGATGGGGCCTGGGAATCTGCTTTGCAATCTAGGCTCTGTCCTTCTGCTCCCAATACTAGGGATGGAAAATTCCATCCCAGGTGAGATGGGGGTTTGGCTGGGGGAGGGGGACAGTGGGAGAAACCTGGAGCAAGGTTGAGAGAAGGTTTACTTCATTTTCTTGGGGTTTTTTTTTGTGTGTGGAACACTTGATCATTTTAATAGCCTTGTTGTGGGGAGGGGTGAGAAGCAAGGGAAAGGTACAAAAAACAGTAGGCATTTCTTCCTTGCCACTGTGCAAAGACTCACTGAGTGCAGAGTGGGAGAACCCTGTGTGACTAGAGACAAAAGAGAGATCTAAAGTGATGTCACTGCTGGAAACAGCTAGGAGGAGCCCGCCAGGAAATGTCTTAAGGGACATCAGGAAGGAAGAACAAAATGGACCTGTCTCAGCCAGGCACCACAGTACCTGAGATGGGCTCACATCTGTAATCTCAGCACTGTGGGAGGCCCAGGTGGGTGGATCACCTGAGGTCAGGAGTTCAAAACCAGCCTAACCAACATGGCGAAACCCCGTCTCTACTAAAAACACAAAAATTAGCCAGGCATGGTGATGTGTGCCTATAATCCCAACTACTCAGGAAGCTGAGGCAGGGGAATCGCTTGAACCTGGGAGGCGGAGGTTGCAGTGAGCCAGTATCGTGCCATTGCACTCCAGCCTGGGCAACAGAGACTCCATCTCAAAAAAAAAAAAAAAAAATTTACCTGTCTCAAGCCTCTGAAGTGTGACAGAGGAAAAAGATCCTGTGGTCAGAAGAGTTCCAGTGGAGCCTGCTGGCTGTGAGAACTTAAGCAAGTCACTTCACCTCTCTGACCCTCAGTTTCCTCAGCGAAAGGAGAATAACTTGCAGCAGGGCACGGTGGCTCATGCCTATAATCCCAGCACTTTGGGAGGCCAAGGCAGGCGGATCAACTGAGGTCAGGAGTTCAAGACCAGCCGGTCCAACATGGCAAAACCCTGTCTCTACCAAAAATACAAAAAATTAGCTAGGCGTGGTGGCAGGCACCTGAGTCCCAGCTACTTGGGAGGCCAAGGCAGGAGAATCGCTTGCACCCAGGAGGCGGAGGTTGCAGTGAGCAACTGTGACAGAGTGAGATTCCATCTCAAAAGAGAATAAAAATAAAAAGAATAACTTGCATCCTGCCCTCCAATGTATAGTATAGTGATTAAGAGCCAAGGCCCTGTATCAGACCTTGTTAAAAACCCAGTTCTGCTCTTTACTGCCTCTCAGATTGTGGGCAAGTAAATCTTGGCAGCCATCTTATCACCTGTAAGATGGAAATGACAATAGTCCCTACCTGATAGGTGACTTCCTCTCTGCTCTCCAGGCCTTTGCTGATGGCCCATCACTCTGTTCTTCTTCTCCTGACCAGATTGGGCTCCAGATGGCAGGGGGCAGGTCAGTCTGGAATCTAACTCAGTGCTGGCTGGGACCATGTGTTACTAAGTGCAGGCTCTGCAGCCGGACAGACCAGTTTTATCACCATGGTTCCCCTGCCACCAGTCGTGTGACCTTAGGAAAGTAGTTTAACTACTTTAAGCCTCAGTTTCCTCATCCAAAATGGAGACAGTAGGACTATAAAAGGACATAAATTAGGTAATTCACACGAAAGCACAAAGATGGTAGATGGCAAATAGTAAGTATTCTACAAAATGCTGGCTATAATTAGTAGTACTGACAGGCAACTGATACATTGCAGTTTAATAAATGTTTCTATATTCTTAGTGTCTGGGGCCAGGTAAAGTTTGTTCACTCATTAATATTCCAGGTGCCAAACCTGTGATCAATGACATTCCAGTAGCAATGAGTAGTTGTGGCATCCAGATCTTGGTTTCTGAACTGTTGTCTGCTAAAAGTAACCAAGGCTCCCCGAAGAAATGACTGCAGCAGTGAGAAGGGATGACTGAAATATCTTATTGTATCAGAAAGCAAGAAAATGCTCAAAGAAGTTGTATTAGTGCCCAAAGAACATAAGAACTGTCTTGAAGCGGCTTCACTGACCACACTTGGGGGGAAAAATTGACCAGAAAGCATAATAATAATTTATTATAAAAGACAAATTAAAAAAAAATCCAGGAATCCATAGTGAGACTCCAAAAAAAAAAGGAAAGAAAAAAAAGAGAGGGTATATAACTGATATATAGATATATATATAGATATCATATATGAAACTGTATCTATAGTTATATATATTACATCAATGCTGCTAAAATCACTCAGTGAAAGGCTGATAGGGAAGAAGATGGTCACATGGTCTTTCAGTGCATCACCCCAGAGAATACTTGTTAATTACAAATGGCAGAGGGTACCATTCACTGGAAAAATGGGGCAGACACCACCTTTACCAAGCCATCAAGCTTCACATTACCAAAAACGGGACAAATTGACATTATCCAAGTGTGTTCTGCAGGAAAAAAAAACAACAACAAAAAATACTTAACCTGAATCTAATGACGGGGCAAGAGTGAGGAGAGGATCAGACAAATCAAGATTATGGGATATTCTATAAGACAACGGGTCTGGAGCTGTCAAAATTATCAATGTGATGAGACTCCCCCTAAAAAAAGGAAGGACTGATCTGAATTAAAGGAGACCAAAGAGACGTAACTCCAGGCAATGAGTGAATCTAGGGTGGGAGGGGTCTTATTTGGAACAATTAAAATTGGAATATAAACTGTCTATTGACTAATAGTACTGCATCGATATTAAATCTCTTGGGTATGAAAATGACACTGAGGTCATGAAGAATGCCTGTGTTCTTAGGAGATGCACTGCCGAAGTATGTATGATAGGAAATCCCTGAAAAGGAACAGAAGTGAGTCCCAGTCGCTCCGCCCAAGGTTCACGCGTGCCCACAGCCCTCTCTTTTGGAGACTTATTTTGCACCGGAGAATCGGATTGTACCTGCAAGGCGGAAATGCACGACAGCAGTTCCGGTGACCACAAAGGCAGCAAAGGCGACAGAATGGAGAAGGTGCCTCACGTGAGTTCCTGGAGGAGGCGTGGGTGGCAGGGCAAAACTGTAGCGAGCTGCTGTAACTGTGGTCTTGTCTCTGTGCAGACTTTCCAGGGGCCCTCAGTGCCCAGGGAGGCCAAGGTGCTTCATGTCAGGGATGCCCCAACCAGCGGCTGTGCACTTCTGGAGTGGGGGCTACCCCAGACCCGGGTAAGAAAAAGGCAAGGCCTCAACAGGAAGTGAGAGGCGCAGGCCTGGAAAAGGCTGCACATGGGAGGGAGGGAGCGGGATCTGCAGAATGAGTGATGGGTACGGGCTAGAAGGTATTGTATACGGAGAGGAGTGGGGCCTAGAGGGCGCTGAGCATGAAAAGTAGGCAGCGTGAGGGCGGAGCTTGAAATGAGTGACAGGGAGGAGGACTGTAGAAGGCGAGAGCAAAGGATGTGGCACGGATGGAGGCCAAGACTAACCTGTGCAGCATCAGAAGGGACATTAATTAAGAGGATCCGGGACAGAAGTTTGAGTGACAATAACTGACCACAGAGAAAATGGGATAAGCTTCAAAGTCAGGGAGTCCTCAGACTTAAATCCTGGCTCTGCCAGCTATTTTCTTGACATAATTTTCTTCCTTTTGAGGAGTGATTCTTCCGTTCATTCAACAGAAGTGTGTTGACCGCCTCGTAGGTACTGTGCTGTGCTGGGGACACAGCTGGGGATCAGGCATGGTCACTGCCCTAGTGGAGTTTAGCTTAACAGGGGAAATATAAACACGTGAGCTAGCAACTAAACCACCACAGCTTTAAGTGCTGTGAAGCACAGATTCAAGGATGGGAGGACCTTAGGAGCCTGCTCAGAAGGACCTTAAAAAGCAGGAGGCAGGGGGAGAATCTTTTTTTTTCTTCCCACCACCCCCGCTGGCCTTTTTTCCAGAGGGAATCTTGCTGTGTTGCTGGGAACAGGCCCCCCACATCTGGCCATAAACAGGCCATGAGAAACTGGCCATAAACAAAATCTCTGCAGCACTGTGACATGCTTGTGATGGCTATGACACCCACGCTGGAGGTTGTTGGTTTACCAGAATGAGGGCAAGGAACACGTGGCCCACCCTGGGTGGAAAACCGCTCAAGGTGTTCCTAAACCACAAACAATAGCATGAGCGATCTGTGCCTTAAGGACATGTTCCTGCTGCAGATAACAAGCCAGAGCCTGTCCCTTTGTTTCCCATAAGGAATGCTTTCAGCTAATCTATGATCTATAGAAATAATGCTTATCACTGGCTTGCTGTCAATAAGTATGTGGGTCAAACTCTGTTCGGGGCTCTCAGGTCTGAAGGCTGTCAGCCCCCTGATTCCCACTCTGCACTCTATTTCTGTGTCTTTGTCTTAATTCCTCTAGCACTGCTGGGTTAGGGTCTCCACAACCGAGCTGGTCTCGGCACTGTGTAGCCCAGGCTGGAGTGCAGTGGTATGATCTCAGCTCACTGCAACCTCCGCCTCCTGGTTTCAAGTGATTCTCATGCCTCAGCTTCCCCAGTAGCAGGGACTACAGATGCCCGCCACCTCTCCTGGCTAATTTTTGTAGTTTTAGTAGAGACAGGGTTTCATTATGCTGGCCAGGCTGGTCTTGAACTCCAGACCTCAGGTGATCTGCCTGCCTCAGCCTCCCAAAGCTGGGATTACAGGTGTTAGCCACCACACCCAGCCAAGGGGGAGAATCTTGAAGGAGTTCAAAGAGAGAGTTGGGTTTGATTCTTGGGTCCATGTGGTGTGACCATCAGCAATAGTCATAACCTCTCTGAGCTTCTGGTTCCTCATCAAAAATGGAGACAGGCCAAGTGCGGTGGCTCACGCCTGTAATCCCAGCACTTTAGGAGGCCGAGGCAGGTGGATCACTTGAGGTCAGGAGTTCAAGACCAGCCTGGCCAACATGGTGAAACCTGTCTCTACTAAAAACACAAAAATTAGCTGGCATGGTGATGCGTGCCTACTCTTGAGGCTGAGGTGGGAGGATCACTTGAACTGGGGAGGTGGAGGTTGCAGTGAGCTGAGATCATGCCACTGCCCCCCAGCCTGGGTGACAGAGTGAGACCCTGTCTCAAAAGAAAAAAAAAATGGAGAGAAAAATAGTTACCTTGTCAATCCAATGGAGAGACTGAACCATCTCTACCAGTGGAGGTTTATTGAGCCAGAGCTTGAGGGCATGCTCTGGAAAACACAGAAATGTCTGTGGCCTGTGCTCCCTGGAGAGGTTCCAGGAGGCTCGTGTTTATATATTTCTTTAAAAGGGGAAAAAGCATGCAGGAAAAAGTGCAGTAGGCCTTGAGGCAGTTAGTTAAATTCCTGTGAGGTTTAAATTAGAGCCCAGTATATCTATGCTATACAGAAGATAAGGTAAACATTCAAAAGAGGGAGTAAAAGAAGAATTAATTAGATGTCTCAGGGTAGGAGAGGAAGGATTAATCTTATCCTGTCTTTGTTTGGCATGTGAGAAGATAAGCTTGTAATGGATGGACATCATCAATGTGACATTTAACAGACATCAGTAGCAGACAAGGAGTTAGACTGAGGTTACAGTCCTAAAGTTACAGTTAACATGTCCTTGTTTATGGGAGGATATTCATCTTCAAAGGTTTAGGGGCCATCAAAGAAGCTCCTTAGGAGCAATTTGTGAGGGCAGTCATCCCACGATGGAGATGCATGAGGCCTTTGGCCTTTTGCAGGGGTCTAGTTAATGTAGAATGCTTTGATCCAAGGTTGGGAAGTAACAGCTGTCTGTTGATGGGGAGGAGGACAGCAGTGTTGGGAGGTTTCCAGGCTTAACTTTCACTTGAATTTGAGCAGTAATGAGACATTTTATTTTCCATTATACCTCGTGTGTTAAGGATTTGAAATGAGATAGTTTCATTGACAGATACTTAGTACGTGCCTGCTATCTATCAGGGTTTCTCACCCTCCACATTGTTGACATTTGGAGCAGGATTATTCTTTGTTGTGGGGGGCTGTCCTCTGTATCATAGGACAATTAGCACAATCCCTGGCCTCTACCCATCAGATGCCAGCAGTACCTCTCCTGTCACAATGAAAAGTGTCTCCAGGCTGAGCGTAGTGGCTCATGCCTTTAATTCCAACACTTTGGGAGGCCGAGGCGGGTGGATCACTTGAGGTCGGGAGTTCCAGACTAGCCTGTCCAACATAAAGAAACACCGTCTCTACTGAAAATACAAAAATTAGCCAGGCTTGATGGCAGCCACCTGTAATCCCAGCTACTTAGGAGGCTGAGGCAGGAGAATCACTTGAACCCAGGAGGTGGGTTGCAGTGAGCTGAGATCATGCCACTGTACTCCAGCCTGGATGACAGAGTGAGACTCTGTCAAAAAAAAAAAAAAAAAAATGAAGGGAAGGGAAGGGAGGGGAGGGGAGGGGAAGGAAAGGGAAGGGAGGGGAGGGGAGGGAAGGGGAAGGGAGGGGAGAGGAAGGGAGGGGGGGGAGGGAGGGGAGGGGGAGGGGGAGGTCTCCAGACATTTCTAAATGTCCCTGGGGGATTTTGTCCCCTAGTTGGAGACCATTACTATACGCAAAGTTCTCTTCTGGAGCTGGGAATACATCACTGAAAGCTTCAGACAGTCCCTACCCTTGTGGAGAATATGTTCTAGTTGGGGGAGACAAATGTGTAAACCAATAAATGAGGCACTTTCAAGTGTGATAATAGCCTTATTTTCTTCCTAGCACTTACTTCTACTGTTGACTAAGAGGTATTTCAGAGGATACTTTTAAACAGCCCCAGGACTAGGACTTAGCTCTTCCTAGCTTACTGAAAGAGTGACATTCGAGGTTCGGTCAGAAACCTCATCCCCTAAACTTTGGCTTTCTTTGCAGCTATAGAGGAAATCAAAGAGAAAATGAAAACCATAAAACACAAAATCTTGGTATTGTTTGGGAAAGGCAGTGTTGGGAAAAGCACATTCAGTGCCCACCTTGCCCATGGCCTAGCAGAGGATGAAAACACACAGGTGAGACCTCAGGAACCACTGGGAGATGTTCATTCTATCTGAGGGTCGTGATGGCTATTAAATAACGGATTCCTAGGCCAGGTGTGGTGATTCATGCTTGTAATCCCAGCACTGTGGGAGGCCAAGGCGGGCAGATCACTTGAGGCCAGGAGTTTGAGATCAGCCTGGCCAACATGGCAAAATCCTGTCTCTACTAAAAATACAAAATATTAGCTGGGTGTGGTAGCACAGGCCTGTAATCCCAGCTATTCAGGAGGATGAGCCATGAGAATCACTGGAGCCCAGGAGGTAGAGGTTACAGTGAGTCGAAATTGTGCCACTGTACTCCAGCCTGGATGACAGAATGAGACTCTCAAATACAAAATAAATAAATAAACAAAAATAATTAAAAAAACTGATTCCTTAGACTAAGTTGAATTGGCCTCTTTGGAATCTCAATCCCTGCAGAGAACAAAGAAATGCCCAGTAGTCAAATGAAGCATTTCATTGGATTCTGTAGCCAAGAAAATGGCTAGCAGATGTACATCTCTCCTTGCACGTGGATAGTTTATTACATTACATTCACGCTTCTTTTTCCTCCTTATTAACCCCTTTTTGTTTTTCTTGAAGCCAGGGATGTGCAAACTATAGCCAGTGGGCCAAATCCAGCCCATCTCCTGATTTTATGGCCTGTGAACTAAGAAGGGCATTCACATTTTTGAAATGTTTTTTGTTTGAGAGAGGATCTCACTCTGTCACCCAGGCTGAAGTACAGTGCTATGATCAGGACTCACTGCAACCTCTATCTCCCCGGCTCATCAATCTATCCTCCCACCTCAGCCTCCCAAATAGCTGGGACTACGGGTGTTTGCCACCATGCCCGGCTAATCTTTGTGTTTTTTGTAGAGATGGGGTTTTGCCATATTGCCCAGGCTAGTCTTGAACTTCTGAACTCAAAGCATCCCCCTGCCTTGGCCTCCCAAAGTGCTGAGATTACAGGCATGAGCCACTGCACCTGGCCTAAAATTGCAATTTTTAAATTAGTACCTAAGTACCAACATATGATCCTTGATTTTGCCCACAAAGCCTAATTACATATTTTCTATTGGCCCTTGCGGAAAATGTTTGCTGGACCTTACATGAGTTTATTCATTTCCACCCAAGTATACAGATGAGCATGAAAATTCAAATTACCCTGTGCTGCCCTCTGGATGTCAACTTTAATAAAAGGGGTTGTGGGTAGCTAAGAACACATACTTTGGAGTCAGACACCCCAAACTCAGGTCCCAGCTCCATCCACACCACTGCTGTGACCTTGGGCAAGTTACCAGGCTTACTCTGCCTCCGTTTTCTCATCTATAAAATGGGACTCTGAAGACTGAGTGAGATGACACATGTAAAGCACTTAGCATAGGGCCTGACAAATAGTAAATGTTCAGTAAATATCTGTGATGGCCATTTTTATTACTTTATTTCACTAACTGGATATGAAGGGATGATGATTTTATCTGCCTTAGAGATGAGTTTGTAGCCCACCCAAAGTACAGTATTGAGTAGATTCAAAATATACTTGGGCTGGGGGCAGTGGCTCACGCCTGTAATCCCAGCACTTTGAGAGGCAAGGCATGCAGAGTTTACAGCTTGCAGTGAATGCCAAGAATGAGTTCTTAGACAATTCCAGCTGAGCAGGGCTGGGGGGCAGCTTTTCTGACAGAGTCCACCCCAGCATCTGTCCACCAAGTATTTATTGAAAGAGCTTGTTAAACCACAAACACCCCCTAGATGGCTTTTTTGAGGCTGGGTTGTGAGACACCTGTGGCCTTGTAAAAGCACTCAAACGGCATTCTCAGGAGGCTGTTTTCAGTGTTCGTTATCACACCACACACTCCACTCCCTGTCCTGTTTTCAGGGTCAAGGAGTTTCATTCTCATGCACAAATAACATGCACACAGTGCCTCAGTATTTTTCCATGCCCTGACCTCAAATGCCTTGTACATAAGCTTGAATATGTTGCCATGCACCCCCCGCCCAAGGCAGGTGGATCACTTGAGGTCAGGAGTTCAAGACCAGCCTGACCAACATGGTGAAACCCTGTCTCCACTAAAAAACACAAAAATTAATTGAGCGTAGTGGTATGTACCTGTAATCTTAGCTACTTGGGAGGCTGAGGCATGAGAATCCCTTGAACCCAGGAGGCAGAGGTTGCAGTGAGCCGAGATCACCCCACTGCACTCCAGCCTGGGTGACAGACCGAGACACCGTCTGAAAAGAATGCATATATATATATACATACACACACACACACATGCACACACACATATATACTTGTTGATTCATTCTTCTGTTAGCAATCTCTTTCCATTTGAGGGTCAAATTTATATTGACCTGGTGGGCTCACTAAGAAATCTGCTTTCTCAGATTGTCTATATAGTTTAGAATAATCTTTGCTTTTTGAAGCTGTCAGGAATACTCTTAAACAGCTCACTGGGGATGGGCTTTCATCTGGCCACTTGCAAGTAACCACTTGTGAGTAGACAACTGTTTATATCATTCACTTTCACGTAATTATGTTCTGATGTCTTTGCTGCATGCCTGTCTAGACTTTGCAATATACAGAAGGAAAACACACCATTCAGTGTGGAAATATGGCTAGATCAGCTGTTTTTCTTTATGCAGTGGTAGTTTAAAAAAAAAAAGAAGTCAGCATTTAGGAATGTGTGTTTTCCCCAGGCAGAACTGCTCATGACAGTGATATCACTATTTGCAAAGTGTCAACACATGGAAAATGCTGAATATGTCTTGATTAAAGTCAAGCAGCACAGATTTCTCCCTGCCCTAAATCCAGCAGGATGATGGGACACACCCTGACCCTTTTCTGCCTGCCATCTTGTGAAAGCTTGGCTCTAACTCTATGCAAGGCCATTCCCTGTTAGTGCTTGAGGCAGGCAGGTGTCTGTCATCTCATTGCCAAACGGCCTTGGATCAAGAGAGAGAAGAATTAGAAAACACCCCTGACGAATCACAGGCTGGCCAGGGAGTGTGTAAGTTGTGGTGAAGGCAGGAGGAGCCTCTGTAGCATAAGTCTGAGCCATGAGACAGCAAAGAGTAACACACCATCTTCTACTACAAAAGTCACCGACTCCCAGCCTGGGGTACAAAGTGAGACCCCTATCTCTACAAAAAATAAAAAAATTAGCCAGGCATGATGGTGAGCACTTGTAGTCCCAGCTATGCAGGAGACTGAGGTAGGAGGATCACTTGAGCCTGGGAAGTCAAGGCTCCAGTGAGCCATGATCACATCACTGCACTCCAGCCTGGGCAACAGAGTGAGACCCTACCTCAAAAACAATGAATAACAAGTCCATAAATTAAACTTGTTTGTTTGTTTGTTTGTTGAGATGGAGTATCGCTGTGTTGCCCAGGCTGGAGTGCAGTGGTATGATCTTGGCTCACTGCAACCTCTGCCTCCGGGGTTTAAGTGATTCTCCTTCCTCAACCTCCCAAGTAGCCAGGATTACAGGCGTGTGCCACCATGCCTGGCTAATTTTTGTATTTTTAGTAGAGACAGAGTTTTGCCATGTTGGCAAGGCTGGTCTCGAACTCCTGACCTCAGATCATCCGCCTGCCTCGGCCTCCCAAAATGCTGGGATTACAAATATGAGCCACTGCACCTGGCCACCATAAATTAAACATTTATGATTTTGTGATCTGAAAGGCAAACTATCATTACAAAGTCAGCACTGGGTGTTTCAGGACTGAGTGTGCGAGGCCCTCCTGTGGGGCTTGGGACTGCAGAGCTGGAAGGGGCCTTGATGATCCCGGAGCACTCGTCTCACAGATCAGAAGCCCAGACAGCCAAGGCTTAGAGAGCAGAAGCAACTTGTGCAAGGACTAAAAGTTGGGACTAAACCAGTCTTCACCTATCCTCCTCATCAGGGGCAGTTTGAGAGTAAAAGGAGTAAAGGAGATGCTTTGGGTCCTGATAGCCCTGTAGCATCCCCATCCCTCCACCTTCTGCAGCAAATGTCACCTCTTCCCATCAGCTGCAAACACGGGCCCAGGGGTCCTGGTGTGGAGGAATTCAGGCCATTCCTCTCAGCTGTGCTTCTCTGGCCTAACCTAAGCAGAATTAATTGGACAGATTTTGAGGTAGTAATAGGATCAACAGGAAGTCTGAATAGACAGGACACAGAGCCACCCTGGCCATCTGGGTAGCAGGAGCATGTCAACAGCCTCTTGGGCCTGCCACGGGAATGAGTGCACTTGATCTGCTTTTCGCATCCTTACATCATTTTGCTCAAGATTCACTCCCCAAGGGAGTGAAATTCCTCTAAAGGGAACTGATTAAAGTGTTCCCTGAAGGAAGGGCATGGAGACAGAGTAGCTAGAAACCTGAGAGTATCGAGGAAAGTCTCTATCACAGTCATAGTGATGGTGTCATTTCCCCGTGGATCATTGACACATCAGTCCCAAGTATCAAGGTCCTGAGAGAACAAGTCAGGTTTTCCAATGATGTCGCTCTGCTGAGCTCCTCGGATGGTCCTGTAGAAGGTGCCCGAGGCCAGCCCTGGTCTGTGGATGGCATTTTCCCATGCACAGGTTTGAGACACCACTGGGTGCTGATGAAGTAGGAGGCTGGGTTTGTTGAGAGGATTGAAGAGGAAGGCAAGAAACTAATTCAGGGCAAGTTAAAAAGTGACCCGGAGGTGCAGCACTTTGGATCCGAGTCATTGCAGCTTTCAAGATGAATACTAGCCCTGTTCTCAAAATGTTCCGGAAGGTTGTCTCAGACCTCCTGTACCAGAGGGGAAGGTTTGGGATGGAAGGAGTCACCTGAAGCTGCACCTGAGTCACAAACAAAGAGCTTTTCCAGGTTTCCATCTTTAAGTTTCTGTTTTGAAAGTTTAATCTAAACCATCATTCATCTTCAGGATCAAAGGAAAATAGGGCTTGGTCAGGGTTCAGCTAGAGGTTCTACTCTTGTCCTCCATGTCAGGTCTCTGAGCCCAAGATAAGCCATCATATCCCCTGTGACCTGCACATATACATCCAGATGGCCTGAAGTAACTGAAGAATCACAAAAGAAGTGAAAATGGCCTGTTCCTGCCTTAACTGATGACACTACCTTGTGAAATTCCTTCTCCCGGCTCATCCTGGCTCAAAGTCTCCCCCACTGAGCACCTTGTGACCCCCACCCCTGCCAGCCAGAGAACAACCCCCTTTGACAGTAATTTTCCACTACCTACCCAAATCCTATAAAACGGCCCCACCCCATCTCCCTTCACTGACTCTCTTTTCGGATCAGCCTGCCTGCACCAAGGTGAAATAAACAGCCTTGTTGCTCACACAAAGCCTGTTTGGTGGTCTCTTCACACGGACGTGAGTGAAATTTGGTGCTGTGACTCGGATCAGGGGACCTCCCTCGGGAGATCAATCCTCTGTCCTCCTGCTCTTTACTCCATGAGAGAGATCCACCTACGACCTCGGGTCCTCAGACCAACCAGCCCAAGGAACATCTCACCAATTTTAAATCGGGTAAGCGGCCTCTTTTTATTCTCTTCTCCTCCCTCTCTCACTATCCCTCAACCTCTTTCTCCTTTCAGTCTTGGTGCCATCTTTCAATCTCTCCCTTCTCTTAATTTCAGTTCCTTTCCTTTTCTGGTAGAGACAGGAGATGCGTTTTATCTGTGAACCCAAAACTCCGGCACCGGTCACAGACTTGGGAAGACAGTCTTCCCTTGGTGTTTAATCATGCAGGGATGCCTGCTTTATTATTCACCCATGTTTCAGAGGTGTCTGATCACACGGGGATGCCTGCCTTGGTCCTTCACCCATAGCAGCAAGCACCACTTTTCTGGGGGCAAGCACCCCCCACCCCTTCTCTCTGTGTCTCTACCCCTTTTCCGCTTTTCTTAGGGGCAAGCACTCCCCAATCCTTCTCTCCATGTCTCCACTCTCTCTTTTCTCTGGGCTTGCCTCCTTCACTACGGGCAACCTACCACCCTCCATTCCTCCCTCTTCTCCCTTAGCCTGTGTTCTCAAAAACTTAAAACCTCCTCAACTCACACCTGACCTAAAACCTAAATGCCTTATTTTCTTCTGCAACACCGCTTGGCCCCAATACAAACTTGACAATGGCTCTAAATGGCCAGAAAACGGCACTTTCAATTTCACCATCCTACAAGACCTAGATAATTTTTGTCGAAAAATGGGCAAATGGTCTGAGATGCCTTACATCCAGGCATTTTTCACACTTCATTCCCTCCCTAGTCTCTGTACCCAATGCGATTCCTCCCAAATCTTCCTTCTTTCCCTCCTGCCTGTCCCCTCAGTCCCAACCCCAAGTGTCGCTGAGTCTTTCCAATCTTCCTTTTCTACAGATCATCCGACCTCTCCCCTCCTCCCCAGGCTGCTCATCGCCAGGCTGAGCCAGGTCCAATTCTTCCTCAGCCTCCGCTCCTCCACCCTATAATCCTTCGATCACCTCCCATCCTCACACCCAGTCTGTCTTACAGTTTGGATCCAAGACTAGCTCTTCTCCAGCTGCCCAACAATTTCCTCTTAGAGAGTGGCTGGAGCTGAAGGCACAGTCAGGGTACATGTGCCTTTTTCTCTTTCAGACCTCTCTCAGATCAGTCAGCACTCAGACCCTACTGAATATATACAGGAATTCCAATATCTAACTCTGTCCTACAATTTAACCTGGAGTGACTTAAATGTCATCCTAACTTCTACCCTCTCCCCAGATTCACAGGAAATTTTTTCTCTGGCCCAATCTCACACTGACAACCGCTGGCTCCATGAACCAGACCTCCAGGAAGGCATTAGCGCAGTTCCCCGAGAGGATCCCCAATGGAACTATCAGGCAGATTCCCCAAGTATAGCTAGGTGAGATTACATGGTTTCCTGCCTAGTTGAAGGATTTAAAAAGGCAGCTTACAAAGCTGTTAATTATGACAAGCTTAAAGAAACTACCCAAGGTAAAGACGAAAACTCAGCCCAGTTCATGGCTCATTTGGCAGCAACCCTGAGATGCTTTACAGCCCTAGACCTTGAAGGCCCAGGCTTTCTGACTGTCTCATTCTAAATATGCATTTTATCACCCAGTCAGCTCCTGACATTAGAAAAAAACTTCAAAAATTAGAATCCGGCCCTCAAACCCCACAACAGGAATTAATCAACCTCACCTTCAAGTTGTACAATAATAGAGAAAAGTTACAATTACTTGCCTCCACCGTGAGACAAAATCCCAGCTACATCTCCAGCACACAAGAACTTCCAAACACCTAAACCGCAGCGGCCAGGCATTGCTCCAGGACCCCCTCCCCAAGGAACTTGCTTCAAGTGCTGGAAATCTGGCCACTGGGCCAAGGAATGCCCTCAGCCTGGGATTCCTCCTAAGCCGTGTCCCATCTGTGCGGGACCCCACTGGAAATCGGACTTTCTAACTCGCCTGGCAGCCACTCCCAGAGCCCCTGGAACTCTGGCCCAAGGCTCTCTGACTGACTCCTTCCCAGATCTTCTCGGCTTAGCGGCTGAAGGCTGACGCTGCCCAATTGCCTCAGAAGCTTCCTGGACCATCACAGATGCTTTGGGTAACTCTTACAGTGGAGGTTAAGTCCGTCCCCTTCTTCTTCTTCTTTTTTTTTTTTTTTGTTTTGAGATGCAGTCTTGCTCTGTCGCCCAGGCTGGAGTGCAGTGGCACGATCTCAGCTCACTGCAAGCTCCGCCTCCCAGGTTCACGCCACTCTCCTGCCTCAGCCTCCTGAGTAGCTGGGACTACAGGCACCTGCCTCTGCGCCCGGCTAATTTTTTTTGTATTTTTAGTAGAGACGGGGTTTCACTGTGGTCTCGATCTCCTGACCTCGTGATCCACCCGCCTCAGCCTCCCAAAGTGCTGGGATTATAGGTGTGAGCCACCGCACCCGGCCCCTTCCCCTTCTTAATAAATAGGGAGGCTACCAACTCCACATTACCTTCTTTTCAAAGGCCTGTTTCCTTTGCCTCCATAACTGTTGCGGGTATTGACAGCCAAGCTTCAAAACCCCTTAAAACTCCCCCACTCTGGTGCCAACTTGGACAACATTCTTTTATGAAGTCTTTTTTAGTTATCCCCACCTGCCCAGTTCCTTATTAGGCCAAGACATTTTAACTAAATTATCTGCTTCCCTGACTATTCCTAGGCTAGAGCCACACCTCATTGCCACCCTTCTTCCCAACCCAAAGCCTCCTTTGCATCTTCCTCTCGTATCCCCCCACCTTAACCCACAAGTATGGGACACCTCCACTCCCTCCCTGGCAACCGATCACATGCCCATTACTATCCCATTAAAACCTAATCACCCTTACCCCGCTCAATGCCAGTATCCCATCCCACAATAGGCTTTAAAGGGATTGAAGCCTGTTATCATTCGCCTGTTACACCATGGCCTTTTAGAGCCTAAAATCTCTCCTTACAATTCCCCCATTTTACCTGTCCTAAAACCAGAAAAGCCTTACCGGTTAGTTCAGGATCTGCGCCTTATCAACCAAATTGTTTTACCTATCCACCCCAGGGTGCCAAACCCATATACTCTCCTCTATCCTCAATACCTCCCTCCACAACCCATTCTGTCCTAGATAAACCTAGCTGACCCCATAAATCCTAAATCCTTTCCCCACTCCCCTTTCCATTCCTTAAAAAACAGCCCTAAAAGCTGCTCCCACACTAGCTCTCCCTAAATCATCCCAACCTTTTCATTACACACAGCCGAAGTGCAGGGCTGTGTGGTCAGAGTTCTTAGACAAGAGCTGGGACTGCACCCTGTAGCCTTTTTATCCAAACAACTTGACCTTACTGTTTTAGCCTAGCCCTCATGTCTGCATGTGGCGGCTGCCGCTGCCTTAATACTTTTAGAGGCCCTCAAAATCACAAACTATGCTCAACTCACTCTCTACAGTTCTCATAACTTCCAAAATCTATTTTCTTCCTCCCACCTGATGCATATACTTTCTACTCCCCAGCTTCTTCAGCTATACTCACTCTTTGTTGAATCTCCCACAATTACCATTGTTCCAGGCCCGGACTTCAATCCGGCCTCCCACATTATTCCAGATACCACACCTGACCCCCATGACTATATCTCTCTGGTCCACCTGACGTTCACCCCATTTCCCCACATTTCCTTCTTTACTGTTTCTCACCCTGATCACATTTGGTTTATTGATGGCAGCTCCACCAGGCCTAATCGCCACTCACCGGCAAAGGCAGGCTATGCTATAGTATCTTCCACACCTATCATTGAGGCTACTGCTCTGCCCCCCTCCATTACCTCTCAACAAGCCAAACTCATTGCCTTAACTCGAGCCCTCGCCCTTGCAAAAGGACTATGTGTCAATATTTATACTGACTCTAAATATGCCTTCCATATTCTGCACCACCATGCTGTTATATGGGCAGAAAGAAATTTCCTCACTATGCATGGGTCCTCCATCATTAATGCCTCTTTAATAAAAACTCTTCTCAAAGCCACTTTACTTCCAAAGGAAGCTGGAGTCATTCACTGCAAGAGCCATCAAAAGGCATCAGATCCCATCGCTCAAGACAATGCTTATGCTGATAAGGTAGCTAAAAAAGCAGCTAGCTTTCCAACTTCTATCCCTCACGGCAGTTTTTCTCCTTCTCATCTGGCCACTCCCACCTACTCCCCCACTGAAACTTCCACCTATCAATCTCTTCCCACATAAGGCAAATGGTTCTTGCACCAAGGAAAATATCTCCTCGCAGCCTCACAGGCCCCTTCTATTCTGTCATCATTTCATAACCTCTTCCATGTAGGTTACAAGCTGCTAGCCCACCTCTTAGAACCTCTCATTTCCTTTCCATCGTGGAAATCTATCCTTAAGGAAATCACTTCTCAGTGTTCCATCTGCTATTCTACTACTCCTCAGGGATTTTTCAGGCCTCCCTCCATTCCCTACACATCAAGCTCGGGGATTTGCCCCTGCCCAGGACTGGCAAATTGACTTTACTCACATGCCTTGGGTCAGGAAACTAAAATACCTCTGGTCTGGGTAGACACTATCACTGGATAGGTAGAGGCATTTCCCACAGGGCCTCAGAAGGCCACCGTGGTCATTTCTTCCCTTTTGTCAGACATAATTCCTCGGTTTGGCCTTCCCACCTCTATACAGTCCAATAATGGGCCGGCCTTTATTAGTCAAATCACCCAAGCAGTTTCTCAGGCTGTTGGTATTCAGTGAAACCTTCACACCCCTTACGGTCCTCAATCTTCAGGAAAGGTAGAATGGACTAATGGTCTTTTAAAAACACACCTCACCAAGCTCAGCCACCAACTTAAAAAGGACTGGACAATACTTTTACCACTTGCCCTTCTCAAAATTCGGGCCTGTCCTTGGAATGCTACAGGGTACAGCCCATTTGAGCTCCTGTATGGACACTCCTTTTTATTAGGCCCCAGTCTTATTCCAGACACCAGCCCAACTTGGACTGCACCCCAAAAACTTGTCATCTCTACTATCTTCTGTCTAGTCATACTCCTATTCACCGTACTCAACTACTCATAAATGCCCTACTCTTGTTTACACTGCTGGTTTACACTGTTTCTCCAGGCCATCACAGCTGATATCTCCTGGTGCTATCCCCAAACAGCCACTCTTAACTCCCTCTTAAAGTAAATAAATAATCTTTGCTGGCAGGGCCATGCTGAACCTCCTTGGGCACTCTCTAATTGGATGGCCTGGGCCCTCCCAATTCTTAGTCCTTTAATATCTGTTTTTCTCCTTCTCTTATTTGGACCTTGTGTCTTCCATTTAGTCTCTCAATTCATACAAAACAGCATCCAGGCCATCACCAATCATTCTATATGACAAATGCTCCTTTTAACAACCCCACAATATTGCCCTTACCACAAAATCTTCCTTCAGCTTAATCTCTCCCACTCTGGGTTCCCACGTCACCCCTAATACCGCTTGAAGCAGCCCCAAGAAACATTGCCCATTATCTCTCCATAGCACCCCCAAAAATTTTCGCTGCCCCAACACTTTACCACTATTTTGTTTTATTTTTCTTATTAATATAAGAAGACAGGAATGTCATGCCTCTGAGCCCAAGCTAAGCCATCATATCCCCTGTGACCTGCAGGTATACATCCAGATGGCCTGAAGTAACTGAAGAATCACAAAAGAAGTGAGAATGGCCTGTTCCTGCCTTAACTGATGACACTGCCTTGTGAAATTCCTTCTGGCTCAAAATCTCCCCCATTGAGCACCTTATGACCCCCACCCCTACCAGCCAGAGAACAACCCCCTTTGACTGTAATTTTCCATTACCTACCCAAATCCTATAAAATGGCCCCACCCCTATCTCCCTTCACTGACTCTCTTTTCGGACTCAGCCCACCTGCACCCAGGTGAAATAAACAGCCTTGTTGCTCACACAAAGCCTGTTTTGTGGTCTCTTCACATGGACATGAGTGAAACTCCACAGCAGGCCCTGTGGCATACTGGAAAGAGCCCTGGTTGGGGCCGGAAGATCTCAGTTTATGTCCCAGCTCTGTTCCCCACTTATTGAACTGGTCCCCTCTGAACCTCAGTTTCCTCCTCTGTAAACCAGAGATAATGATACTCACCTTCTAGGCACATGTCACCTTTGCTCCAGTACCCAACAAGTTCCTCATCTCCATCTAAGACCACCTCAGCCTGGATTTCTTGTCCATATCATTATCAGCATTTTGGTTAAGGCCATTCAACAAGTCTCTAGGAAGTTTCAAACTTTCCCACATTTTCCTGTCTTCTTCTGAGCTCTCCAAACTACTCCAACCTCTGCCTGTTACCCAGTTCCAAAGTTGCTTCCACATTTTCAGGTATCTTTTCAGCAGCACTCCACTCTACTAGTACCAAAATCTGTATTAGTTCGTTTTCATGGTGCTGATTAAGACATACCCAAGACTGAGCAATTTATAAAAGAAAGAGGTTTAATTGGACTTACAGGTCTGTGTGGCTGGGGAATCTTCACAATCATGGCAGAAGGCAAGGAGGAACAAGTCACATCCTAAGTGGGTGGCGGCAGGCAAAAAATGAGAGAGCTTGTGCAGGGGAATGCCTCTTTTTAAAACCATCAGATCTTGTGAGACTTATTCACTATCATGAGAACAGCATGGGAAAGACTTGGCCCCCATGAGTCAACTACCTTCCACCAAGTCCCTCCCATAACATGTGGGAATTCAAGATGATATTTGGGTGGAGACACAGCCAAACCATATCAAATTGGAACAGTAACAGCAGAGGTTTGTTATAGGAATTAATTTAGAGAATAGTCATAAAGAAAAAGAATAGCACTTGGACTCTAGTAATCTCCCCCAAAATCATGGTGATTTTTATTTATCACCTCTTCGGTCTGAGCCCCAAAGCTTCTTGCCTGCAACCTCTTTATATACCTTACACCTGTCAGTTTATGAGCTCTGGGCAGGGACATGAAGAGTGATTTACCTGATGAAGTTGCCCATTGCTCTGAGCACGTGAGACAGGAACCACTACATAATATATATTACATATAATGAATGTATAACATCACCCCTTTTATTTATTTTTACTGTGTTATTTAAAAATACCAGTCACAAGGCCAATTAGCTATTACAAAGATATGTCTAGTTACTTTAACACAAATTTTATATAAAATGTACTTCCTATTACTTTTAGATGAGAAGGAAACTCATATAGCCTGTGGTTCCCTCAGAACTCTCACATGTAACTTTTAGTGAGGAAAATGAGGAACTTTCTGAGCTATCCACAAGGGGGTAGACTGATTCCATTTCTTCTGGAAGGTATCCATGGGGTCATCATTAATGATCATTTAAAACTGATATTTCTCATTTTAAGCAACTGTCTCCTTCCAAGAAATAAAATTTACTTATGCAAGCAAGATGCCACTTTTTTAGGCTGACAACTTACAGATGACCCTTGGTTTAAAAATGTATTGCAAAATCATTTACACACATTTTCCCTGCAATCAATCATGGAGGATTCTAACAAATGCCACATTCAGAATCTAAGAACACTGCGGTCTTTCCACTAGAAAGTCAAGCAAATTATTTAAATTCCCAGGGACCAAAAAAAAAAAAATCTTTCCTCAACATCAAACAAAACATTCTCTCTTTGAAAATGTAAATCCCTTGAACATATTCAAGAATTTTAACAAGCTTCCCAGAAAACTATCCTATTACTCTTTGAAGGCCTTAAGGAATTTTCTTAAAATAGTCACATGCTACTCAGGGTGTGGAGAGGGCCTAAGTGACAATGGGAGTCAAAGCTCTACAGTAGGGCCCCAGAAGTCCCCATGTACCTCCTTTCAGAAAGGAAGAGCGGCCCCCAGAGAATTACTAGGCACATGGAAGGGGTATGGGGAAATCTTCTAAAAGGAATAAAGCACAGGACCCGTTTCGCATCTGTTTTGCATCTGGGGTTAGCAGTAGGACACAGAGCTCTGAACTACAGGAAGAGCCTCAAAGAAGATGTTAACAACAGAGAGTTTAGAGAATGTGGAGCTCTCATCTGTTTTAACTCCTCTATCCAAGCCTTGGGGTGTGTGTGTATGTGTGTGTGTGTGTGTGTGTGTGTGTGTGTGTGTGTGTGTGTATTTGTGTATGTGTTCAGGGGAAATTCCAAGAGGATGAAACTGAGGTGAAAGGCAAGTCAGAGGTAGAAAGTGGCCTGAGCTGATAACTAAATGCTAGTTTCACTTCAAAGAACTGGATCTTCATCTGACATCAGAAAAACAGAAGAATCAAGAAGGCACCAGCAATTTCACTCAAATAAGTTTTTCCTGAGGAAGTAATTGAGTATGTTTTCAGAGACATAGTTTTAAGATATTTATCACAGCTTGTCTATGACAGGAAAAATTAAATACACAAACAAGAAATTTAAAAAAGAAACACCCTTAAGTATGCAACAGTGAGGGATTAGCCATATAAATGATGCTGTATCCACATAAGAGAATAGTATGAAATGATTTAAAATTACAACTATCACCACGGAAAAAGGGTCATCATATTCACTTATATTGTTGGGTGAAAGATGATTATAAAGCAGTCTATATAGGTTGTATACACTGTGATAGATTTACAGATGTTTTTAGTTCTTTTTTGCTATTTTAAATGTTCAACCTATTAAAAATACAAAATACATGCTAACTATAGAAAGCCACATTTTTTTTTTTTTTTTTGAGACAGAGTCTCGATCTGTCACCCACGCTGGAGTGCAGTGGCGCGATCTCAGCCCACTGCAACCTCCGCCTCCTGGGTTCCACTTATTCTCGTGCCTCAGCCTCCTGAGTAGCTAGGACTACAGGCGCCCACCACCATGCCCAGCTAATTGTTGTATTTTAGTAGAGATGGGGTTTCACCAGGTTGGCCAGGCTGGTCTCAAAACTCCTGACCTCAGGTGATCCACCTGCCTCGGCCTCCCAAAGTGCTGGGTTTACAGGTGTGAGCCACCGTGCACGGCCAGCCACGTTCCCTTAAAAGACAGAACACAAAATTTCTATCAAAATCCCAGCAAATTATTTTGTAGATATAGGCAAGATTATTCTAAAATTTGGAACGGCAAAGAAACAAGAAACTGGAATTGCTAAAATAAAATGGAAAGAATCACTCTCCCTGATTTCAAGACTTACTTTTATAGCTACAGCAATCAAGACTGTGGTATTGGCCGAGAGACACACAATGAAATAGAAAAGGGAACCCAAAAATGGGACTCACACAAATATGTCCAACTGACTTTTGATAAAACTACAAACACAGATCAACAGAGAGAAGATAGTCTTTTCAATAAATGATGTTGGAACAATTGACAATATATGAGCCAAAAAAACCCTTGACCCAAATCTCACTCTTTATATGTAAATTAACTAAAAATGGCTCATAAACCTAAGTGTAAAACGAAACACTATAAAACTTTTAGAAAAAAAAATAGGAGAAAATCTTTCCTAGGGTTAGGCAGAGTCCTTCAACTTGACATCAAAAGCACGATCATTAAAAGGAAAAACTGATAAATTGGACTTCATCAAAATTAAAAACTTTTGCTCCGAAAAAGACCCTGCTAGGAGGATTAAAAAGCAAGCTATAGAGCAGGAGAAAATATTTGCAAACCACATATCTGACAAAAGACTAGAATTTAGACTCTGTGTGTGTGTACATACATATATATGTATTTTAGAGTGTTTTTTTTACTATCACACATACATATATATCTATATTATTTTTACTATACACACGTATATATATATATATATATAGCCTGTGGCTATATATGTAAAAAACAGTAAAAAAAAATTCAATTTAAAAATGGACAAAAGACAAGAAGACCCATTTCTCCAAAGAGGATATACAGATGACCAATACACACATGAAAAGATGTTCAACGTCTTTAGCCATTGGGGAAATGCAAATTAAAATCACAAAGAGATATCACTACACACCTGTCAGAAAGGCTAAAACTGAAAATAGTGACACCAAATGCTGCCGAGGATCTATAGAAACTGGATCACTCATACATTGCTGGTGAAAATATAAAATAGGACAACCACTCTGGGAAACAGTTTCTCAAAAAACCAAATATGCAACTACCAGAGAACCCAGCAACTGCACTTCTGGGCATTTATTCTAGAGAAATGAAGATGTTCACACCAAAATATGTACATGAATATTTATAGCAACTTTATTCATAGTAGCCAAAAACTGGACATAACCCAGATGTCCTTCAGTGGGTGAACGGTTAAACAGACTGTGGTACACGCACACCATGGAGTGCTACTCAGCAATAAAAAGGAACACACTATTGACACATGCAACAACCTGGATGGAGTTCCAGAGCATTACGCTGAGTAAGAAAAGCCAATCCAAAGAGTTACATACCACAGGATTCCATTTATGCAACATTCGTGAAATGACAAAATTACAGACATGGAGAACAGTTTCATGGCTGCAAATGGTTAAGAAGGAATGGAGGCAAGAGGGAGGTAGGTGAGGCCAAAAAGGGCAACATGAGGGATCCTTGTGATTATGGAAATGGAAATGTCTCCATTTGACTGTATGGAGGTCAATATTCTGATTGTGATATTGTACTATACTTTTGCAAGATGTTACCATTGGAAGAAACTGGGTAAAGGGTACGTAGATTCTGTATTACTTCTTACAACTGCATGTGAACCTACAATGATCTCAAAATTAAAAGCTTAATTAAAATAAAAAGGACATAGCATGAGACTGTCCCCAGAAAACTGGCAGACATGGCCCTGCTGCTACACTGCTGGGGCTTCATCAGAGGCCTCCAGTGTGCACTCAGGCACTGCTGGCCTGGTAGGGCCAGACTCTGGCTATAGTCGTAAGTGTGGTGCACACCTGGATCAACCCCACAACAGTTACACTGTCTCTTCACGGGGAGATCCTCGAGTCTGTCAGTGTCCATCAGCAACCAGCCAATAAGTAGGCGCAGCTTGTCAGTGCTGTCTCCCCTGGCATTAATGGTGTGTTTAACTAAGAGCCATTAACAAGGGTAGCTTTCTCCAATTAAATAACCACAGTGGAGTTTTTTTTTTTGAAAACCCTAGCGTTCCTAAGGTAAACATAACATGATTTGTCACTTTGCAAGGTCCAAGAAATGCTATTTTGATCTGTTAACTGCCTCTGATGAGGACACAGCTATCTGAGATGTAAACATGCCATCAGACGGAGAGGTCTGAAAGTTTGGAGGGAGCATGACATTTAGAACAGTTACTGCTTGCCCTAGAGCTACAGCTAACACCTCTGACTGCTGTGTGCCAACACAGGAGCCCACGAGAGGGAAACAGTAATGACTATAGAGGCAAAGGAGGAATACAGCCCAAACAGGTAACTTGAGGAAGGAGAGGGAGGCCATTTGAGAGATGCAGGTTAGGAATCCTCTTACTCTAAATGGCACTAATGCTGAACCTAGAATAAAATCTGTCCCTTCAGCCTCCTTTCTGTTCCTGAAACTTGCCTAGCTGTTTCCCACCTCAGGGCCTTTGCACGTGCTGTTTCCCCTGCCTGAGTGCTCTGCCCCAGATCTGCACTTCCTCAGAAGGGCCATCCCTGACCACTCCACCAGCCCCCACTCCAGTCACAGTCTCTTCCACACCTCCTAGACTGTCTCCTTCACATCACTTGTCTTCAGGAAGTATCTTGCTTGTTGACTAGCTTATGATCCGTGCTAAGATAGATGTTTCATAAAGATAGAAAGCTTGTCTGTCTTATTCCCTCAGTTAACCCCATTATCTGACACAGAAAGCTTCAATAAATACCTGTTGAAAGAATCAGTAGCAAAAGCTGTCTCTGTTCCTGTAGCAGTCTCTGCTTCTGCCCAGGAAAGGTATGGTCATCACGAAGGTCCCTCTCAGGATTTTTACTACTTGTGGAAGACTCAAAAGAGCAAAAAGCCTTTTCCTTTTAGGAAATCCCTTTGGCAGGAGCTCTTGTGATAAGCCTGACCAGGCAGGCCAGTAGCCAAGGCTGGGCTGGGCCCTGTTCTGTGTTCCTCACACACCCGAGTCTGTGCTGTTTCTCCACCTCTGTTCACCACACTGGGCACCAGTCACTGCCTTCTTTCCAGTTTCTGCCATGGGCTGTCTGGTTACATGATGGCACCAGCCTGTTCCAAGGGCAGAGCTATTGGCCAACTCTAAAGCCTCTCCTTCCATTTCAAATGCAGTCTGTTGAAATCATCTCCCAACGAGGAGAACAGAACCCTGGTCATAGGTCAAGAGACCAAGGTTATAGCCTATCAGGGCCAATGACTCACCCTGTGACCTTAGGCAAGGCTTTTCCTGTCTCTGGGCCCCAACTTCTGCCAGACACAGGCCTCTAAGTCCCCATGTCAGCCAGGCACACACTGTCCTGTCCAGGGTTCCTGTGGGGTGGAGGAAGGCTGGCTTTTCTACCCAAAGAGAGACGCACTGTGGGGAAGGCACCTTGGGCTTAGCAGCCCATCTTGCGAGCTTTAGACCAAACTCTACCCTGCAGGAAAGGCCCTCACTCGAGGAGCTGGGTGGCGCAGGGGCTCACGCCTACCTGAGGGGGCTCCAAGGAGGTATGGGATGAGATGAGGCAGGCAGCCTCTGACATTTAAGAGCCATTAGACTTTGAACAAGCCACTTCAACATCTTGAGCCTCAGTTTCCTCATTTGTAACTGAGGACAATAACAGTGGCAACTAATGGCATTAAACAAAATAATGATGCAAAAATAATATTTAGAGTGCCTGGCACAGGGAAAACGCTCAATAAATGGCAGCTCTTAGAAAAATGATCATGATGATGGTGGTGATGATAATGGAGAACAAATTGAATTCCCGTTGAGAAAAGCCATTGAAAAGGACAGTCTCTGGTTGTGCTGCTGAAAAAGACAAAACCATGTGTGCAAGGGATCTGGGCTTGAGCCTCCTTAGAAAACAAAGACACTTATTTAAATAAGTAGAGAAGACCTCCAGTCTTGGGTCAATAATGTATCTTTCCCAAGGAAGCTTTTTAAGGCCAGGTATTTCTAGAGCTCAATAGCATTGAGAAATTATAGAAATCACCTAGATGTTTGTTTCTCAGCTAATGTGGGCTCTTCCAGGAAATGATGTACTAGTCAGCTAGGCGGCTGATAAGTAAATTCCAGAAGCCCCACTTGATGGAATTGAGTGAGCCATTAAAAACGATGCCTATGAAGACTGCAGGGCAAGGGTTAAGATATAAGGGAGAAACAGAATGCAAAACTGTGTTATGATTACAGTTGTTTAGAAACATGTCTGCTTACAGGCAGGCCCTGGAAGGGAAGATTAAAAACAGTTGATTTGCTTCAGTGATGGGATTAGGAGTGATTAAAGCAACATTTCTGTTATGGTTTTACAGTGTGGTTTTGTGTCTTTTTTTTTTTTTTAGTGAAAAAAAAAAGAGGACTGCAGTTGTCATACTATGGTTTGTGCCTTTTTTAAATAAAAAAAGAGAAAAGGGATTGCAGGGGAATGCATGTACCTCAGACGTCCCTAGAGCTGTCCCCCTCCCCATTGTGTGTGTGTGTGTGTGTGTGTGTGTGTGTGTGAGAGAGAGAGAGAGAGAGTGAGAGACAGACTCCCTTCCACTGGATACCATTCAGAATAGTTTCAGCTCCCATTGAATGGGGATTTTTGCAAATTTCTAGTAGCTGAAAGAATAGTGAATTGATTCGCCAATGAAAACCCATTGTTGGGCTTTGTCTTCAAGCTTGTCAGTGCACTGGGGAGTTAAAAAGACTTAAGAGCAAATACATAGTCTGGGGCGCCAGACTTTGGAATTGAGCTTGCTAGAAGCCTCTTGTGTCAGGAAGCTTTGAGCCCTCAGGTATGGGTGCACAGGGGCTGGCTCCTTCCTCAGCAAGAAGATACCTAGCCATGCGGGCCTCTCCAAAGAGGGGCAGGGGCTCTGTGGTGAGCAAAGCGGTCATGCAGGAACATCAGGCCATGTAGTCTGGCCCTATCTGGGGGTGACCCCCTCATGGGCAGCCAGCATGGAGCGCTTCATTCCCTCTAGATGGCCTATGGACTCTGCCTGGGAAAAGCTAAATGAGATGAAAAGCCTGAGCCCATCACAGCTGAGCTGAGGTCAACCTGACCGGACACCAGGGACAAGGAGGACAAGGCTGGCATTCCAGAGCACCCTCTAAGATCCCCTAACTGTCCGGACAATGATGAGGTCATTGCTGCTGTTGTTTCAATCATGAGACCTCACTACAGGCCTGACACTGTTCTGAAAGCTTTACATGCGTTATTCAATTCAACCCTCATAATACTGTAAAGAAAGCACCATTAGTAATTCCCTTTCAGCAGTGAGGAAACAGTCTCCGAAGAGACTAGTAACTTGCCTAAGATTCAAGGCCACACATCACAGTAGATGACAGAATGAGATTCAGTTCCACACCATGTTCCTGCCTGTTCACCATAATAAAAAATGTAAACACGTGGCAAGGTGTCTGAAAAGAGAAAGAAAATAAAAATCGCAGGCAAATACCTTTTGCTACAAACACACAAATTCATAGGTCCCTCAGCCAGTCAGGTTACACAATCAAACTGCCTAGAAGTTTGCCCAAAGTGCTGCTAATAGTGTAAGAAGCTTGGGGCAGGTAGTATAGAACCTCCGATAGTTGAACCATCAGAGAGACAAACACCCAAACAGCCTGGCAAAGTGCTGCTTTCAGATAGAGCAAGCACAAGTAAATGTGAGAGATTTCGAAGAAAGAGAAGACAACAGATTCCTGACCCATGGCTGCTCAGTTAGCATGTTTCTACATAGATTCAGAAGATACTTCATTTTAAATTATTTCTGTCCTAAGCCTGCTGATATTGTTGACAACAACGGCAAAACCACAGTATACAATTTCACAACAACATGGAGTCCAGAGAGCCCTTTAGACTAAACTCTGAGGATTGCTTTGGAACAGCCTTGGGGAAGCAGAGAGGGGGCCCCAGGCCCCACATACCTGGGCTCAGTGGCCTCTCTGAGGATCATTTCTGGTTTTCAGCAACATGTTTGTCACCAAAGCACATCTTATAATAAAGAAGAATTCCAGGGCATCACAACCCCATCCTTCTTGGGCTGTGGCCAGGGTTCACCTTCCCAGAGCTCTGGCACCCTCCCAGTCAGTGAGCAGGGCTGTCAGCAGCCTGCTGTGGACACACAGTTCTCTGCTGCCCTCTTCCTCCCCTTCACCTGCACCCCTTGAGAAGTCTCCTCCTCCTGCAGGAACTGTCCCCCTCTAGCCCTCCCAGCTCTTACGCTTGCTTTTGGAGAGCAGGGATCCATTTCAATTATGCAGTGCTCACACCATCCAGCTGGTAGCTTTTACACAGCTTCAGCTGTGGAATCCTTTGGAAATGAATCTTACATGGGTCCCAAAGTGTAATGAGACACAAGTGGAACAACTCCAGTTAAAATGTGAGTGGGAGGCCGGGTGCGGTGGTTCACACCTGTAATCCCAGCACTTTGGGAGACCTAGGCGGACAGGTCATTTGAGGTCAGGATTTCGAGACCAGCCTGGCCAACATGGGAAAACCCCATCTCTACTAAAAATACAAAAAATTAGCCAGGCATGGTGGCAGCCACCTGTAATCTCAGCTACTTGGGAGGCTGAGGCAGGAGAATTGCTTGAACCCAGGAGATGGAGGTTTCAGTGAGCCAAGATCACGCCATTGTACTCCAGCCTGGGCGACAGAGCAAGACTCTGTCAAAAAAAAAAAAAAAAAAAAAAAAAAAAAGGCCAGGCATGGTGTCCCAGCTACTCTGGAGGCTGAGGCAGGAGAATCGCTTGAACCCAGGAGGCAGAGGTTGCAGTGAGCTGAAATCAGGCCACTACACTCCAGCCTGGGCGACAGAGAGAGACTCTGCCTCAAATAAATAAAAATAAAAATAAAAAAGGGAATGGGAGCTCAGAGCCCTCTAGCCAGGTCTCCCTCTGCTACCTACCCTAAGAGCACCCCATTCTTTAAGCATCATTTGTGTTCCTGATATACTCAGGAATGCTAGGATTTCACATGCCAGTGTCAGAGGGAGGGCCAGAACCCAGGGTTACCAGGTCCAGCCAGAGACTTCCACCACCACATCCATCCCCGTCCACCACCAGGAGAACTCCAAAGTGCACGCTTCTCCCTTCCCTACACCACCCTGCTCCACTCCCCATTTTTGTTCAGTGGTTTCCAGGCCTGGCTTATGTTCCTCTCTTCCCTTTTTTTTCACCCTGGTCTCTCCGTGCAATGGATTGGGGGAGATGATCATGTGACCAGGATCCACCACGATTTTGCAGGGCTGGGCTATGCATGGGGCAGATGGATATCGGGAGCCACAGCATCAACCCATTCTGGGGAACCCATGGTTCTTTAGTATCAGTGACAGTGAACATTGGATTCACAGGGTCATTGATTCTCGTGAAAAGTCACTTTACTCCTGACTCCTAAGTGTGTCCTGAGTCACACAGGCTGGCTGGGTCACCAAAGGGGTGGCACAGTTTAGGTGGAAGGACACCTAAGTAGAGGCAGCTGCATGTGTCACATGGCCTGGTGCCCACCACCAACTCCACATCCTCCTTTCACAAAGGGCCTGGGCCCAGCCAGTGCTTCTGTGCCAACTGGGGCTTCCACATTTGCTTCAAAAGCACCCTTCCGGGCCCTGGCAACACAGACCCCTCCTGTGGGTCCCAGCAGCTGTCTTACCTCAGCTGCCCTGGACCCAAGAATGGGTCTGAGTCAACTGAATCACTCAGGATGGAAGAGAACCCTTGGAGGGAAATCCCACCCCATAGTCAAGAGCTCCACTGCTACAATGAGCAGGAGCTGGAGTGACTTTGAGCTACTGCGTTTTTCAGCCTTTAGCTGACTAAATGAAAAAATGGAATACTGAAAGGCTTATACTTGGCTTACAAAACAAATGGTTTTGGGGAGACTACTGATCTAGCTCATCTACAAGCCCCTTCAGAACTTGCTTCAAAGAAAGCCTTGCTGGGTGGACTGCAGCCATGCCCTGCCCGCAGGTAGACAGTGCCTCTGCACCGTGACCTCCCACCAAGTCAGTGTGGAAGGTGGTGTCATCTCTACTGCAGGAGATGGCAGCGAGGGGCAGGTGGTTGGTGCCACCTCCAGGGCTGGACTGCAGGAGGGCAGTGGGTCAATGCAGATGCAATCCACAGGTATGCTGATCCGAGCCCCTTCTCAGCCCACCTCAGGGAGAGAGGCCATACCCTCAGCTGGCAATCAGGACCAGCCATAAACAGCACTGCACTCTCCTCCTTACTCCCAGTCCTCCCTCTCCTGTCCCACACTCCAGGACACATTCCTGAGCAGGGCTGGGCTCAGATCCCCTGGGTGAAGGTTCTTCAGGCTCTCTCTTCATGTAGCAGCATGAGGGTGCCTTCCCTCCCTGGTGTAGGGAGCATCTCTCCTGGTGTCCCCCCACTACCTCTCTGCATCCCTTCCCTTGGGCTCCATGGGGAGGGGTGGAAGCCAGGATTCCACTCTTTGTGCTTCTCCCCAACTTCTGCTTCTCCGGCATGCCTGCTCAGCATCCCCAGCCCACTCCTGAGACACTGACACATACCCATACACACCTACTGCCTCTGGTACACTAGTGGGCCCAAACATACAACTTTCAAGTCAATTTGACTGAATGCAATGAGAGAGTGGGTTCTAGGAAAATCTCAAAGGGAAAAATAAATCCCGGATTTGTAAAATGTAAACGCAGGCTCTTCAACTTACTGTGTTTACATTTCTATTTTTAGAGTTAGCCCATCTTTTAAATTAAATGTTTGATTTTGAGATAATTGCAGATTCACATGCACTTGTAAGGAATAACACAGAGAAATCCTGTGTACCCTTTACCCAGTTTTCCTCAGTGATAACATCTTGTAAAACTATGGTATAAAATCACAACCAGGATAATCTTGTTCATGCAATCCACCGATCTTCAAACCTCCCCAGTTGTACTCATTTATGTGTGTGTTCAATAGTTCTATCACACATATAGTTTTGTGTACTCACAACTACAGTCAAGACACAGGGCAGCTCCAAAGCCACAGGGCCCCCCTTGCCCTTTGATAACCACATCCACTTCCCTCCCACCCCTCACCTCTGGCAACTACTCATCTGTGCTCTAAGATTTCATCACTTGAAAAACATTACATAAATGGAATCATACAGTAAGTAACCCTTGGGGATTGGTTTTTCTTCAGGCAGCATAATTCTCTGGAGGTTCATTCAAGTTGTTGGATGTATGAAGAGTTTGTTCTTTTAATTGCTGGGTACTATTCCAAGGCTGTTCTTTTTAATAAAGGGATTTCTCTTTTTACAATTAGAATCATCATAATAATAAAAAACACGTTTATATTCATTATTACTGTGTGACAGTCATGGTGCTAAATTCTTCTATAATTCTCATTTCAGCATAGAGATCCATATTACTGTTATTCCCATTTTACAGAAGAAACAGATGAGGTGCAAAGAGATTAACAAGGTGATCCTCAAAGAGAGAGATTCTTCCCAGATTGTTGCAACCTACGTGGTTTGAGATGAGCTATGTCACATCTTTACCACAGTCCTCACCAGTGACTCACCGGCTTGATGCAAGGAAAAGGCTTTGTCATGTGAGCCTAGTGCCCGGCTATTACTTTTCATCAAGGATAGAGGCAGCAAAGTTTCCACAGGGTTCCATGAAGTAAAGCCTGCTGGGGAGCCAAGGGGACTCAGCTTCCCTCACCCCTCACCAAGGCCTGAGGTCACTCCTTGTAATTAGCCAGGCATGGTGGTACGCACCTGTAGTCCCAGCTACCCAGGAGGCTGAGGAAGGAGAGTCGCTTGAACCCAGGAGGCAGAGGTTGCAGTGAACCGAGATCATGCCGCTACACCCCAGCCTGGGCGACAGACCAAGACTCCCTCTCAACAACAACAACAAAAAAGGAGTCTCAAGCCCACAATTAATTTCCAGAAAATTGACTTTTTAAATTTGACTTACGTGGCCATATGCTGAGAGACAAGCAGAGAGGAGAGACGCCGTTTACCTGACGTTCCTTTTACCTGTTCATATTCATTTCTTAGATCTGCTGCAGCAAAGGACCAGAACTGACAATATTCAAAGAACAGAACTGTATTCTCTCAGTTCTGAAGGCAAGAAGTCCGAAATCAAATCGTGGGATCAGCAGGGCTGTGCTCCCTCTCAAGGTCTTGGGAAGAGCCCTCCCTTTTCTCATCCCACTTCTGATGGCTCCCAGCAGCCTTGGAGTTCTTGGCTTGTATCTACACCAACCTGTGCATCCCCCATCATGCGACACTTTTCCCTGTGCGTTGTGTAGCCATGTTTGAGTCTCCCTCTCCTTTCTCTAATAAAAGGACACCAGTTATTGGAGTTAGAATCCACCCTGATCCAATGTAACCAATTTTAACTAATTACATCTGCAAAGATCTTATTTCCAAATAAAGTTCCATTCACAGGTACTGGGGTTAGGATTCCATATCTTTTGGGGGCAAATTCGGTCCACCACATTGCCCACAAAGATCTCAGCATCTGCTCTGGGGTGGACGGGCCCTGGTACAAGACAGCCTGGAGTGATACCTTCAAGCAGGGCACAGATGTGGCCTGTGGCGATTTCTCACAATCTGCTCATGGGTTGACAGGGCAGAGGGAGTAGGCAATGTGCTGTCTGTGACCGCAAGAAGCAGAAAGAGGACCAGTGGGCAGGACCTGCAGGAGACGAGTTTCTTGCCAGAGCTGGCCACCTGTGAATGGACCTGGCTGCCCTGAGGAAGAGCAGGTAGTGAGCTCCCTGATGCTAGCGACATCTGCCCGAAGGTGGACAGCTACTGATCAGGGATATGCTAGCAGACACACTTTCTCAAGGAGGGTGAGATTAGCCCCAACAGGACAAAACATCATGCTTGGGGGTTGCAAAAAAAATCTTAGCTATTATAATGGTTATGCCCTCCCAAGGCCCATAGTACATAAACCGGTATACAATGTTGTTGTTGTATTAAAATTTTATGGGAAGGAGTGATTAGGGGAAACATTTCTAAATAGGCTCCTTCAGGAGCAATAAAGAAAAAAGGCTGAGAGATGCTGCTATGGAGGGAAGGCTATGCTGGCCGGAGCTGGGGATGAGTGGTCTCAAAGGCCATCCTTCCTAGTCCAGAGCTTTCCACAACCCAAATCCTATGTTTGTAATTTAAGGCTTCAGACCCAACGCCTTGCCCTAATCGACCTTTTACATAGATAGAATCAGGGACTGCCTTTTTATTTGGAAGACTCCTTGTTGGACAAGAGTCCTTTCTTTACCTGATACTGGCTGACAGATGCCTGAAACCTCTTGAAGAGGAAACAAGGCCAGACATCTACTAAGGGAGGTGGAGAAGAGGCAAACTCATTCACACTAAGGTGCAGGAAATGATCCGCAGTGAGAGCAGAGAATGTCTGGTCCCTCTGAGGAGATTTATCTACCCCAATCTCTTGGGAAGCCCAAGAGATTCTCAGAGAGCATAAGTCAGCAATAGGCTCACCCTCTTCTTGAAACCCAGATTACCATGCACCTGCTGGCCCATATAAATGTGTTGATAAAAAACCCAACTGTCTAAGCCAATGCAGCAGCCATGTGCACAGTGGAGCGGGTGGTGGAGTGGAGCAGTTCTCTCCCAGTTTTCTCAGTAATTGTGCTAAGTTTTGCTTCTCTTCCCTGATGGTGATCCTGCTGGCTGTCCCAGACCAGGTAAGCATGAGGTTCACTTTTTCCTGTAGGAAGCAGCCTCCATCTTGAGGAAAGGAGGATAGTTCGGCCAAAATGCTTTGTCAACAGTGAGAATTTTTCACAATGTAGGAATACACCACCAGGTGACAAGGGGTCCAAGCTGCAGGTACCACAAAGCCTTGAAACCCTTGGAAACTGCACTTCTGGATAACTGGCAGTTATTAGTGCTAGAAATTAAACAATCAAATCTCACAGGAACCTACTTATTCCAAGTAAAAGCCAGGAAATACAAAGTGGAGCCCCACAGCCCAGAGAAACAGGATTACATCACAGCACAGGCATGTCAAGCTGATTTTAGCCTCAGAAAGCCACACCTTGGTCAAGCCAGGTCTTCAGTTTTATAATACAGGAAATGGCTTTAATGAGGCACTGCTGCCTAATTATAGGCACAAGTGGTTCTAAGAGAGAAAAGGCAGTGTTATCCAAGTTGAAGGTTTTCTTTCAGGAGGCATTAGCATAGAGCTGACGGATTAGTAGTTTAAGAAATTTGTTTTCTCCTACAAATGCCCTTTGGCATGCCAACACTCTAGTGCCCAAACATCCCATTCATTTCTTGGGGCTTTGGAGCGTCCAGTAAGGTGAAGTCACCTCTGACCGGTCACAGCCTCCCAACCCGCTCCTGGGCAGCATTTCACCCAGCAGCTACAAGTGTCTGTAATAGCCCACAAAGGGGCAATGCTGGGAAAGGGGTGGGGTGGGAAAGGCCACTAAAGTCAACAGAAGCCATCCCAAGGCACAAGGCACACCCACTGTCATCAGGCTTGCTGGGGAGAGCTGTACCACCCTGACTAGGACTGGGGCCACTGGGTCAAACCCCAGAAACCTGAATGAAGTCCCCACTCACTTCATCCCCTGCTATAGTGACTCACAGCTTATGCAGGGAAGAGACAGAAATGTGCCCCTTCTGCACCAGAAACCCCAGCCTAGACAAGGAACCCATTGTAAATATCAAATCAGCAGCCAAATTCTATCCATTGCACCTCTGCTGTTTTTTTCGAAGTGGCTCATCAGCCTCACTATCTCTGCCCCAGTTCAGCCCTCACCTCCTCATATTTGCCCTGCTGCAATAGCCTTCTTGGGGCCTCCAGGCCTCCTGTCTCCTGCCTCTCCAATGCGGCCCCAGAAATGCTTACCTGAACCATGGGGCAGATTCTTTCCTCCCCTCCAGAGACTCCCCTTTGTTACAGGGTGAAGCTCCGACTCAGCAGTCTGCCCTCAGCATCCTTTCTCCATGTCATTGCCCACAGACCCCAGGCCTGAGCCCAGGGCACTGAACAGAATGGTCTGTGTGTCACCTTTGCACAGGTCTTCTTACTGCTCTGCACAGGGCCATAGGGCTCTTCCACTCACCAGTGACTTTGGGCAAGTACTTGGCCATTTTGTGCTTCCTTTGCTCCATCTATAGAATAGGATAATAATGGCCTTCCTGTCTCCCAGGGTCGGGCTGGAGGTTGAATGATGTAATGCCTGTAAAGCATTTAGAAGAGTGCCTGGAATAGGAAATGCTCAGTGTTAAGTAGCACTAACAATTATGAACTTTGTCCACCTGCTTTTTGCAGCCAGGGCACCTAAGTCAAAGTGTGGGTGAAGGTTCAAGGGAAGGTAATACACCCTGGACCCCATACCCACCAAACTGCACATGCCCTGAGCAGCCTCACTGCTGTTGGCTTCCACTGCAAGCCCGACATGGTGGGTGGAGCTTCCAGCGGGCGCCACACTGAATAGATTGCAGGACATCTCTGGAGGATGGGCCAGGACTGTGGAACAGGGCAGAGAGGGCACTGCATGGGGAGAGACATCTGGAGCACGTCTTTTCCAAGTCGAGGGCTGGGGCTGGAGGAATTTGTGGACCACAAAGCCCTCATCTGCTTCTGTCTGGTCCCCAGGGAGGCTAGGCACATTCCTGTGGTCCAGGCTTTCCGCACTCAGACCTCCCTGCCCTTCCTTTACACTGCCCATCCGTTGGCCTCCCAACAGGGGCATGCCAACCCCTCAGCCGATGCGCCTCTCTGCACTCTGGCCACACCTCACCAGCTCCAGGTGGATAGCTGGAGCCCAGCGCCCCCAGGGAATGGTAGGGGTGGGGCGGGCAGGCATAGATGGTTCTAACTTCATCAGTCTCACAACCGGGAGACCATTTTCAATAAGCCCTGCCTTGCATCTCGCCCGCACTCCTGCTCCAGCCTTTGGGGCTGCTTCCTTTCACTCGCAGGGGATGAGAAGCAAGTGTTTCCATCTCCTGGAACAGCTCCCTGCATGGTTTCCCACACGACCAACCCAACGGAGGCTCCTCGAGGGGAAGATGTCCTGTGGACAGAGGGCCTGCAGCCAGTGCAGGAGGGAGGCTCCCAGGTGAGGCTGTGCAAAGTGCATGGGATTCTCTGCCCCACCAGAGTAGGAGTGTCATTCCACACAAATTCAAACCTCGTTGTAGAATTTGAAATATGATGGGGGAGGGAGGAACACTCAAATCTGTCTGCTACAGAGCTTCAAAACGCCTCCTCACCCTAAGAACTAACTTCAGTCACTTGGAGATGCAAAGTTGGAAGCCTGAGGTTGGAGCATCGGTACTGCTACTTATAAGCTATAAAGAGCCAGTCTTGACCTATTTGAGCCTTAGTTTCTTCACTTGCAAAATACATAATGTCCCGTGTCCTGTCTCTTTTGGAGGTTCTACGTTTATTCATTTGTTCAGCTACTAAACAATTTTCCAATGACAAGCCTCATCAGGGCTGCTGGGAGGCCTCAGAAGGGCCCCTGGTGCCTCTGAGAACTCAGTCTAGCTGCTCTGATAACCACACAAGTTCATAGTTGTGAAAAAGTTTCGTAAAAGTATGAAATACCAAACTACTAGCATCATTAACACGAAATGCCTAGCGTTGAAAGCCATTATACTGCTGAAAAGAGCAAAATATATATTAGGTGAGTGCTTCTCAGAATTTAATGTGCATTTGAATCTCCTGGGGATCTTGTTAAAATGCAGGTTGCAATTCAGAAGGTCTGGGCTGGGCCTGAGATTCTGCATTTCCAACAAGCTCTCAGGTGATGGCACTGCTACTGGCCTGGGGAACATATATTGCATAGCAAGTTCTTAGGTTAATGCTGAGCGATCACTGTTCGTTAAACCCAAAATATAAGTTGGTTTATCAGATCAGCTGATTGCAGAATTTGGCAGAAGGGGAACATAGGATGGATAAGTTTTGATGGGGTGGGTGCCTGAGACTGGGCAAGTTCTGGCATACAGAGCCTCCCTGAATGGTGGCTATGGAGGATGGTCTATGCATGCATAGTTGCTTTGCAGAGTGAGACACAGGGGCACTGGAGGGAAACGGAGTCTGAAGAAGGGAACAGGTAAACATACTTCATGTGCTCCTCAGTCATGTCTAGAATGCTTTGTGGAAGGGCAGGTTTGCCCCAAGTGCAAGGGGCAGATGCGGTCTGAGCACAAAGCTTGAGTACTTCTTTTGGAGTACCCTCTCCTCCCCACAAGCATTCAAGGGGAGGAAGCTGATCTTTTGGTGAGCCTCAGTTGAAACTGTTTGGGTTGAGGGAATAACCAGGCATAAGCCAGAAGTATCCTCATGATGAGGTATCAACTCTTGGAGCCTAAGGCAGTGAACACAGTCAGGTCTCAGGGGAAGCCTGCTGGAGACTGATCTCTTCCTCAAGCCCTCTCTCTTGTCTCTTGTATTTGTTTCTCATTGTGTATTCTCCAAAGTGTCTACTGTAAGGCTGCAGAAAGGGCCCAAGGAAGTCACCAGAAACAGAGAGTTAATAAGTATTAGGGTCATAAATTTGACCTTGAAAGACACAGAAAACTCAGAGACATACTCCCGCTTTATGATAGGAGTAGAGGTGGAGCACCTGGAAGATTCTATTCTTCACTTGATGAATTCTTTGCTCCAAAAATAAAGCCCATAAACTTGTTCAACAGCTGGAATTTTCCATGTGAAGAATGTACCTCGTCTGGCAGTTTACTTAAGCAGTTATTTGCAGCCTATAATTTTCACAAAAACAGTAGGGTGTGCCTGGCGGGAGATACAATCCCACTGAAAGAAAACAATGAGAAAACTTTGGAACAAAAGATGCTCTGATTCCATTAGAAAATCATCGACAATTCAGGGTCAAGGCCAACAAAGACGTGGGAAGTTTTCAAGCAGACTTGCGAGAAGTTGGGAGAACTGTGCTTCAGAGGGACTGAAGAATGCGGCCTGCAGGATGCCTGGGTGGGAGGGGGACACTAGAGGCAGGGGGGCCAGTGAAGGGGTGGGTACAGAAGTCCAGGTGAAAAAGTTCTGAGGTCTATGGAAGTGGCAGCTGTGGCCCTTAGGAAGAGGGATGGGGTAATCAATAAACGGAGCAGAATGAGGGTGCAGGAGACATCAGCAATCATGGGGTGCCAAACCCAGTAACTGAAGAATACAGTCCAGGCACTGAGGAGAGGGCACAAAAGGATGGACAGATTTTAATGCGCTGGAAAGACTTTGGGATCAGTAGCAACTTGAAAGTAGTCTTCCATTTTTTATGCACAAGCAGGTTCTATATGTTCCTGGGAGAAAGATGAAGTAAATTAAAAGAGTATTGTCTAATGGTCTTAGCACTGAAGCGTTCCTTGCCTCCAAATAACATGAATCTAGCAGATCACATGGCACTCCTGAGAACCCACCAGCATACCCATGAGGCCAAAAGCAACTTGTGAAGCAGCCCCTGGAGAGGCTTGTAATTCTTCTCCCAGAGGCTGGGGTTCATATTTGAAGCTACGAATGGTTTCCCCCGTCTTCTCGATGCTGCTTGTATGCCTAAGACAAGTGCAGTAACTTGGGGACACCTCTTGTGCCTTGGTTGAGCTGCTCTGGAATATGACTGACTATCTCTTTGACTGGCTCCCAAGCTTCCCAAAGTGCATGTTGCTTGTGTGATGCATTAATCAAGGTTGCCTAATGTTAGCTCATGCAACAGAAATATCTCAAATCTCAATGGCTTCATGCAGAAGAGGTTTATTTCTCTCTCACAGAAAGTCCACAGTGAATATTTCTGGTCAGGCAACTCTTGCACTGCTCTCCTCAAATGGGAACTTGGGCATTTCCCTCAAATGGGAACTTGGCCATTTTTGTGGCTCTGCCATCTTGCAGCTTTTCCTATTTTATGGCGAGGCTTCTAAGTGCCATGTAACCATCCAACTTATATTTCAAATCAAAGCTTCCCAAATATATCCTCCAAATTTGGTTTAAAAAATCCACATGATGGATTTTTAGGAAAGAACTTAATATTTCTTTATGCAGAAAAAAATACTTCGAGGAGGAAATAAACTTTTGAAACTTGGTATTATGAAACTGTCCACTCTTCTCTCCTGTACAAATGAGGCTAGGTTATCAGTGAGCATCTAAACACCTGGATAAAAGGCTTCAGAGAAGCCATTTGGCCAGTGCCTTCTTCCCAGGAAGTCACAGGTTGAGGTTACATTCACTGAGCTTCTTTTCTCTTCCAGGTCCTTTCCTATGCACATAACCTATGTTAAGTCTAATTTGAAAATACTGCAATGCATTCATTAATATGCCCATTTGCACAGAGGAGCAAACTGTGCTCCAGAGAGGTAAGGCAACTTGCTCAAAGTCACAAAGATCTTGTTATGTAGCAGTGCTGGAATTTGATCCCAGACAGTCTGGCTCCAAGACCCACACTTGTTTCATGACATAAGCCTGCCTTTGTCAGTGATCAAAACAAGACGGAACAAAACCAGAACCAGCAAAAGAGACGGCAATGGCTTCAGAGGCATCACACCCTTTCATGCAATCCATGGCAAATGGTAAATATTAGTGAGCTGGAGCCGTCTCACCCCTTTGATAATAATTTCTGCTCTAGGTTCCCAATGACAGTAATTGAGGCTATAATTCCCATTTCCTGCATCAGCTATGAGTACATACAGACTGCAAAGCTGTGCGAAAACCAGCTGCCCTTTGCAGCAGGAGGTAGAGTTACATCAGACTCTCTGCTCGCAGCCCTCTCTGCATTTACCAGCTCCAACCAAGGCAGCAGTGACACACTTGGGGCCTCACAGTGAAAGGGGACTTCCTGTTGGTGTGCCAGAGCCAGCTTTTACCAGCTTATATTGGCCAACTGTGCACATCTCTTCCCAACTTGGTGTTCAATGTCATCATGTTGTGAGCTTTACAGTGACCATGGTGGGAGAATTTACCCCACAGGAATTGGTAAATGTCGTTTATCTGAGCCTTTTTAAAAACCCAACGACCTAGGTGATAATATTCTTGAGAAAGGTGGGAGTAGGGAACAGATGTGCAGTTGAGGAATGATGGAAAATAATAGTAATAAAGCAGTCAACATGAACCAAGTACTTACAATGTTCCTGGCACTGTGCTGAACTCATAAGGCATTATCTTATACAAACCATAGGAATCATATAATGTAGATATTATTATTATATACATTTAAAAGGAGAAAACTAGAGTTCAGAAAGGTTAAGTAACATAGTCAGCAAGCCAAGATTCAAACACAGGATTTCAAACTCCAATAACCCTGCCCTTTAGACACCATGCTGTGCTTCTTGTCGTAGCAGTGCCTCTGGGATGTGGTCCACGGCGCCCTGCTTCAAAAGCACCAGAGTTAGCTTACTAAAATGCAGATTCCAGGGCCTTGCCCTTTCTGTACTGAGTCCGAACCTTTGGGGTGGGGTGTAAGAATTTAGATTTGTATCAGGCTCTCTGGCTGATTCTGCTCCCTAATGGTTGCAAGCCAGGACCCGTGGGTTAAGAACTGGCCTCCAACAGGGCTCTTCCCACAACTTCCCACAAAATTCAGGGGGAATCTGGCCAGAGAGTCAGTCTAGGACTTGGGTGGGGTTGGAGGAATTGGCCCAAGAGCCCAAGGCTAGGGAGTCCAGGCCAATTCCAGTTCCTTCCCAGAGGCAGGCCAGTTCTCAGGTTCTGCCACTCAGTGGGCAGCAGGACAATGCAGTGCAGGGAGCTGGTGTGGGCTCAGGGGCTGGATACCTTGGGAGCTGTCAGGGGTCTTTGTTTTACTGTCATGAATAGTTGTGGGTTGAGATCTCAATTTTCCAATGAATTTTAGTATGTGAACCAAAATCTGTTTTGTATTATTTTCTTCTTTGAATGGAGTTTTCCACATTTTGTAATAATAAAATCACCTTGGCAGGATAGTCAAGCAGCCTAAATAAAAACACTACCAATAAAATGGCATTTTACTAACTTTAAGCAAAGCAAATGTCATATTCTACAAGGAAAGGGAGCCCATCTAGCCATGATTGTGATGAGAGCCAGCCCACTTCTCAAAAGCAGTGCCTGCTCTGCCCTGCCCCACTAGGATTCATGGTACTCACTCACTCGCTCTCTCTCAAATGTGTTCTTCCACCAGAAGTCATGAAGAATGATTCTGAAGACACCTGGGCTCTCCCCAAACCAGGCCCAGCTCAGGTCTTGACTGGCTCACAGCAACCACTTCTTCCATTGCCCTTACCCCAGTCTCTGGGCACCACAGCAGCAATGTTGTAGACTCGAACCCAGCTGTGGTCCAGGGTTGCCCTGGGATAGCTGGGTCATCTCTGCCTGACCGGGGTGGGGCCTGACACTCCACCATTAACACAGAGAATTTGGATGAATGCACCATTACAGTGACCATGCAAATCTCAGACATTTATAGCTTAATGGGAATATATTTAGCAGGTCTCTTATTGAGAGCTAGTTTAACTCAGGGAGAAGACAAAGCACCTGAGGACTCAGGATACATGGGGAAGAGAGAGATACTAGGAGCCTGCAGAAAAAACTTGCTGGGAAGTATTTCTGAGCTCTCTACATGAAAGAGGTGCTCATAGATTTGCTTTGGAATAACTTTTGCAAGGTGAAGTGGGGTGTAGAATAGATGAACAAGATTTTCCAGGAGCTGCTCATTGTTGAAGCTGAGTGATGGGTACATAGGTGTGGTTTATGCTATTCTATTTTTGCAGGTGCTTAAAAGTTTCTATAATAAAAAGTTAGGAAACAAAAGGGGGCTCACGAATAGAATCTATATCCCTATCCCAGGCCCCTGCTGCCTGGAAGGCTGGCGGGTGCATGTCACAGTGCCATAGAGCCAGCAGGGAAATGATGTCCCAGCCCCAGGCACCCAGCTGCCCAGGCCACTTCATCTTCTGTCACACTCAGCTCCAGGCACTGAGGCCTCAACTAGCCAATCCATCCATCCATCCATCGATCCATCCATCCATCCCTCAACTCATAAATATGTATTTACTGTTCTCCTACCTCAAAGCCTACTCCATGCCAGGCACCAGAGTCCAGCAATCAACAAGACAGTCATGCTCCCTGGCTACATGCCCTCGCAGACAAGCTGAGGGAAAGAGACAATCAACACATGAACAAAAGAACACATGAACAAATACTTGAAGTCATTTCAGACTGATGAGGGGCATAAGGAAATAAACAGGAGGGTAGGAAAGGAGGGGCTGCTTCTGCTAAGGGGGTCACAGGTGGCCTCTCTGAAGAGTGATGTTGGAGCAAGGACCTGAGCAAAGGGAGTCTGTGACAAAGTAGCTGGGAAAGTGTTCCAGGCAGAGGGAACAGCAGGTGCAAAGGCTCCAGGGCAGCAGTGTGCTTGGTGGGCTGCGGGGACCCAAGGGCGGGGGCGGCGGGAGTCTGAAAAGAACAGCAAGGAAGCCAAAGTGGCTGAAGTGCATTAAGCAGGAGGGAGTAGGAACTAACTCAGGGAGGGATCTGGGCAGGGCAGATCACAAAGGCGCTTGCAGACTCAGTGGGAGTTTGGATTTTACTCTGAGTGGAGCAGAAGAAATGCCACAGATACTCTGGTTTTCAGTGAAGAGAGGAGACATTCAGGAGCAAGAGTGCACAAGGCCTCCTTTTTGGGCTGCAAAGCTGGCTTATCAGATGGGGTCAGGCTCTAGGGACATGCCCTCCTTCAGTAGTCCACAGGCCGTGAGTTCAGTCTCCAAACACAGGGCCATGCCCAACAGAAGTGAATAAAGGACCCTGGGAGCTTCCCTGGACAGCTTCCACCCTACCCCACTTCTCCTGCAGCACATGGGGGCCCCTGCCGCCCACACCCCCAGCCCTGGCTTCGTCATGCCTCACTGGAAGTGCCCCCTCTCAAAGCCCACTCATCCACTCACTGCACACCCATGGCCTCACCTCCTGCATTTTCCATGTCTTCTTTGTGCTTTCCTCTACCTGGCCTATTTGGTCAACAAGTAGCTGTTCTTAGACTCCGTCATGAATTCCATTTGTCCCATGAAGATCTTCCCAATTATTGAAGTGAAGAGGGGCTGCTACCCTCACCCACCACTGCCTGACAGTGTTCCTCATCTCTTTCGTGACATGTGTCATGACCTGCCTGTCATGCAGACCCAATCGGGGAGATGAGACCTGTCTGCACATCAGTGGCTTGAGGGAGGGGACCGTGCCCCTTACCCCTCTCGTCCTCCCAGGGGGCTCCCTCTTCACACTGCATCTTGGTGGTAGCTTCTGGGCATCCAGGCAGCTCTAGGTGCCCTTTCTCCATGCGCACACCACATCCAGTACTTGCCACGCTAGAGCACTGGTCTCATGCCTCCATAACAACTGGGAGCTTCTCAAGAAAGAATGGCAACGCGCTGATGATGGTTGATAAATATTGAGTATTTCTTATGTGTTAGACCCTGTACTAAGTGCATCTTATCCCATCAATCCTTTGAGGTGGGTAATATTGTTAACCAGCTTAAAGATGGGGGACCTGAGGCTAAAAGTGCTTTACCAAAACAAACAGCAATGACCAGCAGAGCCAGAATTTGATTCAAAGCTTGCCTGAGCACTGAGATCCTGCTCTTGCTGTATGGTACCTCCTACACCCAACTCAAGGGCAGAGAAGGTGTAAATCACTTTTGTAACCCAGGGCCTGCCACAAGTCACCAGGAGTCCTGGAGGCTCATGACAAACATCTCCCTCCTGGCTGCCCAGCCCAGTCAGGCCCTGTTTGGAGGAAGTGGCCAGGAGAAAGGCTATGTTTACCCAGGTGCCAGGTGTAAAGGGCGCAGTGGGGCGGCCTCAAAGTCTGGGCACCTTCTCACAGAGAAGAGGCTTTCTTTGAAAAGAAAGGGTTGGGCCGATGACCAGAAGGGCAGCCGGGAAGAGACAGCCCAGTTCAAAGAAAGCAGTTACAGGTGAGAGACTCTTGAGAACAAAGGTGGGACGTCTGCTGTACAAACCAGCCTGCGTTCCAGCCAGGCCAGCTCACCCTCAAGAACAGCCTCTGCCACCCTGCCAGTGTGGCCAGATGGGAGACTTTGCCATGGGGACCAGCCACCCCTCAGGAGCAGGACATCCCCGATACCCTGGGAAGGCTTAGTTCCATCTCCTGGGAACAAAGGCCCAGTCCTCATGCTGCAGGTGAAATTTCTTCTGAGTGGATGGGCTCAGAGAGGCTGAGTAACTTGTTCAAACTTGCACTGTTTTTAAGAGCCAGAGCCCAGATATAACAAACCATAAGGTTGACTCCAGCCAACTATATACAGGTACTTTTATGTTGTCATCTGTTCTTCCAAGCAAGGTTACCACTTATGTAGGCACTAAATAATGTTAGTGCATGGTCTAGCTTGAATTGAAACTTGCTGGAAACATACCTCATGCTTTGTCATCATCATTGCTGCCATCATTTAATACTTACGGAATATTTACAGTGTGCTAATCACCTTGCATATATTATTTCACTGCCACCTCACAATGACTCATGAGACAAATGTTACTATCCCCACTTTAATAGATGAAGAAATCAAAGCTCTGATAAGCTCCAGAACATGCCCAAAGCCTCACATGACGAGGTGGCAGAGCCAGCCTTCCCATTTATCAACAGTGACAGCATCACTGGGACTGCCATGACAGCAGCTGCTTGCTCCGCGCTGAGCTAGAGAGGCCACAAGGGCCACTGCTCTCTGTGAGTCAATCTCAAAAATGCAGGCCTGAATGGAGCTCTGAATCAAGGGGTCCAGGACTGAGAGCTCTGAGAACAGGCCCGCAGGGAGGACGGGGGTTATGTCAACAGGGGATTTTAGAGCCTAGCAAGCAAGAGTCAGGACCCAAGAGACAGTGACCAATCCCTCCCTGTCCCAGGTCATCTTTGCTTGGCCAAGAGGTCTCCTGGAACCCCATTTAGCCATCCTGACCATGCCCACATATATCACAGGCTATCCTCAGCAGTCCTCTCAGCCCCAACACCTGAATGGCAGTCAGAGACACTGCTGGATTTGTACCATCAACCCAGACCACACACTGCAGTCTGCCTAATGCCAGGAAGCTACCTAGACATTTGTAGAAGCGTCCAGAAAAGTCAGTTAAGAACACAGCTTTATCACTGGCCATCAGCCAGTACAGGATTTGAATCCTGGCTCTGTGACTTATTAACGTGTTATGCTGGCCAAGTTATTTAACCTCTCTGTCCCTCAGTTTCCTTTTCTGTAAAATGGGAATAATAATAATATCTACCCCCAAGACTTACTAGAGAGATTAAATGAGATCACACATGTAAGGTTCTTAACATACTTCCTGGAACACAGTAAATATTAAACAAACAAATAATAAAGCTAGTTAATTTTGGTCCTATCTGACCCTTACATGTGTCCCATAAAGTAACTGGCCAAATAGCACTGATCTGGAAGTCAGAAATCTCAAGTCTGAGTTTAGCCAAAAGACCACACATCTCTGGGCCTCAGCTTTCTCTCCTTTAAGATGGAGATGTTGTCACCATCCCTAGTCAATATTTAACAAAAGTATCTATGCTGCTGATGCATAAGAAAGATCTTTGAAAAGTCTGAAGCCTTGAAGCCTGGGTTAAAGACAGGCCCAGGGCTGGGGCATCTGATATAACTGAGAAGCCAAACTGGTGAAGAAAACAGCCTTGTTTTTAGTCTGATTTGCCACCAGTATGCACATTCAGGGAATTTGCTCCATAGCAAAGGACTTCCTCCTGGTCCCGACATCCTCCAGCTAGAGGCTCCTCTCTCCCGCTGAGCCTCTGCCGCCCAGAACAGTGTGTGAACCCATCACTGAAACCTTTGCCTTCTTCATAACTTCAAGTCAGGTCCAAAATGGAATGTGACAGCCAGAACACTAACTGAATGGTCCAAATTGACACAGATATTTGCTGCACCTCAGGGTGGAAATCTTTGCAAGAATGTGAGGCTGCTGTAAACACCAAACACTGAGTCTGGCATTGTGCAAGGAGAACCAAGAGGGTGCTCATGACTCTGTGGTCCTTTCCCCCCAGATCTTAAGGGCACAGTACGCAGAAAAAGGATGCTAATGGGTGAGGCAGTGGAGATTGAGTGGGCCCTGGAGAAGAGGGCAGATGTGTATTCATGCTGAGTGCTGGGCACACAGTGGTGAACGTGACCATCCAGTCCTCACAGAGCCCACGGTCTGGCAGGGCCAGTCACTGAACAAGTTACTGTGTGGTGTCAGTCAGTGCCTCAAAGGAGGAGGCACTCACAGGTTTCCTGGGGAGAAAGTAAAGCAGGAGAATGGAGTAGACTGGAGAGTCAAGGAAGGTTTCCTGGAGGAAGTGATATTTTTGCTGAGAGGTTAACCAGGCAGAGACGGGTTGTGGGGAAAACTGTGGGTGGTAGGATGCCAGGCATGTTACCAGAGCTTGTTTTAAAATGCCCACCCTGTTAGAACATGGCAGGGCCAGGTGCGGAAACAGCTCCTTGCAGACTAAGCAAGTGTATGGCCTTGGTATCTGCAACCTCAGAAGGTAAGAAAAGGCAGCTTCTCACCCTTTGTCTGCAAACAAAAGGGAGGCCTCACTGGGCTGCCGTGTGGGGTTGTCTCTGAGGCATTCTTGGCTCAGAGATGGAGGCATGCTGAAGCATCCCTGAGTAGTGATTGAACATTTCAGGTTTGCCTTTGGGGCAATTCCTCTGCAGAAGCTAATGTGGAGTTCTCACAGAGCAGCTCCACATTTCAGACTTCTGTCTTTCACACTTTAGACAAAACAACACAAGCCTGTGCATCTGCCTCTGCTATTTGCCCGTGGGCCCCTGTCCGGTATTACATATTACCATCTTGTTCACTGCTCACAGTGAATGGCATTTTCATAGCCATTTCTATAATTATTAAATTTCTTGAGGCCTTTTATTTTCCAGCGCTGATGAGAGTGCAAAGGGGCTGTCAGAGATGATGAATAAGCTCAAGTACATTCACTCAAAAAGAAGGTGTTTTCCCGAAGAGGGTCCTGTGTGTGACTCCATTCTGGCCCTGTGTGAGCCACGAAGGAGGCTGGTTTGGTGTTGAATAGCCTTTCTCAAAGGGTGCTCCCGGAAGCCCCAGCTCCACGCCACGCTAACACGTGTTTTGTGAGAATGGGATCCCAAGGTCAAATTTGTTTGGGAAATGCATGATTTAACAATATTGTACAGGCTTCCTGGCTTTGGTACTTCTCAGAGCCTTTCCTATGTGGCTGGGCATTGAAAATCTCCAGGAGGAGGACACAGCACCAGGTATGGTCCAGACTCTCCTGACTGTAAGAATAAAATGGTCCATTGCTTTTCTACAGATGTCATCACAAAGTACCACAAACTTTGCCTGTGGCTTAAAACAATAGAAATTTGTTATCTCATAGTTTGGAGGCCAGGAATCCAAAATCAAGGGATTGGCAGGGCCGTGTTCACGCTGAAGGTCCCAGGGAAGAATCCGCTCTTGCCTCTTCCCACCTTCTGGTGGGTGCTGGCAATCCTCAGCCTTCCTTGGCTTATAGACGCATCACTCCCATCCCTGCCTCTGTCATCACATGGCATCCTCCCTGTGTCTCTGTGTCTTCACATGGCCTGCTGATAAGGACACTGGTCATTGGATATAGGGCCTACCCTAACCCAGCATGACCTCGTCTTAACTTGGTTACACCTGCAAAGACCCATTTGCAAATAAGGTGACATTTAGAGGTACCAGGCATTAGGACGTGGACATATCTTTTGGGAGGATATTATGGAACCCACTAGAGGTAAGTTAGAGAAAAATGAAAAAGCAGGAAGCAGTTCATGAGGTGGCTCAATGTATAGACTTTGTAGCCAAATTCCCACCCCTGCAATTGCTATGATTTCCAGCAAGTTAGTAAATGCAGTATCTCCAGGCTCATCTTTCTCATCCATATGTAAACATCCTAACACCTACCTCTTAGAATTGTTGCAAGATTAAAGAGATAAATATATAAAGCATGGAGCCCAGTGCCTGGGCACACAATAAGGATGTTAAGCAAAAGAGTGACATGGTCAGATTAATTTTTTAGAAGGAAATAATCACTCTTGTTTCCATGTGGAGGACAGGTTGGCAGGGGCAAGACAGCTTCTCTTTTGATCTTGCTGGGTTCCATCTCGAGTTCACCCAAGGATACACTCCATATAGCCCATCCAGCCACATATGAGGAATGCCCAGATCTGGACCACATGAGGACCTTGCCGAGGGAACATGGAGCATGGGCTGCCTATTAGTCTGCTGGCTCAGACACTATCAAAGGCCATGGCCTATGCTACCAAGAGTTTTGGGGCCTGTCTCTTTTAAAAGTGGGAGGGACAGTCCTTTATTGTGTACCTTAAAGGATGACATTGGGAATGAATGAGAAAATGCACAGCAAAAGCTTTGCAATATGCAATTCAGTGTTCAGGGTGTATATGTGGTGGGGGCCGGTGGCGGGGGGGAGTTATGTTCCTCAAAATACTGCTCCCAATATGTCACCAGGTCCCCTGCTTAGACATAGGCAGTTTGGCTAACTTTGGTAACAAGGAGGGTGAGAACAGGGTAGAGGTGATTATCAGAAAAAAACTCCCAAGATGTGAAGTTGTTGAACCTCAGGATGTGACCTAGATGGAGCCATCACTAGCCATGTCACTGAAGCTTTGGTTCCCAGTAATCAGAGACGATGAGGGGAGAGCAGGGTGGTACACAGCCTGGGCCAAGTGGACCAGGGCAGGCAGGCTGAGCATCAGTCCTGGGGGTTCTTGACTGGAGGACTGACGGCCCACACTCTGAGGAAGATGGGTGCTACTCGGCCCATTACTACTGGAACTGGTGGCTGACAATACTCTAGGAGTGGGGAGAGCTGCAGGTCCCCAGGTCACTCTGTGCAGTGGAGGATGGCCCATTGCCAGATCTATAGGCAGGATGGAGCCCAGCAGAGCTGCCTCCTGATTCCAAGGCAGGAAAGTGAGCTCCCCCAGGTCCCAGGCCCTCTGCGATTTATGAGACCCTGTCATGCCTCAACCTGCACCAAATCTGCCTTAGCAGCTGGGAGCAGAGGCAGGCCTGGCAGGCCTCGGAGCACGTGCACAAGTGGTATCCACTGTGTTGTTACTGGTAGGTGCACCCCTGCTAGAGCTGCAGACATGGGGAGCCATGCAGAGGCCCAGGTAGGCACCCAGAGCCTGAGGGGACTGCAGAACTCTCCCTCAGACAGGGTGCCTATGAAGAGAGGAGGGTGCCTGCACCATTGAGAACAGTATTTACAACCTGGGCCACAAAATATAAAACCTAAGCCTGGGCCTTAGGGCTGGAGACAGCCAGGGAGGAACACAAGGAACAGCAAACACACAGGGGCCACCAGACATCTGCCCGTGGGGGCCTCTCCCAGAGATGGGCTCTAGAGGCTGGGCACCCTCCTTCATTGCTGTCCTCGGCCCCTAGCATAGCGTTTGATGTTTAGCAGGCATTCACTCAATATTTGGCTGACTAAAATTCACATTTTCAGTCCAATATCATTTTCTTTTCTTTCTTTCTTTTTTTTTTTTTTTTTTTTTTGAGACAGAGTCTTGCTCTGTCACCCAGGCTAGAGTGCAGTGGCATGATCTCGGCTCACTGCAACCTCCCCCTCCTGGGTTTAAGCAATTCTCCTGTCTCAGCCTCCCAAGTAGCTGGGATTACAGGCACACGCCACCAGACCCGGCTGATTTTTGTATTTTTAGTAGAGATGGGGTTTTGCTATGTTGGCCAGGCTGATCTCGAACTCCTGACCTCAGGAGTTGGCCTCCCAAAGTGCTGGGATTACAGGCATGAGCCACAGTGCTCAGCCCAATACCATTTTCTAAGTGCAGGACTGCAAGGCCATGTGTCAAATGCTGGTGGGGACTCAGAGATAACAAAATGAGGGGCAGACAGAATTAAAGGGAATAAGGCTTCAGGCCACGGAGTTGAGATTCTGTCTCCACCATTCAGTGGCTTTGTAACCCCTCAGAGACTCCATCTCCTCATTGGGTAAAAACAGGGTGTCAGGATAGCTTTTGATACAAGCTTTCAGGGAGCACTGGAAAGTGTAATAAGAGACTGGATATTAAAGAACCAGATAATAATGCATGCTGCATGACTAAGAAGCTCCTCTCTCAACACTTACCAAGCAGGTGGCTGTGAGCATTGCTGAGACCCTCACTAGGCAGTCTATCACTGTGCTACACAGAGGGAGTCTTCAGTCCATGCTGGCTATTACCATTGTTTTTAAAATCAAGTTATGAAATATAGAACATGTTACACATAATAAAATGCACAGATCTCACGTGTTCCAGTTGATGAGTGCTGATAATTGTACAGACCCAATTTCCAGTCACCCTGGAAGTTCCCTCGTGCCCTTTTTCAATCACGCTCTGCCTCCTTGCTCCCAGAGGCAACTTTTCCATCATCGTAGACAAGTTGTGCTTATTCCAGTACTTCATGTAAATGGAATCATGTCATGTATCTCTTGGTCTCATTCTTCCATGTCTGGCTTTTTTTTTTTCCCAGCGTAATGTTTTTGGGGGATTCATCCATATTGTTGCAGGTGTTAGTAGTTTGTTCTTTCTCCTTGATGCATAATATCACATCGTAATGTATACACATCACATTTAAAAATCTATTCTCCTGTTGAACACTTGGTTTGTTTCCAGCTTCCGGCTATTATAAATAAGTTTGCTATAAACATTCCTGTATAAGTCTCTGTACGGACATATGTTTTTACTTCTCTATGGTAAATAATTAGAAATCAAATCACTGGGTCATATTATAGATATGCTGCCAAACCGTTTTCCAAAGCGGTTTTATCATTTATGTTCTTACCAGTATTGTATGAGAGTTCCATTCATTCCATATCCTCACCAGCATTTGGTGTTACCCGTCCTTTTTATTTTCATCATTCTATTGGGTGTGAGTTAATATTTTAGGATGGGTTTGATTTGCATTTCCCTGATGACTAATGATCTGGAGCATCTTTTCATGAGTGCATTGGCCATTCACATATCTTCCTTTGTGAGATCTCCGTTCTCATTTTATAAATTAACTTGTTTGTCCTTTTTTCTGATCCACAGAAGTTTTAAAATATATATTCTGGATATAATTCCTTGATCAGATGTATGTATTTCAAATATATGTATTTCAAATGACTTATTCATTTCTTTATTGGTATCTTCTGAGGATGAAAACCAGAAACTTTTACTGTTGATGACCAGTTTATTCTTGTTTCTTTTTACGGCTAGTGCCCTTTGTATTCTATCTAAGAAATCTTTGCTTACCCCAAGATTATAAAGATATTCTTTCCAATATCTTTTTTTCAAGAAGCTTTTTGGTTCCAGGTTTTATATTTAGGCTTATGATCCATCTCAAATTATTATTATTTTTAAAAACTGTAGTGGTTGCTCAGAGCCATAAGGAAACACTCAAGTTCTTTATAGGATCAGACTTTTCTTAAGCTTCAGGCTGAAGATAGTATCAGTTCTAAGAAAAGACTTTTGTTAGAGTCATGGCTTTGACCCAGCCACATAGTTCTGCTGACTGACAACAGGCCACAGAGAGCTGGCTTAAGAACCACCAGCCAAAGAAAAAGCTAAGTTGATTTCCCTGTGTCCAACCATGGGGCACTAAGCTGATTGTTACCAACTCAAATCACCACAATGTGACCTTACAGTGACCATGAGAACCATAGCAGGTCCCAGCCTAGGGCCTTATGGTGACCATTAGGAGACAGCACTGAGGGTGTCAGGTGACCCTCACCCCCGTGAAGCCCAGCTGGTTGTTAGAGGCCTCCCTGCACTGACAACTTGGTAGATAATGTGATTTAGGCAGCTCCTCATAGGTAGATGCAGACCTAAAGGTGGCGAGGCCTGATTGCTGTGAACGTCAGAGTCCCTGGCATGGCCCAGTGACAATCTGGACAGTTGGGGTGGTAGGTCCAGGGCAAGGTGAGGTGGGAGCCTGGGTCAGAGGCAATGGGAAGCCGTGAGGGGATGGGTTTCTCATGAAGCCAGGAAGAGAGGCCTTTGGAGGTTGTGATCTTGGGAACAAATGCCTGCAGCCCAGTTTTTGAGAGCCTAACCCTGGCAGCTCACCTGGCAGCCAGGAGCCTGCTGATGCATTCCTATCACTCTGGAGATACACCAGGAACAGCTCTCTTTCAGGCCCTGGGAGAAGGCTGCTGGCACGTCCTGTGTCTCCAGGAAGCACCTGCCTGCAACCTGAATGCCACTGGCTCTGCTGGCACATCTGACATACAACTTGTCTACCTTCCCGTTATGTAGGACCTGGTACTTTTATCATGGCACTGGCACAGGGGATGAGAGTGTGCAGTTGGGGCTCACAGAAGGACAGGGTCCAGTCTCTGGCAAAGGAGGTTTTCCAGCTGGGCACACTCCCACTGGTCTAACTCCTCAAAAAGGGAAAAGATGTGCCAAGGTCATGAGCCAGCAAAACACGCAGCCAGCATGGCTCTCAGACAGCCCTTGACTCAAGGAGCTGTGACCACCCTGTGTGGGAAGCACCAGAAAATCACCACCTACCAAGCCCAACAACCCTTGCAGAGCTGAGCAGAGCTGAGCTGAGCCAAGCTGAGATAGCACTGTGGAGGGGCAGCCTCTGTGTTGCCTCTCTCCTTTGGAGGGAACCATTACCTAAGGTGACCCGTGACACTCAGGGTTAATCTGGAACTTAGAGTTTTAAAAAGCAAAATTCCTTCCTCGGAGTCTCTTAAAAGAGACACATTCCAGCATCATTTCTAACTCAAATAATTTTGGATGTCAATTGTATGTCTTTAATGAGCCCAGAAATTTTCATAATTATCCTTTTTTTCAAAACCATAATTATAGGTTAGAGTACATGCTACAGACAAGAAATTTAAATAGAGCTTTTTAAACACTTAGGCATTCTGCTTCTTTCTCTTCTTAAAAAATTCAATTATCCTACTGTTACCTTTCTTTTCTCCTTGAGGTAGACACTGGGAGATGAAATTTTAATTGTCCAATGCCTCATCCCCAGGGGCCCTTTCCCAGCCCCATCTCCCTGCTCCTTCAGTTCATACCCAGCTCCCCTGTGGCTGCACTGGGCATAGTGATTGGCAGGAGGTGGAAAGGCTTGGCTGGAGCTGCTTCCCAGTATGGAAGACCCAGGCTAGCCCTGAGCATACCTGGAGGCCTCCCGCAGGTGTACAGGGAATGAGTGAATGAAGCCTCAATAGGAACTGGGACAATGTGGCAGAGTTTCCCAGTTGGGTCTCCTCCAAGGTTAGAACCTGCCTCCAGTGACAATCCAGGACCTGTCCTAGTTCCATTGTGTGGATTTGCTTTGGCAGGTAGGGAAGGGCCCAGCAGAGAGAGCACAGGGAGCCAAGGAGACCAAGATTCTAGATTTAATCATTCATTCATTCATTCATTCATTCACTCACCCAGCATTCACTGAGCATCCCTGCCCTTCTGGAATTCACTGCCAGGACTGTCTCTCTCTTCCTTCACACCTACTGTGTATCTGGCACAGAATTTGGCACAGGTGATCCAAGATAAGTGATCTTTCTCACTCAGAGCACCTAACATCCTGACAGTACTATCAAGTTTTGCATTAAAGTGGTCCCTAGATGACGCATGTCCCCAGCTTGCCCTCAACTGGTAGCAGAAGGGAGGGCTCTGCCTCACCCCTCTTTGGCTCATCCCCTGTGCACCAAGTCAATCTGGTCCCTACCTGGTGGTCTTGCTGCAATGCATTCTGCTGACACTTCCTGACATTCCCAGATATTTGATACTGAGCTTGAGCCAGGCACTTTCTGTGCATGTGTTGCACTGTTTACTTTCCACAGTCGCCCTTGGGCTTTAATGCTATTGCCATGCCCATTTGTGGGTGATGACACTGAGGCTCAGAGAGGTCAGTGTGCAGCAGGATTTGCCCTATGTCATGGCAGATGGTAAAGACTGCAGACTTGTGTCCTCTTGGGTTAGGATGGGCTGTCTCAGCTGTGAAGGGGCAAACATCCTGCTTTTGGAGAGACTTTTGCATTTTCTCTCTTGCCAAGTGACTAAGATTAAGAGCTGACCTCCCTCCCATCCCAGAGCTGCTGGGAATTTGTTTACTTCTGAACCCAAGGGCCCATATCCTGGAGAGAAGGTCGGGGCAGGAGCAAAAACATGTGGCCAGCATCAGAGGGGAGACTCCCAGGAGCCTCTGTCCTCCGGCTGGGGTCCAAGAAGAAACACAGCCGCCTCCAGCACAGGAGATGGGAGGAAAGTGCCAGCACAGCTGCCCGAGGTGGGGGCTGGCCAGAGAGAGACCCCTGTGGGTGGGAGGCAGTGCATTCTCAGTGTTGAGCAGGGGCTGAAGGGAGAAGGGCCACCGAGGCCTGTGCATGCATCATTTTGGCATACCAGGGGCAGGAGGACTGGGGCTGTGCCCATTGCAACCTGCCACCTGCAAAGCATGCTGGGAAAATACAGGGAAAGAAAACAATTATCTGATCCCAGGAAACCCAGCAAATTTTTCTGTTGTCAAATTCTTATTGAGAACAGACTCTGTGCCAGGCACCAGATTTGCTCTCATAGATCTTATATTCTTGTAGAGGAGATTGACAGTAAGCAAGAAAAACATAAAAAGCACAAGAATTTCAGATGGCTGCGAAGACAGAGCAGGGCAATAGCACAGAAGGGTTTTGGAGGAAGGGAAGGCCACTACCTCAGACTGGATGGACAGGGACAGTCTCTGAAGAGGGGACTTGGAGTTGACTCATGAATGACAAGAAGCAGCCACCCCGCAAGTATCCAGGGAAGAGAGGTACAGGCAGAGGGACCAGCTAGCGCAGCTGCCCGAGGTGAGGCAGGAACAAGGTTGGTGCTTTGAGGAGCAGGAAGATGCAAATGCAAAGCCGAGGGCTGCCAGGAGGAGAGGTGGGTGATGGGCCCAAGCAGCTGGCTCATGCCCAGCCTGTATGTTTTCTCAGTGAGGAGCTGGGATTTCACACTAAGTGGCTTGGGAAGCCTTTGAAGAATTAAATTCTAAAATCATCCATCTGGGCTGGGCACGGTGGCTCACACCTATAATCTCAGCACTTTGGGAGGGCAAGGTGGGTGGATCACCTGAGGTCAGGAGTTCGAGACCAGCCTAGTCAATATGGCGAAACCTCATCTCTACTAAAAATACAAAAATTAGCCAGGCATGGTGGCATGTGCCCGTAGTCCCAGCTACTCAGGAGGCTGAGCAGGAGAATTGCTTGAACTGGAGGTTGCAGTGAGCCAAGATCATGCCACCGCTCTCCAGCCTGAGTGACAGGCAAGATTCTGTCTCAAAAAAATAAAAATAAAAATAAAAGTAAATAAATAAATAAATAAAATAATCAATGTGGCTTCCACGTGGCTAATGAATTTCCAGGGAGCAAAAGGCAAAGTAGAGTAATGGGAGCTGACAGAGTTCTTATTTTAACATTATTGTTTGCAGCCGCTTCTGGGGAGCCATTTTACATCCCTAAATATGTAAATATATAAAGGATGCTTAGATATTTCTAACGGGGAGCTGGTTTCATCTTCAGGTACCTCAAGGTGGAAACGGTTCAAATGGCTTTAACCTCTGCAGCCCTCCCTCCACAGAGCCTGTGGCTAGGATGGGGCCTCTGGAAGCCTGTGTGGGCGGGACACATCTGTGTACTCAGCGGTTCAATAAAAATAGTTAATACAGCATACCAGGCCGCCCAGGAGACCCGTGGTGTTTCATCCAGAAGCCAAGAGTCTTCTTTAAAGTCCCTCCCAGTCTCTGTGCAGGCCCAGCCATTCATTCCTGCCCACCGTGTGGCTGTTTGGCTTCCTGTGAGACATTCTGTCTAGGAAGACACCCCTGGCAGGGTGGAAAAGGTGGGCTCAGCGCCTAGAGCTCACCAGGCACACCCTCATCGCAGCCTTTCAAGTGGATCTCCTAAACCACTTGGTAAAGAAATGCTTTTTTTTCTCCAGAATGTTTCATTCTGCTGACCCCAGAAACCTGCAGAACAAAGAGTCTGAGAGGCTTATGGCTTGTCTGGGAGGCTGGGGAGGCCCATCGCCCCACACGCCTTCGCACTGTGAGGGGCAGGGACCCAGCAGGCCTCATTCAGGTTGTGGACGGTTGCTCCCCGACAGCCCTTCCTCCTCTATTCCCTCAGACCCCCTCCTTTTTCCCATGGCAGATGCCCAGACAGGTTGCTGCAAAGCCAGGAGGGCAGCTATGTTTCACTCTGGTGTCAATTCCATTCAGTTGGTAGTGGCTGCTTGGCACGGGTGGTGTCAGGTGGTAACAGGGCTTCAGCGCCTGTCTTGCCTCAACAGGAAAGAGTGAAGTAATGGATTAGTGATATCTGCCCTGAGCACAGGAGAAGATTGTGGAGGTACACATGTCAATCCTACCCAAGGCTGGCAAGCCTGGACACATTAGAGAGACCTGGCATACCACCGCATCTTCCTCTTCTTTGTAGCTGAGCCTCTCAGGCTACTGAGTCACTAGGCAGAACCAGTCCCCATATTCCAATCAGTTCCCCTCAGTGTGGAGCTCACAGGGCAGCCCCTACCAAGGAGAACTGCTCAGCCTACTCAGGCCTGACCCATTCCTTTCTTTGACCTCATGCAAAATTCACTAACTTTACAGCAACTGAAACAGGTTTCCAACCCAGAGTCTTCTTGTCAACATTTACCACAGTAGACTATGCAGCCTTTAGATCCCTGCTAATATACCAAGCCAAATGTAGAAGTTTTAATTAAATATAAATATGAAGACAGTTTAAATTTTTAAAAAACCATGAACATCTTAAGTTATTAAAATTCCACTCACAAATAGAATCAAACAAGGAAAAAGTACACTGAATGATGGAACCAATGAAAATGCATCCCAAACACAAACACTTTTGAAATTTAAGATAATTTGTTTTGAGCATTTAATTTGATCTTAACTGGTATTAAGGTTTCATCTTCAAAGGAGGAAAATTTAAAGCACTTAGAGGACCTTTACTCATTGGACCTTATATTCTAATCCAAATCTCAGTCTTCAGCTCAGTGGAAGGCAGGCAGGATCAAATCCAGCTCCATTGGAAAACAGATATTCATCTCTTAGTTGAGTGGCAGGTTTAATTAGCAGCCACATTCTATTTTAATTGCTAGATTATTAGCAGAAACAGCATCACCATGGATGGCTGCATTGCATGTAAATTTGGAGTGAGATACTCTGCTATGTAACTTTTTCCAAAGAGATTAAGACATGCAAGAAGACAGCTCCTCTAAGCTCTCAAAGACGGCATTTCCTACCTTTCCCGTGACTTCTCCTCTGTCTGGGGCACTTTTTAATAGCAAATAACCCTCTGAGAGGACAAAGTGAGATCAAATTCTTGAACACTAAAAGAGCCTCCTTAAATCTATAACCCATCTTGATTGTCTATTTTTCCACCTGCATGATGCAGATTTTTCAAAATATGTTTAATCAGAAAACTGATTAAGCCATTCTCAGGGCAGCACATTTGATTCTCTGTGAAACACTGGCCCTCCTTTTGGCTCATCCGAAAAGAATCCCACTGCCAGACAAAGAACTAGCACGAGCTACTGACTACCTTTTTTTTTTTTTTTTTGAGACGGGGTCTTGCTCTGTCACTCAGGCTGGAGTGCAGTGGTGTGATCTCGGCTCACTGCAACCCCCTGCCTCCTGGGTTCAAGCAATTCTCCCGCCTCAGCCTCCCAAGTAGGTGGGACTACAGGCGCATGCCACCACACCCAGCTGATTTTTCTGTATTTTTAGTAGAGATGGGGTTTCACCGTGTTAGCCAGAATGGTCTCGATCTCCTGACCTCAGGATCCGCCTGCCTCGGCCTCCCAAAGTGCTGGGATTACAGGTGTGAGCCACCGCGCCCGGACTGCCTACCTCTTTTTTAAAGATTTGTTAGCTTGAAGAACACAACTCACGTAGCTCTTGGGCAGGACTCTGGACTTCTCTGAGCCATGTTTCTGGGCTGCTGCAGGGTTGAGAGGAAGGCTCCTGACACCAACCACACTTGAGCAAGGGCCAGATGATACATGGACTCTGCAGCTGTTCAGCAACTGTGTCAGAGTCCGTGTCCCATGCTCAGCACTCATCTACCTAATCTCACTTAAGCCTTACACAACCCCAGGTGGAATATGTGATTTCCACTTTACAGCTCTAGAGGTGTGGGCACGAAGTCTAAATCCAGCATCTTTGGTTTTAGACATCTTGCAAGATTTGAGGGCAGGTAATAAGGAATCTTGCAAAAAGAGCAAGGTCATTTATAGAGTATCCAACTTGTCCCAGTTTGCCTGGGACTCTTCTAGTTATAGTATGGAAAGCCCTTCATCCAGGATACCCCTCAGTCCTGGGCAAGTGGGGATGGTGTCTCAGACTATTTCTAAATGCCCAAGAAGAGGCACACACAAGATGCCCCATGCAGTGCCTGGCTCTTCCAGGGAAGCATGTAGAGCAACACCAAGCTGCCCTGGAGACCCTGACTCTTTCCCACCTTCCCTCCTCCTGCTGAAGCAGGGCAGAGCACGGGACTGGGTTCCCAGGAAGGACTCCCATACAACCCGTGCTTTTTATCACCCAGCTCTGAGCAAGAAGCCCTCCTCCTCATATGTGTCTGTGTTTGAAAGCCACAGCCTCTGAATAGCAGGTCTATCTGTGAGTAAAATTTATGACTCTTGTTTCCACTGGATCCAACCTTTTAACCCTGGGAGTGCTTAATTGCCTTTTCCAGGTTTTGCTTTAATAACCAGCTTGATTCTTGCCAATTTGGGCTGAATCGAGAAGCGCTGAATGTGTGACGGGAAACGGAAAGCTCATTACTTGATACTTGATACAGCTTATGCCAAATCCTTAATTCATTGATTTCACTCGTGGCATCTTTTCTTAAACGACAAGTCAGAAATTCATATGTAAAACTTCCAAACTCAGTTGGGGATCCTCAAAGCTGATTTTTATTAAAAAAAAAAAATGCCTTCCCTGAAGACACACTTTGGGAGAAATTCTGACCATGAATTACAGGACAGCTTTGGAATTCTTGGTCTCTCCCAGAGGAGCTCACCCTTTCTGTTGGGGCCTCTTGGGCCCCACACTCCGCCTTCCAAAGCCAGCACAGAGTAAGGTGTGGACATCTGGTTCCTGTTTCTGGATTCAAAATTGATCTGCTGGGTGATTCTTGGCAAGTCACTCAACCTCTCTGAGCTTAAGTTTCCCTAATCCTGGCTCACCAGACACCTCTCATGGGGAGGGGCGGGTGGCCTGTTAATGAGCAGGTGTTTTGGGAAGGGAGGGCTCAGCTGATGGCACAGCATAAGAGAATCCCAAGGAAAAGCAGGGACAGGTGGGGGCTGCAAATCATAGCAGAGCAGTAGCTAAACCCTGCAAAACACAAGTGGCTTGTAGCAGGGAAGAAGTTATTTCTAGAATCACTCATGTTTTACTCCAAGATAATCAAATCTCCTCATACAATCTCAGACCCAGCCTTGTTAGTTCTTCAAGGCCCCTCTGGAGCACGCTTACCTTCATGCAGCCTTCCCCAGTTCTCTTTGGCTTATGCTGGCTTTGTTCTTTCCTGAACATTCCACTGCTCTATGTGATTTTCATCCCTCCATAATATATTAAAGGATTCCTACACCCATGCTCCCAATGCCACATGCATTATGAGTCTTCCCACATTCACTTCTCCCATACATGAACTTGAAGAATTTGTTGTTATCTCCATTTTGCAGATAAGAAGACGGAGGCATAGGGAGGTTTACTAATTTTTGGGGTGACCAACTTGTCTTGGTTTGTCTGGAACCATCCTGGTTTTAGCACTGAAAGTCTTGCATCCTAGGAAACCCCCCAGCCCCAAGCAAACCGAGGCAGTGGGTCACCCTAGTTCGAATGTACATGTCTGGCTGACCCAAATAAGTGCTCTTTCCTCAGCGCCCCTTGCTCCTCTCCTTACCCAGTCCTCGTCCCCAAGTCCCCAGGCAGACACAAACTCCTCAAGGACAGCAACTATGTCTTAAAGCATTTTTGTATAAAATAACCTGGAATAGAATGGGAGTGGGTTCATATTTGCCAATTTGAATAAAATCGTATCTTCATTTCCATGATGGGAAGATCACTTTTCCTCTAACAGCATAGCTGGGTTGCTCTTGTAAGCTATTTTCGGGAAATGTCTTGCACAATTCAGCGTTACAGAGACAGGCACTTTCAAGCTCATCTCTCCTCTTTTACCAACAAGGAAATGAGTCGGCACAATGGAGTTTTAGGACCTTCAGGTTTCTAAGCAAGAACCACCTGCAATCCTCAATCTGTGTAGATCCAAATGCATGAATGCACAAAATAGATCTTTGAAAAGGCACCTCTATTACTGTAGGACTCTGTGATATAGCATTTGAACTTGCACATCCAGCTCTTCAGCTCTCAAGGCCCTTTCTTTTACTTTAGACACTTATTCAACAATGTATGTATGCTGTCACCAGGTGCCGGTGCTGCCTCACTTGGGATGATCCATATTGAACACAAACCTCAATTGACCAATTATCTGATTCCTTCCCCAAAACCATGGGCTGTAGAAGGAGGGTCTATTGTATGGAGAATCACAACAGGTGCTCCAGTTCTCAGGGATTACAGTTAAGAGAGTGCCTGTGCCTGTAGATTCCCTCTTAAGACTTGGATGAGGCCTCCCTATGAAACAGAAGGGACTGATAGGTCCAAGAGGGTCTGAGGCACCCAGTTCCTTGCTGCCAAAGGCCATCAGGAGAGTATTTGGCTTATCTCATTGATTTCATGCAAACCAATGATCAGAAGCAGCAAAGCATAGTGGTTAGGCTCACAGACTCGGAAGCTAGACAAACTTACTAGCTATGTAGCCTTGATCTTATTAATTAATCTATCTAAGTCTTAGTTACCTCATCTGTAAGGCAGAAATAATAATATTGTCTTATAAGACTGTTGTGAGGATGCACTCAGAAACATATGTGAAGAGTTGAAACACAGTAAGCATTCAAAGAATGATAGCTATTATTATTATTATTTGATTATATGGTTGGACATGGTCCCATTGGCTCCCATTGACATTGACTCCCAGTGAGGGTTCAGCCAGGCTGGAGTGGGGGCAGCTGCTGGTGAAAGCATCTCTCCATTGTACAATTTACCACTCTCCTCTGCACCAGTGGCAGCTAGAATTGCATCTCGATGAACTCATGCCCAACCCAGCCTTCAGGGCCTGCTTTTCCACTGAATCCCATTGCATGGGATGAATGTTGGCTTTTCACAGAGTGTTGGCGTTTTAGCCTTTGTTTTTTCAGCATGTTTACAGGGAATGTGAATGCTCAAATCAATATTCCCTGGATAGCAATGTTCCCTCATGGAATAAGTTATTTTGCAATTTCTTTCCATGGTGTGTGTGTGTGTTTAAGCTGCAATAAATCATTCTATGACTTCTTCAGTGTTGCTGAACTTCTTCATAGACATTCATGCAGTGAAACACAAGGAGCACTTTGGATCCTAAGTCAAAATCTCTTACAGGAATATCTGGATTATCTAGAGATCAGAACACCAATAAAGTCAACTATTCAACTGTATCCACAGAGGCTGTTAAAAAAAAAAGCCTGAGAGAAACATGGAAGCAATCCAAATATCCATTGGTGGATGAATGGATAAGCAAAATGTGATATAGACATATGACGGAATATTATTCAGCCTTAAAAAGGGAAGAACTCCTGACAGGCTATGACTTGGATGAATCTTATGGGCATAATACCAAGTGAAATAAGCCATTCACAAAAAGACAAATACGGTATGATTGCACTTGTGTGAGGTACTTAGAGTAGTGAAAATCACACAGACAGAAACTAGACTTGGCGGTTGCTGGGGCTGGGGAAGGGGTGAATTACAAGATGAATGAGTTCTGAAGATGGATGGGGGAGATGGCTGTACAACATTAATGAGTGTCAAGTATTTAATACCACTGAGCTGTACACTTAAAATGGTTAATATGGTTTTATATTATGTGCATTTTACCACAATTTAAAAATAATTGGGAAAAAAGACCCCAGAAAAGTAAGTAGTTATCAGAAAGCCCATATGCAATAAGCCACACTCAGGACAAAAACAGACAAAAGTAAAGCCATGCAATAAACATGGAGAGGAGAAGAATTGTTAGTAAAAACAGAACAGTCAGCATCCATTTCACTCTGCAAGAGCCCTGAGAACATTACCAAATACAAGAATCCAGGAAAACAATGTCTGTTTACAAAGATAACTCTAAGTCTTTATGAAATTGTGACTTGTGTCTAAGGTGCTATTTACTAAGGAGGAAAGGGAAGATATCTTTATTAAAACAGCAACATTAAAAAAAAGACTTGACCTGAATTGACATAAAGGAAATTATAAAAGATTTCAAAAATGCTTTGAGTCATAACAATAGTGTTAGAAAAATAAAATGAATATTTAAATATCAAGCCTCAGTTACACAGAAATCTCAGTTACACAGAAATCTGATTTGTCTGGATCACCATGTTTCTTGGCAGATAAATGGAGCATTTTGCATGTATAAATACTGTAATTCTAAGTGCCATTGTAAAATCATAGAGGATTAAGCTTCTGATACATTATGACTGACTTTTCCAAAAATTACCTAATGATTTTCCAAATATATAGGTGGTAAAGTGCTCACCTTCTCACCCAATCTGTAGGTAACCTTTTTGAAGAGTAAATAAGATTCTTTAATGTCAGAGTAAATAAGATTCCTTAATGTCAGAATTCTTTCAGTCTCCCTGGTTCCCACTCAGAGTGAAGACATCAAGACACAGAAGAGCGCACAACTTCATGATCTTTGGGCATGAAAATCCTGGATGAGTCAAGCCAATAAGCCACTTAATGGATTGTTTTAAAAATTGTCATGGTCTGGGTTGTGCTGAGAGGGCATTAGGTTGTTCATATCAGGATTCTGCTTCTCTGTGGAAAAAAAAAAAACAACCCTTTCCCTTTCTTTGAAGTTAGCAAGTCATAGCCTTCAGAAATAAATGAAGCTCTTCCCAGAATGTCAGATGATAACCTAAACACCTTGTCTATCCATCAGTTCATCTATTCATCCTTCCATCCACCCATACTTCCATACTTATATCTGTCTATCCTTTCATTCCCTCTATCTATCCATCCCTTCCCATCCTTCCTTCCCTTTTTCCATTCATTCATTCTTCTATCTAGCTGTCCATCCAACCATCCATCTGTCGTCCAGTAAAACTTCACTGGTGCCTGCTAAATATGAGGTTCTGGACTGAGCCCAGGGGAGAGACGCAGTGCCCCTGCCCTCATGGCATGTTCGGTCTGCGGAGACAGGTTCACAGCAAATGAGAAGCATGAAGTACTATAGTGTGCCAGGGTGTAGCATGGAAGGCTCCACCATACGGGGAGCAGCGGAGTCAGAGAAGGCTTCACTGAGGAGACTACCCTGAGACATGCGAGATAAATGGGCATTAGCCCAAGTACAGTTATCCAAGGAACTGGAAGAGACTTAGTGTGGCTGGAGTGCAAACAACAAGGTAGGGGTCAGAGAGCTGAGGGACAAAGAGGAGCTCACTTCTGAGGGCCTTGTGAGCCACGCCTAGCAGTTTGGACATAATTTAATCCTCTCTACAACCCACAGAAATAACTGTTTAATTAAATTTAATCCATTTAATCCTCTCTACAACCCACAGAAACACCTGCTAATTTTCCCATTATAGAGATGAGGAATTGCACCTCAGAGAGATTAACTGATGTGTCCAAGATGAGATGGTTAAGTGGTGATGAGAAGATTTGAACCCAGGGCTGCCCAACTGCAATACCATGATAATAGAGAGGACACTCTCTGACAAGCTCCATTCAAGTTCAGCTTGCTCCGGCCTCATATGAACCAAGTCACAGAATGTGTGACAGCTCCAGCAGCAGTCACCTTGAGAGACAGAAGATGGGAGATGGGAGGGGCTGTGGTGCCTGGAACACCAAGTCTACTGAACAGGAACTCCAGGTCAAAAATCCCCAGGGAATCTGCAGGACTTGCTGGGCTGCTAAAGTAGGGGACACACCACTGAAGGCAGAACAGCTGCAACTGGCTTCAATCCCAGCATGTGGATTCAGTGGTGGATGGAAGAACACAGGTCATGTATAGGAATCAGAAATGCCGCAGAACCTATTCTTTAAAAGGTCCTTACATAGGCTGGGTGCGGTGGCTCACGCCTGTAATCCCAGCACTTTGGAAGGCCGAGGTGGGTGGATCACCTGAGGTCAGGAGTTAGAAACCAACATGGTGAAACCCCGTCTCTACTAAAAATACAAAAATTAGCTGGGTGTGGTGGCACGTGCCTGTAATCCCAGCTACTCAGGAGGCCGAGGTATGAGAATTGCTTGAACCCGGAAGGCAGAGGTTGCAGTGCGCCAAGATTGCACCATTGCACTACAGCCTGGGCAACAAGAGCAAAAGTCTGTCTCAAAAAAAAAAAAAAAAAAGTCCTTACATCTAAAACAGCTTCTTCTCCCTACCTAAGATAAAGAGCTAACTTGTCAATTTCTATTACAAGAGTCGAATTTTCTTAATATATAACATTTTTCAAAATATATAAAATTTCATAATATATAAAATAATATATAAAGAGTTTCTACAAAATCCACAAGAGAATGGCCAAAAACCTAAAAGATAAGTGGACAAAGGCTATAATCAAAAAGTTTGCAGAAAAAAAAGAGATGCAAATTGCTTTAGACATAACAAAAAGATCCTCAATCTCACGCATAAAAAAGAGAAATTCAAACTGAAACTACCACAAGATACCATTTTTAACCTTTCAGATTGGGAAAAATTAAAATTTTTGATAATATAATGCAGGCAAAGGTCAGGAAAACAGACAAGCTCATACACTGCTCGTGAGAGTGTAAACTGATACAGCCTCAGTGGATGGATTGGATAATAGCTTCCAAATGAAAAGTGTACCTAGTTTTTGGCCCTGTAAGTTGACTACTTGCATGTCTATGAAGAGATAAATCTACACTGCAGAACAGGATATAATTGCAAAAGAGTGGTAATAAACCAAATGTCTATCAATGGGAAACTGACTATGTAAAATATGCTATACCCACACAATGGAACACTCTGCAGCCATTAGAAACGGAATAAGGAAGTTTATGCAGTTATGTGAAACAAATTTCAACATCTACCGTAAAGTGAAAAAAGCAACATACATGTGCTGCTGGAGGGGATGCTGTGTGCTGGGCCCAACCAGATCCCCCAGCTGCTGTGAGTGTTGGTGGCTGACAGTTAAGTCCTTCTCCAGGAGTTACCCATGGCTGAAGAGAGTAGCCTTTGGAAAATTATGCTCACATTCAATGGCCTGCTCCCCTCCAACCCAAATTGGGACAACTCTGAAGGCTATCCTAGCTCCCCACAGAGCTGGTGGAGGCCTCTGTCGAGACTGCAATACAGTTTACTCCCTCCCTATGCTCAATCCTGCTTCCTTCTCTTCCTTGCAGATGTTGATCCCAAAGGCACTCCCCAGGAAAATTCCTGTCCTGCAAATCTCAATCTCCGAGTCTAGGTCCCTAGAACTAACCTGCTATCTCTACCATTTGTGGAGGAAAAAAAAGGGGGAGAAGGGAGTAAAAATTAAAGAATTGCACACTGACATACCTGTCAGTTGTGTAAAGAATACACCTAGAAAGACATGCAAGAATCTGGAATATTGATTAATTCTGAGAACCGAGTTGTTGGGGATCAGGAGAAGGAGGAAAACTGCTCATGGATTTTTCATTTTGTGTTTTTGAAATTTATATCATGAACATATGTTACCTATTAAAAATACATTTAAATAGTAACAATGCCTTTAAAAAGTGAAGGTGGAAGATGTTCAAGAAAACCGAATGGGTCTCTTCTGGCCCTTAGATATCACCAGCATTCAGCATGAAGTCTCTGCCAGGCTGAAATCCTAAAATCACAGCAATGAAACCAGAGCTCATGTTTACCACATGGCCTGCTGACACTGCAGGGAGAATGCTACTTCTTGTCCATTTCAAAACTCACAGGGACATTCTAGATCCAAGCTAAGCTGGGAATGGGGAATGATTCCCGCAGGGCATCCACTCCTGAGTGCTCCATGGGGTTGTTCCCAAAGTCCGGGAACCTCAAGTGCTCAGTGTTAACCCACATTCCATTAGAAGGACTAGAAACTGTAAGGTATATTTGTCCTCTTGTCATGGGCAGTTTGACGATGGTGGGATGACCCTCCTATCAGGTCCATTCCTAGGAAGCTGTCCAAAAGCCTGGCCTTGAGTGCCTTGGTGCTGCTGACCACCCAGCTAGTCAGCACATACTTAGGGGTGTGCTTTTCTAGATGCTCCCTCCAAATCAGAATTCCTGCCACCCCAACTAGCCAAGACTTACTTTAAGAAATGTATTCCTTATCCCACTTATAAATACAGAACTGCAACATGCCAAGAGGGATCAGGGTGATTTCTCAAGAATTGCTAAGTCAGCAAGAATGCCAGTTAGCAAAAGATGAGATTGGGATTGGGACTTTCCAGTGAGAGCAGATCCTGGGGGCCCAATAAACATGTGATGCAACAATTTTGGTCCCTGCCACACTGTAAAATGCCTTTATAAGGTCTGACTCTTTTCCATATATTAGAGTTCTCCTCATTCCCAGAACTCTCTGCCCCCCTGCCCTCCTCCCACCCCATTCCTTGGTCAATACTGATTAAACCAATAGTAGTTTATCCATTTTCATTCTGTCATGTATGTTATCTGCAGGTGCAGTCAGGTCAATGGAGGGTTGAGATTGACGCCACAAATGGAAGCAGTGTTAACAGTGGAGACAGTGGAGAGTTATTCTGGTCCACCCTCCAGAGGCTTCTCCAGTGGGATTCAGATCGTAGAAACAGCCACAGCCATCCAGTGACATTAATCCCTTCTACCCTCTCTCATTCAGCCATAAAATGAGTTCTCATAAGCAGACCTGATAAATGATGATTAGTAATAATCATAATAACAATAAAGATATGTTGTGCCTCCCAGTAAGACCATGGATAGAATTACATTTTAAAAACTATAAAACACTGTGCCAGTATAAGGTATCATTTTGACATACCCTCCCCCAGATTGAATTATTACCTGCTGTTCATTTTTAGAAAGAATATTTGTCTGGCCATTCTGGGGACTTGAATTATAATTTCAGTTGGTTGTACCTCTTATCTCTCAAGGATTGATAGCTCAGAGCCCCACCCAGCAGCCCTTTTTTCTCTTCTTCTTCTCCCCCATAAAGAAATGTGATTGGCATACAACCTGCAAGAATGCCTTGCACATAGCCAAAGTATTGTGGTGATTAGTTAATTCTCTTTACATCCTTCAAGGAAAGGCACATATGTATGCAAGCATATGACATACATGTGCTCACACATAGGTATGCACACACATATATATTTATCACACATATACATATAAATTTAAACACATGCATGCACACTTATACCAATCTTACCTAATCCTTGGCCAGGTTGAAAAGTACCAAGAAATTGCCTTGACGAAGAGTGACACTAGGAATGATGAGTAAGAGGAATTAGATTGACCCTCCTACCCTAAGCAACACAACAAAAAAATCCTACAAGATATATAAAACCACAGTTTTCAGACATCAGACTGCAGGGCTCAGAGCAGTGGTCCCCAAGAGAAGGGAAACTAACAAGGTGAGCCCTACTTGTTACCCCAAATTACTGCCTGCCTATAGTTTCCAGGCCATAGCAGACAGGGGGAATCCAAACAGAGCCTATAAATTCTCCTAAGTTAAGAATTTTGGGAGGCAAAGGCAGCTAGGATTTATGGGGCAGAGTACCAGAGAGGAGAGAATTGCACAGAGAGAGCTCCAGATATTTGCAGACTCTCAAGTCTTTAGCTGAGTATTGATCATCACATCCATGGAAAGAAACTACCTGAGTCCAGGAAAAATCCACCCAAAAGGAACACATAAAACAATCATCAATCATCATGTAGAGCCAGGAATAGTTTATGTTCCTATGCCAGAGTGGAAGAACCTCATTTTACACATGCTTAGGGGCATCAGATAGCACATTCAGAGGGCATTGCCTCATTAACGAAAAAAAACTAGTCTTAGACTAGAGGCTGTTCTGGCCTTGAATAACAAAGCTTAAAAAGTAAGCTGCAAAAGGATTAAATTGTTTCTAAGTAGCTTAAATGAATCTCAGAGCAAAGCTTAAGAATATTTAAAAGAATACAAAAATATCCAGCATACAACACAGTAAAATCAACAATGTCTGGCAAGCAATTAAAAATTACCATATTGCCAAGAAGCAGGATAATACTACACATATCAGGAGAAAAATCAATCAAAAGAAACACACAGAAATAATACAGATGATAGAATTAATAAACAAGAACATTTAAAAGGTTATTACCATTACATTCTCTGTGTTCTAGAAGATAGACGAAAGTAAAATGTCAAGGAGAGACATGTAAGATAAAAGACCCAACTGAACTTGTAGATGTAAAAAATACAATATCTGAAATGAAAAATACATTGGATGAAGTTAACAGAAAATTAGACACTGCTGAAGAAAAGAAAATAGTGAACTTGAAGACAGAAATAGAAACTATTATAAATGAAACACAGCTGGGCACAGTGGCTCACGCCTGCAATCCCAGCACTTTGGGAGGCCGAGGTGGGCAGATCACCTGAGGTCAGAGTTTGAGACCAGCCTGACCAACATGGAGAAACCCCATCTCTACTAAAGATACAAAATTAGCCGGGCATGCCTGTAATCCCGGCCACTCAGGAGGCTGAGGCAGGAGAATCACTTGAACATGGGAGGCAGAGGTTGCGGTGAGCCAAGATCGTGCAATTGCACTCTATCCTTGCCAACTAGAGCGAAACTCCATCTCAAAAAAAGGAAAGAAAAAAAGAAAAAGAAAATGAAACACAGAGAGGAAAAAGAGAGAAAAACTATAGGGAAAATCAATGGGCTGTGAGACAACTTCAAATGGCCTAGGATACATATAATTGGAGTTTCAGAAGAAGAGAGAGAGGATGGACAAAAAATTGCTTAAAGAAATAATGACTTGATATGGTTTGGCTGTGTCCCCACCCAAATCACATCATGAAACGTAGTTCCCACAATCTCCACGTGTCATGGGAGGGACCTGGTGGGAGATAATTGAATCATGGGGGTGGGTTTTTCCCATGCTGTTCTTGTGATTGTGAATAAGTCTCATGAGATCTGATGGTTTTATAAAAGGCAGTTCCCCTTCACACACTCTCTTGCCTGACACTATGTAAGATGTGCCTTTGCTCTTCCTTTGCCTTCCACCATGATTGTGAGGTCTTCCCAGCCATGTGGAACTGTGAGTCCATTAAACCACTTTTTCTTTATAAATTACCCAGTCTCAGGTATTTTTTCAAAGCAGTATGAAAACAGACTAAAACATGACTGAAAATTATCTAAATTTTATCACAAATTCATCCATAAATTCATTGTAATCCTAATCAAAATGTCAACAGGATTTTGGGGGTGGAAATTAGCAAGTCAAATTTGCATGAAAATGCAAAGGATCTGTGCTAGCTAAAACAACATTGAAAAAGAATATCAGAGAACATATACCATCTGATTTCAAGATGTAGTGTAAGGTAACAGTAATCGGGGAGGGGCTTCAAAATGGCTGACTAGAGGCATCTGGTACTCACCTCCTTCATAAAGAACCAAGATAGTTAGTAGATAATCACACTTCAAATGGACCATCTAAGAAAGAACACTTGAATTCAAAAGAGTAGTGACTACAGACACCTAAAGCAAGAAGGAAAGGTAAGCGAGGCAGCCTGCTTGGCTGGGATTGGCTAGGAGCTTGGAGAGGCAACCCAGTGCAAAAAAGGGTAAGTGAGTGGCTCCCAGAGGTCCACGTTCCCACTGTAGATACCTGCATCCTAGCCATGGGAAGGCTCCAAGACTTTCATGAGCCCCTAGACTAACCTAGGGGGTACGCCTGGAGACCATGTGAAGGCATTGCTCTGGAGAGAAAGCTCGCACTGGATCCCAAACACACTCCCAACACCTAAGCAGCTACAGCAAGGCACTATACTGACAGCCCAGCTCCAGCAGACTGCATCTGGCCTGGAGACCCAAGAGCCTCTATAGCTCCATATTTCTTGAACCCCATTGACCTTCCGAGCCCACAGCCACCACCTCAGCCAGGTGCATGGCCTGAAGCCCTGGGCCAGAGCTGAAGCACAAGCCATTGGCAAATACCTCACTGGCCCCAGCAGCAAAGTCACTGTGCATTTTTATGTTGCCCTGAGGAAAAAATCCCCTTCCTGCAGCAGATGCCAATGCAGGCTGACACAGCCAGGTCTGAAGTGTAAGCAAAGTGCATGCTCATCAGCCACCTGCATATGGTTACTGCCACCAAAGTAACCTTGCTCTCCCCAGTAGCAGGGCTGAAGTACAGCTGCTACCACCACCGCCCAAGCATTCCACACTGGTCCTGGGGATCACCCTACCACCTGGGAGCCTGAGGACAGATCCACCTGGCCCAGCTCGGCCCTCGCAGTGCCCAGACATGCTGTCCAGGGGCCTGAGGACTGCCCGGCCCAGTTTACCTCTGTTGTAAGCCTCCTACTGGGGGCCTGCAGTCAGGCCTACCCAATCTGCCACTACCACCATAGTAGGCACCCACCCACATGTCCCACCTGCAAGTCTGGGGACTGACCTGCCCAGCTCATCACAGCCACCATGAAAACCAAAATGGACCACTTGGGACCCAGAGGTTAGTCTCACTGCTACTGCCATTGCCTATGCCACAACTGCTGCCCAGGGGCCCAAGACCCACCTGCCTACCCAGCCCACTACTGCTACTACCAGCACCCAAGCAAGCTGCCTGCAGACCTAAGAACTAACCCACCTGGACTTATGGACACCGGTGCTAGTGTACACTGTCCTGGAGCCCAAGGACAGACATGTTCAGCCTGTGACTGTAACCACTAGGGCCCAGGAATGGACCCACCCTATGTCCTTGTCCCCAGAAAAATTTTACCACAGCCTCCACTAACAACCACACCCTAAGCTACTGAGGAAATCACAGACATGACTAATGCTGTTTACAGCTGAAAAAAATCATACCAAAGACTATGCTACTACATATGTCTAGAATCAAAGCCAAAGAACCCTTCCAACCAGCACCATGGATACTACTTCAGGAAAAATTACCCCCGTCCCTCAAAAGCAAATTTGAAAAATTGGAAAAAGTGACTGTGACACCAGATGTGCAGATATCAATGTAAGGACACAGGCAACATGAAAAAAAGGAAATATTATACCTCCAAAGAACACAGTAATTCTTTGGCAACAGATCTCAATCAAAAATAAATTTATGAAATGCCATACAAATAGTTAAAAATAATGATATTTAAAAAGCCCAGTGAGATACAAGAGAATTTTAAAAAATACAAATAAATCAGAAAAAGAACTCAAGATGTGAATGAGAAATTTACCAGAGAGATAGATATTATTAAAAAGAACCAAACACAAATTCTGGAACTAATGAAATCATTAAACAAAATGTAAAATACATTGGAAAGCTTCAACAATAGACTAGATTAATCAGAATAAAAACATTTCAGAACTTGAAGACAGATCTTTTGAAATAACCCAGTCAGGCAAAACTAAAGAAAAAAAACGAATTAAAAAGAATGAACAAAGCTTATGTGGTATATGTGACACCATAACGTGAAAAAATATTTGAATTTTTGATGTCCCAAAAGGTGAAGAAAAAACAAAAGGGATAGAAAACCTATTTAACAAAGTAATGATGAAAACTCTCCAAGTCTAGCAAGAAATTTAGACATCCAGATACAGGAGGCCCGGTGACCCCTAAATAGATACAATGCAAAAAGGTCTTCTTCATGACACATTATAGTCAAATTGTCTAAAGTCAATGACAAAGAGAAAATTCTAAAAACAGCAAGAGAAAAGGGTCTAGTCACTAATAAAGGAGCTTTCATCAAACTAACAGCAGACTTCTCAGGAGAAACCTTACAGGTGAGGAAAGAATGGGATCACATAGTCAAAGTGCTGAAAGAAAAACACTGCCACACAACAATATTGTAGCAGTACAATTATCCTTCACAAATGAAGGACAAATAAAAATTTTCCCAGATAAGCAAATGCTGAGGGAATTCACCACCACTAGTCCAGCCTTATAAGAAATGCTCAAGGGAGTCCTAAACCTGGAAGTGAAGGGTGACATATACCATCTTGAAAACACATAAAAATATAACATTCACTGGTAAAGCAAGTACACAAATGAGGAAGAGAAAAGACTCAAATGGTACCACCACAGAAAATCAGCAAACCACAAAGATAATCAATAAGAGAAAAAGAAAGGAATAAAAATACACAAAACAACCAGACAACAATTAACAATATGATAGGAACAAAACCTCACATATCAACAATAACCCTTAGTGTAAATGGATGAAATTCTCCACTAAAAAGACATAAACTGGCTGAATGATTTAAAATACATGATCCAAGTGTATGCTACCTACAAAAAACATAGACTTTACCTAAACAGTCACATATAGACCAAAAGTAAAGGGATAGAAACATATTTCATGCAAACAGAAACCAAAAGTGAGGAGTAGCTTTACTTATGTCTGATAAAACAGGTTTAAGTCAAAAGAATAGAAAAAGTTCATGATAAAGGAAACAATCCAGCAAGAGAATATGACAATCCTAAATATTTATGTACCCGACACTAGAGCATTCAGATTCATAAAGAAAATATTACTAGATCTAAAGAAAGAGATAGACTCTAAAACAAAAATAGTGGAGGAGTTCAGCCCTCTACTATTAGCATTAGACAGATGAGCTAGACAGAAAGTCAACAAAGAAATATTGAATTGAAACTGCATATTAGACCAAATGGATATAACAGATATTTACAGAACATTTCATCCACCAGCTACAGAGTACACATTCTTCTCATTAGCACACGGAACATTCTCAAAGATGAACCATGTGTTAAGACACAAAACAAATCTCAACAAATTTTTAAAAATCAAAATCATATCAAGTATTGTCTCAGACTATAGTGACCTAGAAATCAATATTAAGAGGAAATTTGGAGACTGTACAAATACATAGAAATTAAACAACATGCTCCTGAATAACCCCTTTTTCAAGGAGGAATAAAGAAGAAAGTCAAATAATTTCTTGAAACAAATGACAATTGAAACACAACATACCAAAACCTATGGGATACTGCAAAAGCAGTGTTGAGAAGGAAGCTTATAGCAATAAACATGTACATCAGAAAAGAAGAAAGATTCCAAATAAACAGTCTAATGATGCCCCTCTAGGAACCTAAAAAGCAAGAAGCCAAACCTAAAATTAGTAGAAGAGGAGATATAATAAAGATCAGAACAGAACTAAATGAAAGGGAGACCAAAAAGGGTCAATGAAAAGTTGGTTTTTTGAAAAGACAAAATTGATAAACCAATAGTTAGAGTGACCAATAAAAAAACAGAGAAGACTCAAGTAAATAAAATCGGAAAATAAAAAGGAGACATTACAACTGAACCACAGAAATACAAAAGATCATCAGAGACTATTAAAGCAACTATACACTGATAAACTAGAAAACCTAGAGGAAACAGACAATGTCTGGACACATACAACATACTAAGATTGGATCAAGAAGAAATATTAATAGAAAACCTGAACAGACCAATAACAAGAGATATCCCCTTTACAGATGATATGATCCTATAACTAGAAATACCTAAAGAGTCCACCAAAAAACTCTTAGATGTAATAAATTCAGTAATGTTGCAGGATATAAAATCAACATACAAAAATCAGTAGCATTCGTGTTCACCAAAAATAAGCTAGCTAAGAAAGAAATCAATAAGGCAATCCAATTTATAATAGCTACAAAAAATAAAATAAAATGCCTAGGAATAAATTTAACCAAGGAAGTGAAAGATCACTACAAGGAAAACTACAAAACACTGATTTAAAAAATTGAAGAGGACACAAACAAATGGAAACACATTCCATGCTCATGGATCAGAAGAATTAATATCATTAAAATGACCATATTGCCCAAAGCAATCTACAGATTTAATGCAATCCCTATCAAAATACAAATGTCACTTTGGGCAGAATTCTAAAACGTAACCCTAAAATTCATATGGAACCGATAAAAGCTTAAATAGCCAAAGCAATCTTGAGCAAAAGAAACAAAGCTGGAGGCATCACATCACCTGACTTTAAAATATATTACAAGATTATAGTAACCAAAACAGCATGGTATTAGTATAAAAACAGACATGTAGACCAATGGGACAGAATTGAGAATCCAGGAATAAGTCCACGTATTTACAGCAACTGATTTTCAATAAAGGTGCCAAGAACATACACTGGTGAAAGGACACCCTCTTTAGTAAATGATGCTAGGAAGATTGGATATCCATATGCAGGCCAAGGTTTTATGGCTAAGACCTCAAAAGCATAGGCAACAAAAACAGAAACAGATAAATGGGACTATAGTAAACTAAAAAGCTTCTGCACAGCAAACAATCAACAGAGTAAAGAGACAACTTGTCAAAATGGGAGAAAATATTTTCAAACTATTCATCTAACAATGGACTAATGTCTAGCATATACAAGGAGCTCAACTCAGCAACAAACAATTCCATTAAAAAGTGGCAAAGGACATGAATAGATATTTCTCAAAAGAAGACATACAATGAACAACAGGTATATGAATAAATGTTCAACATCACTAATCATCAGGGAAATACAAATTAAAGCCACAATGAGGTATCATCTTTCCCCAGTTAGAATAGCTATTATTAAAAAGACAAAAAGTAACAGATGCTGGCGAGGATGCAGGGAAAAGGGACTCTTATACACTGTTTGTGGGAATGTAAACTGCTACAACCACTATGGAAAATGAATATATTTCTCAAAAAAAAAAACCCCACTAAAAATAGAATGACCATAAGATCCAGCAATCCCATTACTGGGTATTTATCCAAAAGAAAAGGAAACAGTATATCAAAGGGAGGTATGCACATGCATGTTTATTGTAGCCCTATTCACAATTCACAATAGCCAAGATATGGAATCAACCTAAATGTCCATCCACAGACAAATGGATAAAGAAAATGTGGTATACATACATACTTAAATACTATTCAGCCATAAAGAAAGAATAAAATCATGTCATTCACAGCAACATGGTCAGAACTGGAGGTCATTATGTTAAGTGAAAAAAAGACACAGAAAGGCACAGAAAGACAAAAGGCACAGAAAGAAAAAAAGACACAGAAAAAAAAGGCACAGAAAGACAATCATCACATGTTCTTACTCATATGTGAGAGCTAAAATAGTTGATTTCATGGAGGTAGAGAATAGAGTGATAGATACCAGAGTCTGAGAAGGGCTTGTGGGTAAGAGGTAATAAGGAGAGATTGGTTAATGGGTACAGACATACCATTAGTTAGTTAGATAGAAGAAGTAAATTCTAATGTTTAATAGCAGAGTAAGGTAACTATAGTTAACAAAATATTGTATATTTCAAAATAGCTAGAAGAGAGGACTAGAAAAATTCCCAACACATAGAAATGATAAATACTCGAAGTGACGGACACTCCAAATACCCTGACTTGATTATTATACAGTCTGTGCACGTAACACAATATCACATGTACCTTGTAAGTATATACAAATATTATAAATCAATTAAAATGTTTTTAAAATTAAAAATAAAGCTACAGTAAGCAAGGCAGTGTGGGTCACACAAAAATATATATATTAACAAATGAAACATAAAAGAAAGTCTAGATATAGACCAACCACACATGTGGTTGATGGATTTTTGACAAAGGTACCAAGGCAATTCAATGGAGAAAGGAGAGCCTTAGAACAACTTGTATAAGAACAATCAAATACCATGGGGGGGAAAAAAAAGCCTTGACCCTTACCTCATCTTACCTCATATCATATATAAAAATTAACTTGAAACAGATAATAGACCCAAATGTAAGAAGAGCTAAAACTATGGAACTTGTAGAAGAAAACCTTAAAGAAAAATCTAAATGACTGGACTTGGCAAGGATTTCTTAAATATAATACAAAAACACAAACAAAAAAGCACAATAAATTGGACTTCATCAAAATTTAAAATATTTGTTCATTAAAAGACACCTGTGGAAATATAAAGGCATGCCACAGACTCAGAAAATAATTGCAAAACATCTGACAAAGAACTTGTACCAAAAATATGTAAAGAACTCTTACAACTCAGTAATAGGAAGACAAAAAATTCAGTTTAAAAAATAAGAAAGTTTTTGAGCAGATATATCAAAGAAGATATCCAAATGTCAAGTGAATGAAAATATATTCAATAATATTAGTTGTTAGAGAAATACAAATGAAAATTACAATGAGAAACCACTACACTTTCACAAGAATGGCTAAAATTAAAGTGCCCATATCAAGTGTTAGCATGGGCAGGAACTGAAACTCTCAGAGGCATTTCTGGAGAGAATACAATAAGGCATAGTCACTTTGGACAACAGTTTGGCATATATTTGGAAAGTTAAGCATACATCTACCATACAACTTAGCTATTCTACTCCTAGGCATTTACGCAAAGAGGAATTAAAATACATTTTCACACAAAGATTTAGGCATAAATGTGCATAACAGCTTTATTTGTCATAGCCCCAAATTGGAAATAACCCAAATGCCCATAAACAGATAAATTAAAAAACACATTGTGATATATCCATACAGTGGAATACCACTCAAAAGGGAATAACTATTGATATGTGCAATAGCATGGAGGAATATTAATATCAAAATAATTATGCTGAAAGAAGCCAGATAAATAAATATATATACTGTATGATCTCATTTATTAAAAATTCTAGAAAATGCAAATTAATCTATATTGACAGAAACCAAATCACTGTATGCTTGGGGGTGGAGCATAAGGGTAAAGATGGAGGGAGGAAGGGATTTACAAGGGCCTGAGCAATCTGTTAGGAGTGATGGATACATTTATAATCTTGATTGTAGTTGTGGTTCCATTGGCATATACATTTGTCTAAACTCATCAAATTGCACACTTTAAATATGTACAACTTCTTGTATATCAATTCCACCCCAATAAAACTGTAAATAATAAATAACTTTTGCAAAAACTACGAAAAAAACAGGGGATGTTACGTGTTCATTTCCAGAACACCTGACCAGGATCTGGCTGCCCAACCACACTTTCCTGTGAACCTCCACTCCATCTTGGCCATGGCTGGTCTTACTGATTAGCAGCTAGAGCTGTGACCTTGACTGTTGAAGACTGGACACCTGAGACGAGACCATGGGTTTGAGCAGCAGTCACAGTCTCACACTCTTGTGGGGACACTCTCTTCCTGCCATTTAACCTGTCTGGTGATGGACTAATGGTAAGAAATAAATAAAAGGAAAGGCTCATGGGGTGTCTCAGGCACCGATGACAGCTGCACAAAAACCTGCTGTGGTTATGAAATGTTCAACATGATCAGCTTCTTCCTTGCTCATTTCAGGCCCAAAACCCACATTACCTCCTTTCATAACCTTTAATATCCCTCGGAAACCCTCTCCCTTTACATTCTCCATCTCTTCCCTGGAACATCTCCAGAAGGGTTCGTGATTGGGTTACATACAAGTTTCCGAGGCTGTAACTTCCTTTCAGTCATAAATCACCTCTTACACACTCACTTTTTCCTTCTCATTGTTCTTCTGTATTAATAGCCCCAAATCCTGGGAGCATTTGAGAACTGTTCCAATTTTGGTTTGAAAATCAATTTGGAAGCTAATGGTTGGCTTTGCTTAGACCTCCAATTCCTCTGGGAAGGCCAGTTCCTACAAATTGGCCAAGCCAGGGATTGGGGGCTTCTCTTAAATGCCGGATACTTTGGTCTCAGTGTTTTTCTTCTACTCTGTCCCTAAAATTAAAAAGTTAATTCTGGGTGGGGGTGGGGGAGTAGAGGGAACTTAATGCCTTCTGTTGTATGAGTTGGTAGATAATTTTTAAAATGGTTCATTTCATGGTAGGTCAAATTCTATTACGAAAGAAATATAAAAATGAAATTACCTTGTGTTTGTTAAAAGGCTCTGATGTTCTTCTCATTTTTTTGGAAACATCTTTCTCCTAAATAAGTTCTGCTTCCTCCATAGGCTGCTGACCTCCCTCGGGGAAAGTGAGAAAGTGTCAGATTCATCAAATGTTAATGGGGCGGGGCTCCCCACCAGATGGGAGCAGCGACCCTCGGCTGGTTGACAGGCCTGCCCTCAACATCAGCCAGCTGGGATATGCATTCAGGGATAAAGGAAACAGACTCTTGGGTGGGTTTCTTCAGGAAGACAAAAGAGGAACCTCTCACATACAGCATATTGACTTATCTGGTCTGTACCCCAAACCAGAGCAAGAAATGGAACTGATATTGTGCAAACCTAGAGGCTAACACCAGGCCAGAAAAGATTCAGCCAAGGGCACCATGGCCAGCCTTCTAGAGAGCCTGCTACATAAAGGAAAAAAGGCTAGCACAGTGTCCACCAGCTTATCAGTGACAAACTTCCCAGCTCCAGGTCTGGGCTTGTATGGGCACACCTGTGAATTGCAAGCTTGAGCCCAAGATTAAAAGGCATTCCTTTTCCTTCCTCTAGCTCCTTCGGCCCTTATTCCACTCTCTGATGTTAGAGTTAGGTTTTTCATCTTTCCCCACACAGCTGGCTAGGAGCCAGCTAGCTCCTGGGCACCCACTTCATGTATCCCAACACTGACCCCCAAGCCATTCGTCCGTGCCATGACAGCAGGCCCCAACCTCTCAGCCAAGACTGAGTCTCAGGTATACCAGGGATTAATCATTTATTTAGGCATCGCTTCATAAAACTCCCTTTCTGAGATATCATCCACATTTCAAGAGGCTGATAAAGTCTCTTGCATCTGGGGAGGGAGGCTATTAATCTATTCATTAGTATGAGACAATGTCCCTTTTGAATCTGATATGTCTAATTGTGGAAGAGAACAAAGACTGACAATTACAGACAGAGACAGGCAAAGAGCGTCTGCTTCCATGACGTCAGTACTTCTTCCAGGAGACTCGCAAAACGTTGAATGCTTCCTCCCAGCTCTACCGAGTGAGACCCCTTTCAGGACAAAGCTATGATAACAAGAGGCTAATATTTACAGCACACCATGCAAAGCACTGAACATGCACTATCTGATTTAATCCTCACCATACTAAGAAGAATTGAGTTGAATATCTTCATACTGCAACTGAGGGAACTGAGGCTCAAAATGGTTAAGTGGTTTGCCTAGAGTGATACTGCCAGTGAGCAGCAGAACCAGGACTCTACCAGAGCCTGCTGGTTGCAAAGCCCATGCTCCAACCCTCCACTCTGTGTCCGTGCCTGGAAAAGACTACAGCAGGGAGCCCTAGAACGAGATCTGGGAGGCCTCTAGCCTGCAGCTCTATTTAAAAACTGAAAAGAGCTTGCACAACGGATCATTTGTCTATGTTCTGCAGAAAGCCCCCTAGCTCTATGCTGGGTGAGACAGCTTGACCTGCTAGCTGGTCAAGAAACCAGAAAGGCTGGCCTGCTTGATACTCCCTTTTCACACCTGAGACTCAGAAAAGTTAAGGGACTCTCCAAAGCCACAGAGCTTTATAAGTGGCAAAGCTAAGACTCAAATTCAGGTCTACTGCCCTGAAATCTGGGATGACTTGAAAAACTTATCTACAAAGGCTTCTACAACGATTTACTAAGAAACTCCCAGTTAATTGATCTCTAAATTGCAGGGACATCATTCCAGTCATCACGGGAAGGTCTGCAAAGTACCTATGCGTGTTTATGGGTAAGAAATTGCTCTCTGCTAGGCTTGAACTCACCATCATGGAGAACAGAGACCTCTAATTCTGGAAAGAAGTTAATGACTGGGGCTTCAACCTCAAGCACAGCATGCTGCCTCCTCAGCATAGGAGGGGAGCAGGGACTTGCATTGCCATCTCATCCCTCAGCCTCGGGCACCATTGCCCAGGGAACACAGACTCTGAGACATACCTAGAACAGTGCACTCACCTCTGTGCATGAGGCTGTTCATTGAGAACTCAGAGTCTCCCTGCTGGGTGGCTTTTTGCTAGCTGTGAGGCACATTCTTGGACAGCACACAGGCAAGCCAGAGTTCCTGAGAGTTAAGGCTCTTAGAAGCAGCCCTCAACTAATGACAGATGGTGGGCATGGTGATAAAATCCCCAGCTGCTTCACCACTCAGTTAGGATAACTCTGAGCCGTGGTCTATGTTGTCACACTGAGCTCCCCAGTGGAAGTGACATCCCGTTGCCCACAGAGGTAGTTTGCTAGATTATGTATTTCTGCTTGAGTTCCATCCCTTCCCTTCTGTTTCACATCCCTCCCCCCAGATAGGTGCTTCCTGGCATCACTTCCCAATAAGCAACTTGCACACAAATCCTTCTCTCAGAGTCTGCTGGTGGGAGAACCCAAGAAGGCAGCCCCTATCCAGAAGTGTCCTTTCCCACCTCCAGGCCCCAGAGCATCTCCTGTAAGCCTCTCTTCCCAGGATGCATGACAGAGGCTGAATGCTCAGGCTGGGGAGAAGACAGGTCTGGATTTAGATATCAGATAGGTTCTTTGAAGGCCATGTTATCCTAGGCACATCAACTGGCCTCTCATGGCCTGTTTCTTAAAAGATAAAACATGACAAGTGCATTGACATCACAGAACAGGTGTGGTGTGTGTGTGCATGATAGAAACTTAGCACTGTGCCTAGCATATCCTGAGTGCTCACTGAAGGATAGCTGTCATTATTATTATTACTGACATTCTCTTTTATTAGAATAACCCAAACACTTGTCCTGCCTCCCTCACTGAGCTATGACATCTTTGAAGTCACACACCATGGATATTTTATCTTTGCCTTTCCCAGAAAGCCCCTCCCAGAGCTGATGCTCATTATATACCTATTGTGTTAAATTGCTTTGTTTAATCTTTGCATTATCTATTTCTGGATGAAAGCAAGGAAGACATGCTAATTATCCTATGTTGCTGGCTTAGGGAACAGAGCCCCTAAAGAACTTTCTCCCTCTTTTAATTCTTCATCCCCTGTTTGCTGCTTTGTGCAAGTCCATAGGTCAAAGGTGGCAGCTGTGATTGATGTTCTGGGTTATGATGTTGCTTTTCATACATTTGTTTGTCTCACACTAAACAGTGAGTCCTTCAAGGAAAACATCAGTGCTTATACATGTCTATGTTCCACTATGTCAGGCTCATGTAGGTGTTCGATAAATGTCCTCTAATTGACTTAAATTATTTGATATGAGTATATCAAATAGCACCAGGTAGCTGCTAATAACCTCAAGTCACTGACAACAGGATGTAGCCAGAGCCTGACTAGACTGATGCTTGCAAGAAGATGTTTCAGAAATTAGAAGGTGGCAGGTTGTCACTACTATTTCAACTTCACTCTTCTAGGTATATTTTATGGATATAAGGTTACATTTAACTTTGCTGCGTATATAAATAGCTCATATTCATTTTTGATCCATAAGTCTTAAACTTCTCAGCTTATAGGATCCTGAGTTTTGATCATTTGGTCATTATGATGAAATCTCTGGCCGCTTGTTAGTGCCAATATTTATTAGTTGAGATTTTAAACACCAGATTAGGAATTAACCCAACCACCATTCATGATTGCTTATTAGGTATTATGACATCTTAGAGTGTGAATGAAGCCCTTTCTTGGCCCTGGAAAGCTCTTCCACTGGACTCTTGCACTGGCTGCTACAACTTTCAGAGAGGCCAGGACTATGTCTTCACACCCCAGAAATTTCTAAATAGATTTTATACTCAGGAAAGAGCAGTCACAAAGCCCATGCACTTAGCTCCACAGGTGAGACTAAGGCGTTGTGCCTGGGTCAAAGCAGGAAGTGATGCAATGTTTATAGAGTGAGTGAACAATCTTTTTCCCTCCTGAATGCCTGTGAAAACATTACTATTTGAAAGAAACAATGAAGGTGTTTCACCAAGTGGACAGAACTTTTAAATGACAGGATTTTTTATGGCTTTACGTCATTCATTCAAAGGTATTTATTTGGCACCAACTGTGTGTGCTAAATGCTGTCAACCAAGAAGAGGCAAAAGACCAGAGAGCAAAGCAGTAAGACAAGGTATTCACTGGAGTCTTAGGAATCACAATTTGGGAGATACAGATTCAGCTCGAAGCCAAATTATATTCCAAAGAGAGGGAAGGGAGTAGGGGGTTTTTAAGAGAAAATAACAAGAAAGCTAAGGGTGGTTACACAAGCTGTTTTGAAAGGATTATTATTGGTGGACGCAGCTGGCTTAGCACATGAGCCCATAGCTCATTGGTTGTTACTGTTCGGGAGTTGCAGCACTGGTGAAATTCATTTGTTTTCCAGGATGTTGTGGTCATTGTACTTTGGCATACTTCAAAGGTTCAAAGCAAGTTTCTGTTTTGTTTTGCCAGTTTGCAGGACACGCAGGCAATCCTTTTTAGAATGGCCTAACTCCAACTCCATTTTAGAGCTCTGAACCAGAGTGGTACCATTTTGTATATCCCATTTCACAATGCCAAGCAGAGTGCTTTTAGAATACAGAGTGGAAGATGCATAGGTACAGGCACACAGAGGCAAGGGCAGCACAGGCTCAGAGATGGAAAAGTATGGGCATGTTCCAGAACATGAAATAGGAGATTGGCTAGAGCTCAGGGCAAAGTGAATAAAGCTGAGATATGGAAAAAGCCAAATACCATTCCATGTACTCCTTTTAAAAAGCCAGAAAAGATCCCACACCCATTAGAAAGATTCCATTCCCAAATGATTATACTCTTTCAAAATCTCCTCATTGGACCAATATTCTGTATTCTGGGAAATCTGTTCATGGTAAACCTTATTCCTGTAATTCTGGAACAGTGAGGCATTGTTCCCATTGAATCTCCTCCCGCCTTTCCCCATAGTCACCACCCTACACCCTTGGCCCTCCAAAATGAGCAAGGTAGGGATAGGAAAATAGCTTTCCTTTTCTAAATAAGCAGCAACTATGATCCCCAGATTCCTTACAACTCTCAATTGGGTTCCTAAAATACAAGGTTTCCTTCCCCTAAACTAATTCTCTCTCTCTCTCTCTCTCTCTCTCTCTCTCTCTGATGCCCTGAACCACAGGCTTCTATTAGAAATCAAAGCTTTTCCAAATCTTCCTAGGGCCTTCATGTCCCAGAGTGAGGGCCCTAGTTTTCAGCCGTGGCTATAAGTTGGTCCCTGTTTCTAGAAGTTCCCCCCAAGACTACAGGTAAACATCGAGGAGCAGAAGGATGTAGGCCAGGAGTGATTAGAATTGGGTTTCAATCCTTACCCTAGCCTGCTGAGTTCTTCCTGAACATAAGCTCTTTATGTGAAAGATATCTGAAGACAGCAGATCCCCGGGGTATTTTACTGAAAAACTGCATCACTATTTCCTGGTCTAAAATATACAGATTGCTAAAATTAGCCCTCTAATAAATGGAGAAGTTCTCCTCTAGTGGTTCAGTGCACTTAAATACATAGTCTCACCAGATCTCTGGGGTAGGGGCTGTTTCCCCCACTTTGTGGATGGGACACTGAGACGTGAAGTTATGAGAGCTGGCCAGGGTCTTAGTGAATGGTGGCAGAGCTGGTCAGGATCCTGGTGTCCTGGATGGTCCACAGAAGGACCTTGTGTTACAGACAGTTCACCTCTGTCACTGGTTCATGGCACAGGATGACCGCTATATGCTCAAGGAGTCAAATCACACATTGGAGTTTCACCTAACAGTGATGGTGCTCACAGTGGGTTTAAGGCAAGTCTTCAAGGACAGTCCACATTAGAGAGAGAGAGGAAAAAAGTACCCAAATAAGTATTCTACAGAGCAGAGCTATGAAAGGTCCCATGAGAAGGCCAAAGTGTGGGACCTGGAAGGAGAGAAAGAGCCCACATTTCATCATATTGGGAGCAAAGAGGCCTCACGGAAGCTCAGAAATCTTGGAGGCAGGACTCAAGGATGAATCTGATTTTTTTTTTTCAAAAAGAATAACAAGAGTGTTTAAGAAAATTTAGTATCAAAAAGTCATTTATCAAAGCATACAAAAACATAAACTGGGGAAAGGACACCTTATTTAATAAATGGTGCTGGGAAAACTTGCTAGCCACATGTAAAACGCGATCCCTATCTCTCACCTTATACAAAAATCAACGCAAGATAGATCAGAGGCTTAAATCTAAGACCTGAAACCATAACAATTCTAGAAGATAATCTAGGAAAAACTATTCTGGACATTGGCAAAGAATTCATGACTAAGACCCCAAAGCAAATGCAAAAAATAAAATAAAATAAACAAAAATAAATAAATGAAACCTAATTAAACTAAAAAGCTTTTGTACAGCAAAAGAAATAATCATCAGAGTAAACAGACAATCCACAGAATAAGAGAAAATATTTGCCAACTACGCATCCAACAAAGGACTAGTATCCAGAATCTACAAGGAACTCAAATCAGCAAGAAAAAAAACAACAAATAATCCCATCAAAAAGTGGGCAGATGACAAGAACAGACATTTCTCAAAAGAGGATATACAAATAGCCAACAAACATGAAAAAAATGCTCAAAATCACTAATCATCAGGAAAATGCAAATTAAAACTACAATGACATACCACCTTACTTTTACAAGAATGGCCATTAATAAAATGTCAAGAAACAATAGATGTTGGCATGGATGTGGTAAAAAGGAAATGATTATACACTGCTGGTGGGAATGTAAATTAGTACAACCTCTATGGAAAACAGTATGGAGATTGGTTAAAGAATTTAAAGTAGATCTACCATTCAATCCAGCAATCCCACTGCTGGGTATCTACCCAAAGGAAAAGAAGTCAGTATATCAAAAAGACACTTGCATGTGTGTGTTTAATGCAGCACAATTCACAATTGCAAAGATATGGAACCAACCTAAGCACCCATCGACCAATGAGTGGATTAAAAAAATGTGGTTTATATACACCATGTAATACTACTCAGCCACAAAAAAAATAATGTCTTTTGCAGCAACTTAGATGGAGCTGGAGGCCCTTATGTTAAGTGAAATCACTCAGGAATGGAAAATTAAATACTGTGTGTCTTCATTTATAAGTGAGAACTAAGCTATGGGTATGCAAAGGCAAACAGAGTGATATAATGGACTACGGAGACTTAGGGGGAAGTTGGGGGTGAGGAATAAAAAACTGTATATTGGGTACAATGTAAACTGCTTGGGTGAAGGGTGCACCAAAATCTGACTTGACCGCTAAACAATTCATTTATGTAACCAAAAACCACTTGTACCCTAAAAGTTATTGAAATAAAAGAAATTCATAATCCTGCTTCCCATTACAACAGAAGGTCCATTCTAGATCGGTCCATGCTCACCACTGGAATGCAGACATGTTTGGGCTAGAGAGCTGGAGGTAGGTCACCAGGGTCCATTTGCCCAAGAGATATGGGAACTTGCTGGGACAGCATCAGGCACAATGTGCTGGATCAGTGACAAAGCCAAGGTGGTCAGAATGATGAGTCTGTCGCCATATCTGTCTCTTGGATTTGAAGCCCAGCCCAGCCTTCCATGGGTTCCTATCTAAGTGGCAAAGAGTAACTTTACTAAAATCACATGTCCATGGTTCTGCAGAGAACTGAAGAACCTAAATTTTATTCAGTGGGCAATGGGATGTCATGGAAAAATTCCTAGCAACAGAGAGGGAGGACCCAAGGGCTGACTCTTGACTGCAGAGAATACAAAGAGATTGTGACACCCTGAGGCTTCCCACAGATGCAGTGCCACATCAGGACCCCAAGGACCCATGTGCGTGGTGGAGGACATCAGTGCCTGGCAGGTGGCTCATGTACGGGCATCACCCAGCCTGACAGGTGCCTGAGGCCAGTGCAGATTCCATGGGAGGGGAACTTGTCTGTCATGAGATTTTTTTTTTGTGAGGCCAAAAGGACTCCCAGGAATTTCTGGGGCCAGAATCTTGTGATAACAGGTGGAGGTGAGAGATAACCAAATGCAGTCTGGTCCTGTAAAAAGTGGCCACATTTTAAACTCCACACAAGAGTAGCCCACAGAAACGCAGTTTACATAGCTGTGTTCATTTTTGTGTACCTGTTCCAGTCTTCATTCACTTGCACACATAACAATCATGGTGTATACTTTTCTGTAATTTGCTTTTTAAATGTATCACTATATTACAAATCAGGGATGAAGAGACATGGGAGAAGGATTTCCATGCAGATGAAATGATATTACTTTAGAGCACTGGTTCTTACCAGAGTATGATTTTTGTCCCCCAGGGGTTGGACCTTTGGTAATGTCTACAGACATTTTTAGTTGTTATGACTGGGGACAGGGTGATACTACTGGAGAGAAGTCAAGATGCTACCAAACATCCTGCAATACACAAAACGGCTCCCTCAACAAAAAAGTATCTGGCTCAACATGTCAATCATGCCAAGGCTGAGAAACTCTGTTCTAAGTACAGAGATCAGAAAGTATGATTACAGGAGTAATTATAAGTAGCCTGATTTGACTTGAATGTAAGATACATGTAGGGAACTCAGAGAAGGAAAACCAGGAAATTCAGCTGGGGCAAAATCCAAAGAACCTGAATTTTATTCAGTGAGCAATGATATGTCATGGAAAAATTCCTAGCAACAGAGAGGGAGAACCCAAAGGCTGACTCTTGAGGTCTTTGGCTTGAGTGACTGACTAATTCACAGCACAAAGGATCAGCTTTAGGGAGAAACACACTGGAAAGTGAACATTGTGAGCATTCCTGGGCACAGGGCACCAGGCAGAATTGCTCCGAAGGCAGTGGAGAATGTGAGCTGGAACCCAGGAGAGAGCTCCTGCCTGGTGCAGGAGATGACACTGAAGCCGCCCTAGTGGATATTATTGGGATGCACCTGGAATGTATAGAGGGGGAATTGGAGGACACTGAGAGAAGGACCCTTCGAAGGCAGGAGGGAAAGAGTGGTGACAGAACAGAGAAAGAAGCTGGCAACAGTAGTGTCACAGAAGCAAAAGCTCACCCCTTGCTCCCAAGGGACCTGAGGGGGAGAGGCAGGTCAAAAGCTGCAAGACGGCAAAGAGAATGAGGAGGAGGTAAGCTGGGGGAAGCTCACCCCTGCCTTCAACAGGAAGAGCCAGGATTTGAACTCAGGTCTGCTGGCCCCAGGCCCAGGGGTCTCCCCATTGGCTGTATCTCTCTGTATTAGGACCATGCAGACCCACAGATGGGCCTCTTATTTGGACACAGGGGCTAGCAGGAGTTGCACCATCACAGACACAGAATGACGACTAACAGTTACCAGAACAGAAAGAGTTTAGGGTCACATGGAAGCTTTCTTCTTTCTTCCAACATGAGCTGCAGGCCCTCTGGGGACTGCAGTGACTGCTTCTGCAGCAAAGTCTTTAAGTTAAACAAATAAATACTGCTTACCTCCTCCCGTGAAGCTCTCAGTGGTGAGCTGAGCCAGGCAGGCAGCGTATCCTGGCCAGGGGGTTACTAGGATCCTGATTTCATGAGATGCAGATGGCAAATAAACCTCAGAAGAGATGCTCCACCATTCTAATGATTAGAGAAATGCAACTTGAAACAAGCACAAGATGTTATCTTTCCCTAGCAGTCTGACAAAAATCAAACAGCTTGTTCATAGCTTGCCACAGCAGGGGTGGGTGTGTGGAAGGGATTTGTATGCATTGCCAGTGGAAGGTTAATAGTGGGGGGTATGATCTTTTCATAGGGCACCACCTATCAAAAATGAATATGCATTTTGCTCTGATGATGCCACTCTCAGGCACCTATTCTTGAGAATGTTTACTGCAACTTGTAAAGGCAAAAACTTGGACACAAACTGAACGTTCATCTGTGAAGCATGAGTAAACTACACTGTGGTATATCCACACTGTAGGGTGTAGCTGTTAAGAGTAATGAGGCAGATCCCCAGGTTAATACGGTCAAAAAATTTAAAAGTCCAGGATTTATTCTGAAGTGAGAAAAGCAAGTTGAAGTAGTGAGGCAATGTGCATAGTATGATTCATTATTGTTTATATATGAATGTATAATATGCACCCCTAGAGAGAGTAGCAGAAAGACACACACCAGTCAGTTGATAGTGGTTACTCCTTGAGAAAAGGACCGGGGAGGGAAGAAAAGGAGTGAGGCTTTTAGCTTTATACAGTGATGTGCCAGGTGTATTTTCACAAGGAGGCCATGTTTTTTGTGGGATTTAATGCCTGGAAGGTGGCTTTGCAACTGTCAGAAAAATCCCAGTTTGCTCACCTTACCCAAGGCTGCTGGCTCAGGTCTGGGAACCATGGCAACCTAGGGCACAAAGACTCCATAAAGGAGCATTGTAGAACTGCTCCCTGGGCACAGTTGTCAACCCCATTACTGTCACTGATGTAATAAGAGCAGGCCAACCTTTGGCAATTTAGAGCTGCTCCCAGCTACCTGGGCACAGGTGTTCTTGCTTCTCTCATCTGTCTGAAACTGCTGTCTCTCCCCGCATCTGCCTATCCGGTGAAGGAAGAGAGGCAGCTGCAGGAGCTGCTGTTCTGGAGGCAGACAGGAAGCTGGTGAGGGAGCTAGGGAACTCCTGAGGCCTGCCTCTTCCTGTAGGAAGCAGCACTAAGATAGAGATTTGGGACCAAGGGCACCAACTGCACTCTCACCCATTTCCTTTAGGGCTGTCTGCCTCATTCTCAGAGGTCCAGTCTGGCCCTGGGACTGACAAAGTCAGGGGCATTCCAGAGTCTGAGCCTTGAAGCTAAGGTTCACTGCTTTGGGTTCTGTCCAGCATAGCTTCAGACTCATGCTGAGAAAACATAACCAACAATTACTGAGTGCTTACTCTGGCCTGGCACTGTTCTGAGTTCCTGCTGCTCAGAGTGTGGGCTGTGGACCAGCAGCAGCAGCACCCGGGGACTTGTTAGACATGCAGCATCTCAGACCCCAACTGCTGAATCAGAAGCTGCATTTTAACAAGACCCAGGTAATTGTATGACACGAAAGCTTGAGAAGCACTGTTCTTCATACTTAGATCTATTAACTCAGTTAATCCTTTAACAATCTTCTCAGCTGAGTCCTTTTATTATCATCCGCACTTCCTATACAAAAAAAACCTGAGTCATAGAGAAGTCAGGTAACTTGTCTTAGGTCACACAGCTAGTAATTTTGATAGGTAGAATTCAAACCTAAAAAAACTGCCTCTGGAGCCTGCATAGTTAGCCACTATGATGCTGACCTTGTAAACAGCATGGAGAACAGCTTCTTTATCCATCCAAATGGCAGAGGGCTTAGGACACTAGTGAGGAATAAAGTCAACTTCACCAAGATTGACCTGATGAATACCATGTCTTTCAAAAGCATAGAAATGGAGACCATAGTAGTGGTTGTCAGGGACTAGGGACAGAGTTGGGTGGGGTTGGATTATGGTGGTGATCGAACTCACTGCATCTTGATTGTATCATCATTGATATTCTGGTTGTGATATTTCACTATGGTTTTGCAAGATGTTATCATGGGGGAAGCTAGGTAAAGTGTGTAGAGGATATCTCTGTATTATTTTTTACAACTGCATGTGAATCTCAAAAAGAGTTTAATTTGAAAAACAAAAGCCTCCACAGCTGAAAATTCCAAGCTTAGAACCCCACTAGATGAGCCAATTTTTATGTATGCACAATTAAAGGCCCAAGGAATGAGTGGAGGCATCCAATATCAAGTGCAGCTATATACCAAAACCATTTGTGCTTCAACACTGTTATGGTTTGCCTCTGTGTCCCCACCCAAATCACATGTTGAACTGTAATTCCCGAAGGTGGGTGGGACACCTGGTGGGAGGTGATTGAATCATGGGGGCAGATTTCCCTCTTGCTGTTCTTGTGATAATGAGTTGAGTTCTTATGCTATCTGGCTGTTTAAAAGCATGTAGCACTTCCCCCTTTACTTTCTCTCTCTCCTGCTGCTATGTGAAGATGTGCTTGCTTCCTCTTCACCTTCCACCATGATTGTAAGTTTCCTGAGGCTTCCCCAGGCATGCTTCCTGTACAACCTGCAGAACTGTGAGCCAATTAAACCTCTTTTCTTTATAAATCACCCAGTCTCAGGTAGTTATTTACAGCAGTGTGAGAACAGACTAATACAAGAAAATTGGTACCAGAAAGGGGGCATTGCTATAAAGATACCTGAAAATGTCAAAGCAACTTTGGAACTGGATAATGAGCAGAGGTTGGAAGACTTTGGAGGGCTCAGAAGAAGACAGGAAGATGAGGAAAGGTTCGGAATTTCCTAGAGACTTGTTGAATAGTTTTGACCAAAATGCTGATGGTGATATGGACAAAGATGGCCAGGCTGATTAGATCTCAGATGAAGATGAGGAACTTATTAGGAACTGGAGTAAAGGTCCCTCTTGCTATGCTTTAGCAAAGAGATTGGCAGCATTGTGCCCCTGCTTTAGAGATCTGTGAAACTTTGAACTTTGAGAGATGATTTATGGTATCTGGTGGAAGAAATTTCTAAGCAGAAAAGCATTCAAGATGTGGCCTGACTGCTTCTAAAAGCCTACACTCATTTTCATAACAAAGAAATGACCTAAAACTAGAATTTATATTTAAAAGGGAAACAGAGAATAAAAGTTTGGAAAATTTGCAGATCGACCATGTTGTAGAAAAGAAAAACCCATTTTATGGGAGAAAAACTCAAGGGAGCAGAATGTTAATAGCCAAGACAATAGGGAAAATGCCTTCAGGGCATTTCAGAGACCTTAGCAGCAGCCCCTCCCATCACGGGTCTAGAGGCATAAGAGGGAAAAAATGGTTTTGTGGGCCAGACCCAGGGCCCCGCTGCTCTGTGCAGCCTCAAGACATGGTGCCCTGTGTCCCAGACACTCCAGCTCCAGCCATGACTAAAAGAGGCCAAGTATAACTCAGACTGTTGCTTGAGAGGGTGTAAGCCCCAAGCCTTGGCAGCTTCTATGGAGTATTGGTCCTGCAGGTATGCAGAAGGCAAGAGCTGAGGTTTGAAATCTAGCCTCCACCTAGATTTCAAAGGATTTATGGGAATACCTGATGTCTAGGCAGAAGTCTGCTGCAGGGTAGAGCCCTCATGGAGAACCTCTGCTAGGGCAGTGCAGAGGAGACATGTGGGGTTGGAGCGCCCACAGACAGTCCCCACTAGGGCACTGCATAGTGGAGCTGTGAGAAGAGGGCCATAATCCTCCAGACCCCAGAATGGTAGACCCACCAATAGCTTGCACCATGAGCCTGGAAAGGCTGCAGGCACTCAATGCCAGCACATGAAAGCAGTTGAGAGGGCTATACCCTGCAGTGCCATAGGGATGGAGATGCCCAAGGCCTTGGGAGCCCACCCTTAGCATCAGTGTGCCCTGGATATGAGACACGAAGTCAAAGGAGATTTTTCTGGGGCTTTAAAATTTAATGACTGCCTTGCTGGGTTTCAGACTTGCACAGAGCCTGTAGCTCCTTTGTTTTGACTAATTTCTCCCTTTTGGAATGGGAGCATTAACCCTATGCCTGTACCTCCATTGTATCTTGAAAGTAATTAACTTGTTTTTCATTTTACAGGCTTATAGGCAGAAGGGACTTGCCTTGTCTCAGATTAAACTTTGGACCTGAACTTTTGAGTTAATGAGTTAAGACTTTGTGGGATTGCTGGGAAGGCATGACTGTGTTTTGAAATGTGAGAAGGACATGAGATTTTGGAGTGGCCAGGAGCACAATGATATGGTTTGGCTCTGTGTCCCCACCTAAATCTCATGTCTAATTATAATTCCCAATGTTGGGGGAGGGACCTGGTGGGAGTGGATTAGATTATAGGGGCAGATTTCCCCTTTGCTATTCTCATGATAGTGAGTGAGTTCTCCATCTAAATTACGAGTTTTTGTAAAAGATCAGAAGGGTCTACAGTAAAGAGAGGAAGTCCCTGGAGGTCAGTTCATCGGGCTAATGCATTTCTTCCAGTTGGCTGTCACCCACAGCAACCTGCTCATGGCAAATGCAGGCTGGCAAGTGCTGCTGACACTCCTGCCCAGGGAATTTAGACTAGATACACACAGTCAGTAGCTCTTTATTCAGAGCCCAGTAGGGCCTGTCATGCTAGAGGGAACTCTGCAAAATGAGGATCAAGAGAACTTACTTGGGACTCCCATCTCCCAGTCACTTTGAACAGCAGTCTGTAAACGACAGTTCCCCTTCTGATCACTGCCAAAAAGCAACGTTACTCTCTGTATACACAAAGAGCAAGGGATAACTGTTGGTTTCCTTTATTCCATAGCTCATGTCGTGGTTATGACTGCCATGTGCCATAAAAATATGCAAGAGTTTGCATTTCACAAACATTTGACTTTCATAAGTCTTCATTTCCCACAGAAAGCCCTGTTCTACAGCATTCTGAGAAACATCTTTCACCAAACCAGGGTCTCACCTTTGTCTCTGCAGTAGAAGAGTAAACTGAAAAGAAAACTTTGTGTATTTGGATGTTGGCTCTAAACTCTATCTGGCCCTGGTCTCCTGCTATGTATGATTTAGTTCTGCTTGGAACTGAATCATGGTAGAACTAAATTACAGGGTTGGTCAATAGAAGAAAAGTGGCTGGTCTCAGCAACACCTTTGCAACACTCACCCTCTGAGAAGAGTACCCAATATTGTGAGTGCCCATTCAGATGCCCATTGAGGAGGGGTTATGCTGGGTGCTCCCAGAGGGTGGAGGGGCAGGCAAACTGCTCACCCTGAGATGGAGGATATACTTGTTTCCTAGGGCTGCCATAACAAAGTATCACTAACTGGGTGGCTTCAGACAGCATATTATTGTTTCACTATTTAAAAGGCAAGAAGTTCAAGATCAAGGTGTCTGCAGGGCCTTGGTCCCTCAGAAACATGTGGGGCATTCTTCCTGGCCTCCTCCCAGCTTCCAGTGTTTTGCTGGCAGTGGCAGTCCCAGGCGTTCCTTGGCTTGCAGATGGATACCTCCCATCTCTGCCTTTATTATCACATGGCCTTCTCCCTGCATATCTCTTCTACTCTTCTGATAAGGAAACCAGAATTGAGGGCCTGCCATACTCCAGGATAACCTCATCTTAATTTAACTAATTACATTTGCAATTACCCCATTTCCAAATAAGGTCACATTCTGAGGTACTAGGAGTTAGAATTTCAACATGTCTATTTTGGAGGGGATACAATACCACCCATAACAGAGAGGGGGACAGTCCCCAGAACACGGAGAAGATGGTGTCTCAGGGGTTCCATAATCAGCAAGGTCCAGTGTCCTGGGAGGATGGCAGAAAGTTAGCAGACCTCCAAAGCAGGAACCAGGACCCAGGACCCAGGGATCTCAGCTCTTGCAATAGTCTGGTGCCCAATCTGGGTGTAAAAATAGCAAAGCTGCCCTAGCCAGACTGTGTCAGATTGGACAAGTAGCACATCAGGATGGCCAGTGTGAGATGGGGACCAGAACACCTTCCCGTGTGCTGGCCAATGTGGTCCTGAGAACTTTCACAACCCAGGATAGCGGGGGATTGGAGAAGGAGTCCCAAGAGGGACAAAAATCAAACCCCTAGTCTTGAAGCCGAGCTTATTTTAAAAATTAATGTAAACAGAGAGTTCTTAAAGCCAACTAATGTGATGACTGCAAATTTATAGCTATTCTAAACATATTCCTTCACCTATAGTCACACTCCTCTCCCATGCACTGCACAAGGACCAGCCCTCAGGATAAGAAAGACATGAGTCAACGTGGCAAACGGGGTCAAAATTGACAGAAAGAGGGCAATCATGCATGTCAGTGGGGAATAATGATGAACCTGGAGAAACCAGTATTGCTCCAGACCCCCCTCCCAAATCCTTGCAGAAAAGAATATTAATAAAATAAAATTCCAAAATCTGATCCCAGAGCAATAATAGAACACCCATGCCAAACTTCACAGCCGTGGGGAGGATGCATGTAGCTGAGCAATCTGTGGATAGCATTTCTCAGCTGAAATTCTTGAAAGCTTGTAGTGCTCAGGCCAAAAGGCTCTGGAAACCAAGTCCTGTGGAAAATGCAAACTTTATGAATCACACATGTGGCCACAAAGCCAGCCCTGCAGCTCTGAGTGAAAAGATTTGCACAGAAATCTGTCCCCACACTGAAGACCACCAGGGCTGATGTAGAGCGTACTATGGGCCCTGAGAGGATAGGAAACTCACTCAGCCCTTTGGGGACTTTCTTGGCAAACTCTGGAAGATACAATCCAGTGGAGCTCTGGGCTGGAATTAGACGCGATAGACAAAAGGACCACTTCTCACTGTCTGAGTGGTCTGCCTGGAGAAGAAGCCTCCAGGGGGAGAAATGAATCCTTTTCTAGCTACTTAACTTTTTGTTCCTCCATTTTCTCATCCTTGAGACAGGGAGCACAGAAGAGCACTTATCTCATGGGGTCCTTGTGAGAGTGAAATGAGTTAATACACAGGAAGCACTTAGAAAGCGCCTGGCCCCTCAGAACAGCCAATGTAAGTTCTCACCTGCAGCAAGCACTCTTAGCAAAGCCGGGGTTTTGGAATCTTCCCCTGAAGTTGCATCTCTTCCAGCACTCCCCCTCAATTTTCATTTTTGCTTTATAGATCTCGGATTCGCTTCCCGCTTTGTCTCCCAACAACCTATTCACAATCTGGAGTGCTTCCCGCTTAATGTCATAGGACCTAAGGACAGGAAAGGCCCTGCTAGGTCCCCCAGCTTCCGCCTCTGCCCCAAGGCACAGCTCTGTTCACACTGACTCCGACAGATGGATGTCGTTTCAATACAGGAAATATTTATTGAGCATCCACTCTGGGCCAAGCCTTATGCTCAGCACTGCTAGGAATACACACAGGAGTGGGGCAGGCCGAGTTCTCGCAGTCTATGTGGAAGAACTGGAAACTCCAGCAGCAGCTGATGCTGCAGGCCACAGGCAGACTTTCTTCTTCTCTGGGAAACCCCAGTTTCTGCTCTTACGGCCTCTGACTGATTGGACAAGGCCCACCCAGATCATGAAAGGTAATCTCCTTTATGTAAAGTCAACTGACTGCAGATGTTAATCACATCTAGATTTGTGTTTGATTAAATAACTGGGTAGTGTAGCACAGCCAAGTTGATACATAAAATCAACCATCACCACAGACTCGTTTGTCCTTGCCCTGCCCACTTTATGTCCAGTGTTTCTTCCTGAGCTGTAGGTCTGTAACCTATAACAACTTTAGGCCCACCATGAGATGCAGAGAAAACAGCTTTCTGTGGAATTCTTCACCAGCTCCCCCACTTACATAAGTTTGAATCCCCTAAAGAAATCTTTCATTCCATTTCACTCATAATGGTTCTCCTTCCCTGACTGAACCCCAACTGATACAAACCCTATGTCCCAGAATCGTCTGGCCTTATAGAATATTGGAATCGACTCCTGAGCCCTTAGCTACGGCTGGTTGCAAGACCATACCTTGCAAGACTGGGGGCTCTCCAACAGGCTACAGTTGCAATTTTAAACCAGCAACCAATACATGATGCCATTTTTTCCATTGCCGTAATACATGGGCCCAGAAATCCAGCCTTCTTGCACTATTGTACCTAGTAACCCGTACTCACAATTTTGGGCACTCCTTTTCCCTAGACGGTTGCCCATTTTTGTCTCTCCTGCTGAAAATGTCACAATTGGGTCCCACTGGTGGCTGTTACATAAGCAGGCTGTGGCTCTCTGGCTGCCACTGCCACTAAGAAACAGGGGCTCTATATGGCAGGTCCCAGGTTAGCCCTGCCGCTACCCTCACCACCATCCAAAGCTTCCCAGCCCCAGAGAGAACAACATTCCCTATGAGAACCCTGAGTATATGCTTGCCCTGTGGCTGTGTCTGGCTATACAATTCCTGGAACAACTCAGTCCTGGAGGTTGGATCCCATAAGGAAATACCCGCTGTCAATGAGATATTCCTTCTCTGGCCACCCATCATGGACATGGCCTACTGATTTTGCTCTCACTGCTTTCAGCTCCTTTATCTTCCAAAGGAAGCTTATGGGGAGTGGAGATTGGTCTGTCTTATGGGAAAGTCTTCTCCCTCCCTCTGACTCTTTGTACCTCAACTAGCCTGCAGTCTCCTCCTCCTCTAGAGAAAATATGCAGAACTGGTACACTCCTCGTCTCTATCACTGTCTTGAGGTTATAATTGATATCTATGGCTTCCTTCTTCTACTAACCAATCTGTGCTTCCCCATGCTTAGTCAGGACTTCAGCAGACTGGGGTCTTTACCTGGTAGAGTGACCAAAACCTTAATTCCTGAAGGCTCTGAGTCCTCAATTACCCTGCCTATATTTTGGTTACTGTAGTTTTCCATTAACTTTTACTAGTGGGTATGGAAGTGACCTACAGAATCTCCTCGGTTCCAGAAATAGTCTCTCTTGCCCCCATTATATAGCTGCAATCCAATCATCCCGTGGTAATCAGGATCAATCACTCCAGCCAGTAGAGTAACTTCTTATTCTGCCTTTTGATTCAGTGGCCTTGTCCTGGTCTGTTTATGCAGTTATAACAAGATACCTGAAACTGAGTAATTTATAAAGAACAGAAATTTATTTCTCACAGTTCTAGAGGCTGGAAAGTCCAAGATCAGGGTGCCAGCATCTTGTGTGGGCCTTCTTGCTATGTCTTCCCATGGAAGGTGGAAGGGCAAGAGAGGATGAACGCTGTGTTCTCACATGGCAGAAGAGTGGAAGAGCGTGAACCCACCACAAAAGCCCTTTTATGATGGTGTTAATCTACTCATTAAGGTGGAGGCCTCATGACCTAAACACCTTGCATTAGGCCCTACTTCCCAACACTGTTGCATTGGAGATGAAATTTCTGATACATGAATTTTGAAGACACATTCAGACTATCACAGTCCTTAAGCCCAAAATGACCAGATCCTTCTTTCAGTTTAATGAAATCATAGTTGTAGCTCCTGTGTAAAGCTAAAATTCTGTGCATAGATTACTAGACATAATAGTAAGAGATGTAACTCTATTTATATCCCTTGATTCCCAGACCCTTGTATTCTGGCTATGGGGAAATAACGCCATATTATGGTCTCTGACTCAAAGCATATACTATGTCCTTTAAGACAGAACCCAATCCTTTCAGGGTGTTTAATCCCAAATGGTGCTCCAACTGAGTCTTCTGTAAGTGACTGCACCTTTCATTTAGCCCAGCCACTTCCAGTTAATGGGGTATATAGTGAGACCTGTTAATTCCATGGGAATTAATCCATTGCACCACTTTCTTTGCTGAGAAGTGGGTTCTTGGATCAGAAGCAACGCTATGGAGAATGTCATAATGGTGGATAGGCATTTTGTGAATCCATGGATGGTGGTGCTGGCAGAAGCACTATGTGCAAAGAAGGTAAGTCGATTTCTAGAATACATATCTATTCTCATGGTGACAAATCTCTGCCTCCTTCATAATAGAAAAGGTCCATTGTAATCAATCTGCCACCAGGTGACTGTCTACTCACCCCCAGGGAATGGTGTCATATCAGGGGCTCAGTGTTTAGTCTCTGCTGTAGATAGGTTAGGCACGCAGCTATAGTATTAGTACAGCCTTTATAAGGGGAAGTCCACCCTGTTAAGCTCCTGCATAGCCTCCATCCCTGCCAACTTGGCTTCTTTGTTCATGGTCCCATTGAGCAAGCACTAGGGTGGCTGAGGGAAGAGGCTGACAGCTTCTGAGCATGTTATTTTGTCTGATTATTAATCTCTTCTACAGTAATGATGCCCTTTGGGCATTCACACGGGACTCAAATATCTTCACCGTTTGTGCCCATTATGAGAGAGATCCATCCATATATATCTTCCCCAGACTTTATTATCACTAATCTTCCAATCCTGCTCCTTCCAAGTTCCTGTCTATCCAGCCAAACCATTAGCAACTACCTATAAATCTATGTAGATCCATACTTCTATCTTTCATTTCACACTAGTGGACAAGCAAATGCACTCCTCAAAGTTCTGCCCATAAGGTCCAATGAGGACAAAGAAACCACACAGCAATTTTCAAACAGAAAAAAAGTTTAATATGAAGAATTATTAATAAAAGAGCAGAATTAACTCTGGTAAGAGTTAAAGAATATAAGAACAGCAGATATAGGTAGCAGCCACTACCCCTAGGGCTGAGATTGATGCCCACAGAAGAGCCTCTTCCTCCCACTAGGGCTGGGATTAAGATCTTGGAGAGGGGATAGCCATGGCCTACTGGATGAGAAAAAACTAATGAAGGCAGATGACTTGCTGGTAGGACTTGCTGGGAATCTGCCTACTAAGGTGTCAGGGGAAGGTGTCCACACATGCCATGCCTAGGAACTCACTGTACAGTCACCTGAGGGAGTCCTGGGGGAAACCACTCACAAGGATGAGTGTGGCATTCCACTGGAAGGTTGCCAGAGGACATGGTTGAGAGGGAGGGGGCTGTGAGTCACTGGGCACTATAGGAGCTCAAAAAGCCCCATCTGCAGGAGCAAGGCATTGGGAAAAGGAGTTCACTGCATGAGCCTAGCACAGCAGAAACTACATGCTCTCAGGACCTAAGCCTGGAGAAAGCATGCTCTGTAGGAGCCTGGTGGACCAGGCTCATGGGAACCAGGAAGGGGAAACCCCTTCTCTCTCCAGTGTCCCTCCAATGCTCTTTGTCAATAAGGGAAAAATATTTACAAAGCCCACCTCCATTATCAACAAGCAGGAAAATAAGGGTAGATTTGGAGCTGAAAGGCAATATATTGATAACTGGCATGGATGTAGGGGTGTCAGGAAGTGGCGCCAGAGAGGAAGGCAGGGAGTAGGCCAACATATGTATATTATTCTGTGAATAAACTGAGCAAACAAAGCTCTTGATCAATAAATAGGCCTAAAGCAATCAGGAAGCAAAAAATGAGCTCCTCTGCCTATGCCCCCCATTCCACCCACCACACACACACATACACACGCACAAAGATGACAGGCTCAATCCAAAGATGGGGACTGGATGTTCTCAGTTCTGTTTGACTCTAAGCAAACCACCGTTAAAAAACAAACCTTGTGGTCCTGACATTGAAATGAGCACCTTCTCTCATTTCCCTGGAACCTGGCCAGGGCTGAGCTAACAGTAGGTGCTTAATAACAGTCAGTTGCTTTGAAAGAAAGAGTTCTGTTGTTGTTTTTTTTTTAGTTCCACTCCATCAGTGACTGCACTTTTTGTTCAGGGTCATCCCTTGTCCTGGAGTCATCCTTCTCCAAGGCAGCACCCTCCTGATGAACCCGGCTGGTTCCTGGGAACTCACTGTGTCTGGAGGCTCTCTCCCACCCCATGTGAAGGAAGCATCATCCTCAATCAATGTTGCCACACTTCTGACCTCTTGAATGCTGGCAATGTCCGTCCATTCTCATGACTAAGTGAGCTTGGAGTGTACCAGTCAAGGAAAAGGGAGGAGAAAGGAGAAACCAAACTTTGAGTAGCAATTGTCTACAGTGTGTGGCTTAGAGAATCAAGCTGACACAGGCCAGAGAATACAGGCCTCAGCAAGGACTATGAGGTTGGACAAGGCTTCACAGAATTTCTGGCACTGGAGCTGGGCCTCCTGACAGCTTTCTCTCCAAGCAATTATGGGCCACCTAAAGAAATGAGACTGCAGGAAATATAAGAATATTTTTGAAGAATATGAATGATCATAAGAAAAGGGCGAACTATGAGAATGGCCTCTGACGATGGCTGGCAGGAGAAGCGGGTGGATGTAGGAAAGGCTGCATTAATTCACTGTCTTTCTACAAGTGCTTAGGGAGCCATGGTTTTCAGCTTCTTAGCCAAGAGCTTGGCATTTTGCTGCATGGGTGCTGTGCTTAATCTAGGGCATGTCCATTCCAAGGTCTCTGATGGGTACACACATAGTCCTCTTTGCATCCTGTATACCCATGATCATCCTAACCCCAAAGCCACCCCCTACTACCCAGGACACATAGTCAAAGAAACCCTGCATGTGCATCTTCAATGCCTGTATTCCCTCACTCATTCAAACCACTCTGTGTAGCCCGAGCCCAGCCCTTCCTGGCTTTAGAGCCTTAGCCTGTGCTGTTGTGTTGCCTGGGATTCCTTTCCCTCCACCCTTTGTACACTGGCTCCTCCTAACCCTTCTGGTCTAAGTATAAAGGCACTACCCCAGAGAAGTCTTCCCTGACTACCCCATCTGAGTCACTGGCCACTCTCACCAAAGCACCCTGTCTGCTATTTGTTACCCCTTCTTCAACTGTGGTTCACCTGTTCGTATTCCTTCTCCCCAGCCGGCATACAGTCACCACCAAGTCAGGTACCCAACATAGTACCTGGGATGGATTAGACACTCAGTCAACACTTGATGAAGAAAACAATAAAGCCTTATAGACTCATGTCCCCCTCATGAGGGGTGCCCTAGCCAACTGACACCAAGTCAATCATTTACACCATTTTTTTTCAATTTGTGTTATTAACCACAGAACTCTTTTCCACCCTAAAATAATCTTATCCCACAAGACCCCATACCTAGTGATTTCTGTGGATGCTGTTGCCAAACACCTCAGGGCAAGGGCCAGGCACAGGACAGGGTTCCCGCTATTGTCTCTACTCCATCTTCCCATAAATTGGTTAGCTGGGACCTCCTCACTGAGTCGCATGGCTCCAACAAGAATCCAAAGCTGGCAACAGGAACTCTGCAGGGCTCTCCCAGAGGGAAGCTGGGAAGTTAAGGCTGCAGGCTCCAAGCCCTTGTTCCTGGAAGAGAACTAAGGAACTGGTACCATAACCGGTGTCCAGGCTGCTGGTTTGCCCCAGTTCTGGGCAGCCACAGGCCCCCAGGGGCATAATGACCAGCTAGTGCCTTGTCTTCTCCTGCCTCTTCCATGCTTTTACTGTGATTCTCATCCACAGGCACCAGAAGAAGGGGACTTTCTAAGCACTGTTTACATTCTTGTCATTTTGCCTGTGTTTAGACTTACAAAAAAATGCATCTTAATCATTTACAAGCAATCATAGGCCCTCATGGATTTCAAGTAAACTTTCCTATAAACCAGTCAACTTCAGAGTCTCTGTTCCCTCTAGGATCATAAACCCTCAGAGCTGGTAGGCCCTTAAGCTAGAGAAATTGAGGCCTTGGGGTTAGGGACCTGCCCAGGCTCACATGGCACTTAGTGCTACAGCTGGGCTGGAGCGCAGGTCTCCTGCTTCCACAGCCTGTGATTTCCATTTCATGAAAAGAAAAATCAGAGCCCATCAGCACAATGTTTCTGAGGGCATGTGGTTCTAGTTTTTAAGAGAACAAACTGATTTGAGGTTTCAAAATATTAATGTACTTAAGGTTTGGAGTAGGAATGTACATTAAGTGCACTTTCTTGGTAGTCAGCCAGGCTCCATCGTCAGGCAGGCTGGCTGCCTGATAGGAGTGCCCTGGGACTTGGGGTGCTGAAAGCATCTGCTGCACAACTCCAAGGCCTAGGACCCGAAACTGTCAAGACTTCAGCATGGCTCCAGTTAAAAGTGCCAGACCCCAGAGGCAGCCCAAGAGCAGGTCCTGGGAGAGAATGACAAAGACCTGCCCTCTCTAGCCAGTGCTGAGGATTTTCATTCAAACTCTGCACTAATTTGGGGGTTGAGGCTACCTGTACTTCATAAGACTCTCAGTGGACCCCGGAATGAATCTCCCCGTTGAGGCCTCTCATCACAGGCCACACAGGCCTGAGCCCAGAGAGGAAGAGTCTAGTGCAAAGCCAGAAGACACCAGGAGGCCCTATGCCCCTAGGACCACCACCTTCCTCTCTCTACAACCACAGGCCCAAGGCAGGAAATGAAACAAAGATCCTTCTAAAGCGCAGTGGTGGAATTTCCAAGCAGTGCTCCCAGAGAAGAGGCCTAAACTCCAAGGAGTCATACTACAAAGAAAGCTAGGGCCCCAGGGATTCCCGCCACAGGTCCTGTTCTGCAGAGAGCATTGGACTGGCACTGGCTTGGGATGGTGAGGAAGGCCCAAAGGCTGGCTTAAGAGCCTCAGGAAAACAGAAAGTGACCCCTTCCCTGCCATGAGCACAATGCAAAGACTTCATGTGTCCATGTGTCCCAGAGCCCAGGAGGCCTCCTCTGCACATGCCCTGGCTCTGTCCTCCAGGAGGCTGGGGGCTGAGGGTGGGTAGAGCACTGAGGACTGCTCTACCCTAATGAGGACTGCTCATTAGGACCCTAGGCCCTAATGATCTCCCCAGATTACAGAGATTTGGGGACAAGATGTTTTTAGAGCAAAGTCACTGATAACATCCCCAAGCTCTGGTTGTGCCATGGCCCCATGCATGACTGTGCTGTGCTTGAGGGAAGGGAGGACACAGCTCCTGTCCCTGGGATTCTTACAGAACAAATGGAGAAGGATAATAAAAATAAGTCTAAATATAATGCGGTGCCCTGGATTGGATCAAGGAACAGAACAGGACACTAGTAGAAAAACCTAGTAAAATCCAAATAAAATCTAGAATTTAGTTAATATAAAGTACCAGTGTTGGCTTCTGAGATTTTTTAAGTTTCCTCAAAACTCATTTATTTGTTTATTTCTAGTTTTATTGAGGTACAGTATAATTGACAAATAAAAACCGTATGTGTTTTTGGTGCAGAACATGACGTGTGATATAAGTACACATTGCGAAATGATTACCACAATTGACCTAATTAACATATCCATCATCTCATATAATTACCTTTTTGTGTGATGAGAACATTTTTCACTCTCTAAGCAAAGAGTGTACAATATAGTATACAATATATTGTATATCATATAATATAATATTTCAAGTATACAATATAGTATTATCAGCTATAGTTACCATGATCTCTAGAACCTATTCATCCTGTATAATTGAAACTTTATGCCCTTAGATCAACATCTTCCCATTTCCCCCACTCCCTAGTCACTGGCAAACACCATTCTACTTCTGATTCTATGAGTTCAACTTTTTTAGATTCCACTTTTCAGTGAGATGATGTAGTGTTTGTCTTTCTGTGCCTGGCATATTTCACTTAGCATTATGTCCTTCCCATTGTATATATATATATATATATAATGGGAAATTATATTATAAATGCGTATATATATACATAAATGGGAAATTATATATATAATGAGTATATACATTTAATCAGTACTTTACATGAATTAGATCATTAAATCCTTCCAAAAACTTTATGGAGACTACAATTATAATCTTCATCTTACAGCTAAGGAAACTGAGGCCAAAGCTGTAGACATCCTGAGTCTAGGTGGCCAGGAGGTGGTGGCTCAGAAGTCACCAGAACTTGAAGGAACAGAGATAAGGCAGCCACCTATACAACCTCAGGTATGGAGGGACTATTGGATCAACTTGCTAAATGGAAATCCAAGTCTAAATAAAAATGAGTGATCTGCCATAAGGCTCCTGAAACACATGCTGGGTCTCCTGAACTCCCTCCAGAGCCAAGCCGGCCGGAGAGGGCTCTTCCTCCGTGTGCAGCGTCCTCAGTGAGAATGCCACCAACACCCCTGCCTGCAGTGTGCAAATCCTTCCAGCGGGAAATTAAATTCTTTCCTATTTCCTCCCCTAGGGCCTTGGAACGTAATCCTCAGAAGCTTACTAAGGGAAAATTCTTTCTTCCTTCTATTTATAAGATTTTTTTTCAAGATTCAAAACACTTCCTAAGGCTCTTTTTCACACAAACAGAAAACTTGCAGCTATTCCCAAGTCTCTTATTAAGAATGAATTCCTGTGGCCATCTTATTGCCTGGTCATGCCCATCAATGCAATCCCTTGGCCCTATTCTCTTTACTCCTCCCTTGGCCCTGAACTTCACTGCCAGCAATTGTAGTTCAAGTTATGAGATAAAGGGAGAAGTTCTACATTCTCTCCAAACAGCACATGAGCCTACACAGGCAGAGAGCAGATTAAAGTCTCTGAGTTTTCTCTTTTGGGTATCTATGCTTTCCTGAGTGCTGGAACTATGAAGCAGCTGCTAGTAAAACATGAGCCACTGAAGGACAAGCCCCAGGCAGGAAGGAAGAGGTTTCATGTGGGGTCCAGTAGTCTCTGCCCTCAATTTCAATCATGAGCAGCAGAGACCAGGCTGACCTGTCTTCCCTAAAAACACTTTTCTAAGAAGGGTTATGATCACAGACTTGGCAGAACTCAGGGCACTTGCGCAACCATGTCACAGCAACTCAGAGTGAATTCGAACTCAACACATGTGTCAGGCTTTGCGCTTAGTGGCTGAATCAATCTTATTAGAAAAAAATCCCCATTTCGTCCTCAAGGTTTTAACCACTTTCTAGTGGTGACGCCAGCTAGCAAGGCCACAGCTGAGACGCTGATGGTTGTTCAGGGGTATTTCATGCTCAGTGAATAATTATGTGAACAAAATAACACAAAGTGGTTGCCAACAGCTATTAGACCTGTGAAAAATAACAATGGAAAACTCAGTTGACTGGCTATCAAAGGGCCCTCACAGAAAGGAGGAAACCAGCTGTGGCTCCACATCTGTACACTCAAACACAATGCAAAAGAAGTGAACAACCAAAGGGAAAACTGTCCACAAGTCCTTACTCTCGGAATTATATCAACGCTCCCGTACGCCATTTAATTGGCTGAGAGTTGGTTTCATTCCAAACTGGCGTGCACCTGAGCAGTGCAGAGGAAGCCTTGTGGAGCCTTTGGCTGTTTTAGAATGGGGACAGATGGAGCAGGAGACAGGAAAGCGGATCCCCCTTGCCTTCAAATACAAGAGTTCTTGTATTTGAACTGGAGTTCTCTCTTCAGAGACTGCACTGCCTTCCACTGTAGGTAAGCCCAGCTCAGAAGTCAACAGTGATGGCAATGGAAAGCCTTGGTGGAAAGTCCCTCCCTGCAGGTAAAATCAGTGCTAGGTGGCAGCCTCACTGTCAACTTACACTTGGGAAAGTGACCTCCCGGGCATGAGGATGAGCAGAAAAATGGTCTTCATTTCATTTCTAATCTCTGGGGAAAAGTTCCATGTGTTGTGCAAAGAGCATGGCTTTGGAACCACACAAATCTGGGTCTGACTCCTAGCTCCATCATTCATCAGCTGGGTGGCCTCAGGGAGGTGACTTAACCTCTCCGAGCTTCAGTTTTCTTATCTGCTTTGCAGGGCTATGATGAAGACTAATGATAATGAATATAAAGCCTCTGGAATGATGGCAGTGATGCAGACACTTAGAACAAATGCTGGCTATTTTCATTAATATTAGCAGGTGGCACTGCCCCAGACAGCCTAGAGACATGTGCACCTGGGGTTCATCAGATGTCACCATCAATCACAAATCTGCACTCAGATCAGAAACATTACTGCCCCAAACCCTCATGGCTTTTACCGTCTGTGTCAGACGGTAAAAGTCAGACTCCAGAATTTTAGCTGTCCTGTGTCATCTTCCACCACCTGTTTTCACAAGTCCCAGGTTCCCACCATATTAGGCTTCTCAGTCCAAATATGCCCTGCTCAGTTCTGACACTTTTGCAAAGGCTGGCCCTCCTACTGGGTTTTTTTTTTCTCCCCATCCGCAACTTGCTGAAATTCCATTTGTCTTTCAAAGTCTGTCTCATGAATCATCTTCTCCAAAGAGCCTTCTCTAATCTCTTTATTTGAATAACCTCCTTGGCCCCTCCATAGCACAGTGTGTAACATCAAATGCTTATCATAAGAACTAGATTAAAGTATCTATTTTCTCTGAGATCAGTCCTCTGGCTCTAATAAAGAGTGTGGGCTCTGGAGTTTAAACCCTGGCTCTTCCTTTTACTAGCAGCAGCCTTGGTCAAGTTACTTAGCTCTCTAAGCCTTAATCTCCTCATCTGCAAAATAAGATGATAATCATAGCGCTAAACACATGGCATTGTTGGGAGGATTAAATGTGATGATGCTGGTGAAAATGTCTGCCACATATTAGTGCAGTAAATGTTGGTAGCTGCTGCTCTGAGAACTTGTGCGAGTTAACGGGGTCGCTGCTCACTAACCTGGGAGCTCCCCAAGGCCAAGAACAAGATTGTCCCACAGAAAAAACATGGTTTCTGGCATGACGAGATGCCCATAAATGTTGGCTGAAAGGACCGGACTTTCCATTGGGAGAGTTGACTCTGCGAAGGCTGAGATGGTGTCTGTCCTGACCTCTCTGAGTGGGGCAGAGGGCAAGTCACCCCTTCATTAGCATTGCAGGAGAGCAAGGCCCATGAGAGACAGGCTAGATGGGAGATGCTCTTCTGTGCAGTGATGGGGCCATCTTGGCACCAAGAACCAATTCTTGTTCCACCCTTACTTCCAGCCCAGAGGCTCTTCCTGCAAGTGTGGCTGACTGACATTCTGAATTGGTCACCATAGAAGGGCCTAGAAACTCAGCTCAGCCTTCTCTTCACAGAGTCTTGTGTGTTCAGCCCCAGACTGAGAAGGGCTGAAAACACACAAGGACTCTGGCCTCATTCTCACTGAGGCTGCAGCTGTTCTCAGCTTTTTCCCCACCGCCCGTCAGGAAGCAACTCAAAAACATAATCAAGCAGCTGTGTCTGTAAAAAGAACCTGCTTCAGAACAATACATCGTGTCCACCAAGGATGTGTCGCAGTCCGGGTGACGGGACGGCTGACATACATGTTGGGGGCTGAGTCTATTCAGCGCACCCCAGACTGCTGACTGTTCTCTGCCCACTTCCCTTCCTGTGTGCTGGGGGTTTAGGACTTGCGTTGCTGCCGCCCTGGCTCCCACTGGCCTGGGTCCTTTCCCTCAGAGCCTATGTGTGAGATAGTCTCTCAATTTCTTTGCAGAAGCCATAAGTGATGTGCTTAGTCCTGTGGATACCATCTGAGCCTGTGCCCTTTTCTCTCTACTCTTGAGCAAGTGCCCATCAGGAGCCACATTTGAGTCAGGACCTGCCAAGAGCATTTTCATCTCATCCTCAGTTCCCCTTTTGTCTGGAACCACTCGCTATGAGTTTCTATGAGATCGTAGCCAGGTTTGACCAAACCACTCCTGCACACATGTTGTTTTGAAAGATTAGCACAGAATCCAACACAACATTTCCCTTGGATTCATCTTTCAAGCCAACAGAGAAAGAGCTATTTCCAAAAAAATAACACATTATTAACCAATGAATAAGAGCCAAGAAAACAATGTAGCCAGCATATTTATTCCAAACAGCTTGTTTAGAATGCAAATTGCAAATACATCTATTTCCACCCGGCTCTTTGGGGAACCATGCTGTAGACCTCTTTGAGCCAGCAGAGCCAAGCAAGCTACCTAAGGGGTTTTGGTCCTGCCCACCAGGCAGGGGCTGTCCCTGACAGGGCAGTCCTGGGTTCTCCCAGGTAAGAACTTGCTCCATGCCAAAGGGCTCCTTCCCAGAGCCCTGCTACCTCTCACACCTCCCACTTGAGAGCAACACTCCTTCATCCCAAGCTCTACCTTTGCCTTAAAAGCAGCCATCTGGCCCTAGTAATCAGCACCATCAGAGAAGCCTCCCTCTAAACAAAGGTAATTTCCCTGTGAGAAGAGAAAACCAAACACCACTATGACAGCCACCATCAGTAGATGTCAGAACTGGCCCCCAAGCGTGCGAAGGTCCAAACCAATTTGATTTATGAAAGCTAAACAAACTTCCCAGTAGGTTTGGCATATCCATAGCATTGGAGAAAGGCCTTAATTATACTACCACTGCTCATTAAAGAGATAAGATCTTAGAAAAGACAAGCTATGTTCTGCCTTCAGAAAAATATGTAAAGCCATCTGGCTCTATGTATTACACTAGTTGTCAATAGCCTGAGGCTATATGAAATGCCCAGCATTTTCATCTTCCAGGCTCTGGGGGTGGAAGAGGAGTGAGATGTCCAAGTGAGCACTCTGCGACTAGCAGCATGGTGATGAAGGGGATGATGGTGATGTATTGGAGCATTCCTGTTTCCACAGAGCCCCAGAGACAGATACTGCACATGGACTAGATGAGATGCCAAAGCATAATAAAAAAGCCAAAGAAAGAAACAGCGCTGGAGTTTATCACAGAAATGCCTCCTGTTGGGTAAGCAAGGGAATAAGATTCATATGACCCCTTTCCCAAGCCAGAAGGGACAAATTCTGCCCTACAGCTACCCAAAGAGGTCATCACTAATGCTGATTGGAGAGCATCAGTTAGTATTAATAAGAACTGACTATGTAAGCAAGAGTTCCAGTACCCTCTGGGAGCCTATGTTGTTCTTCAAATGAGAGTCCCTTGGAGCAAATATTGATTTATACTGAGTCTACACTACAGCACAAGCCCCACAAGTCCCTCTTCTCACAATCAGGACCCAGAGAAAGAGCCAACTGTGAAACTTAAAAGACTTTCTGCACCAAAGGACTCTCAGTCCTTGGACCTCTCTTCTTCCCTCTCCATCCTTATTCCTTAGAGGATTTCATTCATCCAAAGGTCACAAATATCTTCTAAAATCTATTTCTACATTTATTTCTCCATGACAGGCCTCTTCCTCAAACCCTATATTTCAAATCGAACTGCCAACCTGACATTTCAGACTTAACACGTCCCAAGCCAAGCTTCTGATTAATCGTGTATGTTGACCTGCAATGATATTCATTTTATTAATTCCAGTATTTTTTTCTGTAGATTCTTCAAGATTTTCTACATACAAGATGACATTGCTTGTGAATAAAGACAGTTCTATTTCTTTCCAATTTATATGTCTTTAATTTCTTCTTGCTCCATTTCAGTGCATATGACTTCCAACGAAATGTTGAATAGAAATGATGAGTACAGACATCCTTGTCTTATTCCTGATCTTAGGGGAAAAATGTTCAGTCTTGAATGATTAAGTATGATGTTTGCTGTAGATTTTTCATAGATGCCTTTTATCAAATTGAGAGAGTTCCCTTCTATTCCTAGTTTTCTGAGAATTTTGATCATGAATGGGTGTTAAATTTTTGTCAAGTGCTTTTCCTGTATTTATCAAGATGATCATATGGTTTTTCTTTTTTGTTCTTTTAATCATAGTGAGTTATGATTATTAATTTTTAAATGGTAAACCAAGCTTCTATTTCTGAGATAAATTTCAATTGGTCATAACTAGTATAATACTTTTTATATATTTCTGGGTTCAATTTCCTTATAACGTGTTAAGGATTTTTTATGTTTGTCTGTGTTCAGAGGGATATTGGTCTTTAGTTTCCTCTTGTATAATATTTTGTCAGGTATTGTATCATGCGGAAGGTTTTATTCTTTTTTATTTGTTTTCAGCCAGTGACTATAATGTCCCTTGGTATGGGTTCTTTTAAATGAATCCTACTTGGGGTTTGCTGATCTTTTGAAGTTGATGTTTTCCAAAAAATTTGGGAAATTTTGAGCCAATTATTTCTTAAAGTATTTTTCTGCCTCATTCTCTCTCTTATCTTTGAAGCCCTCCAATTACTCATATGTTAGATTGCTTGCTATTTTCCCATAGGACATGAGTCTCTGTTCAATTTTTAACTCTTTCTTTTCTCAATTCTTCAGATTGAAACATTTCCATTGTTCTCTCTTCCAATTCACTGGCCCTTTCGTCCACAGTCTGCAATCTCCTGTTAATCTAGTTCAAGGAATTTTTCATTTTAGATATTGTGCTTTTCAATTTAAAATTTCCATTTGGTTTGTTTTTACAGTTTTCATCTGTTTCCCCATTAAGTCCATCTTTTCCTTTAAGTTCTTAGACATATTTATAGTAAGGTTTTTAATTCCTTGTCTGCTAATTACAACATCTGGGTTGCCTTATGGTTTTTATTTTTTCTTGACTAGCAATCACATTTTACTGCTTCTTAGTATGTCTAGTAATTTTTGTTGTATTCCTCACACTGTTCCCACTGTTTGGGAATCTGAATAATGTTCTCATCCTTTAAAAGCTATTGCTGTTTGTTCTAGAAGATACTTGTCATTGGTGGGTCCTCTTGATATTGCTGAGTTTGATTTTATTCTTTGTTAGAACTGATCTAGTTTGGGTTTTGTTTCTTTTTCCTTAGTCTCAGGGTATGAACTTTACTCTAGAGCATGGTCCTTATTCCTAATACATGACCTTTCCAAGATAATAACTGAATGTTTGAGATGCTTATTGAGTTCTCTCCATTCTGGCTTGATCATAATTCATCTTTGAGCTCTTTGAGACCTCTTATATTTATATTAAGCTCCCAAACCCTGAGCAGCCACTCTCCCCGCCTATACACAAACACTGCAGCCCTCAGCCAAGAATCCGAGGACTCCTATTTAAATTTCTGAACAATTCTTGTCATCTACAATATCCTACCCCATTGCATGCCCAAACTCTGATTTCTGCCTCATCTGTCAATTTTGATTTGCTATATTTTATTTTTTCAAAAAAGCTGGTGATGGGTGTTTGTGGAATATAAAGCTTTCTGAACAACACATAAGAGCTGTGAGACTGAAAGTTTTCATTGTCTGGCATCTCCCTTGCTGTACTATAGCCCTTTATGCACAAAAGTAACTTCTGATGATCTTAGAACCATTATAAAGACAAAGTTGGTAGTTAACAGCCCCAGCTGTGCCAAGTAACTGTTGCCCAAAAGAACATATTGAATGCACTTTTCATATCTGTTGGTATCTGAATATCATTTTTGGGCCGCATATTTTTCGTATTTTAGCTTCTTGGTTAATCAGACAGCGTGGCTATGAGACTAATACTACTTAAGTTCTTTGAAAATTCAATTTAAAATGTAGTATCTAATCCATTTAGTTAGAAGAAGAAGGTGAGAGCAAAAATTTGAAAGAAATGAAAGTCATTTATATTTAAGATTGTGTTTTGTCTTGCTGGGTTTTTTTGAGAACATAATACCTTGTCATTGGCTTTCTTGACAAGATGCAGAGGAAAGGTTCATATAGTGCTTATATAGAGTTGAAACATGGTGTATCACGATTTATATAAAGACAATGATGTATGCAGATTATGGTTTTCATTAAATCTGAGGCCAATTGATCATAAGACGTTATATTTGGTATCTAAATTAAACTATGACATGATACCTTATCAATAGCCATGTGAGACACATGAAATCAATCACACCACTAATGCTTCAAAATTTCTTTCATCCTATCCCTGGGGATTTGGTATTTCTCTTTCCTTTAGTAGCATGACTTAAGTGATACACAATCCACTGCACACAACTCAGAAACAAAATGAGCACAGTTTTATCTACTTGTGGCTAACTTATTTGTTTAGGTCTTGTAAAGCCTTGTTACTCAAACTGTGTTCTGGACCTGAAGCATTGATATCACCAGGGTGTTGGCTACAAATGAAGAACTGCTGCCTCCCCTCCCCCACCTACCAAATATTTTTAACAATATTCCCAGGTGATTTGATTTGTTGGCACATTAAAGTGTAAGCCATATTTTCACACAGTACTTGGTGTTCTGCAAGAAAATACAGAATTTCGGTTATTTCTCCAGTGACAAATATTAATATTTGTTTCACTAATATCAGTTTTACATCTACTCTTTTTTTGTTTTATTTCAATACCAAAGCATAGTATAATTTATTTTAAAACATTACAAATTTCAATTAAACTTAACATATGTAGAATCAAAATGCATACAGCTTCAAAACACAATTGCAGCGAATATGTTAATAGCTAAGACCAGGTCTTCACATGCATAGATGATGACAACTATGTCACAACTGTTCCGTGGCTGACAGTAACTGCACAATGCCCTTAATTTTATAGATGTTAAAATGTGGAAAATAAGGAGAAAAGTATATCTTAAAATTGGTGAAATAGAATAAGTGATGAAAAACATACTCATTCTTGATCTAGATTTGGGCTTTTCTGATGCCAGGAATCAAAGTACTTGAGCTACAACAACAACAACAACAACAACAAATACAGCCCAAACATCCAGTACAGGCCTTGTCTATGTGGCCTGCCTAGTCAGTAGAGTCTCCAATTAGTTTCCCGAAAAATGACAGGAGGCTGAGGATGCCACCTTAACAAAGAACAGGGGTTGAGCCCCCTAACCCACCTTGTAACCAAAGTCTCTGCTACTTGTGAAAGGGATTTTCTGTGCTTTGCTATCTACCAGAGTTTTCAGCACTCTTGCATTTCTCTCCCGATGGAAAAACACATTGGCCAAAGAAGACCTGCTGGGTTAAATAAAATTGCTATACTCCTCATCTTGATCTTTAGCATGAAAACACTAAGGAGTTAGGGGCCATGAATAAATGAACCCCTCAACAATCTTTCATCCAGTTTTCCCTGATTGGCTTCAGAGACTGAAGCTCTTGAAGTTGGTAACATCTTTCTCTTTTTTGTGTTCCTTCATGCTTGCTCGAACTTTCCTTTCCAAGAAGTGGGAGGCATGGGGGTCGGGGGGAAGAAGAGGAGAGAGAAAGAGAATTAATTAATTAGTTGATTTAATCTGGAAATCCTGGGAATTCTGCAGCAGCCACCTCTTTACGAAGCTTTCCTCCTCTGGTTCAACTCCAGCAGGAAGGTATGGTTTCACTGTGTAGGTTGTTTCACCATTTTCAGAACCAGCATGTGATAGAAATTTTACTTGTTGGTGATTTGTGTTGACCACATTGGTGATAAATTATAAACTCTGAAGGCCAGAGACAGGGTCAGTTTAACTCACTGTGCATATCAACTCCAAATCTAAATGGCTATTAAACAAATGCCATTTACTGCTGTGAGTAGCTGTGTTTGTTCACAGCAGCTGGCTTTTAAAGGTCATCTTTTATATTTCCACCCTACTCGTAACGGATACCCACTCTTCCTCTCTATCCCTCTGCACCAAGGCAGCATAGAAGTTGGGGAGTTCCTCCTGAGTCCCGTGGGAAGCAGACCCCACTTCAGCAGAGATGCAGAACGTGGCTTGGTTTGGCTATCAATAGCCCACATGTTTTCTGGTGTGTGAATATAATGTTACTCAACCTCGAGGTAACGGAAGTTGAAAATTGGCACCAGAGTCCAATATCTAAAGACTTTGGCTACTGTGCATGCAGTTGCTACAGATGATGTTTCTAATACAAGAACTATGGGCTTATTCCACTCCACATGCTGAGCTATTGATCAGGCCTAATGATGGTGCTGTTAAATCCCCTGCCTGTCACTGCAACGTGAGCAGATTCCTGCAGCCATATGTGTGACAGAAGCTACCCAGAGCTTCATGGGGAAGGTGTTCTCTGCTCTTAGAAGTCAGACACAGAAACTGGTCCCTTTCCATAGCAGGGACACCAAAAATAGCAAACCACAAACATTGTAGCAATTTACATATGACTACCATTGAGGCTTAAAATTTCACATCATCTTCTTTGACCATCCAGTCAGAAGTGACCTTTCTACAACTGGAGACCTCCAAGCACATTCTCTGCCCCTCTCTCATGGAACAAAATACTTAAGAGTCTTGGCTGACTTGTCTCTCGCTCATTAAACAGTGAGCCACCAAGAGCTGAGACCATGCCTCACTCACTGTTTCCCCACAGTGTCCAGCACACGGCCTGCACAAAGTAGATGCTTTATTGTGATTGTCGAATGAAATTAACTGGAAATGTAATGAGCTAGATCTGGAGTAACCTATATGTGGGCAATCTGGTGGTCAGTACAAGATTATTATCCAAGACCAGTACATAATCATTACTCTTTTTTCATGAGAATCATTCACCTCTAATCTTAACTCCCTTCTTCTTTAAATATCTGTAGAAATAGGAACCAGAAATGGGAATGGGGAGTTGGGGGACTACTCATTAATAGGAAAGAATGACAGACTCTGGCTGGGTATAATTTTCTGACATTTGCTTCGGGATGGACTTACTTTGGTCCTCAAAAAGGTATCAAATCTGACAGACGTCAGACAGAAGGAACGATGACTGGAATGGGCTGTACCAAGAGGTAGTGGGTTTCCTGTCACTTAGCGGTATCCCATTAAAGCAGTGGTATGCAGGATCTGGCTCATACTTTCTCGTGAGAGCTAGCTGTCAGTATCTCTTCCCAATTCTGCGTTCATGGATGTCTTGTTGGTAAATTGAAACCAGCCGTGGTGGGACTATTTATACCATGGAAACTGACAACCGCAAATCAAGACTGTTTTACTTTCTCCAGAGAGCCACTTGTTAAACATTTACCAGCATACCACTGATTCATTCAAGGCAAAATGACCAGTATTAAGAAAATCTGTAGATGAAATCCTGCACTAAAGCATTGGCTGGTAAGATAACCTCTAAGGCTCCTCTAGTGCCAAGGTTTCAAAACATCTCTTATCCCAGCTGGAGACAGAGGTCCCATGCCTGGGATTGTTGCTGTTGTTGGTGTTATCATTACCAGCTTCCCAGGTCTGTCCACTCTACCTGTTTAATTATGGACTTAGCAGAGGTCTGAATCCAACACTACCATTACAACCAGACCCCAGCTCAATAAACGCAGTTTCAGCATCTGGCAAGCAATCCCTCTCAGAGCCCTGAGCTGGCAGATGTCTTGAGATGATTTCCTGATCTGTGGCAGGAGAATGTTCCACCAACCCCACTGCAGTTGTGGAATAGCCCTGGATTCCACACGCTGGTACACCCACAGAGGCCAGAGGGCAGAGTCACAATCACTAGAGTTTTCCTGCAGACAGAGGACACCTTCAGAGGCCAGCCCCAGGAATCCTGTTCCCATGTGGAACAGAGACATGGGGGGCCACCGGGAAGAAGGATGGGTATGTGGAGTCAGAGGAGACACAGATGGAGGCAATTAGCCATTGTCATAAAACAAAGCTGCAGCAACAGCAGTACTCACTGCCTGGGTGACACTTGTCTTCCTCCCATGAATAAGGAATTCATCTGGCTCCAGAGTTCTTGGTCTTTAGAGCCCCATCTGCCCTGGAGAGATGACTCTCCCCAATGTGGCTATGGCTACTTGGTTTCTTCTTAACACGGTGGCACAGCGCAGGCCTGGCATGCAGCAGATTCTTAAAAAGTATTTGCCTAGTGAGCAAACAAATGAGGAAGCCATTGGAGCTCTGTCTTGGGACTCCCAGACTTCACCCCCTTTTGAGGGTCCAAACAAGCTCCTCTCCTCCAGAAGGCCTTTCTAAACACAGGTGTCAACTATGTCATCCACCCAGGACAACACTGAACCCCAAATCACTGCTTTCCCTTCTCAAAAATCTTCCAATGCAAGTCAGTCTTTTATGACCTTCTCTTTGGGTTTGTCTTGTTTCCCTAGGGAAATCATGAGCTCCTGGAAGGTAGGGCCCAAGCCTTCTCTTTCTCTAGTGTCCTTCCATGGTGTTGAGTTCAACATAAGCTGGACATATCTTAGGAGTCCCATGGCCCCATGATGATTGGCCATTAGCCAGAACTTCCACTCCTTGGGTCACAGCTCAGCTCTAGAAGGTATTTCGCCCTTCCCTCCTGAATGGCTTCTCCTAGATGATTTTGGAAGAGATGCCTGTTATTTGCATTTGGTACACTGGGTTGCAGGATGGACCCTGTGCCAGCATCGTCTCCTTGGCCGTTAACAGAAGTGTCCACCACATCCCTCTTGAGGAGGCAGCATAGTCCACAGGCCAAGCACACACAGCACCCCCACACCACCTAGGCAAGTCTAGAATTGGCCCTGCCTTCTTACCTTGTTTTTGGAGAGCAAATAGGACTGGTGAGAGATAGAGCCATGGGCAAGGTACCCCCATAGCACAGCAACAGAAGTAGAAGAATGCACTCGGCCTTGCCCAATTCTAATTTAGTCTCTGAAAATAGCTCAAGCTCTGGGAGAAATGCATCTACCCTCCCTGATACTGAGAGAATTCAGAAGTTATGTGAGGAATATGTTAGCCATTTGCCAATATAAGATTTAAATTAAGTTAAAAAAAATTTAAAGATCACAATATTTATGCAGATTTTAAAATTGAGCAAACAATATATTTGCCACATCACTGATGCAAGAAGAGGAAAGGAAAATCAGCCTCCCTCTCCATTAGATTAAAAATCTAAATCCAGAAGAATTAGTTTTCATTTTCAGTTCTCAACTTGGTACCCTGAGAGTGGACTTGTTTTGTTCAAATGAGACACTATTAGATCATCCTCACATCTACATGTCTACCTCAGTCTGCTTGGGCTGCCACAAGAAAGCGTGTGGCTTAAACAACAGAAATGTATTTTCTCATAGTTATGGAGCCTTGAAATCCAAAATCAAGAGACAGCATGGTTCTGGAGGGGGCTCTCTTCCTGGCTTGCAGGTGGCTGCCTTCTTGCTGTGCGCTCACATGGCCTTTCCTGGCATGTGCACTGAGAGTCAGGGGAGAGGGAGATCTTCCTCTTTTTATAAGGCCACCAACCCTATTGAATTAGGACCCCACCCTTATGACCTCAGTTACCTTAGTTACCTCCTGAAAGCCCTATCTCCAAATACAGTTACATTTGGGATTAGAGCTTCAACATATGAGTGGGGCAGGGGGACACAATTCAGTCCCTAGCAATGTCTGTGATGAGTTTCACTATGCCTCAAGCACACAGTTCTTCCAGCCCAGGCACCTTTCTCATGGGCATTGTGTCTGTGAATAAACCGTACAGCCCACTTTCTTTCAAGAAACCTATAAAAATAATATCCATCCACAGTCTGTCATCTTCCCCTTGTACAGATTGGCTGCCCTCCCCCACTTGAAATCACTATTAAACTGCAGAGATAACTGCCCGTCTTAGGGCTGCAGTCCTCCCACATAACCTGAAGCCACTGCCATTTGTCACAACAGATCATTTCTTGAACTCTGACAGCCAGCCTTGGAAGCAGGAAGCATGCTCATTTTCCTCACCCTGCCGGAGCTTCAGAAAGAACTCAGCTCAAAATAGACGCTATTGAAGCAGGAGACACATGAGGAGGTACACAGCCTATCAATACCTCAACACTGGCCTCTCCTCGCCCTCCAATCCTATTGACTGCATGAGAGCCACTGCTGAAGGCTTTGTAATCCAAAACCATTAAGTATTCATGGGGCTGGCAACCACAAATAGAAAATGAATTGGATTGCTCCCTTTCAAATTAGTATAATGACATTATCTGGGAAATGATGATTTAAAAAATAGTTCAAAACATGGGTTTGAATGTTCTTCCTACTGTTCTGCCCAGGCTCCTCTCTGTTTTTTACAATAGAGAAGAGCCCTCCTGGTGCTGTGGAGACATTCCCAAGAATGAGAGAGGCCAGAATCAACCTTGACTTTGTACACCCATTCTGTTTTCTGGCCAGAAACTAGACTTCTCCTTCCTCTGTACTTCATAATCAATCCCTGAGCATGCTAAAGTTTACCTCCTAGGTATTTCTTGACTGTGCCTCTCTTTGGCATTCCATCTAACCCTTCTTGAGTCCAGGCTACCACTCCTTCTCCCACCTGGGTAAACATATCTACCTCCTAATAGGTCGCTGTGCCTCCAGGTTCCCTTCTCTAATCCATCCTCCACATGGAAGCCTGAGTCAGTCTTCTAAGACAGCAAACTTCCTTGCCGCTTTCCTGCATGAAACCTTTTAGTGGCTCCCCATGGCCCTCAAGACAAAGCCTACGCACTGTAGTACAGAAGACAGAATCTTCTATGACCCAGTCATCTTGCTAACTCATGATGTCACCATGGATCGGGCCTCCAAAGGATGCTGCAAAAGACAATCAGGCCACATGTGTTGTCACACTGAAGTTAGCCTTACACACCTCTTTCATCCTCATCCTCAGGAGGCCAAGAACCACATAGGTAGAGGGGCTCTGAAGAAAAACAACATGGAGGCACTTGTGGGCTGACATCGTCTCAAAGACCTCCCCCTCCCCTGGGTTGGACTTCAAAAGCAGTCCTCTGCTTAACAGTGTTATAGATAAAGAGCAAAAATATACCACAGGAAGTTACACCCATTTAAATTTACACTAAAGATGGGATTGAGAAACTCTTTAAATCATGTGGCAGTCCTCCGTATAGGGATAAATTGCAAAGCAACCTCATAGAACAACATTTTAAATGAATCATCCTCAAAACAGATTCTCCCCTCTGGAGTAGCCCTGTTCCACTCTTCTGCGATTACAGTTGTCATTTTGTACAACATGAGAATGACTTTGACAGTTATGCTGATCCGGGGAGACAAAAGGGGACAAGTTGAGCAGGACAGATTAGTTCTGGAAAATTAGCCATTTGTTGGGTCACCCTGGAGCTTTCAGCTTTGAATTTGGCCTCCCAGAGCATTAAATAGGCCTGAAACCTTTCTAAAATGAGAACTATTATACTGCCAGTTGCACAGAGCAATTCTTGAGCTGCCAAACAGATGGGAGCCCTGTGAAGATAAAAGGCTGCCAATATCCCAAAGGCACAAGCCATGGCTCCGCCTCCATATCTTGGACACAAAAGTTAGAGCATAACCTGCGCACTCTGAGCCCACTTCCCAGGAAACACATCAGTCCATTAAAGGAATCCCACCATGAGGAATGCAGAGCCAATCAATACTTTGAATGAAGAAGCCCCTCTTACAGACTATTTCCTTTTCTCATTTTCCATTCTCTACTCTCCTAACCAAACCATGTCCAAAATGCTACCTGGAGAACCCCACGCTCAGCCCAGCTGACCTTTGATCATCATAAAGCTAGCCACAAAACTGTCTATTTCTCCAAAGGAAAAATGTACATGCATCTAACTCGAGGCTTTCTGCTGGAAGTTCAGGGTCGATGCAGGAAGACAAGGACTCAAAGGCTTTGGCATATTCCATGTCTTCTATCTGGTCCAACAGTGTAGAGATGATGCTGCCAGCTTCAAACAAGGCCCAGGTCCAGGAGCGTTATTGTTAAGTACCTGGGATGTGCTCATTAGAATACTGCTAAGCCTAAGGCCAGGCACGGTGGCTCATGCCTGTAATCCCAGCCCTTTGGGAGGCCAAGGCAGGCAGATCACTTGAGGTCACAAGTTCAAGACCAGCCTGGCCAACATGGTGAAACCCCATCTCTGCTAATAATACAAAAATTAGCCAGGCTTGGTGGCAGGCACCTGTAATCCCAGCTACTCAGGAGACTGAGGCAGGAGAATCACTTGAACCTGGGAGGCAAATGTTGCAGTGAGCCAAGATCACTCCACTGCACTCCAGCCTGGGAGACAGAGCATGACTCTCTCAAAAAAAAAAAAAAAAAAAAAAAAAAAAAAAAAGGTGCCCAGCCTAACCATCTTCCCCTGCTTTCATCTCTTATCCTTCCACCCTGAGCACCAGAAGAAAGAGGAATGTTTAGTTTCTAAATTTCCATCCATTGGCTTTATCCTGAAGTCCCCATCCCTGGATGCTCAAGTCAAGGATCTGCCTATTTTTGCTGGAGTATTGGTTTCCTCATCCCCATGAGAATGAGCTTAGCTATGGCAGTTTTCTCCAAACTACCCTCATGGGGCTGAGTGTTCAAGTCTCAAAGCTAAGGAAGAGATTTTTCTTAGAAAGAGCAGCAGAAGAAACCTTTCAAGGAGGCCTCCTGGGATTACAGCAGAGGCAGGAGGAAGCCAGCCAAGCCCATGTGTCTAAGGGAGTTTGCTGAGCCCAGGGGTACCCTCCAGTCCAGACAGGCTCCACATCAGCAGAAAGGTGACTATGGCCTGCCTCCCCAGAACTCTCAGTGACCTCCCATATTCTAGCTGAGCCATTCATTCCTTGGCATATGCATGATCCCTTCCTAAGCTGCGGGTAAGAACAAATCCTCCTGGTGGAAGTGAAGAGGATCATCCACTGGGTTCCCAGCAGGTGCACACAGATGGACTGATCAGATCATGAGTCTCTGGGGTCTTGTGGCAGGTACCTGTGGCAGTCACTGCTGGTGCCTTGCCCGTTTCTCCTCCTCATTCTCATGTCATGCCTGTGACTTCCAACTACTTTCGGCAAGTTCTTGATAGTTTCTGCCCTAGGGTTTTCTCTGGCCAATGGGCCCACTCAGCCCATGTGCAGAGCAGGCCAGAAGTGCTGGAGAGTTAACATGCCCTACCACTGAGAGCAACCCTCCACCCATGATGGATGGGGAGTTGAAGGATCAATGCCCCAGCTCCCTCGCTCCTTGGTTGTGATAACTGATCACATTTCACACCGTCTTCCAGAGCTGTTGAGCCTGATGCATCCTCAGGCGCCCACAGAGTCAGCCTGCTGGCTAACACATCTTTTATCGGCTTCTTTCCCTTCCATCTCTTACTTCCTCACTCCACATTCCACCCCCACCTCCCAGGGTCTCTTGGGATTAGAGGCCAAGTCTATGTGGCTCCAAAGCCCAAGATCGTTTATAACACCAGGCTGACAACCACCCCCAACCCCTGTGTACCCAACTGCCTCTCAGGGGCAGCCAACAAAGTGGGGCACTGTGGGGTCCTGTGCTCAGGGCCCACACTGACCTGTGAGACCACAACTTAGCCACAGGTGCTGCGTTCCTGGCATTCCATGCCTGTTTTCTGCATTCCCAACCCAGGTGTTTGGCTGTACATCCAACGTCCAGCAGGGTTTTTTTCCTCCTTTCTTTCTTTAAGCTGGGCTGCTAAAAAAGAAAAAGAAAAAAGAAAAAGGCTATAACGGTGGAGATTCTGGCACTGGATGACACTTCAGGGCCATTCTAGCCCTGAATTTCTGTGAAATGATCCACAGCAGCCCAAGGCAAAATTGGATCTATAATGAAATTTCTCCTCCTTAAAAAGTCACAGTTTAATGGCTGTTCTAACTGCTGGGGAATTTATGAAAAGGGACTGTAGCCTAATTCTGGAAATTAACCTAGCACCAGCTGCAGCTTCCTGGCCCCAGTGCTGTGGACATATATCCTTGTCTTCACACATATGCTCATCTGGACATGGGGTGGCCTCAGGGGTCTGAGACATGCAAGATGAAATCCCACAAATCTCCATTATTAAATCCATGATGTATTTCGAATCCCGCCCTCCATCTTGGTAATGACGCCTCTGACATCCCTCCAAAATAGGAGGGAGGGAGGACAGGTGGGAATGAAAGAGGGAGAGAGGCTCCTCTTGTATTTGTCCTATATCTACCATCTCTGTTCTGCCATATTCCTGGGTGTGGTGAAGGCGTTTCCATCCTCTAAGACAGGTCTCCTCATGCTCAGAGACAGAGACTGCTGAAGACACTGCCATCCATTGACTGATGTAAATCTGCCCAACGTCACCTCCCTTTGGACCCATATCCTCAGGCTGCCTTACACTAATCCAGATCTACTGGGATGATCTCTCCAGAAGACCTCTGGAACCCAAACTTGATGTCACCCGTCTTCTGTTCTTCTCTCCTCCAACAACTTACCTTTTCCCCTCTCCATGAGCAGATATATGGAAAGCCCCCTAAATCCCAAGTAGAGTCCATCAGAGGATAACCCAGCCTTAGAAAGGGACCTTCAAGATATTCTGCATTTGCCTAAAACCTCCGAGGGATTCTCCCCAGGTTCCTCGGGGTGTAAATTGACCCCCTTCTGTAGTTGTAGCACCTCCACGAAAAGGTTTTTGGAGTCTTTACTAAGGCATAGATGGGCAATTGGGAAATTTGCAGTTATTCAGAGAAATTTGGAGTCTTAGACTCCACATCTAATCCCAGAATGTCTTTTATGAGTATCACCCCTACAAGCACCTCCCCAGATCCTACCCATCCTTCAAACCCAGCCAAATGTCACCTTCTCTAGAAGAGAAGCCAAATTCCTTGTGTCAAAGGAGGCTTCCCTCTCCAACTTCCCTGAGCCACCCTCCTCAGGTGGTGCCTCACATCACCCTCACCTGTGTGCATGCCTCAGCATTCTCAGTGTGCAGGGGGTTCATGGTGGGCAGGGCCTGTATCCTTCATCTCAGGCCCCAGTCCCCACCCCCAACCATGCATAGAGTCTTTTTGCTGAGAAGAGTTGCTCCACAAATGTTAAAGGAGGGAGGTGGGTAAAGAAATAAATTTCAGGTCCCACTCCATGACAGGAGTGACCATGGGAGGGCATTCATGATGCCCTCCTCTCCTAACATGAACACTAAAATACCTGTATATGCACATGCAGTAATAATAGGACTGGGTGACTATACCACCAGTGGCTCACTGCAGCAAATGCTGACTCCTCAGCAAAATGGAGATGGGAGAGAAATAAAGGAGGAGAGATGAGGAAGAGGGAAGGAGAGTCCTTGTACCAGTCAGGGTCCAGTCAAAAAACCATGAAGTACTTTAATGAAGGGTTTTAAGATAAGAAACAAGTTCCAGAGTATTGGAAGAGCAGAAAGACCACACGGGGAAAGAGGAGGCAACCCAGAGCTTAGCACTAGCAGGAATCCGCCACCACTTCTAGGATCGAAGGTCAAAGGAAAGAGGTAGCATTACTAGAGCCCAGGAGGCAGAATCATAGTCATGACCTGGGCCCACAGATTGAGAGAGAGGGGCTGGCCATGGATAATAGAACCACAGTGAGGATGCAGCCATTGTCCTAGACACTGCCCCAAACAGACATGAGGAGAAATACCCTGCTTCTTCCTTCCTCCCACCCTCCAGTCTCCCATTGGTGCCTCCTATTGGCCCAACATAGACAGAAATCAGAGGCAAGGGGGCCTGAGAAATGTTAGCTCGAGCAGTCAGCCACCCCATGGGGCAGAGAGAGCAGGGCCTGACATGGATCTGAGCAGCAGCAGTCCAAGGACCAATACTCTTCTTTCATTTCTCCCACAATAAGCACCTCCCTCCCTCTGCGTGATCCTGGGCTCTCCTTTTTTCACAGATGGGCTCCTTTCTCCCCAGGCTCCCACCTCCTGTGCCAAGCCAGGCCATAAGTGGGGCTACTTCTATGGGTCTGTTGCAAGAAGGCAACCAGCAGGCCAAGGTGGGTGGCTGGCTGGACCCTGGATGGTCAGTCACTGATCAAGGAGCATCGGAAGGTCTGGCCTGGACAATCTGGGACTGAGGGCAGTGCAGGCAAAAATCACCCAAACTTGGCAATATGTCCAGGGGAATTTGGAACTCCCAGCTCTCACACCCCACCCCCTACATTCCAATGGGCCCATAAAGCCAGCTCTCTCAGGATGATATAGTCGACCTGAACTTTCAGAACTTGCTAGGATGCATAGATTGGGGCATTACCCTCTAATTCATTCTGAAGAGAAGCACCGAAGTGGTTTGTCCACATTAAAGAGGAATTAGGAAGCCTGCTTTGCAGAAACACACATGTATGCAAGCACACACACACACAGACACACACTTATGCACACACATATATGCTGGAATTCTCTGGATGTTTCCCCAAAGTTCTCCTTAAAATGGATTCTTCTTTTCCCCTGGATAAGCCAAGGCTTTGGCTTGAGGGCTCAATGTTCTAATATTAAAAAGCCTCTGTTCACCAGAAACACACATTAAAACCTGGGAGCCAGTAATGCTGAAAACAACTGACTCTGACATTTAAGCAGAGGTCACGCACCCATGGATGTTTATAGGACAAAATGGAAGAAATCCCACTTTGCAGAAAAACAGCTGGGTGTGGAAAAACATTGTTTATACTTGAGCATCTGCCTCAGGAATTTGTCACTTTAAATAAGCTCATTGCCACCCACCTTGTCCAAACATTCATCAGAGAATGGAAAAGGGGAGTGAAGGCAGGCAGGACTGACCATGCAGACTCAGGCCCTTGGCGTCCCAGCCTCGCCATGCTGAGTTGGCCTACCCTGACCCCTGTCCTACCCCATTGTCCTGAGGTTTATTTCATCAGGTTCAGCCTGGGTTTTAGGGCCTGCTGTTGACTTTTGGAGAGCACAGGGGGTGCCCAAACACAGGAGATGGGGCAGTGGTGGCCACTTAGCTCATCTAGAGGAAGTCATTCTTGGGGTCTGGAGATACCTACAGGAGAGATTTACTGAACTGGCTGCATTCCCAGAATGTGTCCACTCCTGCCCCTTACCAGGATGTGAAGGTTGACCCAGTGGGACTCTGAGGGTCTCCTTCCTGGTTGTTGTCATAGCCAGCACTATAGGAGAGAGTCTAGGGTGGTTTGTCTCCTGCATTCTTGCTTCTCCTATCAATGACCTTCTTCCCCCTGTTCTACCTGGGGGCACCTCAGAAGGCCTTAAAAACACCCAAAAATCCCAGACACCATCAAGCCTGCCACAAGGAATCTTGGGAGCAGATGCATACCAAATAGGAAACTAAACCTTAAGCCCCAGAGCTAACTCCCGAGTGAGACTGCAGAGGTAGGCAATCCATGTTGGGCTCTGGCAGTCCTCCTCTTCTACCCAGAGGGCCACATCATGTCCCACAGAGTCTGTGGGAGTGCAGCCATCTAGGTGTGGATGAGAAGGACCCTGACCAAGAGCTCTAGAAACAAGTTCACCTCTCAGTGAGGAACTGTGACTTCCTCCAGTCCCAAGGAGGGACTGCCCATCTTGCTAGCCACATCTCTTCTGTCCCCACTCCTCCACTTCATGCCCCTCATCTGTTCTCAGGGCCCCTCCATCTTCACAGCACACAGTGGAGGCTCTCTGGTGCTGTGCAGCCTCTGTGCCTGTGCCCATGCCTTTTGTCCTCCTGCAGGACTCTTCCCCACCCAGAAAACCCTTCCCTTCAGGGACCAGGTTAACCGTCACTTCTTCTGGGAGGCCTTTCCTCATCTCACCCTCACCTATCAGGGCTGCACCCTTCCCCAAATCAGGGAAACCGCTCCTTCTTCTGATTGCCATGGCTGCTATGGCCCTTGTCTTGAAAAAAAGACAGTGAGGACCTCTGAGCACATGGCTCATCCTTCTCCCCTGTGACAGAGAGCCCCACAAGGACAGGGATCAGAATATGTTGCCAGCCCTGGGCCTGGCACAGTGATATTCCACAACTCAGTTCACATACAGAGAAGGAAACCACATCACTTCATTGTATTAGCAATGCTTTGTCACCAGATTGGGATCGACAGTGTTCCACAAATCGGATCTGTTGGCCATAGACATAAAAGCAAACTTCTCCATCGTCTGATCCAGCCAAGAAAATGCCAAGCCAGCCACACCAGCCAAAAACAATCACTGTCTTTTCTATGTATCTACAGACTCAAACGCGCTTCAAACAAGCACCAACTTTTGATAAAGTTCCTCTGGGTTTGGACTAATTTAAGGGGTTCCCCACCTTGCCAGTACTCATTTAAGAAGACCCATAAAAACAGACAAATCAGGAAGGCATATTCATTTTACAAGAGGCAGGCATAGAATCCCAGTTCCCTTGGAACAGCATTTGCCAAACAGTCATTCTCACACCATTGTTGCAATTTTTCTGCCATCATCTATTTACCATCTACACTATTATTTATTTTATATTTATTTTCCATATTAACATGAAAATGACTCTCTTTTACTTAGTTTTACTCATTCAATGCATTTTATTTTTCTTAACATCCACTAACCCAAACACAAAACAATTGACATTTCTAAGTTTGTATAGAACCTAAAATATTTTTGCCTCTCCATTAGGTCCTGCATGTCCCACTTGTGGGTAGCCCCGGTTTGCTCGCCTGCCTCTAGATGCTCTGGGACGGAAATGTCAACACTGTGCCCCACCCCATCACTGCGCTATGGTTCCCAGGTTCTCAGGATGCCTCATCCACCCTGCCCAACAACTCTCAAGCACCCAGCTAAGGAGGTAACGGTGATCAGAAGCTGCAAACACTAGAAGGCTGAAGACAGAAAGGCAAACCAGGCTTTGTGCTCATTTCATGGAACAACCACACCAACCCCCCGCTCCCACCCGTGATTTCCATCCCCAGAGCCTCTCCTACTGACAAGAGAAGCAGCACAGGGAGCCCTTTCTTACAGAGATCCAAGAGCTGTAAGCTCTGTGAAGGTGAGGCTGGAGAGCCTTGCCATTCCTCATGAGGTACCCGGGGGGACAGAGGCCATAGCAACAGCAGCAGCAGTAATAATGATGACAACCTGTGTTCTCAGAAGTCTTGCTGCACAGGTCAGGCATATTTTGTACAGCACCTGGCACCACACACTGTTGAGTGATAGCTAAATTTCTGCAAGGTTAGGGAGAACAGAAAGGCCACAATCATGATAAACATGATTTCCTGGGTGTCTCCTCTGTGTAAGGCTGGGATAAACACTTGCATACATTTGCTTATTTAAGCCTCACATGGCCCTTTAAGGTACTATTACCAATGGGGAACGTGTTTATAGAAGGGCAGCCTGAGGCTCAGACTACTGAAGTGAAGGGACAAGCCTGAGGTCAGGTGGAGCCTTCATGTTTGAACAACAAGAGGAGTCCATACCCAATTTATATGGCTCCAACACCCCTGAGCCTTCCACTGCTTTCCCAAACCTGACTGAGACCAACCTTCCCCAGACATGTTGGTATCCTCAGGCAGATGCTATCATCCATTTGGAATGGCCAAGAGCCTTGAGCACCATGCCGATGGGGAAACACCTGTCTTCAGAATTCCCCACCAGCTGTCTTGGCCAGTGAGCAACCAGGATCCTGGAGCTAGGTAAGGCACTAAAATGGGGAGTTAAGAGGAGACAAAGCTTAGCCAGGGAATTGTATCAGCAACCTCAGGGCTTCCCAAGAGCAAACTCTTTATGCTAAAAGTCTCATACTAGAGTCTTTATACTAAAATTCTTCCTTTCAAAGCAACAAACCAAGAAGGGATGTCCATGCACCATCCCCCTTTGCTGGAGCAGCATGTTTATAGGTAGCTAACAGGATGGAGAGGTGCCTTAGCATACAGATTTCATTTGCGCCCAGTGGAGGGGAGTCTGCAGTGCAGGTTGACTCAGAAGGGGTTTCAGCTGCTCTGAGAAGCTCTGGTGCCCTCCAAGCCCCCGCATATTCAGCCCTCATCCTGCCCATCCATCCTCATGGCCCCTGCTCCTCACATAATCAGATTCTAACGTAGCCATTCAGCTTCACTGATCTATTAAATCCAGAAACACAGTCTTTTTATTATTACCATTTTAAAGTAACATTTATTTCAGAATCTCTTGGCCAGTCTCATCTGTTTTATTATCTTTTAATTAACATGTTATCATTACAAATGTAATACATGTACATCGCACAAAATTGGAAAATAAAAAATGTGTAAAGAACATAAAATTGCTCAAATCTAATCATCCTGATGTAAACACCATTAACATATGATATACATTTTTTCTTCTTTCCATCTTTTCTCTATGTCTCTGATTATTTTTAATTAAAAAAATGAATCATGCTATATATAGCTTATATCCTGGTGTTTTCACTTAATACATTATGAGCATTTTCTCATGTCATTTAATGACAGGATTCTTCAAAAACATGATTTCTAATGACCACAGAGTATTCATCATATGGATGGGCCATGATTTAGTTAACTATTACCATATTGTTGGACATTTCAGCTGTTTCCAATTTTTTCTATTAAAATAATGCTACAACAAATATCTGCACAGGTATATAAGTCTATATGTGAATCTCTGATTCTTCTTCAGGATAAATTTAGAGAAGATGAATGGACTGGTCCATAAGTATAAATATTTTTCAGGCTCTTGATATAAGCATTTCAGAAAGTTTGTTCAAAGTACCCACCCATCCCCTGAATATCAAAGTGCCCACTTCACTCTGTCCTCAGTATCACTGGATCTTCTAATTCTTCAAGTACTTTTCCTCTGGAAATATGAAAAATGATATATTGTTTTATTGTGCATTTTTTGACTGTCAGTGAAGTCTGGCATTTTTCCATATGCTTCTTGGCCTTCTCCGTTCTTCTTTTATGGTTTGGTTATTTATGTCCTTTGCCCTTTTTTCTATCATGCTTTTATATTTTTCTTATTGAACTATACAAGATCTTATATAAACATGAAAGATAATGTAAATATTCCTTTATATTGTCTTCTGGCTTTAAGGTGGTAATTTTGACATTTATTCCTTAATTCACCTGGAATGTATTTTAATATATGGTATATGACAGCAGTTCTCACACTTTAATGAGAACTAGATTCTCTACTCTGTACTCTGGGGTGGAGCTTGGGAACCTAAATTTTAATAAGTGCTCCCAGGAATTCTGATGCCTGTAAACACCTTTGAAAAACACCGATATAGTGAAAGAACCTAATTTTTTTTTTTAGTAGTGGATGAATTGCCTTAGTATATTTATCAAATAACCCTTCCTTACCAATTGCTGTAAAATGCTGAATAATAAACTACATTCCTATATCCCACTTGAGTCTGTTCTTAAGCTTTATTCTATTCCATTGATTTGTCTTTCAATTTTTGTGCCAGAACTATTATTTTATTATTATTAAGGCCTTGGAATACACATATCTGGACATAGAAATACTCCTACAACTCTTATTTTTCAAAATTTTCTTGACCATTCTTACCAATTTGTTAATTACTAGATAACCTTTGTAACATTTCTCCCAAAAATCCTTTTAGAATTTTGTTTGATATTCCCATAAACTGAAAACATAATTTAGAAAAATTAGTATCAAAATGACAGCTACTATCTACTGAGCCATTTCCATGTAGCAGGTACTGCTCTAGGCCCTTCACACATATTAACTCACAGAAACCTTGTAGATGGGAAAGTTGAGGCCCAGAGATATTTAGCAATTTAACCAAGATTACACATCCAGTAAGTAGTAAAGCTGGCACTTGGATCCAGTTAACTATAGCACTTTTCCTCTTGGCAGCATGCAGCCCTGTTTGTCACATACATTCAAAATACTCAGTCCTAGAAGGGGCTTCAAGATGGCTGACTAGATGCATCTTACACAAAGAGGAACCAAAATAGCATGTAGATAATCAAACTTTGAATAGATCATCTGGAAGGAGAAGGAAGGGAGGTAGCCTGCTTAGCTGGGATTTGCCATGAGTCTGGAGAGGCTCCCTAACGCGGGGAAGGGGTAAGAGAGAGATCTCCAGCAGTCCAGATTCCCACTACACATCTACAATCCTAGCCATGGGAGAGCCCCTCAACTCTCGCAGCCCCAAGTATGACATTTGGAGCACCCTGGAGACTGCATTGCTCTAGAGAGGGAGCTCACACTGATTTTCACACACCTTGGAGTTCGAAGCAGCTGCAGCACAATGCCATTTTAAGAGCCTAGCTCCCACTAGACTGTGTCCTGTCCTGCCACTGGGCTGAGGTGAGAGTCAGGAGCAACAACCCCACTCCCCAAGCAGAGGAGTGGCCATGCATTTTCTCATGTCCCAAGGACAAATTCCCCTGCCTGCAATTACCACCTGCAGTCTGCTGCGGGGCTGAAGTATGAGTAAAGATTGCAACCCCCTATGAAAGCTTCCAATCTTGGGTGCTTCCAGAAAAAGCAACCCTGCTCTCCCCAGTAGCAGGACTAGGACTAAACACGGACACTGCTGCCCTACCTGTGCATGCTTATAGCCTGGGGATCACCCTGCCCCTGACTACTGAAGTCAGCACCCATATATACCACTGGGTGGCCCGAAGGAAGGTCTGCCCAGCTCAGCTCCATCCCCATGACACCCAAGCATACCATCCAGGGGTCTGGGGATTGCCCAGCCTAGCCCACCACCAGTGACATCTGAGGACTTCTCCTGGGGTCTGAAGTCAGGTCCAATCAACCTACTGCCACCAACATAGTGGGCAGCCACCCACATGCATCACCTGTGGCTCTGGGGACCTACCTGTCCAAGCTGTCAGAACTATGCCAATATAAACATGGACTGCTGGGGTCCCAGAAGGTTGTCTGACCACTGCTATTGCCATCGCTCATGCCACTCCTGCTGCCCAGGGGCACAAGAGCCCACCTACCTGCCCAACCTACTTCTGTTGCCATTTCTGGCACCCAAGCAAGCCACCTGGAGGCCCAAGAATGGGCCTGCCTGGACTAACATCAAATCCAGTGAACATCATTGTGGGACCCAAGGACAGGCATACTCAGCCAAATGATACCACCTCAGGTCCCCAAAGTATGGCCCACTTGGCATCCCAGTCCCTCAAAAAATCTTCACCATAGCCTCCCCTAACAACCATACCCCAAGCCACCAAGAAAATCATAGACACCACTGACACTGTTTACAGCTAATAAATCACATACAGACTACAGTATTGAACACACCCAGAATCAAAGCCAAAGTACGCTACCCAATGAACAGCATAGATGCATCTTCAGGAAACAGTTGTCCCCTATGAAAGCAAATTCAAAACATTGGAAGAAGTGACTGTGACACCATGTCACCATATCTGCAGATATCAACATAAGGGCACAAGAAACATGAAAAAGAAAGGAAACACAATACTGCCAAAAGAACCACCACAACTCTCCACCAACAGATTCCAATCAAAAAGAAATTTATGAAATCCCAGCTAAAGAATTCAAAATAATGTTACTAAAGAAGTTCAGTGAGATACAAGATAATTCAGAAAAATAAGGTATGAAAGAGAAATTTACCAAAAAGCTAGATATCACAAAAAAAGAACCAAATAGAAATTCTGGAACTGAAGGATTCACTAAATGAAATACAAAATACATTTGAAAGCTTTGATAACAGATTAGATCAAACAGAAGAAAGAAACTCAGAACATGAAGACAGGTGTTTTAAAATAATCCAGTCAAACAAAAATTTTAAAAGAAAAAGAATTTTAAAAGAATGAGGAACAAAGTGTTTGTGACACATAAAACATCATAAAGTGACCAAATATTCATAGTTTTGGTGTCCCAGAAGGTGAAAAGAAAACAAAAGAGTTATAAAATTTGTTAAATAAAGCAAAAGATGAAAATATCTCAAGTCTAGCCAGAGATTTAGTCATCCAGATACAGGAAGTTCAGATTTCCCTAAAATAAACAAAATTCAAAAAGGTTTTTACCATGGCATATTTTAGTGAAACTGTTGAAAATCAAAGACAGAGAAATTCTAAAAAAAAAAAAGAGAAAGGCATCTAGTCATCTATCAATGAACCCCTATCAGACTAACAGAAGATTTCTCAGAAGAAACCTTACAGGCCAGGAGAGAATGATATAATATATTCAAAGTGCTAAAAGAAAGAAACTACAACTCAAGTATACTATACCCAGAAAAATTTTCCTTCATAAATGAAGGAGAGATTAAGTCTTTCCCAGACAAGCAAATGCTGAGGAAATTCATCACCACTGGACCAGCTCTACAAGAAATGCTTGAAAGAGTCCTACACCCAGAGGAGAAAGAACAATAACTACCATCATGAAAACATAAAAACCACTGGTAGAGCAAATACAACATACAAACAAAGAAAAGAAAAAACTTAAATGTAAACACTACAGAACACCATCAAACCACAATGATAAACAATAAGAGAGAAAGAAAGGAACAAAGGACATACAAAACAACCAGAAATCAACTTTTTAAATAACAGGAATAAGCCCTCACATATCAAAAATAACCTTGAATGTAAGCAGATTAGCTTTACACTTAAAAGATAGAGATTGGCTGAAATATAAAAAAAAATGATCCACCTATTTTCTGCCTGCTAAAAACTCTTCTCACCTATAAGGACACAGATAGACTGAAAATAAGGGAATGGAATAAGATATTCAATGCAAATAGAAACCAAAAGTAAGTAGGAATAGCTATACTTATATCAGATAAAACAGACTTTAAGTCAAAAACAGTAAAAATAGACAAAGAAGGTCATTGTATGATAAAGGGATAAATTCAGTAAGAGGATATAGCAATTCTAAATATATATCCACTCAACACTGGGGCACACAGATATTTGAAGCAAAAATTATTAGATCTAAAGGGATAGACAGACTTCAATACAATAATACTTGGGCGACAAATCCCACTCTAAGCATTAAACACATCATCTAGACAGAAAACTAGCAAAGAAACATCAAACTTAAACTGCATATTAGACCAAATGGAGCCAAGAGAAATTTAAAGAACATTCTCCTCATCAGCACACAGAACATTCTAGATAATAAATCATACGTTAGGGCACAAAACAAGTCTCAAAAAACTTTTTTTAAAACCAAAATCATATCAAGTATCTTTTCAGACCACAGTGGAAATCAGTGACAAGAGGAACTTTGGAAACTGTACAAATACATTAAAATTAAACAGCATGCCCCTGAATGACCACTGGGTCAAGGAAGAAATTAAAGAGAAAATTTAAAAAAAAACTGTTGAAACAAATGAAAGTCAAAATACAACATACTAAAACCTACAGGATATAGCAAAAGCAGTGCTAACAGGGAAGTTTACAGCAATAGATGAGTACCTCAAAAAAGTAGAAAGATTTCAAATAATCTAATGGTAAACCTCAACTAACCAAAAATGGAAGATAAAACCAAACCGAGAATTAGTAGAAGAAAAGAAATAATAAAGATAAGAGCAGAACTGAACAAAATAGAGACTAAAAAATACAAAGAATAAATGAAATAAAAAGTCATTTTATTAAAAACAAATAAACAAAATTGATATATCACTTGCTACAGTAACCTAGAAGAAAAGAGAAGACCCCAATATACAAAATCTGAAATAGAAAGGAGACATTACAACTCATACCACATAAATACAAAAGATCATCAGAGAATATTATGAACAACTATATATTGACAAACTAGAATACCTAGAGGAAATGGATACATTCCTTGACACACACTGCCTACCAAGATTGAATCTGAAAGAAATAGAAAACCTGAACAGACCAGTAATGAATAATGAGATTCAATCAGTAATAAAATGTCTCCCAACAAAGAATAGTTTAGGATTGGATGCCTTTATTGATTAATTCTACCAAATTTTCAAAGAAGAAATAACACCAATTATCCTCTAACTATTCCAAAAAATTAAAAAAGAGGAAATTCTTCCTAACTCATTCTATGAGGCCAACATTACCCTGATACCAAAACCAGATAAGGACACAACAAAAAAGTAAACTACAGGTCATATCCCTGATGAACATAGAAATAAAACTTCTTAACAAAATACTAGCAAACCAAATCCAACAGCACATCAAAAAAGTAATATACTATTGTATTAGTTCGTTCTCCCACAAATCCAAACCATATCATTCCACTCTGACCCCTCCCAAATCTCATGTTCTCCTCACATTGCAAAATACAATAATCCCTTTTCAACAGTTCTCCAAGTCTTGAATCATTTCAGCATTAATTCAAAATTCCACAGTCCAAAGTCTCATCTGAGACAAGGCAAGTCCCTTCTGTCTATGAGCCTGTAAAATCAAAAACAAGTTAGTTACTTCCAAGATACAATGGTGGTACAAGCATTGGGTAAGTGCTCCCATTCCAAAAGGGAGAAATCAGCCAAAAGAAAGGGGCTACAGTTTGAAACATGCAAGTTTGAAACACACCAGGGCAGTCATTAAATCTTAAAGCTCCAAAATAATCTCCTTTGACTCCATGTCTCACATCCAGGCTACACTGATGCAAGGAGTATTTTCCCAAGGCCTTGGGCAGCTCTGTTCCTGTGGTTCTGCAGGGCTCAGTGTCCATGGCTGCTCTCAAGAGCTGGCACTGAGTGTCTGCAGCTTTTCCAGGTGCACGGTACAAGCTGTCAGTGTGGCTTCCATTCTGGGGTCTGGAGGGCGGTGAAACTCCTTTCACAGCCCCACTAGGTAGTCCCCCAATGGAAACTCCATGTGGGAGCTCCAACCCCATATTTCCCCTCTGCATTGCCTTAGTAGAGGTACTCCATGAGGGCTCTGCCCCTGCGACAGTCTTCTGCCTGGACATTTAGGCTTTTCCATACATCTTCAGAAATCTAGGCAGAGGCTCCCAAGTCTCAACTCTTGCACTGTGCACCCACAGGCTTAACACCAAGATGAAGCCTCCAAGGCTTATGGTTTGCACCTTCTGAAGCAGCAGCCCATGTACCTGGGACCCTTTGAGCCATGGCTGAAGCTGGAGCAGCTGAGATGCAGGCAGCAGTGCCCCAAGGCTGCATATGGCAGCAGGGCCCTGTGGCAGGCCCATAAAACCACACTTCCCTCCTAAGCTTCTTGGCCTGGGATGAGAGGGGCTGCCTCAAAGGTCTCTGAAATGCCTTCAGGGACTTTTTCCCATTGTCTTGGCTGTTAATACTTGCTTTCCTTTCAGTTATGCAAACTTCAGTTATGCAAACTTCAGTTATGCAAACTATGCAGCTGGCTTGAATTCCTCCCCAGAAAATGGGTTTTTCTTCTCTACCATACGGCCGGGCTGCAAATTTTCCAAAACTTTTACCCTCTGCTTCCCTTTTAAATATGTAAGTTCTGGTTTCAGGTCATTTCTTTGCTCATTTATGTGAGCATATGGTATTAGAAGTAGCCAGGCCATATCTTAAATGCTTTGCTGCTTAGAAATTTCTTCTACCAGACACCCTAAATCATCATTCTCAAGTTAAAAGTTACACAGATTCTTAGAGAAGGAGCACAATGCCACCAACCTCTTTGTTAACACATAACAAAAGTGACCTTTGCTCCAGTTCCCATTAAGTTCCTCACCTGTATCTGAGACCTAATCAGCCCGGTGTTCACTGTCCATATCACTATCAGCATTTTGTTCACAACCATTTAACAAGTCTCTGGGAGGTTCCAAACTTTCCCTCATCTTCCTATTTTCTTCTGAGCCCTCCAAAGTGTTCCAACCATTACCCAGTTCCAAAGTTGCTTCCACATTTTCAGGTGTCTTTATAGCAATGCCCTATTTCTCAGTACCAATTTTCTATATTAGTTTGTTCTAATACTGCTATAAAGAAATAACTGAGACTGGGTAATTTATAAAGAAAAGAGGTTTAGTTGGCTCACAGTTCTTCAGGCTGCACAGGAAGCATGGCTTGGGAGGTCTCAGGAAACTTACAATCATGGCAGAGGGTGAAGAGAAAGCAGGCACGTCTTACATGGCTGAAGCAGGAGGAAGAGACAAAAGGGGGAGGTGCTACACACTTTTAAACAACCAGATCTCATGAGAACTCACTATCACGAGAACAGAAAGGGTGAAATCTGGTCCCATGTTCCAATCATCTCACACCAGGGCCCTCCTACAACACTAAGGATTACAATTTGACATGAGATTTGGGCAAGGGCACGAATCCAAACCATATCAACCGTGATCAAGTGGGATTTATCCCAGGGATTCAAGGATAATTCAATATACAAAATCAAACATGTGGTAAATCACATGAACAGAATAAAAGGGAAAAAAACATATGATCATTTCAATAGGTGAAGGAAAATAATTTAATAAAATTCAACATCCCTTCATGGATAAAACTATCAACAAATTAAGCATTTGAAGGAACATAACTCAACATAATAAAGGTCATATATGAGAAACCCACAGCTAAGAGCATACTGAATTGGGGGAAGGACAAGGATGCCCATTTTTGCCACTCGTATTCAACACAGTACTGGTAGTCCTAGCTAGAGCAACCAGGCAAGAGAAAGAAATAAAAGACATCCAAACTGGAAAGGAGAAAGTCAAATTGTCCTTGTTTGCATATAATATGATATTATATCTAGAAAAGACTCACCAAAAACTCTTAAGTCTGATAAATTCAGTAATGTTGTAGAGTAACAAATCAATATACAAAAATCAGTAGTGTTTCAAGGAACTAGCTAAGAAAGAAATCAAGAAGACAATCCTATTTTCAATAGCTACAAAAAATAAAATACCTACAAATAAAATTAACCAAAGAGGTAAAAGATCTCCACAAGGAAAACTACAAAACACTGGTGAAAGAAATTGAAGAGGACACAACAAATGGAAAGACATCCCAGGCTCATGAATTAGAAGAATTAATATTATTAATATGACCATTCTGCCGAAAGCAATCTACAGATTCAATGCAATCACCATCAAAATAACAATGTCATTTTTCACATAAATAGAAAAAACAATCCTAAAATTCATATGGAATCATAAAAGAGCCTGAATAGCCAAAGAATTCTGGAACAAAAGAAACAAATCTGGAGGCATCACACCACCTAACTTCAAAATATATTACAAGGCTACAGTAACCAAAATAGCATGGGGTTGGTGTAAAAACAGACACATAGACCAATGGAACAGAATTGAGAATCCAAAAATAAACCCATGTATTTACAGTCAACTGATTTTCAACAAAGGTGCCAAGGGCATACACTGGGGAAAGGATACCCTCCTTAGTAAATGGTGCTGAGAAGAGTGGATATCCATAGATCCATAGACTGGATATTCAGAAGAATGAAAGTGGACCCCTCTCTCACCATGTACAAAAATCAACTCAAGATTAAGTAAAGACTTAAATATAGACCTGAAACTATAATACCACTGGAAGAAAACATAGGGAAAACACTTCAGGACTTTGGCCCTAGGCAAAGATTTTATAGCTAAGACTGCAAAACCACAGGCAACAAAAACAAAAATAGACAAATGAAATTATAATAAACTTAAAAGCTTCTGCACAGTAAACAACCAACAGAGTGAAGAGGCACTCTGTTAAAATGGGATAAAATATTTGCAAAGTATTCATCCAATAAAGGACTAATGTCTACAATATACAAGAAACTCAAACAACTCAGCATTAAAAAACAAGCAAACAAAAAATATTTTCATTAAAAAGTGGGCAAAGGACTTAAATAGACGTTTCTCAAAAAAATACAAATAGACAACAGGTATATGAAAAAATGATCAGCATCACTAATCACCAGGGAAATGCAAGTCAAACCACAATGAGATATGATCTTAGACCAGTTAGAATGGCTATCATTAAGAAGACAAAAAATAACAGATGCTGGTGAGGATATGGAAAAAACGGTACTCATACACTGTTGGTAGGAACATAAATTAGTTAGTACAGGCACTATAGAAAGCAGTATGAAGATTTCTCAAAAAACTAAAAATAAAACTTCCATATAATTCAGCAATCCAACTACTGGATATTCATACAAAGGAAAAGAAATCAGTATATCAAAGGGATATATGTGCTCACATGTTTATTGCAGCAGTATTCACAAATACCAAGATATGGAATCAATCTAAGGTCCATCAATGGACAAATGCATAAAGAAAACGTGGTATACTAAACCACATATGCATAAACCACAAATGCATGAAGAAGATGGAATACTATTCAGCTACACAAAAGAATGAAATCCTATAAGTTGCAGCAACATGGGTGGAACTGGGGGTCATCATGTTAAGTGAAATAAGGCAGACACAGAAAGACAAATTTCACATTGTTCTTACTCATACGTGGGAGCTAAATATGTTGATCTCCTGGAGATAGAGAGTAGAATGATAGATACCAGAGGCTGGGAAGGGTGTGTACGTGGCAGGGCAGGGGTGGAGAGATGAAAAGAGGTGGGTCAATGGGGACAGACGATACAGATAGATAGAAGTTATAAGTTCTAATGTTCAGTAGCAAAGTTAAGAACAATAAATTGTATGGTTCAAAGTAACTGGAAAAGAGAACTTGAAATGTTCCCAACACACAGAAATGATAAATCCTCAAGACGATAGATACCCCAACAACACTGATTTGATCATTATACATTCTATGCATTCAGCAAAGTATCACATGTACCCCATAAATATGTAAAATAGTAGGCATCAATTAGAAAATATGCAGTCTTCCAATTCATAAACATGGTATTCTTTTCCACCAATTCAAATAATCTTTAATGACTTTCAGCAATGTTTTGTAATTTTTAAAATTTGTCCAACTTATTTTTTATTCTGCTTATTTTAGGTATTTTATATGTTAGACAATTAAAATGAAATATTTTGTATTATAGCATTTTCAAGTGGCTAATATTGATACATAGGAAAGCCACAGCATATAAACCGTTCATGTTGCCTGGGCACCTTAATGAACTCTCTTATTAATGCTAATAACATTTCTATCAATGTTCTTAAGTTTTCTTGGAAGGCAACTACATAATTTTTAAATAATGACAATTCCGTTTCTTTTCAACAGCTGTGTCTTTTGTTGGGTTCCATGCCTTATTGCATGAAATCATATTAAGTAGCAGAGGTTGGAATAAGGGGGAACATTCTTATCACATTGTTGCTTTTAATAGGAATATCTCTATTCTTTCCCTATTTTCTACAATGTTGGTTGTTAGTATAGACAAGTGAGGTTGTTTGTTTGTGTCTTTTTGAGACAGAGTCTCACACTGTCACCCAGGTGGGCGTGCAGAGGTGCAGTCTCAGCTCACTGCAACCTCCACCTCCCAGGTGCAAACGATTCTCATGCCTCAGCCTCCCTAGTAGCTGGGATTATTGGTGCATGCCACCATACCCAGCTTATTTTTTTTTCTTTTTTTTCTTTTCTTTTCTTTTTCTTTTTTTTTTTTTTTTTTTTTTTTTTTTTTTGAGATGGAGTCTCGCTCTGTCACCGAGTCTGGAGTGCAGTGGCACAATCTCAGCTCGCTGCAAGCTCCATTCTCCCGCCTCAGCCTCCTGAGTAGCTGGGACTACAAGCGCACACCACCAAGACCAGCTAATTTTGTTTTTGTATTTTTAGTAGAAACAAGGTTTCGCCATGTTGGCCAGGCTGGTCTTGAACTCCTGGCCTCAAGTGGTCTGCCCACCTCAGTCTCCCGAAGTGCTGGGATTACAGGCACAAGTCACCGCACCCCGGCCTGACAAGTGTTAAGAAAACATTCTTTGCACCGTAGCATTTACAATTTTTAACCATTTCTAATTTTAAAACATCTTTCTAAAATTTGTTGCTTGGCTTCTGTCTTCTTTAAACAGATTTAGAACATAATTTACATTGAAGATTCAGAATCATTGATTGTACAACTATTACTGTAATGTTTCCAGACACATGGAACACTCCCACCTTTATTAATCCATCCCTCAACACTATGTTTTTTGAAATTGAGTTTCTGCGCTTTGTAAGTCTTTTCTATGTTATTAGGCTGTCATGTCTTGCTAATGTCAAAGTATCTGCTTATTCCTCTAAATTAGAAAATTCTACTCACTAAAGTTATGTATAAAGTGAGAATAAGCTCTGAGAAAGCATTTTCTATATGAGTAAGATTAAAGTCTTATTATATGGTAAACTTTGGATGATTTTACCTGCTCACTAAACTTTTCCCTTTATTCAGTGGTTGTCAGCTCTGTTCTGGAGAGGAGAGGATTCCAAGTACTGAAGTTTTAGGCAGGAAAGTAAACATAATCATGCTTTTGGAAGTTCAACAACAGAAAGGGAGTAAACCAGACAGTAAAATTGAAGATTAAATTAACCTCAACACCTCATTCCACAATAATTCAATTGGCTTTCTATAAACTTACTAGAAGTTTTCATCCTAATATCTGATGAAATTATTGCTGTCAATGTCTTCACTACCCTGGAAAGGACATGGAAAGGGAAAAATAAATAACCTATCAGGGCAAGTAAATATTTGTTATATATGTTCCACATATTAAATACTACATGAGGCATGAGGCTCTGTGGCAGGAGCCCTAGGGGTTAATCCTGCAAAAAAAATCGAATGTGCACATAAATAATTATATTAAAAGTCAGCACATATGTGAGGGTTGGGGCTGTGATTTTTCAAGCCCAAATAAACACATTTATTGAGTTTAAGCAGAAGTACAAGAGAGGGGAGATGGGCACCCCCGTCAGGTGTAGTGAGAAGAAAGGCCACGGAAATATGTCTGTGCATGTGTGGATGGATGCCTAGGGTCACCGTGCCCCCCTTTCCTGGGCTCTCCATGCTGGAGCTGGCCCCAGGCACTGCTCAGTTCCAGACCTGGCTTGTTTTCCTGGCACCTGGGAAATTCCACACACACCCATGTTCCCATATACCTGTCTTGCTTTTGCTACCAAATGGCCTACAAACATTTACTTTAAATAAGTATACATATTTTTATAAAAGTGAGCTTATTCTAAAGTAGCATATGCACGTGGTTTAAAAAATCAAACAGTAAAAATAGATGTGCAATTAAAAGTGAGTCTCTTTTTCACCATAGGCCCCAAGACTCCCTTTTTACCTATAACCACTAATTTCTGGTATATCCTTCTAGAGATATCTGCAAATATACAAGCATATATGAATGTACACGTATTCTCTTTTTATATAGATGATAATAAGTTATGCAGCTTGTTCTGTGCTTTGCTTTTTCCACTTACCTATCTTAGACATGGGTTAATCTGTAACCCAGTGGTCTCAGGTTACTTCCCATGATCCTTGTAAGGAAGATTTGTAAACCACCTGCCAGAGATGTCAATGGAACTCATTCTGCGTCCTTCTGTCTGGAATATGGTTCTGCAACTCTACACAGCTGTCTGGTCATGTTCAGGTCTCTGTATAAAAGTCACCCTCGGAGATGAGGCTTCTCCAATCACCTCATCTGAACAGTACCCCTTCCCTCACTCAGGCACCTGTATGTATCTCAGAACTTGTATGTTTTCTTCATACTATTTAAAGTGGGATCTATTTTATTTGCCGGTTTATTTAGTCGTTCATCATTAATCTCTTCTCATGAAACAGCAGCTCCATGAGGGCCAAGGCTATGATTGTCTCAGTCAGTTGTATTCCTGGCACCCTCCACATGCTGCCACATGACAGGTGCTCAGTGTATACTCAGTGAGTAAATAAAGTAACCTTGTGAGTTCACAAAGCTCCTTAACCTCCTGAGTGAGGGATAGATGAGGTGGTATGAGATCACTGGGGTAAAAATTAATCCCAAGTTAGAGATGGAAAAACAAGTTTGGGGAAGAAGCACAACTAGCCCAAAGCCACAGAGTGGGTCAGTGGTGAGCCAAACTTGTAACTCGGACATTAGGACTTTAAGACCCATGCCCCTTCCACCTCCAGGAAATATCAGGTCATGCCAATTGAAGCTCAGCGTCCAAAGTGCCAGCTGTTGTTTCCAAATAGGAGCCCAACATGGCAGATATCCATAGATAAAGGGCCAAGACAAGACACCTTCATGCTCTTTCCTCCAATTAAGATCTAAAGTCATGTCCCAGGTCACCCCAAGAAGCAGCAAGTCCAGCAAAGGACACACACTATCCCTCTCACATTTGACAGATGTCAGGGGCCTCAGGCACCAGTGACAATTCACTAATTTCCTCTCACTCTAGCTTGGCCAGCCTTGGGAGAAGAGGGAGGATGGAGACAGAAGAAGGCACCCTCCATTTCCTGCTCAGCCTAGCCACTTCTATCAGTCATTGTCTTGGCCACGGTGCAGCAACCTCATCAAGTTACTGCACCTCCAGGCACGACTGACCTGCATGCTCCAGCATGTGCCCTGTAACTGCAGAGCCATGGCTGGAAGGGGGAGAAGACAGGCGCAGCCCCACATAGAAATCTGCCCTTCCTCCAATGGACCCAGCTTTCTGGGACCACCTCATTGGCTGGCTCACCTGGAGACACGCTAGGTTAACTGCAGAGTCATTGCTCATGGAGAGAAAAGAACAGCAGCTGCTCACTTCTAACTTGAGCTATACATACTCAAGCACTGATCTCAGGCTGGTGCTGGTCCCATTCTGACCACCATCATTTGATGAACCTAAAACATGACAGAACTCGTGCCACTGAGACAGAGGTTAGTCTTCTGCTTAGTTCATGTCCTCTATAGGAAGAAAACCATATGATTTCTCCTCCCAATCAAGATAGTCTTGAGCATATAAAGGATCAGTCTTAATACTTTTGCCAGGAGTTTGGGCATGAATCAGGACTGTCTGGGCAAACCAGGTGTATGTCACTCTAACTAAGGCAACAAGTGTGCTGGTCCTAACAGCTGTGAACACATCTCTGAGCTTGGACCATTTATCAAAAGACTCACTCAAGTACATTTCTTCAACTGCTTGCATTTATTTAAAAATTCACACACATGTTCACATCTGTATAATATTCTTAAGAACTATGAAAACAAGTATAGTCTCCACTTTAAGAATGAAGACACAGAGGCAGAATAATGTAAGGAGACTTGCCTCAGATCCCACAGAAGTTAGTGGCAGAAGTGGAACTACAACTCAAATCTCCTGATGTCAGCCCCATAAATAAGCCAATTCTGCCTCCTACTTCAACTGTTGGTGAGTCCTGATTTACATACCTACCAAAGTAAAAATGGGCCCCTGTTGAAGTCACCAAGATGAGCTTCCACTAGGAACTAACAAATCACTATTTGCTAAGAAATCCTGAGCTAAAGAAATTTCTCTCTTTTTCCCTAATACAATTTCCAGCTGGCTTACTTCATATAGAAGCAGGAAAACATATACACTCAGAGATGCATGCATGCTCTTCTTCTAAAGGCAATCACCAACAGAACATGCACCCTACACTTTTCTGATTGAAGCACATCTCATTCTAGAGTAAAGTTTGGGAGGATCTCTCCTCCTAGAGGTAAGAATCAGGACGGTCTTCCTCGCTGTTATACCTCACCTCTTAACACAGCATCTGGCACAAGCAGGTGCTGAAATTCCATGAGTAGGAAGATGAAGGATGAATGCGTGCACACATGGATAGATGTATGCATGGGCACATGCATGCATGCATGGAAATGAGTTGGTCTCCTTGATTGGAGATCAGCTGTATTTATAGATCTATTTGGAACTTGATAAGTAGGTCATCATTAAATTCAACCTTTGATGTCCACTATTTTTGCTATTGATAATTCAAGGGCAGCAGTGTAAGAATGTAGGGGAAGGAAAGGGGCTGGAGAACCTTCTAAACCAAACCAGTGAATACAGTGAATTCAGAAATCTGTGCTTCTCAGAGGCAGCGCCTTTGGAAGGGCAGCCATGGGGCATGAGAAGGAGGAGGAAATATGTTAACTCAGTGGACACTGAGAGGTCCTGAGGTCTAGGCCAAGTCCCCTGGGTAAGAGTTCTTGAGGGTCAGATGAGTCCAGAAGCAGTCAAGGCAGGACACACGGTAAAGAAGGGGAGTATGCAGGGAACAGAAGAGAATTAGGGGTTTCGTCAGCAAGGAATTCTAATTCATTGCCACAGTGGTGATTTTAGCCATTTTATTGCTCCTCTGAACTATAAAAGCAAATCAAATACACGTTCAAAGCAGCTTCGCTGGGCCTGGAAAACCTCTTATTTATGGTTGGGGAGATTTGTTCAGAGGCCACAGATACAAAGACACCTCTAGTAGTGATGCTGTTTTTCCAAGGAACTCCCTTGCTGGCAAGTTTCACTGACCCTGAAAGAAAGCACAGCCTGTGTGCCAGGGATGACAATGGATCCTGGGTATTTCAGAGACAAAGGAGCTGGGGGCTTGTTCAGGGTCTGCCACTCATTAGACAGGGACCTGTAGCCAAGCCACTTAACCTTCTCCAGTCTTGGTTTCTCACCTGTGAAACAGACCCGACAATGCTGCTGGCTCACAGGGCTGCAGCAAGGATGAAAAGAGCCTGCCATAGATACAGCACAGTCACTTTGTGACCTGGTGGTGCTCTGCAGATGTATAGTGGAGTTATTTGTCCACTTAGAGGATTAAAAATGTGATATAATTTATCAGCAGATCAATGCTTCTCAACTATTTAAAATAAAATGTTGAAAAATCAGATCCTAGTAAACTATTATCATTTCTGGGGTCTCAAATTAACTTCAGGTTTGACTCAAGTTAACATACTCCCCTATCTTGTCAAGATAGCCTTGCAACCCAGACCACCTCCCTGACAATGCAGACATTTTATGTGGAAGAAAAAGGTAAGCCTGGTAGAGCAGGAGCCAGTCCAAATAACTGGGTCTCTGTCCAGAAGCAGGCCCAGCCCTGACTTAGTTTCATGTCAATGCAAATCCAGTCTCAGGATTTTTTAGCCAGTTCACCTTTGCTGAAAGGCCAGATTTTTTTTTTCTTTCCCCTAGGGCTGAAATTGTTCTCCCAGTCCTCTGCAGTGGCATTGCTTAGGAAAGAATCTAGCCCATTTGGGGTGTTCAAATATGCATTGCTTGAGCTGAATCTTAAATTGGAAAATAATAGGTAACATGTAAAATGCTGGCTTCAACCAGCAAGCTTCTCTTTGACAATACCTTCCCAAGCCAGAAGTCCATCTCCCTAAAACTTGTAATTTCTGTGGCACCACAGATATTTCTCTGCTCATATCTGGTACTGTAATAAATAAACATTTTCCCGGGATCCAAGACAGTGCAGAAATATCTCACCCAGTCAGAGACTTTACAATGGTACCAAACTTAGGACAATTTCCAAGTTCACTACCACTTCCAAAGATATGTGTTTCAGAATGGCCAAATTCCCAGCAAGAAAGTCAGGCAGTGGTAGAGGTAGTGAAGAAGATGTTAAATGTTCTCATTTCTGAAAAGCAAGTACCTAAGGTAAGCTAAATCAAGAGTGTCCATTGTTTCTATGGATACCTGCAGCATTTCTGCAGGAGCTGGAGACAACCCAGGAGAAATGAGACCCTGGAAAAGGCAGACCACACCCAGAGGTTCTCCCCAAGCATCCTCACTGTGGACAAGGCAGTCAAACAGGCATGATGCAAACCCTCCTGGCCACATCCTCACACTCAGAAGATGCAAATCCTTTGGATGTTTCCAGACGAGACCTCCCAGCCTTTCAGACGAATACAGTACTCATCATTTAGAACCAATCTCATAATGGGAATAGGGGCTGGAGGCCAGCATGAAAGAGAAGTCTTTGTTTTGTATTTTTTAAATTATAAAGTAATTCTTGCTCCTTGTAGAAAATAGAGAATGTTATAAATAAATAAAAATTATCCAAAATTCCATAACATAGATAGCCATTATTACAAATTATATAAGTGCATACATATAAAGAAAATTAGAAGCATAATGTGTATAGTTTTGCAGCTCAGTTTATACCCAAAATTACTTAAAAGCATTTTTCAATGACATTCAATGTTTATATTTCAAGAACACCTACATAGCACTTACTCTGCACCAGAAACTGTTTTAAGTGCTTCATAAGCACACAACTCCCCACAGGCCTATGAGATGAGTGTTATTATTACCCACTTACAGGTGGAAACGCTGAGGGACCACAGAGCAGGCAAGTGGCAGAGCTGGAGTTCACGCCTGGCAGTCTGACTCCAAAGACCATGCTCTTGACCACCACACTGGGCTGCTGCTGTGGACTTTGGACACCTGACCTTTTATGACTCCGTAATATTCTAGTTTGGTCTCCTGTGATTGAGGCAATGCTGAATTTAAGACCTCAAAGTCCCCTCTAGTCAAAGTCCCTCCAGCTCTCTGAGTTACCCTTGTATCAATTGTAGGAAAAAGCTTCTTCCCAAACATCAGTTATCTCAACTGTTAACTACAAGGTTGGGGTGGGACCCACTGAAACAGACTATTCATAGGGAACCAGAGGCAAAAACTGCCAAAGAAATAACCATCAAAAGAGCAAGGAGCCGTTGGCTACAGGTGTTCTGAGCCCTGGCCTCCCCATCCCTCAGTGCCCCAGGACTGGCCGGTTCTCCACTTATTCTTTCAGGAAAGGCTCGATTTATCTGCACTTAATTTCTCATTAATAAAATGGGGCACTTATACCTGCCCGACAGGATGTCTGTGAGGATTAAGGAGACAGAGAGATGCCTATCAAGCACCTGGCCCAGGCTGGCCCTGGGCTGGGTAAAGTACAGACTGCTTTTCGTTGGTTTTTGTTTTTCATTTACTTGTTCATGCAGTTAATTATCTACCTGTGCCTCATCCACAAGGATGGAAAGAACAGATTCTGGACTCAGACGGGCTGGGGTTGACTCTGAGGTTTCTTAAAGCTTGCTAAACCTCTGTTTTCTCACCTGCACAGAGGGCATAATAACGGAACCCACCACGCAGAGTTACTGTGAGGATTAAATGAGACAATTCATGTCAAAGAATTTAGCACCCAGCAAGGGCTCAATAAGTCAAAGCTGTTTGTTTTCTTTCTTTCTTCATTTTCCACACCGTCTGCTTTCCCCTGTACTCATTTCACTGGCCTGGGAAGGGGGCAGGGGAAACACCAACAAGGCCTGATCCCGGTAGAGGTTAGAGACCTCACCACCCTCCACCTCCCACCTCCCACTTCACAGTGGAGGTGACAGAGGGTGCCCGATCATGGTCACAGAGCCTTGTAGGGACAGTGAGGCCTCTTCTAGCACTCCAGAGAACCATGAGCATCTCATTGCTAAAGGAACGCCTTCTCCTTTCAACAAATAAGTCTGGGGAGCTGTGTCCTTCCCCCAAGGCTGAAACACCCTGTTTCTGAACCCCCTTCCTTGGGCACTAAGTGAGGCAGGCAGGAAGCTGGCTGTCACCACCAAGCCTGCACTTGAGGAGGTCAGGCTCCCCAGGGCCCTGAGCTGGCTCGCACCCCCCCACCACCAGACACAGGGAGGGGCCGTCAGAGGGATGAGGCCAGAGGCAGGGCCGGGCCTGCTGGGAGGCCTGTCCTGCCTCATCAGGATTCTACTCAGCCCTCAGGCTGAATGAGAGGAATGGGACACTCCTCAAAGCCAGCATGGTAATTGCAGGAGGCATTAAGCTTAATTAGGCTAATCATCTGCCTGAAGTCATTTACCTTCAACCTCATGAAAGCGTCTTCAGAAAGCAATCCCACTGCAGCTGTGAGGCTGCAGGGTGCAGGTGCAGGGTTTGGGAGCTGGTGTCTGGAATTCCTAAAAGGATTCCAGCATGGCCTCAGGAGCCTAGAGGGACAGAAGGAACCAGATGAATGTATGACTGAGACTGGCAAAAAGGGAAACTTCTGGAACATTAGTCTCAAGCCAGGATATGGGCCTGGGCTGGAGGCTTGGGAGTGACTTTTCTGTTTTCCCTCTCAGCCTATTTGATTTGGTCAGGGGAGACCCCACCAAAGGAACCGACGTGCGCACAGGTTCCTCCAGGTTTCTTCAGGTTTCCACAGGTGTGCACTTTTCAGCTGTTTCAGTCTCTACAGCAATGACCTGCTGGTGTGAGAGCTGAATGGACTGACAGTGAGGTGCAAGTTTGTGTAACTGAGACCAGCAGAGAAACAGACATATATCCATCTGGTGAAATGCCTCTTTACTCAAAAACTACATGCAAGGTGTTCTCACTCATAGGTGGGAATTGAACAATGAGAACGCTTGGACACAGGAAGAGGAACATCACACACCAGGGCCTGTCGTGGGGTGGGGGGAGAGGGGAGGGATAGTATTAGGAGATATACCTAATGTAAATGACGAGTTAATGGGTGCAGCAAACCAACATGGCACATGTATACATATGTAACAAACCTGCACGTTGTGCACATGTACCCTAAAACTTAAAGTATAATAAAAAAAAAAAAGAAAGAAAAAAAAAAAGAAAACTCCATGCAAGGACTGATGGCTACAAAGCCCCCGGTGGCAATGCTTTGCAATAAGAAAATAAACACACAAATATTCTACTTAGTAACTAAACCTACTTAGTTAGTAGAACCCCTAACCCCATAACTCAAAAACTTCAGGGAGTAGAGATGACCAAACCATTGTACATAAGCCCATTTATGGGGACTAGGGCAGGGGAGGCAGCCTCCTGGAAGCCAGGTCCATCCCAGGTCTGCAGAAGTCCACTCACCTGTGGCAAAGTCTCACTGAACTGATGTGGAATCTCTTGGGGCAGGGGGTTGTAAATGATTTGGGGAAAGTACATTGGTGAACACATTTGTGAGGGAAATGTTTGGCCTTACTGAGTGTTCTCAATTCCTTTAGCAGCACATACAAGCATATACGAATCCAAACACAAGTTATCCTCTTTTGTTCATCAGAGCTGATTCTCACCATGTTATAGGCTCACTGTATTTGCTGTGGGCCCTGGCTCTGTACACATTATTTACAAAAAATTAAGAGATAGGAAGTTTCTGGATAAATGTCTAGCATGTGCCAGAGACAGGTGCACTAATCCTCTTTGAGCTCCTACTAAGTGGCAGGCACTGTACAAGTGATTAACATTGAAGTTATTCCTCACTATAAACCTGTGCAGTAGACATTGTTAACCATGTTTTATAAAAAGAAGAAACCAATGCCCAGAAACATTAAGTGACCACCCGGGGTCACTGAGCAAGGGAGCACACTGCTGGATTCAAACTCTAGTCTTTGGACATCAAAGCTTGCACACGTGACCTCCCCAGGAATTCAAGAATACAGTTTCTTTTGGCTCAGCCAGGCCTTCGCTTTGGCAGCTGTTGGGAGATGAATAGATCAGAGAGGGCAAGAAGTCCAGATGAGCAGCTCACTGTCCCTGCAGTCTGGTAGGAGATGGCCAGGGAAGCAACGGAGTGGGACCCACCAGAGAAAGCTGTAAGGAAGTTCAAAGCTTGGGGAGGAAAGGGAGTTTCTTCAAAACTGTGTGACCCATGGGTTCCAGTCAAGATGGAGAGAGGGGAGAGTGACACTTTCTCCTAGGAGTTGTAGACAAGGTGAAGACAAATTCTTCAAGTACACATGAGCTGCTCAAGGATACAAGAATATTTCCCTGGAAGGTTCCCAGAGATGTCTAGGAAGGTGAGAATTAAGGAAAGGCCAGATTCCCCAGGATGGCAGCAAGAGGTACCTGTGGGAAGAGCCAGCCCTCAGCAGTGGCAACCTCTCACATGTGCACAAAACAGTATGCAAAGTGTTCTTACATGACCCCCACCAGAGAGCTTCAAGGACAGGAGGCAGGCAGCGGTTATTATCACGAATGAACACCTTGGTGTCAAGAGCCATTAAATGACTTACTTGTCCCATGGATGGAGTGGCCTCACGGATGGGGTGACCTCAGCAGTCGGAACTTCCCTAGTCACTTCCTCCCCACAGTGGTCAGCCCTTCACTCTTCAGTGTCTTCTGTGGTTGGTTTTTTGACTTCCCACTTATGTGACCAACTCTGTGAAGCTGGGGAAGGATTAACTTGTTCATTCATCCATTTAGTCAGTCAGTTAGTCAAAAAACACTTGCCGGGCACGGTGTCTCACACCTGTAATCCCAGCACTTTGGGAGGCCGAGGCGGGCAGATCACGAGATCAGGAGTTCAAGACCAGCCTGGCAAACATGGTGAAACCCTGTCTCTACTAAAAATACAAAAAAAAAAAAAAATACCCGGGCATGGTGGCACGTACCTGTAGTCCCAGCTGCTCGGGAGGCTGAGGCAGGAGAATTGCTTGAACCCAGCAGATGGAGGTTGCAGTGAGCCGAGATTGCACCACTGCACTCCAGCCTGGGCAACAGAGTGAGACTCCATCTCAAAAAAAAATAAATAAATAAAAAAGAAAAAGAAAGAAAAACACTTGAGCACCTATGTGCCAGGCACTGTGTTTGGTTCTGAGGACACAACAGTGAAAAATAAATGCAGTCCCTGAAGGAGGAGGCATTCCAAGCAGGAGGAACAAAGATACAGAAGTGAACACTACAAAAGGGTAGGAGCCCGAGGAAGGTTAGTCAGGGAGACAGCATGGGCACAATTCTGAGCAGGAGAAGAGAAGATGTGTTCCCTGTCAACCCAGCCATTCGGTGGAAAAGTCCAGCTGGGTCCCAGGGTACACCCCCTCAAAGGACTCCAGCACTTCAGTCCCTGACTTGTGGATCCTCAAAATCCACAAACTTATAGCCTTGGGGCTTGGGCAGTGAGCAGCCGAGAATGTAGGGATGAGGGCCCTGCCCACAGGGAGCAGGAGAACCACATTATTCATCTGCTCTCCAAGCTGTTCCTTTGAAATGTCTCATCCATCAGCATCAGAGCCGTGAAGGCCCTTAGAAGCGCCTCCATCTACCTCATTACTTTAACCTACTTTTAATCAATCAAAAACCACACCCAAAGACACAGTTCCCAGCATGAAAAGCTGTAATGAGGCCAGAAGAAGTATCCTTGACAACTCAAACACAGCAAAAGTGATGAGTGAGATATTGAGCCCCAAGGGGGTTGGCCAAGGGAGGGGGGAGTATGTAGAAATACAAATGTTTTTTTTTTTCTTAGATATGTTATGGCAGGGACAGACAGGAATAGACTCCTCTTCCCAAGGTCATTGCTATGTGCTGACGTCCCCCAAATTTTTAAAGTTCTACAAGGCTTCTGGGGAGGCAGCCCCATCCTGGGCAAGCCTGGGAGTGCGAAGGCCAGAACTGAGGCTGCTCCTCCTGCATGCCAGCTCCTTATACAGGATCAGGCCAAAGGTGGCACCAAGAAACACTGGCTGGATAAAATGAACAAGAGAAGGAAGGAAGGAAGGAAATAAGGAAGGGAGGAAGGAAGAACAAGCAGCTTCTTGTGCTGGTCTGTGGTCAGGAGTGCATGCGGAAGAAACATGCAGCTGGAGTGGCCATTCACACAGCCAGTGCTGCCTGGGCCTCACAACTCCCAGCCTCGGTTTCCCCAGCAGCCCACTCCTGCTTCCAGTTGTTCTAGAAGTGCCCCAGCGATTGATAAAGGGCTGGACTACCTGCAGATCCCAACACGACATAGTAGCCTCCAACTTATGCATGGCCAAGGAAGAAGAGAAAGGGGAACAATGGGTAACCTGATTACAGCAAACCCCCAAAGACTGCCTATCAGAATCTGACAGGAGCGGGGCACTCCAATATCCATGAGCTCTAAGGATGCCAACTCAGACAGCCTGGGAGGGATGTGTACAGCCACAGACTCAGATAGCAGTTCCCAAAATGAGAAGCAAGCATGACCATCTGGGTGAGAATAAGCTTGGAAGCTGGGAGGCCAGGGAGAAGGCAGCCACACTGTCCATCTCCAAGAGTGTGATGAAGACTTGACAGGGCTGTGGCAATGGGCTGAGGGATGAGTTGGTATTTAGAAATAAAGACAAAATCCTAAGCCCCCGAACCAACTGAATGAGTCACACTCTTGGCCAAGACGACCCCAGAGAAGCCTTAAAATAGTGAGTTCCTGGCCATGACGAGAAGGGAGGTCAGACACACCTCGTTATATCCCCTCCTTCACTCACTGCCATTAGACTTTCTTTCCTAAGAGTTAAATAGAATCCAGCCCAGCTGCACTCCCCTCTACTTTTGCTGTTTTGACACAGCAACTGTGCAGCATTCCTTCCTGATAAGAGACCACCGACCACAGACTGGTTCTGCTGGTTTACGGACGCTGCGCACAGGATGCCTCTATGTCCTCCATTTCACTTTATGATGTACAGAGCCTAATTTTAATGCATTTAAATGTTAATACTCCACCCCAAAGTGAAAATGGGATGTATATAACATGCATGTTTGCTTACTACACATGTGTGTGTGTCCCTCTTTATGAATATTCATAGTTCCTCCTATAACCTATTGAATATATTTATATACTTAGCCGACCTGTTCAGCATAAATTCCTACCTCACTCTTTTCTTCTGTGAAGTGCCTGCTTTCAGCTTCTGCCACAGGCTATGCTTCCCAGTCTGCAGGGTAGCCAGCCTGCAGGCTGCAACCCTTTATAAGAAATGAAGCTTTCCTTTTCATATTGATGAACCTCATGATTCTTCAGTTAACAGTATGCCATTGTAGAAGCTATACAAAGCTTGGTGAGTGGTTGGGTGAACATGTTAGTGAGGAAGGAAAACAAGTCAGAGTGGTCCAAGTTCCTGGCACAGGCAATATGGTGGAAGGAGAAATGATGATGCTGTTAAATGAGATAATGCAATAGGAAGAACCACTGGGTAAGGGAAGCCCCTAAAGCAGAAGGAAATCCTTAAAATTGTTTTATAGGGGACAATCAAATTTGTGAGTCCTCCTGAAGCCAGGCTGCCCAGGAAAGCCAACATAACTACAATAATGATAATAATTATGTCACTTTTTTTGATCACTTGCAGTCATCCTAGTGGGTAACACTTTGCATTGAGTTCTTTTGGACTGGTTCTTTCCATCTCCATTCTACTCTCCTAGTTGGGGACGTTGCTTTTGTTTGTTTGTTTGTTTGTTTGTTTTTTGGTTTGATTTTTTTTTTAAGACAGAGTCTCACTCTGTCACCCAGGCTGAAGTGCAGTGGCACAGTCTCAGCTCACTGCAACTTCCGTCTCCTGAGTTCAAGTGATTCTCCTGCCTCAGCCTCCCGAGTAGCTGGGACTACAGGCGTGCAGCACCATGCCCGGCTAATTTTTGTATTTTTAGTAGAGGCAAGGTTTCACCATGTTGGTCAGGCTAGTCTCAAATTCCTGACCTCAGGTGATCCGCCCACCTCTGCCTCCTAAAGTACTAGTGTTATAGGCGTGAGCCACTGCACCCAGCTAGGTGGGGACTTTGGAAAGCTCAACACATTTCCCAGACTCCTAGACTCTTTTGTAGCTAAAGCTTAGGATGTGAACTATGTGCCACCAATTGGATGCACTCACACCAGATTTGAGAAGTAGAAGTGAGGTGGAGGCCATTCTCGCATCTCCTTTGATTGTTTCTATCGGCAAGCAGGGTCCTTTGCAGCTGGTTCCAGTGTCCATTCTGCAGTGTCCTGGTGGAACTGCAAGAGCAAGTGCAGTTTTGATTCCAGTTTTCTGGTACCTGGATCCCAACTGTAAGAATGAGTCCTGAGCTCTTAATTCCAGTGTCAGAGGCAGGTCGGAGGCAGGTAGCCCTAACCTGGAGGGTGACTTCTGAATTGTCCTGGGAACCTTCCCAGAGGCCCATCAGTGGCCACCCTGTCAGCCCTTCCCATGATTTTGTAGTACTTCATTCCCTGTATCCAATCCCTTCTTGCTCAGATCTGCAACTTGGTTTCAATTTCCTGCATTGAATCCAGTCTGAGATAGAGATAGAGATATGTGCCTGGCACTACTCTATGAGCTGTAAATATTAATACATTAACTCATTTAATCCTCAAATCAACCTTATAAGTTTAAGTATGACCTTGAGCAAGTCACTGACTCTCTGTCTGGGGTTAAGAGCCCTGTCTGATATGCTAGGCACTATGCTGGGGCTTTTACATGCATTGTCTCCTCACAACCTACTATTGGCTCTTTTTTCAAAAGACGACTGAGTCATAGACATGCTTACTTAGCATCTCTCACCCAAGGTCACACAGCTAGTCAGTGGCAGAGCTGGGTTTCAGCCCTCTGCCAAGTGCACCCCCAATCATTACGCTACACCACATTAAAGCAGAACTGTCTCCCAAAGGCTGTCCCGTGGTCATTTGGAGGCTACCAAAATGATAGTGCAATCAGTATGGAGGGAGCACTCAGGAAGGTCAATCTAATGAAAAGTGGGGCATGAAGCTCCACTTGCTTAGCAGTTTACACAGGATAAGAAAATTCCCCTTGTCCAAATTCAAGAATGGAGGGGGTGGCAAATGGAGATTGCAGGCAAGAAGGGGCTGACAACCACTCGCTCCTCAGCAGCCCCACGGACAACTGAGCACCTCTGCTCATTTCAGTGCCTACACCCTCCGGCTCAGTGAGTCAGGAAAGAGATCATTCAGACAATGGAAGTGAAGAGAAGAGAGTCAAGATACATCTGACTTTGAGGACTACGGAGGCTAAACCCTCGGTCTTGACAGGTATGGGGACATGGTGTTGCTGTTAAGTCCTTGCTAATCCTTTTCCTTCCCCAGAGATTTTTCCTTGGCCCATGAGTGAAGTCACATGTCTCTGTGCATAAGTTCAACAACTATAATTTGCAGGGAGTTAATTACCTTCATACTTTGATCTGGTGGAGTTTCATCTCTATGGTTACCAATTGAGTATAAACAATTATCACTTGTCTCTTTTACATAAAATATTCTGAAAAAACACCCCTAGGGCTCCAATCATGGAAATCAAATATACAGAATGTTCACAGAATCTTTTAAAATTTTTGTATGAAATGTCTATACACACAAAAATAGATAAAGTTGGGTAACTATTTGGCTATCAATAATAATTCACGAATTGTGCAGACTTGTTTTTCAGCCCTAGCCTCAGATCTCCTAAGTGAGGCAGTTCTGGCAAGGGTAAGGGGTTGGCCGAGTGACAGGTGGAGATGCCCAGAAAACAGAAAGCACCTGATGATGTCCACTCTGGGAGGGCTGGTGCCCAAAAGGACCAAGAGGATCATTTAGTCATCGTGCTTGTGATCGTGCCTGCTAGGGGCCTTATACTGATGCGTGTGTGAATAGATGCAACCTGGGTTGAATGAGTGAATTATGATAATGACAGTTAACAGGTATGGAGCATGTACTATGTGCCAGTCACTGTCATGGGCTTTACAAGTATTTCTTCATGTAATCTTCACAATATCACTATGAGATGCATATAATAATAATTACACTTAATTTACAAATGAAGAAATGGAGTCTCAGAGCAGTCACACATCTAAGAAACAGAGCTAGCATGTATGCGCAAGCCCATCTCAATTCAAAGCCCCTGCTCTCTTCACCCCCTCCTTTCTGCCACCACACAACAGTCCCACAAACATGAATGTTATGTCTACCCAGCAAAACTCTGAAGTTTTCAAGGTGACAGACACGACAGCTTTTCTAACTTGCCAAGGGGGAGTTCCCTGGATAGGTGAGCCTATGTCCATGGTGAGTGGTGTCTGTCCATTGGAAGCTCTATGTTCCTGGTTGGCGGTGCCTGTCCATCAATAACCTTCCAATCCAGTGTGGGGCCCTTGGCAGCTCTGACCTCCTAGAGCCCATGAGGTTGGGTGGAATCACCATGTCCCACAACTCCAGGGACATACAGTGGGAATGGCAATGCCCAAGGATTTAGGCAAGCAATCCCATAGCCCTGCCCATAAAATCTTGTCTCCAAACACAGCAAGTGACAGGGGCTGCATGAGAGTGGAGCAGGGTAAGGGAGAGGGGGGTTCATAGAATTAAGGCAGGTGGGTTCTGGGTTCACCAGCCTGCCTAAAGATGGAGGGCTCCACCTGCCTCCACCAGGGACTGTTTGGAAATGAGGCCTGAGACAGTGTCCTAGGCCTAGCCTCAGATCCAAGCAGGCCTAGCCTCAGATCGATGAGGCTGAGGCCTGCTTCCCTGGACTAGGAGTTGAGAGACCAAGGTTCTGATTCCATCTTAACTGAACTTCCAGCACCCTTTCCCTCACTGCACCTCAGTTTCTTTATCTGTGAAATATGCATCATGATCATTGGGCCTCCTGCCTAACAGGAAGACAAAAAGGCTTACCTGAGCCTGTGTGTGAAGGTGCTCTTCATGCTGTCAAATGCTATGCATAGGAGGGATCTGGGCACCCTCCAAGCAGTGATGCCGTGAGAGCAGCTGAGGTGTGGCCAGGTTTTGTATTCACCCACTCCCTTTCACTGACCCCTTTGGCAACAATGACATCCTTGCTGCCTACTGCTGTGCTTTTGCTCTTCCCCTTGGGGGCCAACCAAGAGGAAGAACAGTTAGGGTTAGGTTTAGTTCAACCATGACCCCCCAACACTGTCCAGACCCCTCCCACATGCCAAGGACTGGGGTAAGTCTGATGCAATCTTCACAATCATCCTATGAGGGTACTGACCTGGCTCCATTTTACAAATTAGGAAACTGAGATCAAGTGCCAGAAGTCACACAGCTAGAGAGTGAGACAGCAGGATTTGGAGCTAGTGTTCTCTGGCGCCAGAGTCCTAGACTTTCCACCACATCACGCAGTGTCTTACTGTGTTCTAGGTTGTAATGGGACTTGGGGGTCAGGGATGTGTCAGGTTTCACCAAGCCTCTGGTTCTACTTAAGTATCCCCAACTGAAGCCACTTTCTCCCAAGGGAAATTTAAACAAAGAACAGTTCTGTAACTAAATAGATGTCTATCCCAGCCAACACCAAAGCTTTAAAAGAGCTGATTTTTATACTCAGGTCCTCAGAAATTGAAGATGAAGTCATTGTGGCAGCCCTCTGACTCCTTGACCACTAAAGTCACCGTGTTTGAGAGTTCCTCTTTTGCTCCTGACTAAGCCTTGTGTTCTTACCTAGGGCTATCCCTCGGGGGACTGTTCATTCATTCTGTAATTATTTAGCAAGACCATGCTGTGTATCAGATACTGTGCCAGGTAAACAAGATGATGCAGTTCCTGTGGTCACAAAGCATTCAGTCCCATCCAGCCAGTGACCAGGGGGGCTGGTCCCAGAAGTTAGCAAGCCTTGACTCCAACATTTCTCCCAGCTATGACTCCACAAAGAACAATAATGTCCCCATTAACTCTTCCTCCCATTTCAGAACGTTTGTCTGTCATTCAGTTTGTTAATTACAACTAACGCTATGATCAGACTTCAAAGGTCCATCGATTACATCTCCAAGATCCATAATCTAAGTACAAGATCTAATAAAAGAATATCTGGAGTAGGGACTACTCCTCAAAGCCCTGGATGTCAGGTTCTCACAGAAATGGACCACTGCAATAGTTTTAGCTTATCAGTCAGTACCTGAAGGCGCTGTCCTCCATCTGCCTCCTGGGAGAAGCCCTTGGAACTTTGTCTATGGTGCTGGAAACCACAGATGCAGCTTAATCAACTTCAAATGCTACTTAATTAAATGGAATTGCTTCCCAGATCCATCAAAGCCCCATTTTTATCTCCTATTCTGATTGGATCTGCCAGAGGCTAGAAACACGAAATATCCATTGAGTGTTGACCTGAGGTTAAGACACGTGCATTGTGCCTGTGGCTGACTGTGGGTCACAGCACAGAAAACCAGCTGTAGGTGAGCCTCTGCAGGAACAAGAAGCCTATACTCAGCATCTTCCTGTGGCCCTGCCATGCACATAGCCCTACAGATTCCAAGATCAAGAAGTCCTGGCTTCTGACCTCAGGAGTGGAGAACACTGAGGACTCCATCAGCCGTGACTAGAAATGAGGGACTGGTCAATCAGAAAGGAGGGGTGTGGGGGGAACAATGCAATACAACCTTGAAAGCCTGGAGAGTGTGCTCTGAGTCCTCAGACCTGAGCCCTCACTATTAAACAGGAGTCAGGAAGCCGGGAGCCTGGGTCCTGCTGAGCTCTGGTGGGGAATTTCCCCTGACAGGTGCTAGAGCTCCAGGAGCTTCAGTGGTGGTTCAGGGCAGCCAGTGATATTCATATAAGTTATAGAACGTTTATACCAAGCGTCTCTGTCTCTCAAGCTCTACCCCACACTGCACTCTCTCTTTCTCTCTGGGCCTGAGAGTTCTGCCTTAAGGCATTGATGCTTTTGGCAGTTTCAGAGTTTCTGAAAGCCACAGATGTCTGTTCTTCACTCTCTAGTACCTGCATGGGAACCAGCTCTCCCCAAAGTTCCCAGCGCCCTCACTTTACCTTGCTGCCTCTCAGGGCCATCTCTAGACCATTTCAGGACACACCTGTGGTGCTCTCTCTCACTGTCTCTCTCTCAATCTCTCTCTCACACACACATACACACACGCTCACTCCCTCATTCCTGACTTGCCTTCCTCTTCCAGTAAATCACACCTTGCCACTTTCCTTTTCCAAGAGATTTAACCTTTCATGAGCTATTTCCTCAAGCACTGCCAGCTGAGCCCTTAACACGCCCTTCTCTATAATGGTGTGCATTTGCCAGTGACACCTGTTACACATGCGTTCTACAGATACAGTCCTGGTACTAATCTGATGAGCACTTACTACATCCCAAAGGCATGAACATCTCATAATGAACTTTCAGAGACAGAACAAAGTCAAGATGTTTAGGAATGGAAGAGCACTCCTGGAGCAGCAGAAAACACCTGTTCCTGATAGGCCAGGCTTCATCACGCCTCCCTGATGAGGCCACGGGGGTGAAGGGCTCAGCGCTTAGTAGGTGTGTGGCACATCAGCTCATGTTTCTCCTCCTGCCACCACTTCACCAAATCCAGGAGACAGGCATGGAGCCTCTTCTCACCGTAGATCCTTGCCTCAGAGATAGGATGCCAAGCTCTAGTCCTGCCTTGGCACTAAGGGACCTTGGGCCAGTCAGTCCTCTAACTTGGCCTGTTTCCCACTCTAACACAAGCAGAGCTGGTTCTCTTTGAGAACCACAGAGCTTTGTGGTTCTCAAAGGCCTTTCATACTACAAAGTCTCCCATCCCAGGAGTTCCTCACTGCCTCTGAAGAGTTGGGGGCAGGTTCAGCCAAGAAGCTGCTTAGCTTAGGTTCTCCGCTCACAGAGCCTGAGTGATCTATTTGGGAGAAATCCCAGGAAGCAGGAGGGAGGGAGCAAGGAGAGAGAGACTAAAAGGAGAAAAGGTAAGGTGGGTGTCAACGTCACAGGTATAGGCAATAGGGCCCCCATTTTGCCAGGGTCTCTGAAAGCATTCAATTGCCTCCCAGAACCGCTCCTTGAAAGGCAGGGCCAGAACAGTCACTCACCAGCTCCCACTCCCCATTGGCTGGGATCTGCCCCAGAGGTATGCACTCTGGCCACCCAAAGCCCCTTCCACATCTCCAGGCTGTTTGAGGAAAAGCAATGGGAGCTGCGTAGGCTGGAGCAAGCGCTGCAGAAGAAAGCAGGATACATGGAACACTCCAGGTGGGTTGAGGCAGGGAGAGGTGAGTCAGAACTGTCCAACACAGCTGCCACTGAAATTGGAGGTGGGCCCAGAAGGCAGCTATGATGGGTGGTGTAGGCCCGTGCTCCTGCCTCCAGGTCCTGAGTCATGTTCCATGGCACAGAAGGACCATCCCCCGAACATCCAAGTGATGCACCAGGCACTATTCTAGACATCAGGCAAACAATTGAGAACAAATGCGCCACACTTCTGTGCCCTGAGTAAGTCCCTTCTCTGCTCTGGGTCTCAGTTTCTTTATACCCTAAAAGGGGATCAGAATGCCTGCCTCCCAGAGTGGCATGAGAATATCTGCAGGGTCATTGTGTGACCTCCGATGCTTTGCATTTGCATCATCATGGGGGTGTAGGGACCCCAGAGAAGTGCAGCTTAATAGTGGAATCACAGGCACCCTGCAGTTAGGGGAAAGCTTTGGAGAGAAGGCAGCTCTGGTCACCCAGATACCCTGGAGGCTCCTACCTGAGTGCCAGGCAGCACTGAGAGGCAGGATGATGCTGTGGTGGCACATGAGCCTTAGAGTCAGGAGGGTTGAGAGTTCACAGCCAGCTCTGCCCACAGGCTGGGTGACTTCCAAAAAGTCATTTATTCTCATCGCCAATGGGCATGTGCCGAACATTGGGATGGGTTGAGAACTCAAAGAGATGTTGTCTGTAAAGCACACGGTAGGCCTGCAGCCAATGCCCTCTTTGGGCTGCCCTGCCTGAGAGCCATGGCGTGTCTGGATCTCAGGTCTCACAAAGCCAGCCTATTGTCTTTTCTCCAAAGCCTCCCACCCTCTTTGCAGGACAGGGAACAGCGTAACCCCCAGCATAGGTGTTGGGGTGGGGGTGGGCCAGCAGCAGCCCTGGAAACGTTCAAGCTTTACGGTCCCCCAGCAGGTCTCTGTTCTCCTCCACTAGCTCAGCCCCCAGCCCTCTGAGAAGCCCCGAGCTTAAGGGAACCAGGTGCCTTCATTTTAAAAAAGGAAAAAAAAACCCACACAAATAAAGGGTGATTTTGCAAGAGGAGTGTGGTGCATTCTTGGGGGCTCCAAGCAGTTTTACAGGCCCAGACACAGAGCAAAGGCACTCAGGGACCATGCAGAGCTCTCAGGCCCTGCAGGCTGGCTGGGGCCGGGGGCCCATGGGCAGGGATGGTGTGGGAAAGGCCCTCCTCCAGCTCTTCAGGGTTCTCCAACTGCAACCCAGGCAGGCTTTGCTCAGAGGGTGTTCCTCTGCACATTGATGGGGTGAAGGAGAGGAGGGAGGTCCAGTTCCCTGGGAGTCAGTTCACATGGACTTCCCATGTTGGGGGCCCTATATGCACCAGGAAAGCCCTATCCTTAAAAGGGTTTTATCTTGCCATGGATATGGGATAGGTACAGGGAGCCCTGAACAAGAACTTCCCAAATCGCTATTCCCAGGCACCACCAGAAATGTGGTGCTTTTCTCTGCCTCCAAAAAAAACAAAAAAGCAAATCTGGGAATTTACCTCATAATGAAAACCAATAGACTGGATTTAAAATGCATCTTCAGGCACTGTGGCTTATGCCTGTAATCCCAGCACTTTGGGAGGCTGAGGTGGGTGGATCACCTGAGGTCAGGTGTTCAAGACCCAATTGGGCAACTTGGTGAAACCCTGTTTCTACTAAAAATACAAAAAATTACCTGGGTATGGTGGTGGGCACCTATAGTCCCAGCTACTCGGGAGGCTGAAGCAGGAGAATCGCTTGAACCCAGGAGGCAGAGGTTGCAGTGAGCCAAGATCGTGCCACTGCACTCCAGCCTGGGAGACAGAGTGAGACTCCGCCTCAAAATAAATAAATAAATGAATACATTAATTAATTAATTAAAATGCATCTTTAAAATCTTCCCTTTTTGCAATACTACATGGGACATCCCAAATTCAAAGTATGAATGAATGCATCAACCACCAAATACACTGAAAATGGGCACACTCAGCAAGACACAGAGGCCCGTAAATGTTACCAATAGTTACTAGAAACTAACTTTGACAAGCTGATATTTCAGGGCCTTGGCCCTTCAGCATATTGACTTGGAAAATTAACCTGGAGCCCCTACAGGACTGAGCCCAGTGCCTGGTGTCAGCCCAGCCACCTATCAGGGACCAGGCAGACTGTGACAACCATGACACAGTTCCCTTTTCGTCGCACTATGGGAGCATGTGGTTGAGGGAAATGGGGAAGCCAAGGTCTAAGGGCTTCCCAAGCCACTGCAAGTATAAACTAGAGACACTCTTTGAGAACCCCAAATTTAAAATCATTTAGCTGGAAGTTGTTCACATTTCATAAAATCTGTATTTCACCCCAGGACCTTTTAAACCTCCCTAGGCATTTAAAGTGGGGATTATACAGCGTTTATGAAACAGTGTGCCCCAAAGAAAGATGCGTACACAGGATTATGCAGTGTGACTGTCATTATGTGAAAGTTTCTGTGCACGGGCACAGGCTGGACTGGTTCTGGGAAGGATGGAAAGTTCCATGTGCCCCTTTTTCTCTTCAGTGATGCTGTACTGTCTTCAGAATGGTATCATTTGTTTGGTTCTTTGCTTATTTTTGCTTGTTTGTTTGTTTTTTTGTTTGTGAAATGGGAGTTGAAATGGCCTCAAACAGACCTAGGCACCAAATCCAATTTTCCAGTCAAATTAATTATGAGTTCCTGATGCAGCATTCAAGGCTCTCCGCAATACCCTCTTGCTGCCCACACTCCCTGTGTATACTCTACCTCCCATCAAACCAGCCAGTCCCTGACTCATCACATGTGTTCTGACCTCAGGCTGGACCTCAGCTGCCCTGTCCCTGCGGGTCACCTTCACTCACCCCTCTCTACCTGAGCAGTCTTCCTCATCCTTCAAGGTCTATTTCCACTACCTGCTTCATGAAAGCATTCCCAATCCCCAACCTGGATGGGACTGCCTTACAGCCCCCCATCTGGAATCCTCGCATCCGTAACTCATTTGAAGTATTCTCTCAGCCTGCTGGCAAGGGCCTCTCTGGCCTGCAGACATCCTGCCGAGCCTCTGGCCCGCAGCCCCCGCAGCCCTGCAACCCCGGCACAGAGCAGGCACTCAGCAAGGGCTCAACTTGGTGTTTATAGAGGATTTTGCTTACCAGAATAAAATAAACCCCCCATTTCAGGCCAAGGATGGCAACTTGGATAATCATGTTTTTCATCCCAATCCAAATGGATTTCCACATGTGTTAGTGGCTTTTTTTCCTCCACAGGATAAACAAATTTAGTCTCTTTGTGATAGCTCAAATACATGTTTAAAGAACTGCCCCCAAATGTTTCATCTTCAAAGACAAAAACTCAGGAAAAACTTGTACAATACTTCTGTTAGTCCAGCTGAAACAGTAGCTACAAGAACATTAATTCTCCGGCCTCTGCCTTCTTCCTTGGACACTGGACCGTCAGCCACGACACCAGGAGCAAACCCGCCCTGCTTTCCGTGGTTCTGAGCCTCTTGAATTCGGGCCTCCGCCAACACACAGCAGGACATCTAGCCTTACACAGGGGCCCGTTCTCAGAGTCCCCATACCACACTTTCCCTCCTGCCCTCTCTCTCTAGCATCCACATCTGGTTTCCCTTCAGCACAAGTTTCACAATGGACAGATTTTGCACTTCCAGGATTTATGGTTCCTGCTGCCCCTCCTTGCTTTTGATATGATTCCATTATGTGCTTAAAATCTGGGCCGCACTCTTGGCTCTGGGGAGCTGTTTATGACAATTCTTTTATGGCCTTAAATCGCTCACCGTTAAGAACCTGATCATGTTCAGAGGCAATGACTAGTTGCTAAGAAAGAAAATTGCAACATGTCTCAGATGGTTGCTTGAAAAGTTTTCTTCATAGAAGATTCATGAAGGCTAGTATTTACCTGGCAGGTAAATCCTCTGAGGAACACCTTGGACCCTGTTCTCCTCCATCAGCTGCCAGAGACTGATTAAAAGCAAATTAGTCACAATCTTCTCACCCCAGACCCAATCACTTCCTCCCTTCTGCTGTGCTAGAGACCACACTGACAGAATTGGTAAAAATAAAAACACCAATATCACAAACACTCCCTCTTGACAGCAAACGAGACTGAGAACATTTTTTCTTTTCCATCTGTGCATTACATTTTTTCAGAAGGCAAAGAATTTCAGGAATAAGAAGACAAAAACTTTTATGAAAGACAGGGCATGGTGGCTCACACCTGTAGTTCCAGAATTTTGGGAAGCTTAGATGGGCAGATTGCTTGAGCTCAGAAATTCAAGACACGCCAGGGCAACATAGTGAGATCCCCGTCTCTACAAGAAAATTTAAAAACTAGCCAAGGGTAGTGGCATGTGCCTGTAGTCCCAGCTGCTTGGGAGGCTGAGGTGGGAGGATCACTTGCGCCTGGGAGGCAGAGGTTGCAATGAGCTGAGATCACACCACTGCACTCCAACCTGAGTGACAGAACAAGACCCTGTCTCAAAAAAACAAAACAAAACAAAAAAAATACAATGCCCTGACCTTTGGGCAAGAACTTCCCTGAACCAAGGTTTCTCTTGCCTCCCATCTCCCTCTCTGCCATCCTTCTTTCGTCCAGCAGCCAGACAGATCTTCTCATAAGGCAAAACCGAATCACACAACCCTGCTTGAAATTCTCCAATGGCTTCTTATAATCCAGGTGATGAAGCCCAAACTCCTCAGCTGCCCAGGACCCTGCACAATTTGGTGCTGATCTACATATTCAGCCTAATCACCCTTCCCTCCCCTGCCCAGATCCCTGCCCTACACACACAGGGCTCCGTTAGCATCCTACAGTTTCCTTGACCTTCCCCATCCCATAGCAGTTGTTTAAGCTGTTGTCTCTGCCTGAACCATCCTCCTCAATGCCTGCTTCCCTATCAGAGCACGAATGCCCACTGTGCCCTATGAGAGCTTAGCAGTGTGCCTAGCCTTTCTCTCCCCACATTCCGCCCATGGCAGACCCAGAAGGCTCCATGTCTGTGTCTGAGATCACTGCAGAAGACTCCTTGGACCACCACATTACCACCCTCTGGTACTGGATGTAGGGTTGCCAGTTAAAATACAGGCCACAAGTTAAATTTGAATTTCAGTATAAACAATGAATAATTTTGAGTATAAGTATGCCGTAAATATTGCATGGGCATTTTGTATTTTTTGTTTGTTAAAGTTGACAATCCTAGCTGGTTGAGAACTCTGGGATGCCCTCCAGGGAGAAGAACTGAGGACCAGGTGGCAGCAGCATGCAGACAGGAAGGTAGTGGGTGACACCTGGGCAAAAGGTAGGGAGCGTCCCCCCACCCTCCTCCTGGGAGGCAGCGTATGGCCGTGCAGAGCAGGACTCCAGAGTCAGATTGCTTGGGTTTGAATCTCAGCTCTGCCACTTGGTAGTTATTTTGGGCAACATACTTAACCTTCTCCTCAGTTTCCTCATCTGTAAAATGGGGATAACCTACTTTGTGTGGTTATGAAAATTAAATAAATTAATATTTGTATAGCACTTAGAACAGTCCTTGAGACATAGTAAGCATTCTATAAGCATTTCATAAATATAAAGCAAAAGAAATTAGCCAAGCCAACCCACAGATAAGGGGAGTGAGTCTACGAGATTTAATAATCATAAAACAAGAATGAACATTTATGGAACACTTACTATGTGACAAGATACTGTGCAACATGTTTGTTCTATATCAGCTCATTTAATCCTTATCACAGCCTGATTATTTATTATTATTATTATTATTATCTTCTTTTTACAGATGAGGAAGCAGAAGCACAGAGTGATAGACTAGTACTCTAGACCAGGAAGTCTGACTCTGTAACACACTAGACTGTGATAAACTGTGATCCACATTAATTCATTCATCCTGCATTCGTTCATCCTGCATTCAATCATTTCTTCATTGAGCACCTACTGTGTGCCCGGCCCTGTGCTCAAGCTGGGGAACTAGAATTAATAAGAAAGACACAGAGCAACCTCAGAGGATCATGGACCTGAAAGAAGACCTCATAGGAGCCTTTACAAGTGTGAGGAGTGGCACTGGAGACAACAAGGTCTACGAGCCACGCGGACAGCAGGTGCCTCTCCTACCCTGGGGCTAGGACGGGAGTCAGGCAGATGTGTGCAGTCAAGGAGGGCTTCCCTGTAAAATGACATCTTCGCAGTTTCAGGAAGGCAAACGAAAGCAAACAGCCTAGCCAAGGAGACAGGACTTGGCGGTGCCTGCACAGAGGCCTAGGACTCTGCTGCAAACATGGAACAGGGCTGGTGAGAGAGGCAGGAGGTGGGGCAGAGCAGAATGAGGACAAGTGAGGCCGGATGGAGGGGCTGCTTGTTCCCCTGTGCCAAGCAGTGGGGGACAGCTCTAAAGATGGGCCTAGACCCTCACCATGGGACTCACCCAAGCCACCAACAACTCTACCTGCCTCTCTGCAGTGCCACCTGCACAGCACAGGTGCTCATCGCCCATCGCCAGCGTCTGCTCAGTGAGGCTGAAGGCTGCCCAAGCCCTCGCTGAATCAACTGCTCCTGAGTTGCTGTTATAACAAGAACATTCTGAAAAACTGGAAAGCAAGGAGAGAAGCTTTACAACAACAATGCCCAACATTTCGCCACTCAAAGAGAATGACGTTTGTAACTCTGTCTTGCCATCCTTTGTACAGAGGTTACTGTTTTGCATACTTATAATCACAGTGTTTACACAACCTTGTGTTTTTTCTACTTACTGCATAAGCATTTACTCCACAAATTTAGAGCTTTCATTGTTTTCTTAATCCCCCATTGTTGGGCATTTAGTTTAAATCTTTATTTTTAACAAGGACTAGCTTTGCATGTGGTATTTCTCCATTATGAGAATTTTAAACAGATTTCTGAAGTGGTTAATAAGATGAAATGGTTTACTTCAAACAGTCTGGATACCATACTATAAATATAACTTCCCCAAATTTTGTACCAATTGATAGTCCCATGAGTGATGCTTAAGTGATGCTTCCTCACTTTACCATTATCAGCTTTGGATGTTGCTATTTAAAATAAACATTTCCTCATTGAGTGGGACCAAAACCAAAATGCCGTGATCCTGCAGCACTGCTGTGCTTTTCCTTCATTGCCAAAGAGGATGCATGTTCTTTGATGAATTGGTTAATTGCCTTTCTTTTTCTCCTGAATTGTCCTTTGATGTCCTTTGCTCATTTATATGTTAGGGCCCTCTTCGGAAATATCTTTGCATGTGTTCTTAATATAATAAAGATGCTTGCCTGTAAGGGAGTGTTGTTGGATGAATAGATGGTGGAATAAATGCTACTTGTTGGTTTGTCATATTTGCTGCAAGCATTTTCTCCCATGTTTAGGGGAATCTTGCAGTGCCCCCTGTGACCCATCTGAGTAACAGAGCCCCCCTACATACACTCTGCCTCGGGGCTGCTTTAAGCCTAATTCAATACTGCCTGGCTGTCCCCCACATCATTTTCTCTGGGCTTAAGTTACTCAGGATCTCTAAATATTTGCAGTGTGAAGAACAAAACCAGAGGTTGTTCTTGGGAACCTTGGTCCTTCAACTTCCTTCACCCCAGAGCATGGCCAGGGAAGGGGTCAGCATGCAGGGCTGTAGCTGAAAGAAAGCTGCACAGAGGAGGCAGCTGGCTGCCCAGACTCCACAGGCTGCAGGTGAACAGACAGAGGGAGGAGCTGGAGAGGGAGAGGCACCCGCCAGGCTTGGATTCAGAGCCAGCAGCCACACAACACAATGGAAGCAGGTATTTTGGGGTGACCCACCATGTCATGAGTGGTGATGGGGCCAGACAGGTTACTGGAGCCCAGGATCTTGCTCTGGCCTAAGTAGCTAGGTACAGGACACAGAGACAGGAGGCTGGCTAACATTAATGCACAGGGAGATCTTGTATGCAGTCAACCCCATTGCTGGGCCTCAGTTTCCTCATATGTACAATGAAGGCCAGTTGTGGCCTCAGCCTCTACCAGTGCTGAATTCTAGGATTCCTGTCCTGCCAGGGAAGTAAAAAGGACTCCTCTTCTGAAAAGAAGGTCAGTCACGAAAAGAACTAAAAGAATGGGGGAAGGAATTGCCCTGGATCCCAGCTCCCAGGGCAGAAAACCAGCCTTGACCAGTCAAGACCCCTTTCTAAGCAGACCAAGGAGGTAGTGCCCAGACACCTGTGGGATTTCCTGGAAAGTCACACTCCTGTTATCACCACCTCCTCTTCCCAGAGACTTCATCTCTAAAACAAATGCCCTGAGGATGAACTGGCTTCCCTGGGAATATGGACTCCCCATGGCCACCCCTACACACACGCAAACACACACACACACACACGCACACACACTTTCTCACATGCAACCTTGTAGCCTGTGCAGCCTGGATTCAGCAGTACTCTCACATGCTGAGCTGTTGCCTGAAACATGTTTTTATTTACTCCACAGATAGGGAGTGAACCCCTGCTACATGCCAATCACTGTTGTAGATACTGAGGATGAGCAAGACAGACACCCACAGACACAGACAGATCATCCACAATGCACCCCCAAATAAATATGAAAATGTACAATTTGAGGTTGCTGCACATACAATGAATAAACTAAAATCGGTGGCAACACAGAGAGGGACTGTTGTTGGGGGTATGCTCGTGGGATTAGAACTGGATGGTGAATATTGGAGCCCAGGCTCACTGAGGAGAAGAGGGTTGCCTGTCAGCCCCTGGGGAGGAGCACTGCAGGTGGAGGGGCCAGTGAGCACAAAGACCCTGAGGTGGGAACAGGCTTGGATGTTTGAAGGTAAGACAAGGCAGAGTATCTGGAGCACAGCCTGTGGGGAGCATGGCAGGTGCTGGTCATGATTGGGTGCGCACTGCTGGGGACTTGGCTTCCACTCTGCATGAGATCGGGAGCCAGTAAAGGGTTCAGAGCAGGGACTTCCCCCAGGAGATCACTGTGTGAGCAGCAGGGACCATGAAGGGCCAGGAGTGGCCTCCCTCCTGTGGTCACTGGTTAATTCCTTTCCATCCTTCATATCTAACTCAATGGCCCTTTCCTCCAGGAATTTGTCCCCACCTCGTCACCCTGTCAGATCCCCTGATGAGTCTCCTAGCACCAACCACCCTCCAGGACACTGACCTCTGCAGGAGTTTCACACTGATCTCTGTGGTTTATAGCTAATGTCTGCCTTCCCCACTAGACTCTGAGCTGCTTGGGGACAGGCACACAGCTGCCTTGGCTCACCTCAAACCCCCAGCACCTCGTACAACGCCTGGGACACAGTGGGTGCTCAATAAATGTAAAGAGAAGAAATAAGCAAATCCCTGGGGTCTCAGCAAAATTTCCACTCCCTCAAGGAGTGATGTCCTGTTTCCACTTCCTCCCTCCTCTGTGCCCCCACACTTCACGTCTACCTCTTCTGTAGAATCCAGTATGACCATGAATGTGTTGACATCTGCACACATGCATACACACACACAGGCAAGGCATGTGTGCTGTCCTTCACTGTACCCCAGGGACCTCCTTGAAGCAGACAGTGCCACTGTACAAAGAACGGCCTCACACATGCCCACCTGCTCAGAGGCCCTCGGCTTGGGCTCACTAGACAGTCTGTGCCCTGAAGGTGTGTCAGGGGCCAAGCCCCCTCCCTCACCCAGTTAGGCAGCATCCCCCACAGACCTGCTGGCAGCAGGGGCCTCATGCTCTCCTGTACCATGGCTCCAGAAGAACTCACACAAACAAGGGCTCAGCTCTGCTTGCACAGTGGCTGCCTTCTGCAAACCAGAGATCTGCATACACAGACTGAGGAGTGTAACTGAGGACAAAACACTGGGACGTCTGACCTCTGGTCCAGCCCAAGAAGCTGGGGAACGTTGGTCCATATTTCTAGAGCCAACTACTTTTTCCTGTGAAAACTCAGTGCCCACGATCGCTGGTGTTGTTAGATCCCAGTTAATCAATCAACATATTCTTGAAACAAACATGTTAGAAATAAAATCGTTAATAAAAAATAATACTTTACATGCTCTAGGAAAGCTTGGTATTTAAGAAATTCCTTTGCAGCATAAAATATATTTTTTTGGAAAGCAATTGGCAATTTCTATGAAAAGTCTTAAAATGGGCATGTGCCATGGCCCCATGATTCTATTTCTGAGGGCTGATCCAATGTATTAAAACCTACCCCAAAATGGAGCTACAAGAATATTTGTCAAACAGCATTGGTTGTAAGAGGGTAAGGTTGAAAACAATCCAAATGTCCAGCAAGGAGTAGTCAAATTAATTCTGGTACATCTGTATGACGGAATACTCTGCAGCTAAAATCATGATAACCGCAATGGTCAGCACATATCAAACACTTACTCTGTGTTGGGGACCACATTAAAAGCATTACATGCACTATCTCATTTAATTCTGCCTATGCTGTACATATTATTATCATCTCCATCTCACAGATGAGGAAACCAATACCAAATAGAGTTAAGGTATTTGCCCAAAGTCACACAGCTAGTCCCTAGGATGCATACTCAGGCAATTTGACTCCAGACACCAGCCTCTTAGCCATTATACTACCCGGCCTCAGATGAAACCATTAAGGGAGCTATTGTTGTAGCAAGGCTAGCCACATGGAGCGATGTTCACAATATGCTAATAGGTATAGCAAGCAGGTTATTAAAGACTACATGCAGCCTGATCCCATGTGTACATGTGCACACAAAGCAAAAAGAGGATGCTTTGGGAAGATTTCACCCAAGATTTTACTTGCGTGAAAATGTTAGTTTTCTTCTGCTTGGGTTTTCTGATTTTTCTGGGCAAACGTGTTGTTTCTATATTTTAAAAAATTATTTTTAGAGTTAAAAACTAACATAAATGCCAAAAGTCACTCCCTCATACTCATCTCATGCATAAATGCAAATGTCCAGCTATTGGCTTTGCTTTAGGTATAGGCACAACAGCACGCATAGGCGCTGCTTGCTTTTCATGGCTCAGCTTCTTCTTGAAGCAGCAAGGGCTCTCCAGTTGGGAAGAGACGACACAGATTCTTCCCATTGCACCCTTCAGCAGACTGTCCCCATCATCCAGAAGCCCTCTGGGCATTTTTGCCTCCAGGGAACTGCCAGGCTGATGGCATAGAGCTGGGTGAGCTCTCTCCTGACAGCCAAGCCCAGGGACTCCAAGAGCTTGAGATGATCCACCTCCTGTCTCTGGGTCTCTCAAGGCAGCAAGAAGTGAAGGGCAGACAGGCCTCAAAGCAACAGAGTGGTCCAGGGACAGGAGTCCCAGTTCTGCAGCCGTATATACTGAGGACCCTCCTGGCCTAGTCACCTGCTTCCTAGCTCTGTGACCTTGGACAAGTTATTTCTTCTCTCAGAGCATGTTTCCACACCTGTCAAATAAAGAAATTAAAAGTACCAACTTGGAAGAAAAGTACCAATTGGTAAGAATCAAAGTAATAGATAAATTAGACATAAAACGATGGTGCCAATAAGTAACATTTCCTGGGTACTGACAACATGTATGATTTCTATAGTTCTCACAGCCACCCTATCAGAAACACTGTGATGATCTGCACTTTACAGATGATGAAACAAAAGCTGAGAGCGGTAAAGTCACTTGTGCTGGAAAGTAGTGAGGAGGGAATTTCTGCCACTATGGCTGGGCTCACACCACTATACCTCGCATTCTGGCACAATGTCTAGAACATGGGAAGGCCTTCATCCAGATGGTTACCACTGTCATCGCTCTCCACTAGGGCTCTCTACCTGGCTTTGGAGAGTAGTGTGAGAGTGAGGACTCCTCCTGGTTCTCCCCACCACCCAGACACTCACACAGCCACCAGGCCACTGACCCACTTTAAGGAGCTTTCCTTTGGGAGTCACCAAAACTCCTCCCCAATACCCGTCCCCACCCCCGCATACACACACATACCCTCTTTGAGTCAGTTCCAGTGATCACAGTCAATGACTTTGCTGCTGGACAGTCTATGACAAGCCCCTGTCCAGAACTGGCCTTGTGTTCTGGCCCAGCAGGGGCCCTTGGGGGTCAGGCCTGCAGGCACTCACACTTGGCACCTGCTCCAAAACCCTTTCAGGTCTTTGAGGATCTGAGCCCTGGGCCTGGGTCTCCCGCCGGCTCGGAAAAGCTGGCCTGCCGGGCCAGAGAGAGAACCACACGATTCAGAAAAGCAGTGCCCTTCAGCAGCCTCTCCACCGTCTGGGCTCCCCAAAGGCAGAGCGGGACGCTGGAAATGTGTGCGCGCTGTGGTATGGGTGTGCAAGTGTGCGAAGGCGGCGTGTTGTGTGAGCGAGAGGGTAGCGGATGTGTGTGTGCGTGTGCGCGCGTGGCTCCGGGTGTGCGCCGCTGCGATAGCGGGTCCTTTCCCGGGGCGGGCGACGGGCGGGCTGGGAAGGTCTCCTCCCCTCACCACATTGAGAAATCTCAGTGAGTCACCGAGTGGTTCTGCATATTAATGAGCTCGCTCGCTGCGAGGGCAGGAGCGGATTTAAAAGAGGCCAGGGCGGGCGGAGGGAGGCTGTGGAGAGAGCGCGGAGACAAGCGCAGAGCGCAGCGCACGGCCACAGACAGCCCTGGGCATCCACCGACGGCGCAGCCGGAGCCAGCAGAGCCGGAAGGCGCGCCCCGGGCAGAGAAAGCCGAGCAGAGCTGGGTGGCGTCTCCGGGCCGCCGCTCCGACGGGCCAGCGCCCTCCCCATGTCCCTGCTCCCACGCCGCGCCCCTCCGGTCAGCATGAGGCTCCTGGCGGCCGCGCTGCTCCTGCTGCTGCTGGCGCTGTACACCGCGCGTGTGGACGGTGAGTGCGGGGAGCTCCCCTTGTCGCCGTCTCGTCTTGTCCTGTCCTGGGGAACCCAAGCGCCAATTTCTAGGCATCCTGGGATCCCGCGGGGGGTGGTCTGGGTGGGCACCAAGGTGGTCGAGGGGCAGGAGACCGCCTAGCAACTAAGCCGTTGCCCCGCGCTCGCTCGCAGGGTCCAAATGCAAGTGCTCCCGGAAGGGACCCAAGATCCGCTACAGCGACGTGAAGAAGCTGGAAATGAAGCCAAAGTACCCGCACTGCGAGGAGAAGATGGTTATGTGAGTTCTCGCTCCTCACCTTGAGGGGGTGCGCACTGCTGTCAACCCAATGCCAGGGCACAGCCTGGGCCTGGGTCGGGCTAACAAACATTTCTCTCCGACTTTGTCAAGGCCCTGGAAAAGCCTTTGTAATTGCCCAGAGAGTCCTTAGGACGCTGGCGAGACACTCTGGAAGACAGTCGGGAAGGGGGGTCACTGTCCCGCTCCGGAACAGCGCCTCCAAGTTCACCCTTGCTAGGATTCAAATGAGCAGTCTCCCTATTTGTACCATGGGCCACCCACTCTGCTAGGGCCATCAAGGGTTAAAGGGTTCCCTTGTGCCAACTCAGAAAACCTAGACTGAAATCACTTAAAACACACTCACACCCAAACTGTGAGGCGTGCTGCCTTCCTGTCACTGGATAGAGGACTAATGCAAACACTATCTTAAATCCTGAGTCTCCTTCAGAGCCTTGTTCCAGTCAGAGACAAGTGGACCGCAAGTTTTTGGCTCCTAGAGATTTTATTTTGAGAACGCTCCACGAGCTTCCCTCACCGACTGTACTCCTTGTGGGTCCCCAATACGGAGCAGTACTGCAGAAAGTGCTCTGCTGGGGTTAATGTGCCACATGGCTGGAGCCCTGCTTGGTGGGGATGTGGGGAATGTTGGAAAAACTGGGGCAGAGTGAGAGAACACTTAGTTTCTTGCTCCTCCGCCTTCCCAATTAACCACTTGAGGCCAGCACCGCTGCCTCCTCATCAATATGCTCTTGGCCAGGAAGGGAGCCCTTGGCAAAGCGGCTACCAAATATTTGCCACAGACCATTGGCCCCTCTTCCCCTCCCCCAGAAACAGGACGCACTTTATTCTCAGTCTGGGCAAGTGCCCTCCACCAGCTGGCCCCCACCGGCGCAAAGGCCTTCACAGTGTCTGCGAAAGCAGTGCACACCCCTACCCAGCACCCCCCATCCCCGTCTAGGGGCTACACTGTCAGGCTGAAATTAGGGGAATTCAGAAATCCACTGGAACTGAGCTGACCCCACTGCCTTCCTTCACAGACACCTAAATTAACTTGCTTGTCCCTACCCCTTGCCTTGCAGACCAAATTCAAAGAAAATACCCAAAAATCCTTTTGGGTGGGGGCCAAGTGTCAAATGAGCTGGGAAAGGAGCTCCAAGCTCCTCAGGGCTTCCAGTTTGGGGGCTAAGAATGACAGGGGAATTCCAAGTTAAATCTCACTCGTCTAAGAGCTGAAAACCACTCTATTAACCAAACAAGTTTCTGAGACCTTGCAGGGGAAGAAAGCAGGGTAAAGGATGCAGTGATACCTAAAAAGGACAGAGCCCTCAGTAAATAGGCTTGCTCTTTTCCTGGCTAAACTTTTCCACATATAGAGAAAAACTATAGCTAGGCAAGTGTGAGAAAGGCTTTACGGAGCCTTGTAGAAACGTGCAGGGGCCTCAGGAGATCAGCACACAATCCAATCACCCTCTACTAAACCTCTAACCCACCCCCTAGGGCCTCCCACTCCATCCCTGAGGGCTGGGGGCTCCTCTCCCCCTCCACAATCCTAAAACTCTCCAAATCAGATGAGGGGCCAGCACTTTTGCAAAGCAGGTTTTCAGCCACAAAGGCTGAACAAAAGCAAATTTTCCAGCTTACCCTGAGTCACCCAGAAATCTCTGCTGAGGCTGGGGGTGGGGGCAGGAGTAGGGGCGGGGGGAGAGGTCCGCTTTGCAAGTGGGAGTCCTTGCACCCAGAAGGATCCAGGAGAGTCCGAATTCTAGAAAGAGCAATTTGTGTCATAGGTCCATGGAGCTCTCACCAAAACCCTTACCCCCACCGCCAGAACTGTGGAGGAGAGGGTCACAGGACTCAGAATTTCTGATAGTTGCTGGAGTCACAAATCCCTATGTCTGCACTCCACAACCGATTTTCATAATCCCAGTATTATGACGTGGCATTTGAGCACTGTAGTGAGAGGGCTGAGTGACCCTTCCTGCTCTCCCTTCCTGCTCTCCCTGACCTTCAGGATTTGGGATGCACAGCCTGCACACTGACCTAACTGAGAAAGGGTTTTTATCAGGCATTACCACGTCCTTTCCTTCAGAATGCTAAAGCAGCCTTGTAGGCAGAAAGAGAAAAGCATTTGCTAAATTCCTGCAGGGTGACTGGGCACAGTGGGGGAGAGAGACAACCAGAGTTCACTCTGAAGCCTGGCCTGTGCTCAAGGCTAGAGGAATGACCCGGAGTCACAGAGGAGTCCAGTCAAGGCAGGCACCATCACCTGGCATCAGCAGGAAGACCCGCCCCTGCCCCAAGGAGCTTAGGCCCTAGCAGGGACCCCAGAAACCCAGAGCACGGAGAAGGGAAGAGAACAGGTTGCCTAGGAACATTATGCCCCCATTCTGGTGGCAAGATCCGATTTTCTTTCCCCATCAACTGGGAGACTGAAGTAATGGGAATCCTGTCCCTTCTAGAACTTAGCCCATATAAGCCATGACATTTTCCATTTGGTTAACAGTGGGGAACTAGCTGACCTCTGTCCCTCTCTTCTCACTCTTTCCACTCTCACTTCCAGTCTCCCCCTTTGCCCTCCAAGCCCATTCCAGCACCCCAGTCTACCATCATGGCTTGCATGGCTGTGACCCCTCAAGAAGTGGCATCCTCACCTCTCACCTTGCACTTTTCCAAATACCCTAGGTGGTCTCTTATTCCCCACAACTCCTGTCATGCCTGTGGCCTAGAGGTGCTCAGAAGTTCTGAGCAGCAGGCTTGCCTCGCCCTCCAGGCTGGAGCCCCCACAGCAAGGCTACTCTTTCCCCTTGGCCACTTCATCTTCCATGACCAATGACTAGTAACAGTAACTGTTAATTGTGCATCTACCAGGTCCTGGGTACTTTCTAAAGATTGTATCTTTTAATCATCCCAATAACCCTGTGAGATAGTCCTATTATTATACCCATTTTACAGATGGCCAAACTGGATTCAGAGAGGTTACCCAAGGTCCCACAGCCAAATTTGAGATTCAGTCCCAGGCCCTTACAGTCTGCACAACACCTGCTTCTCTACCACATGGCTAGGCTTCTGCTGGGTGTTGGGACATTGGCTGATAGAGGCCTGAGATCTTCAGGCTGTGCAGAAGAGAGGTCTTACTCTTCTGCTTAGGGGTGAGATACCTGGGACCTCCCACAAGGCCAACAAGACTTTGCCTCAGGATCAGGAGATGCCCAGCCCTGGGACAATCTGTGGTGGGTCAGAGGGAACTGGGGTTGAGGAGACAGAAATCAGAGTGTCTGCGGGGCATGTCTGAGCCTTGCCATGAGCTCCTCAAATCCAAGGACAGAGGTTTTGGCATGTGCACCTTGCTGGCATTAGCTTTCTCCACCTCCTGATCCCAGGCTCAGAGAGGCTGGGAGTCCTCTGACCTTTGTTCCCCAAAAGAGGCCTGAGCCCTGGAGACAACACACTGCATGAGGTTGGGGGTGGGAGAGACCATCCCAGACTCTCAGGACTCCCAGGGGAAAAGTGAGGGCTGCTCACTACATACAGGGTTAGGCCCTAACATGGAGTCAGAGAATAAGGGGACAACCAGAACCTTCCAAAGAGCCAGCTTGGAAGTGAGCACACAAGTCGGCTCCCTTGAGAGGAGGCAGGAAGCCACAGTCTCTCAGGGCCCTGACTTAGCCCAGGGCTACTCACAGGCCACACAAGAGGCAACATGTTATTCAGGCTCCTCAACCCTCCACCTCATCCTGCTCCGTTTCAGCATCACCACCAAGAGCGTGTCCAGGTACCGAGGTCAGGAGCACTGCCTGCACCCCAAGCTGCAGAGCACCAAGCGCTTCATCAAGTGGTACAACGCCTGGAACGAGAAGCGCAGGTACGCCCCGCCTCTACTCACCTTCCTTCCCACCAGACCCAGCTGTGGCTCTCAGGATGGGAAGGGACCCCCCCACCAGGTCATCTAGCCCCATCTAATATGTGAACACCCACCACAACATCCACAGCAAACAGATACTCAGACAATGCTTACATACCCCCAGGGACAAGGAACTCACCACTTACCAAAGCTAGCTATCCATCTCTTGTCCATTTGCAAGCATGGCAGGTTTGTCATTTTGTAAACTAAAGTCTGTCTCACTCTAATATTTGCATTATAATCTTAATTCCTCTTTTTATTTCAGTTACGTAAGTTGTTAAATGGCAGAGTGAGCACTGGCATGGCTGCCAGGGGAGCTCTGAGGACTTCAGTGGGGTGAAATGTGACCACTTAGGTGACTGTGTATGTTGGCTATAAAACTGCGCTATAAAACCATGAGGTGCTGAGGATGATCCTTGCCAGAAACATGTTTTCTTCTCCAAGGTGCCCCACTCCCTCTGCTGCCCAGAAACCTGATAAACTCCTTCCTTCGCAGGTGCTGGAAGGCACCACAGGTTTGGCTCTTTAAAATCAGAGCCACTGTTAACCAAGGCGGGCAGCAGTGTTAAGACCACCAGCACCCTGAACCAGCCCTGTACTTACTGGGCACTGTTTCCTTAAAATCAGAAGGTGGCTTCCCATCTCTGGTTTCCTGGGGTCTTATGTCTGTCCTCGGAGGGAGAATCCAGTTCCTAGCTCCCCTGTACCATGCGAAGGTAGCCTGTCCTGTCTCACTCCTCAGATACGCAGAGTCTGTTTACACATTTGCCTGCATAGCATGATCAGGAAGCACACACACACACACACACACACACACACACACGCATGCATGCACACACCATGCAGGTGACTTCCCCAGGAACTAGTGCCAGCACCCCTGCTGCAGAGGGGGATATCAAGGCTAAATGGAAGAGAGGGGTGACTTGCCTGGGAGCACAGGGCAAAGCCAGGACAGCAAACCAGGCCTCCTGGTGCTACCCCACCAGCTGCCCTCACAGGGTGGAAGGTACAGCCATAGTGGGTGCCTGCATTGCCCTCCCCTCACCTGGCCCAGCCATGCTACCCCAAGCTCAGCCCTGTGACCAGCTCTCCCAGAGCTGACACTCGGGCTCAACCCCTATACCTGAGCCTTTTTTGCTGCCTCCAAAACAGCCTCATCTGCAGTTGCTTGAAATAGAAAGTGATGAGAGCAATAAATTATTTTCTATAAATCTGCTGGGAATGAAGCCCTCTTTCTGGTCAAGCCAGGCAGCTCATGTGGCAAAGGCCAGAACTGCGCAGTCCACACTCTGTCACCCTCCAGGCCCTGTGTCATCAAAACTGGCAGAAGGCTAATCCCATGGGCAGGTTATGGAAGAGGCTGAGGGCATCTTGATCTGATTGCTGGGGGATACTCAAACCTTTAGCTCACCTTGCTTCTCCCCTCCACCTGAGCTGCAGCCTGGAAAAGGAGGCACCCACAGGTCTAAACATGGCCCTGCTTTTTTTTTTCCTGAAAATTCCAATAACAAAAGCAACGAGAGCCTCTCACTACCAGGCCTTCTCTCACTTTGCTATAAAATTAGTTCACCCCTCTTTCTTAGAGTGTTGAGGTCCCTGCCCTCCCCACCTCCCTCCCCTGAAACAAGTTGAAAATATCTTAATGAACATAGAACAGTGATAAAGGAAGTGTTTGAAGTCCTCTTTGTACAGAGAGAGAGAGAAAGAGAATGCCAAAGCTAGGTTGGAGGAAGTAGAAGGGTATACGGTGGGCTCAGGCCCATGGGGGCCACACAGAGGAGCTCTGTGCACTTCAGAGACCAGAGCTTCCAGGGAGCTTCTGGCCACCACAGGAAGCAGCCTAGTCAGGCATTTTATTTCAATGGATAATTCAGTGGTCTTACTCAGAAATCAAGAACGAGACAGAAAAGTGATAGGCTAAGTGTAACGTATGGCCCCAGGGCAGCCATGGGGCAGAACTAGAAGAAAGCAAAATATCTAACTGGGCACAGCTTGAGAGGTGAGGGGAAGGTGGGGCTGGGAACGAGTAGAGATGAGGCAATGCAGCCAGGAGCAGGGACTGAGGGGCACAGGCCTCCTGCACCACTGCCCCACCCCACCAACCACCTCTTCTGTCTCCAGGAAGCAGCTTCTAGAGCTAGCATTCTTCTGGAGGACATGCATTATTTGGGCAAAATACAAAGAAATATACAAGCCTAAGTCAAGTAAGGGAATGCCTCCCACCCTTGCTATTTTCTCTAAATAGAGAGGCTGAGTACAGACGCGGAAAGAAACAAGGAGGTGTGGGAGCAGCCCGCCATGCTAGAGAAAGACTACATTCCTGCCACTAACAGTCGGTGGCCACTGGGCAAATCTTAAGTCTGTGGTGCCTCAGTTTCCTCATATGCAAAGCGGGTTTGTTCCATAGGCCTCTGAGGACAAAATGAGATTGCAGAAGTGAGATTGCAGATGGTTAGAAAAGACAAAGCCACACTGGTGTGAGTTTTCATGGTCCCCGGGACCACATCCTCAGAAGGATCCCTCCCACTTCTCCTGGGGGTTCCTGCAGTTCTGGGACAGGGGCATTCCCTGCAGACCAGACGTGAATGAAGCCGCTTAGCCAGCATCTTGTGAACGGCCTGCCTCATGTCCTGAGCCACTTACACATGTGTTTTTTCTCCCCAGGGTCTACGAAGAATAGGGTGAAAAACCTCAGAAGGGAAAACTCCAAACCAGTTGGGAGACTTGTGCAAAGGACTTTGCAGATTAAAAAAAAAAAAAAAAAAAAAAAAAAAAAAAAAAAAAAAAAAAGCCTTTCTTTCTCACAGGCATAAGACACAAATTATATATTGTTATGAAGCACTTTTTACCAACGGTCAGTTTTTACATTTTATAGCTGCGTGCGAAAGGCTTCCAGATGGGAGACCCATCTCTCTTGTGCTCCAGACTTCATCACAGGCTGCTTTTTATCAAAAAGGGGAAAACTCATGCCTTTCCTTTTTAAAAAATGCTTTTTTGTATTTGTCCATACGTCACTATACATCTGAGCTTTATAAGCGCCCGGGAGGAACAATGAGCTTGGTGGACACATTTCATTGCAGTGTTGCTCCATTCCTAGCTTGGGAAGCTTCCGCTTAGAGGTCCTGGCGCCTCGGCACAGCTGCCACGGGCTCTCCTGGGCTTATGGCCGGTCACAGCCTCAGTGTGACTCCACAGTGGCCCCTGTAGCCGGGCAAGCAGGAGCAGGTCTCTCTGCATCTGTTCTCTGAGGAACTCAAGTTTGGTTGCCAGAAAAATGTGCTTCATTCCCCCCTGGTTAATTTTTACACACCCTAGGAAACATTTCCAAGATCCTGTGATGGCGAGACAAATGATCCTTAAAGAAGGTGTGGGGTCTTTCCCAACCTGAGGATTTCTGAAAGGTTCACAGGTTCAATATTTAATGCTTCAGAAGCATGTGAGGTTCCCAACACTGTCAGCAAAAACCTTAGGAGAAAACTTAAAAATATATGAATACATGCGCAATACACAGCTACAGACACACATTCTGTTGACAAGGGAAAACCTTCAAAGCATGTTTCTTTCCCTCACCACAACAGAACATGCAGTACTAAAGCAATATATTTGTGATTCCCCATGTAATTCTTCAATGTTAAACAGTGCAGTCCTCTTTCGAAAGCTAAGATGACCATGCGCCCTTTCCTCTGTACATATACCCTTAAGAACGCCCCCTCCACACACTGCCCCCCAGTATATGCCGCATTGTACTGCTGTGTTATATGCTATGTACATGTCAGAAACCATTAGCATTGCATGCAGGTTTCATATTCTTTCTAAGATGGAAAGTAATAAAATATATTTGAAATGTACCAAAATTCTAGACTGCCACCTTTTTTCTATTTAATTAAGCTAGGATGACAATAAAATGTTTACCATGTCCTGAAAAAATAAGGACAAATATGCTGGGAAAGAAAACTGGTATTTCCCAAATACCTGTCAACACCATCACCTCTGTGGAACGTGTGGAGCTGTCATTACAGTCAGGAAGCCAAGAAGCCAGGCCTTGAGGCTAAGGCTCCTTCCCCGACGATTCCTACCCCTGCAGCAGGTGTATCAGAGCAGGCAGGTTGGAGCACAGGGAACTAGAGGGTCACGATCCCAGCCTCCTCCACGCAAGACCACACTGAGCCTCAGCACCAGAGGGCAGCAAAGAGGCTGGATGCCTCAGCCAAGGGCTCTCCAAGTTCCCTGGGGCTGCATAAGGACGGCAACAATAGAGGACTGGTGTAATTATTGCCTACTGTGAGCCAGACCCTGTGCGGGGAGCCTTACATGCCCTATCTCTTTGAATCCTGGTAACAACCACAACGGGGGTGGTTCTATTGAAGCTCCATTTTACAGATGAGGAAACCAAGGCTTAAAGAGGTGAGCACATCACTCATATTCTCCCACTTAGAGAAGATAGTAGATGGGGCCAGTCAAGATACCCTGGGGTCCAGGGCCCCAAGATGCCAGGGGGACTCGGGGAGGTGGGAAATGCCCACCTGGGAGGCTGTGGGACTCTGGAGCTGGGCAGACTCTGGACTCTGGAGGCGTGGGAGCCACGCCTGGGAGATACTGGAGCTGTTCCTGCTCCTGCCAGGTGGACAGGTGGACAGTAGGGCACACCTCATTGTGCTTCTAGGGACTGCATGTCGTAGGCCCATGTAAAGCACTTAGCAGGATACCAGGGCATGGTGAGCACGTGGTAATGGAAGCCCTTTTTTTATTTTTTTATTTTTATTTTTTTCCTGAGACAGGGTCTTGCTCTGTCACCCAGGCTGGAGTGCAGTGGCACGATCATAGTTCACTGCAGCCTTGAACTCCTGACCTCAAGGGATCCTCCTGCCTCAGCCTCCCAAGTAGCTGGGACTACAGGCACATACCACCATGCCTGGCAAGATGGGATCTCTCTATGTTGCCCAGGACAGTCTCAAACTCCTGGACTCAAGTGATCCTCCTCCCACCTCAGCCTCCCAAAGTGCTGGGATTACAGGCATGAGCCACCATGCCCAGCCAGAAGCTATTTTAATAAGCACAACACCAGACCAGCCACTTTGCACTTTGTACCAACTACCCACAGCCCTGCATCTCACCGTATCCTAAAGTCAGCCAGGCCCTGAAACAGGCCTCTCTGCCTTCCCTGGGTTCTCCACACCCAGAAGGACTCCACCCTGTCTGCTACACTAGCAACTGGAAGCCAGTCACCCATGTCCCCTTCACCTCCCCGGAAGCTTCCTGAAACACTGGTTCTGCACACACTTACGAGGACACCCAGCAAGTACCCTGTCTCAGCATGTCCCCGGCAAGATGCTACCACAAACGCTTTTATCACCATCTTATTTCCTCCTGGCGGCTTCAGATTACACCACATGTATTCCTGAGGAAGCTGAAGATCAGAGAGGTTGAGAAAGTTGCCCAGAGTCACACAGCTACCACTCATCACACCCTCCAATGGCTGGGCCTGGCAGCCTTTCTGCTGAGGGGTGGAGGAGGGGCAAGCTGAGGCCACAGTGAGCTGGTGACCATGAATGCCCTGCAGCAGCCCTGCCTTTCCCTTCATTATGGAGAAAGAAGGTAGACTAGACAGGGAAACCCCAAGACCAACAGACAGAACAGAATGCAAGAGCCCCAGAAGACAGTGCATACCAGGGCAGGGCAGGGCAGAGCAGAGGCCAAGCCTCTTGCTGGGAGCCCTGAACCCTGCCTGGCCTCAGAGCAGCACCAGTGGAGCCTCAGGAGGGAAGGGCAGTGTACAAAGCTGGCTGAAGAGCCCCGGCCACCGAGAGCAAAAGCTGCTCCAAGACAGCACAGGCCGTGGGGTGCCGCTTGTAAACAAGCCATACACACTCCCTGTCTTTGCTGGGGCTCTCCTCGTCCTGCCTGTGGCTCTAGTGCTAGGCCACCCTCCTCTAACTCTGCTGGCCCCGATGGTCCCTCCCTTCTCTGACATCCCAAGTTACAGATTGGATCATTAATAACAGCAACAGTGTCACCTCACACTGGTCCAGCCACTGATCCGGGCACTCACCCAAGCACTGGCCCCACATGCTCTGTCTGCACTCCCACAATGCGCTATGTGGCAGGTGCCCAGAGAAGTGAAGCACTTTGCTTAGGACAGTAGAGGAAGTCCTGGAAGTCAAGCCTCAGCTGGTCAAAGCGCAGAAACGGTGGAGAGTCTGCATGTAAATATCTCCATTCCCTACAGAGATGGGGTCCCAGGACAACAGAGGCTGGGCTATGCTTCCAGGGAGAGCTTGGGCCCTTTCCTCCCGCAGACAGGGATTAACCTGACCACTAAGAATAGACTCTGAGCCCAAACACTTCACCAAACACCAAATGAGGACCCACAGGCGCCTAGAACTGTGCGAGGCTCCAGGGAAGAATCTTCTCTCCCCGGCTACAGACCTGTTTCCTGTACCTCTTCTCTGGGCCTCCCAGTATCCCTATGAAGTGTCCACTTGCCAGCTTCCAGGAAAGAGAGTAATCCCAGTGCAGCAAAGCAAGGCCAGGTGGCCTTTCAGAGCGGGCTCTGCACTGGTGGCTCTCATGGGCTTCCCTGGATAAGAGCAAGCTTCTCCTCTGCACACAGGGCAGACCCGGCCCACATACAGGCCCCACCTCCACTGGAGCCACTGCATCCTCACAGTTAGGCTTGTTTTGATTCCAAATGCCATTGCCCTGACTTCCCATAGGCTCGTCCTGAGCAGGCCCTGGTGCTGTAGTGGGCTGACACCAGCATGGCCATGTCCTCAGAGAGCTCCAGCCTAGCCCTGCAGTTCAACTCCTCCACCTCACCTGACCGCTCTCAGATCTACTCCACTCAGAGCTTCTCCTGGTCATCCTGGACTGACTACATAATTTGCAGGCCTAGGTGCAAAAAAAAAAAAAAAAAAAAAAGATGCAGGCCTCCCGTTCAAAAATTATTAAGAATTTCTAGACGGCAACAGCAGGGCATTAAACCAAGCATGGGGCCCTTTCCAGACATGCTCTGTGCAACTCACATGTCACAAACCCATGGGGCCAACCCTGCCTCCAGTATCAACTCTAATATCCATATAGGTGACTCATTTTGGTCCTGAATTATTACATAATCTGCACTACAGTTTAACAGTTTTATTTGAACCTGAGCATCTAAGAAGAAGCCCTTCTTAGAAACCAGGAGCTGTGTCATATGCTGCTTTGTAAAAACCTCCCAGAATCTATGATAGCACTTACGAGGTATTCAAACACAGTTGAATTAATATTAGGATCATAGGGAGATCCCTGAGAACATGCTTTCTTCACGCATTCCTGAGCTACTGCTATGTGCAAAACTCTGCTGGGCACCATGGGGAACAGAGGTATGACTGGCTGTGCTCCTTTATCCTCAAGGACAGAGTTCAACCATTCATTCACCCAGCTACTGTTGCATGATTAAACATCTGCTCTGTGCTGGATGCTGGAGATGGCCCCTCCAGAAACTCAGTCTACAGGGAGGCAAAGAAGCTGCCTGAAATTGCCTGTTGGTCTGACTGCCAGACGGACTCACGGCAGACTCTGGGGCAGCCCCAAAGAGCGGGTGTCTCACCCAGGGTCAGAGGAGGAGACTGATCAAGACATCTGTCAGTCCTGGGAAGGCTCATGGCAGATTGCAAGTCATTATCAGGCAAGAAAAAAAAAAAAAAGGTGCTGATTCCATCCTGGCTCTCACATGGCCCGTGGCCGCCACGCCCATGTGCGATGAGATGGGCTAGCTGCGGCAGAGCACCAGGGGCAGAGAAGTAGAGAACACTGGGGGATTTAGAGGAGGCCCGGGAGCATCGGCCATGCCCCAGATGCATGTCCACAGAGCCCAGCCCCAGCCTCAGTCCCCACTCCCCTCTCGCCCAGCTCCCTTCTCTCTGCCTGTCCTGCCAGGACACCGTGATGGGGGCCTCCGGAACCTCAAAGGCAAAGAAGCCCACACAACCCTTCCTGCTCAACCTCCACACAAGGAAGACACCGTGCTGCTTTTTAGAGCCCCTGGGGTGTTTTCTTCTCCTCCTGTTTTTGAAAAGTTACATGGATATTCTTGGAGGTCTTCAAGAAAGCACTAAAACCCTAAGCTATTTTCTTGCTTTCAAAGTAACATTTCCCAGCTTCCTCCACGCAGGTCCGCGCTGAGCCTCACCACCAGAGGGCAGCCAAGAGTCCGGGTGTCTCAGCCAAGAGCTTTCCAAGTTCCCCGAGGCTGCATGAGGACAGCGACAAGGACTAGTGTAATTATTACCTACTGTGAGCCAGACCCTGTGTGGAGGGCCTTACATACCCTATCTCATTGAATCCTGGTAACGACCACAACGGGGGTGTTCTATTGAAGCTCCATTTTACAGATGAGGAAAACAAGGCTCAGTGAGGTGAACACATCACTCGTGTTCACACAGCTAGCAGGTGGAAGAGACAGGATTCAAACCCACGTGTGTCGGGCTGCAAGGAGACTGTCTGCTCTCTGAAGTACACAGTGTCTTACAGTTCCTGTCCACCCCAGCCCACAGGATGCTCCACTGTGCTCTCATGCTCCGGCTCAGGGCTGACCCCCTGTTTATCAAATGGAGATTAATCACCCAGTTAACCTGGGCCACACGAACAACCAGCCTCAGCCAGGTTTGTTTTGCTGGTGTCTAGTTCTGTCTCCTACAGGCAGACATCTGCAGAAATCACATGCTCCTCTAGAGCCTCTCCCCCCGATCCAGAAAGGGAGCCCCGGAGCTGTGAAACGGCTGCTCCAGCTCTCATTTGGTAGACACAAATTCCACTTCAGTAGAGGAGCAGCAGGGTTGGTTTTCCCCCAACACCAAATACACTGAAGACGCAAAATGACCATGATGTCGTCAAGTTCAACTCAACGCTTTGGTTAGAAGCAAAATGATCTTCTGTTGGGTAAAAAATCAATTCAAAGCTGGATTTCAAATAATCTGCCCCATTTCACAATGAGGACAGAGTTGATATTCCGGGATGAGTGGTAGGCATGTCTAATTAGATGCAGATGAGACTCTGATCTAATATTCAAAGTTTTTCCCCCAGAGCAACGGGGATGATGAAGCAACAAGCTCTTTCTTTCAACCCATTGTTATTTAAAGGCAGTGCTCACACAAGAATCATTTCTAAATCACAAAGGCTTTTTTCCCCTGAAATAATGGCCTGCAAAGATAGACTGGAGTTAGGTATTCACATCGGTACAGCCAAAAAAAATGTCATAAGCCAAGAAAAGTACGAGACAAAGCATACCCTTCAATTCATTTATAGCTACTAGGGTACCAATCCTGCTGATTCCACATATTTTGAGGGGAGCAAAGTTTAACCAACACAATAGCAACAACCGCACTTTCTTTCTCACCAAACTCCACTATAAGTCCTGTTTTGCAGATGAAGAACTTAAGGTTTAGAGAAGCTAAATTGTCCTGGGCAGTGTTAAAAGTTTTGGACACTCCTAGGTTGGATGACCACATATTCTGGTTGGCCTGAGACAGTCCTGGTTTATGGTAATTGACCCAATGCAATTATGAAGAATGTTCCCTTTCACTCTCAAAAGAGTCCGAGTATGGCTGATATACTGTATAATCACCCCACTGACAGGGCCTAGCAGAAAAGTATATATGACGGCTAAGGAATGATCAGTCAACCTCTCCGCTTGGATCACCAACTCGTAAGTGAGTTTGGGCCCTTTAGAAGTTATGGTAACTCTTTAACCCCATAGAGTACCCTAAAATCCCCTGTTCCAGCCTGGCCTGCCTTCCCTGCAGCCTGGATCTGATGTTGTCAGATTGTTCGCTGGGAGGCACCAGGTATTTTGGAGACTCATCTGTTGAATGAAGAACTAAATAAAAAACACTGTCCCTCTCTCCATGTGTCTGCCCATATGAGATTCCCCAGACGATTTAAGCATCAGGTTCTGGTTTCAAGAAAATAAAAGTCAGCCAGGCAGCTGCACTTCCAAGAGGACTGAGGCAAACTTTTCCTTGACAATGTGGTTGGCATGTGCTTTAAGTGAGGGATTAGCTACTTCAGAGGAGTGGTAATGCGATATGGGCCTTTGACATCCTATTCCAATTCAAGGAGGCTGTAGAAGGCTGAAGCATGCCAAGAAGGTTGGGGGATCCTTCCAGACCCAAAGGCGCAGCTCCCTCCCCACCTTGCCGAGGACTCCCTAACTCTGGAGTGTTAGCCCACCAGAAGGCTACTCACTTGCTCCTTTCCCTGAGCCTGAAGGAGCTGGGGTGAAAGAGAGGGCACAGACCTAAGATGCAGCCATGGGGTCCCTGCTGGTGTCACAGCCTCTCTGAGCCACCTGGAGCCAGGCAGCTCTGGGGTGGCCCCTGAACCCTTCAGGTTTACCGCCTCAATTTTCCTCTCTGTGTTTAGCCCAGGGCCAGAGCATCGTTCTTGGGACTTTAGGAAATGTCCAGTTGCCACTGTCTTACCTGGATGCCCACCCACTCCAGATGCTAGGGGTTTTCTGCACTTCCCTGGAAATCTATTCCAATGGCTTCTCATGGGAACAGATACACAAAGGGGCGCAGACCCCCAGCCCAATGTCCACCCCCAGCTGTCTGCAGAGCTGTCCTCAACCCTCTCCTTCAAAGTCTAGGGGCCCGTGGATAAAATAATTTCTCCCAGTCCCAACTTTACAACTATAGTATTAAATGAGATAAATGTCTCAACACAGAAAGTAGGCAGTAAATAAATGGTAGTTGTTATTATTATTATTACTATTATTATTATTATCATCTGCCTTTAAAATGTCCAAGAGAAACTTTAGTTTTATATCCTATAAAATCTGGATTAACCAACCTGGATTAACTTTACGTTTGTGTTTTTTTTTTCCTGAGACAAAGTCTTGCTCTGTCACCCAGGCTGGAGGGCAATGGTGCAATCTCAGCTCACTGCAACCTCCGCCTCTCAGGTTCAAGTGATTCTCCTGCCTCAGCCTCCAAAGTAGCTGGGATTACAGGTGCATGCCACCACACCCAGCTAATTTTTGTATTTTTAGTTGAGATGGGGTTTCGCCATGATGGCCAGGCTGGTCTAGAACTCCTGACCTCAAGCGATCCACCCGCCTCAGCCTCCCAAAGTGCTGGCATACAGGCTTGAGCCACCGTGCCCGGCCAACATTACATTTATAAGGCATAAAAAGGCCAAACTTGAAGAACGTATCTACCAAGAGAGGAATCTGAAACCTTCTGTGACCTTGGGCAAACTTCCATGCCTGTTTCATCACCTCCAAAATAAGAATAATAATAGTGCTTAATTTCAAAGAATTTCTTGAGACACTAAATGAGACCATTCAAATAGAATATCTAGCACTTTGTGTAGCATATAATAAGCACACAGTGAATAATAGTTAATAATAATAAATTTGTGTTTCTTAAAAAATGTATTTAACAGTCCAAGGAATCTTAAACCTGGGGGAAGAAATACCTTAGAATCTAGTCCCACCTTATATCCACTAGAAAAATTTCTTTGAAGCTGTAAATTTTTTAACTGCTTTTGAACTCTGGGCCCCCTTGAAAAGCTGATGAATGCTATGATTCCTTTTCCCTGAAAAAAAAAAATGCCCAGTATATTTTGCAAACCATTTCAGGAGATTCTTAGACTTCCCTGATGTCATCCTTATGGCTCCTTGGACCCTGTGTGAGTAATTCCTGCCTTAGACAATCCCAGGTAGGGCATCCAGAGGTGGCTTGGATATCTCCAGTAACAGGAGCCTCACAGCTCAAAAAGCAGCTCACTCTATGATTGGAAAAGTCCACATGCTAAAAAGTGTTAGGATTAAATCAGGACACTAAAAGATGCTTCCTGAGTTCCATCCTCAGAGCTACACAGAGGTAGCACAATGCCTATTTCAGGTACCAGCCCTTGACATGTTCAGAAGGCAGAGGCCATGCTGGGACATACCTGACCTTCTCCTGAGCTAACCCTGCTGTCCTCTCAGCCATTCTAGGTGATGGTGTCCAGGCCCCTGCCTTCCAGGTCACCCTCCCAAACCACCTGCTGTGTGGCTGTGGCTCATTTTCTTTGTCCTGGACACAGTACTTTTATTAACCCCATCTAAGTCTGCTAATGTTCTCAGCCACCAAGTCACATCCATTAAGCAAGCATTTAATAGGTCCCCAAGGCCTCATCACACAAGAGCAGAGTTTCATGCCACACGTATCTCCACTCCAATCTTACGCTGGGGTAATTGATCCTTTGAAGCTAGCCCTACCACTTTACATATGCCCCAATTAATCTTACCAGTTTTTTTCCTGTCACTTCAACCTTTGGGAAGTATTTGGAATTCACATTCTATCACCCAGTGTACTGAAAATGTTTGCAAATCTCTTAGAGGGTAAGGAGATCAATGAAACTTGTGCATCTCCCTGGGTTAAGCTTGGGACAAGGTGCCTTACCCAAGTTCTCATTCAATCTTCACATCAACCTTTTGACATCTATACTTCCGTCCTTGTCTTATACGTAAGAAAACTGAGTCTGATGGAGATTCAATCACTTGCATAAAGATACCCAGCTACCAGAGAGCCATGCCAGGATTTCAACCCAGGCCTGTCTGAGCCTCACTATTTTACCACACCTCAGCATTAACACATTAAACCGCATTGTTATAGATATGTGTGTTTCTCCAACTAGGATGTAGGATCCCTAACAATAGTGAATAGACTTTGTCTCAGAATTCCTAGCCCCTGTGAGTCCCTAGCACAGAGTAGGTGTTTTACAACTGCTGGGAGGAGGGAGAACAAGGAAAGCGGTCAGTTGGGGCTAGCAAGCTGGGAGGATGCTTCTTGGAACTGAGCCCTGATGTCCAGGTTCTTCTTTTAGAGCATATATTCAACTCTGTGAATCATTAGGAAATGTTATCATCCACACATGACCAGAAGGTTCTGGGACCCTCCCACCCAGGACATGCCAGCCCTAAAATTGTGACATTCATTCACCCGAGTCATTGGAAAGCTGACCTGAAGGGTGTCCTACGTCCCTCCCACACCTGGGTACCTCCCTGAGCCCAGCAGGTAGACTCTCCCCAAGGTGCCCCCCACTTCCCCACCCCACAGCAGCCTTCCTCCGTGCAGGCGGCTGTGTGGTGGGAGGGAGAAGGTTCGGGAAGCCTTTGACTTGAGATTTCTCAAAAGCTCTTGAAGGGACACTGAAATTCCTAACTCACTCTTTTTCAAACAGATTCTTGAGTGAACTCATAGAACTTTTGATACTGAGGAATCGGCCTAAGGAGAAGAGGCTTACTGTGAAATGACCAAACGCCACCACTGGTTTCCAACCACCATCTGGGTGCTGAACAGAGTTCTTCTGTCCACACAGCACCGCTTTTCCGTGCACACACCCCTCATGGCGTCCAACCGCGACTATGGCCTGTTTCTTTTCCAACAGGCTGCAAGGCTTTAATTCTGCGGAAAACCGTCAAGCAGCAGCTCCACTAAACACATCTCTGTGCATTAACAGGAAGTGCAGGGAAAGGCAGTCCGGGCCCAGAGCTCACATTAAGGAGAAAGGTCGAAAGCGCCATCTTGTGGTGCCTTTGCAACTTGCGTGCCGCTTGGCGCCTGAGGTGGGTGCCCTGAGGAGGGGAAGGCAAGGTGGAACAGAGGGACTTCCCCTTTTAACCCAGTTATTGATCATAAAAACCAAAGTAGAATGCTTCCTCGCTGCACAATCTAACCCTCGGAACTAACAAAGAAACTATAATGTATCGGATAAGAGCACAGTTCTAGAATCAGAAAGCGCTGCCTAGGTTTGAATCCTGGCTTGGCCATTTACAAACCATGCAACTTTGGTCAAAGTCCCGCTTGGAGACTCAGTTTCTCTAGTAGTTAAATGAGGATAATAACTGGGCCTATCTCGTAGGGTAGTTAGAAGGACTAAACCTAATCATGCACATAAATGCTTAGCACAGTCCCTGAGTGCCTACAGTCCCTTAGCATGCACATTACTATATTTCTGTTTTATGACACCACTGATGGTAAGAAGCAGCATCAATTTAATATAAGATGGAGGTAGGCGTGGGGCTGCGGAGGGCTGGTAATCCACTACCTACAATACGCACATTTATTAGAAGGCATATTTTGATTTAAGAGATGTTAAAATAGGAAGAGGAGACAGATCATTTTAGATCTTAGATCTTGCTGCACTGTGAGAGCAACTGAGTCACGTGGGCTGCCCTGCACTGAATCTGAGAACACAACACATCACCCTCAAGGCTGGCACTCCTCTCAAAGGTAGAAAATGCAGTCAACAGTCACCTTCTTAGGTGCCCGAGGGAAGGATTTCGTCCATTCCTGCTACCCTCTGATTGGGCATGCACCTCTGGGAGGGAGTGATCGAGCCCCAGGAACCCACAGTTACCCTTATTTCCCCACAGTTGGGTGGCTGGGTAATTGGTAGCTGCTGATAATTACAGGTGGGTAAAAAAGTAGCTACAGGGCAGAGATCAGGAGGGGCCTGAAGACTAGGAAAAGATAAAAATGAAAGAAGGGAAAGAGGCTCTTGCCTTGTGCCAGGCACAGTGCACAGGGAGGATTAGGGATTTTCCAACATTTCTAGGAAGACATTCGGAATGCCACTTGGTGACTCTCCTCCCATTTCAAAAGCTACAGGGCTACAGGGCAACCATGCCCAGGTAAAATGCCTTTATATTAATCAGATTTACTTAACCCTAGTAGGTATGACTATTGTGGCTGTCCTCAAAACTAACAGTTAATGAAACTTACTCCATGCCAGGTAGAGTGACAAGCACATTGTTTTATGTAACCTGCACAACCAGCCTGGGAAGTGGGCACTGCTGTAATCTCCGTTTCACAGAACAGGACGTTGACGTCCAGAGAAGCTCGGTAACTCACCCTCCTCTTCATCCAGCATCCCTCTCTTCCCCGTGAGGCCCAGGGGAGCTGTAAATCATGATTCCATGCACTCTGATGCTAGCCACAGGACTTGGGTGCACATGACCCAGGTTGGCCAATCAGAGCCCAGGATCCTTCCCCCAGCACATTGATTGGCTCAGATATGGACACCTGACCCAAGAAAGCCAGTGAGAGACTTCACAAGATTTACTAGATGGAAGCTGGAAAAACAGGCCTGTTTTCTCTTTGGGTCCCAAGCCGTAAAGACTTGAACTCAGAGAACCAGAAGTTTGTTTTGAGGTCCTGTGAAGAAAACCTGCCTGAGACCAAAGCCAACACACAGAAGGAATCAGAGCAGAGAAATGGAGTGACGGGATTAAGACCGCATGGGTTAGCCCCTGGATCTCGCTTTGCCTTGTACAGCCCTTCTCAGTTTATAGGAGCCAACTCATTCTGTTTTTGCCTAAGTTAGAGTCAAACCCCTCAGTCTAATAAATAAAGGCAAAAAAGAAAAACTGGTTAAAGCCCCGTTGCAAAAAATAAGTAACTTTATAATTACATCAACTTTATCATTAACAAGGCTTTAAAAAACAAGTACCTATGAATAACAGCCCCCAATGGATTCAAAATTGAAATAATCACATAATGTAACAAGGTTTAAAGCCATGGATTTGAACCTAATAGAGTAAAATAAAAAGCTAGCGTGGAAGGAAGATCTCCATTAGGAGTGATTGCTGAGCATAACAGAACCCTTTCTGGGTGTTTTGTGTTATCAAATATCTCTCTGCAGCAACTCTTTCCAGTGTGGTATTATAGAAATATCTTCAGGAATTGCTGAATAAGCCCTTTAAGTGAACAATGCCAT